>NC_000002.12:126864618-127489618 GCF_000001405.40 Homo sapiens | reverse complement strand
TGGAACAGGGCCTGTTTCAGGATACTGATTGCTTGTGTTGTTCCATCCACTTGAGAAAACAACTTTCTGGGTCCCGTTTCCGAGTTCCTAGAAGAAAAAATGTTATAGTTTTAGTTTGTATTGATAATAGTGGATACAGTTGCATCCAGGAGGACAGGGTCATTAGTTACAAATGTGGCAATTACGGCTCATCCACAAGGAAACCTGTTATGCAAATGAATACTAAAATGAGTAGTACTTTTTAAAGATTAGGAATTATTTTCCCTGATCCATCGTAAAAGAGCTATTAATAGTTATGGTCTAAGTTTGATTTTTAGTTTGCTCTTTTTCTGAGTTATTAGGTTCTAATATTCCTGGTATCTCCTTGTTTACTTTTTTTTCAGCACTGGTGGTCAGACACCCAGAAGAGACCTGGAAAAGGTGCTGACAGGAGAGGAGAAGTAAGGTTTTAATGTTAATTTTTCTTCCTAGACTATATAGAGAATTTCCGTTTGCTGCTTTAAGAAAAGTAGTAAATGAAATGATGTTATGCTCTCATTTGTGGGAGGTGACTTTCATTTTAACGTTTAGTATCTACAAAGCATTGTATTGGGTACTCTGGGGATGTAAGGAAAATTGAGAAAATAATTCATTCAATAAAGATTTTATTGCTGTTTGCTAAGTGCTAGACTCCTTGTTGTGCTCTGAGAATATAAAAACAAATTAAAAATAGTCTATGCTCTCAAAAGTGTAAGTCTTTACAAGGATGATAGGCAAAGGGAGGTCTTTGGTAAAGCCATGGGCTAAGTGTGCCAGGTCTGTGTTTGGAATGGCAAGTAGACTGAAGGGGTTGGACAGTAGTATGGGGCCTGAGGTGGTAGAAGATAAGGTTGGAAATAATAGACCGGTGAAGGGCTTTGAATCAAGATGAGGAATTTTCACGTCTTGTGATTCCACAGGAAGTTTTTGAGGCTGGATGTGAAGCCATCTGGTTTGATTTGATTTAGGGTGCTGATGCCAATGGCATCATGTAGGATGGATTGGAGGGCAGTGGGACTGAGGCAGTGATACAGCTAAACAGAGGTGGTAGTTGGGAAACAGAGGGGTGAGAAGACATTGCAGAGGCAAAGCTGTCATATGTTGGTGACTTAGTGGGAGAGAAGATGGCTAGAGTTGAAGACCTCAGCCAAAATTTTAACCTGAGTGCTGAGACAGTGTTTATTACCTTTCACCAAAATGGAGGGAGAAGTAGATTTGAGGGACCAGGCAAGTTCTCTTTTGAGCATATTAAATGTGACATGCCTAATGAGATAGCCCTATAAATATTATGGGTCTAGAACTTGTAAAGAGATGTTTGGGCTAGAGACCTAGATTTGATGGTTCTCTCCATAGAAAAGATTGTTCAATCAAGAGAGTATAGAGTAAGAAACGAACTAAACAATTTTGAAAGGGGGCATAGCCAGGCAGAGCAGCCAGCGAAGGGGAATGAGCACCTGTGGTCCTGTGCGTTGGAGCAGAGCCTGGAGGGGAATGAGGCTGAGCTGGAGGTGGCAATGACAAAAGCATGGGCCAGTGGCAGGTGCTGCAGAGGGCTTTGTGCAGGTGTGTTGGTAGTCAGGCAGCATCCCGATTGCAAGAAGAGAATAGGGGATGAGCTAGAGGAAAAGTTTGTTTAGGAAGGAAGTTGATGAGACCGTGGCTTCAGAAGGAAAGTAAGAGTTACAGGGAATTTTCTTGGCAAGCCAATTAGTCTGTTCATATATATATGAAGGTTATAAAAGTTTAAGGTTGGCCGGGCGCGGTGGCTCACGCCTGTAATCCCAGCACTTTGGGAGGCTGAGGTGGGCAGATCACGAGGTCAGGAGGTTGAGACCATCCTGGCTAACATGGAGAAACCCCATCTCTACTAAAAATACAAAAAATTAGCTGGACGTGGTGGCGGGCGCCTGTAGTCCCAGCTACTTTGTAGGCTGGGGCAGGAGAATGGCACAAACCCAGGAGGTGGAGCTCGCGGTGAGCTGAGATTGTGCCACTGCACTCTAGCCCGGGCAACAGAGCGAGATTCAAGTTTAGGGTTAAAAATGGGGTAAACTGTACAAGAGAATAGAAACAATTGAGAATTTTTTACCCTTCTCTCCCCATCCCCAGCAGACACACATAGATCCACTCTTTACTAGTTACCTAAATGCTGAATGGTTTGAATGCCCAGGCATCCATAGATAGGCTTTACTTTGGAAGGTTAGTAATCTTATTTTAGTCTAGCATGGTTACCCACGGATTTGCATAGAACTAAATACATACACATAAATGAGTGCAAGTAAAACTGGGGAAGTGTAAATAAGATTAGTGTACTGTATCAACATCAGTATCCTGGTTGTGATACTATACTGTAGATTCGCAAGTTGTTGCTATTGGGAGAGACATTGGATCTCTCTCTCTATCATTTTTTACAACTTCATTTGAATCTGTAATTATCTTCAAAAGATTTTTACAAAAATAAACATTAAAAATTGATGTATGAGTTGTATATTGAAAAACTACTTTATAGGCATACTGGGAGTTTTGGGGGTCATTTGACGACTCAATTCTTCACAATTCCTCATCTCACAAGTGAACTCATGAGTGACTCCACTATACAAGAGAAAAGGGGATTCCAAGTCATGCGGGCGGGACTAGCCTTGGAAGGCAGAGGGGCATGAGTATATCTGAAGCTGAGGAGAGGAGAAAAGGATTCATGCAAATGCAGAGCAAGTTGGCTTTGGAAGAGAAGTGAGGAATGCATACTGTAGTGTGTGTGATGACAGGCTAGCTGGGAGGCGGCAGGAGGGTGGATTGGGTGACCTTTGGTGGGGAGTAGAGGAGTTTCGAACATTGCAGCTTAATGGGTGGATGTAGGAACAGGAGTGTGAAATGGCCTATGTGCCCCACTGTGGCTGGCCACATAAGAAGCATGCTCTTCCTCTTCCCTTTTTCAGGGCTCTTAGACCTGGAGATCCTGGATTCTGTGCCCGTGCAAGGGTCCCAATGCCTTCAAACAAGGACTATGTTGTCAGGCCCAAATGGAATGTGGAAATGGAGTCATCCAGGGTAAGCAAGCGGAGGATCGGCAAGGTGGATCTCACCTGCAGATTACTGTTTGACTCTTTACTTCATGTGTTAATAACCCTTGTAGCTCTTGAAGTTTGTCTGATTCAGAGAGGACTGTTTTCTGGTCGCTTATCTAGCCAAACCACAAATTGAGCAATAGAGAAAGGAAAAGTATTACCCAGGATTAAAGTTTATTGCTGATGAATTTTTCTTCAGTCTTAATTCAACATTATCAGGTAGGGAAGTTTCTTCTTATTAATCCCTTTACTTCAAGCAAGGCTTGAAATTGAAACCTGGAGTATTCTGATACAGTGAATTTTTTTTTTTAATAACCATGAGAAACAGAGCTTACGTGCTTCAGCAGACCTACCTCTCCCTTTCTCTTCAACGGTTTAAGCAATTCCATTGCAAATGATTAGGGTAGACACTTATTCTGTTATCATTGTAAATACTGCTCAGTGGATCTTCAGTGTTTCTCAGTAATCTCTTTTTATTCTCCAATCAAACTACTACTTCTAGCCTGGTATTCTTAAAAAGGGCCTAAGCCGATTGGAAAAGCATAAGAGGCGATTTGCAGAACAGAAACGACTCAGCAAAGTGCATCGTGCTGTCAAGTTCAGCATTGAAGGCAACAGGATGCCCCTATAGGCCTGGCCCTACCAGAGTATATACACGAGAGGTATTCCCAAGGAAGCATGTACTGTGCATGGGCTTGAATTGTCAACAGTCAGAGTGAAAAGTGTGTGTGTGTGTGCTTTCTTAATCAGAAGAGGCCAGGTCTGCTTTTAGTTTCAAAATAATGACCCTAACAGGCACCTTGGGATATTCAAGGCCTCTTGAATAT
This sequence comes from Homo sapiens, assembly GCF_000001405.40. NCBI lineage: Eukaryota > Metazoa > Chordata > Mammalia > Primates > Hominidae > Homo > Homo sapiens. The sequence continues at coordinate 127,485,708 of NC_000002.12, read as the reverse complement.
TTAGAAATTGACATGGAAGTCCCTTCCTTTATCAGTATCCTAGAGAGTAATAGATAATTACTTCCCTAATATGCATTTGGGTCTTCCTGACTGGTACCCGTTTTTATGAAAAAGGTTTTTGTTAGGACCCAGAATTACAGTGATATGTGTTACAGGCATATAAACTAGTTAGTGGTTTCCTGGTGGGAGGTAGCTTGTTTCCTGCTGTCAGTGGCTCAGCAACATGCATTTGAGAACTCATTACATAAAGCCTTATACTAAATATTTAGGAGATGAATTTGATTAACACATACTCAAAATGTGGTCAGAAGTGGAAAAGACTTGGGAACATTCATAAGCCCAACTCACTGATCCACTATGCTTTGAGACTAATGGCACCTTTGTTGCGGAGCACACACAGTGTGTGTGTGTTGCCTGCCTATGGTTCTTCTCCATGACCCCTGCTTTGGCAGCTGTTTCCACTGACTCCACTCTCCTACCTGCCAGTTCATGTTGCTATTAAGTGACTATCAAAACAAAACGTACTTTCTTATTTCTTGAGAATAAATCGAGGGTAGAGAAGGACTAGTTCTGTGCCAAGAACTTCCTCCTCTCTCTCTCCCTCCTCTTTCTTGTGCCCATATCCGTGTCCCTGACCACCTCTCCATGTCCCCTGTACCTGTTTCTTTTTTGCCCTTCTGTCCTTTTTCTTTTTCTTTTTCTTTTTCTTTTTGAGACGGAGTCTTGCTCTGTCGCCCAGGTTGGAGTGCAGTGGTGCGATCTCCACTCACTGCAAGTTCCGCCTCCTGGGTTCACACCATTCTCCTGCCTCAGCCTCCCAGTTAGCTGGGACTACAGGCTCCTGCCACCATGCTCGGCTAATTTTTTGTATTTTTAGTAGAGACGGGGTTTCATCCTGTTAGCCATGATGGTCTTGATCTCCTGACCTCGTGATCCACCCGCCTCGGCCTCCCAAAGGGATTACAGGCATGAGCCATCTCCTTTTTCATTGTTTCTTCTCTCTTTTTAGCCGTCTTTCATATTTCTCTTAACATTTTTATTTTTGAGAATTGGGAACTACAATATGGCAAAGAAAATAGGTAATAAAAACTCTTAGTGGCCAATCTGCTTTGAAAGCAGAGGTTGTGTTTCCAGGGCTGTGTCCCTGTGTGCTGATGTTTCTGGTTCTGGTCCCACTTCCCCATAGGTGGAGCAGGGTTGCATATTCACTCAGGACTTGCTTCCACATTGTAGACGCTAATGAGCAGTATTAGAAAAGACATGTCCAGGAAAAGAAATGGAAATGGGTTTCCAATGAAACACTTTTTGTCTTAAGTATCATTTTTGTTTTCAAAGTTATGTAAATAAATATAAAAAATAAATAGGGTTTTTTGTTTTTTGTTTTTGTTTTTGTTTTTGAGACGGTGTCTCACTCTGTCGCCCAGGCTGGAGCATAGTGGTGCAATCTCTGCTCACTGCAAGCTCTGCCTCCCGGGTTCACACCATTCTCCCGCCTCAGCCTCCTGAGTAGCTGGGACTAGGGCAGGCGCCCACCACCACACCTGGCTAACTTTGTTTTTGTATTTTTAGTAGAGATGGGGTTTCACTGTGTTAGCCAGGATGGTCTTGATCTCCTGACCTCTAGTGATCTGCCCGCCTCGGCCTCCCAAAGTGCTGGGATTACAGGTGTGAGCCACCATGCCCGGCTAACAATTTGAGGTTTTAAATGTATTTCCAGATATGCCTTGAACTTAGTTTTTATAATTATAGAAAATGTTTAAGTACAAAGAGAAACATTATTCATGGTCCTAGCATTCAAAAGCAGTTTGATGTATTTGTTGTCTTTTTTCTACTGATAACGTTAATTAAAATTATACTAAATATCAGCCTGGACAACATAGCAAGACTCCATCTCTACCAAAAAATTAAAAAATTAGCCGGGCATGGTGGCATACATCTGTAGTCCTAGCTACTTGGGAGGGTGAGGTAGGAGAATCACTCGAGCCCAGGAGTTTGAGGCTGCAGTGAGCTAGAATCATGCCATTGCACTCCAGCCTAGGTGAGACCCTATCTCTAGAAAACACACACACACACACACGCACACGCACACACACACACACACACAGCCCAACCCCCCCACCCCACCACCCCCCGCCCCGACCAAATTATAATTTTGGTTATTTTCCTTCATTAAACCACCTAGTCGATTTATCATTTTTAATGGCTGCATAATGGTCTATCCTGAATATAATTTGCTTTTTTTTTTATTATGTATTTTCTTTCTTTGTAGAGATGGTTTCACCATCTTGCTCAGGCTGGTCTCAAGCGATCCTCTGGCCTTGACCTCCCAGCGTGCTGGGATTACGGGCGGGAGCCACCACACCCGGCCATGAATATAATGTGTTTATTCGTTCGTTTATGATTTCTGATTTTTTACTCCTAAATAATGTAGTAACCTGTGCTACATTGTATTTTTTATATGTTCATTTACTCCGTGGAATACTTCTAAAATAACAGTAAAATGACAAAGGAATGCCTATTTTTTCATGAACTTTTAAAAATACAGAAAGCATAAATAAAATTAATGCCATCTGTAATCCCACCACAACTTAATGTTAACATTTTAAATTATTTCTTTTTTTTTCATACATATGCATAGACAATTACTGGGTTTTTGTTTTGTTTTTTGTTTTTTTTTCAAGCGACATTGTGATTGTATTCTTTTATACCTTATTGGGTTTGTTTTTTACTTACCATGGTAAAAATCCATTTGAGTGAGCATTCTTGAGTGGTTTTGCATTGTGTCTTCACACAGTTGTACCATAATTGAAGCTGCTTTTGGCCTTGCTCTGGTAAAGCAGTGTAGCACACACTCTTAATTTCTAAGGAAGTGTAGCGTTCCCTTGATGAATCAGGAGAGAGATCATTGAACTTGGTGTATGAGGTACTCTGGTCTGTCTTTTCAAGCTTGGGGTAAGTAGGCATCTGCAACTACCAGTCATATATTTTGTAACCCACTGGCCCGTGTGTGCCCTGATTGCTGAGGCTAGACAGATCCATCAGGGCTTAGACAGTTAGTGAGGGTCCTGGGAGTAGGCGAAGGGAAGTCCAGTTAATGTGTGAAGCTGCTGGGAATTGTGTAGTTGGCAGAGATTTGAGCAGGTAAAGCTTCCGATGTGGACCAAGTACAAGTACTAAGATCACGGCACATCCTCTAAAAGGAAGTCAGATATTTGGGACTGTCCAGGAAATCTGGGAGATAGTGTGATGGTGGCATAGCTCTTTCTCATCTGACACTTTTTATGCTTACTCAGAGTACGAATGCCAAGTATTGAGACGATACAGAATAATATTTGAATTGAGATATTCCTAGAAAGACAGGTCAACATGGCTCTTGGTCAAGAATGACTTAGAGTTCCTTGCCTAGTGCTCAGCTGGCTTCATGTCATAGTTGAGGCTGGGTCCACAGGTGGGATAAGATTCCACCAAAGCTCACCAGGCTGGTACTGACCCCAGAGTGTCTCCCAGGCCCTACCTTATTTTAGCATTCTTTTGAATTGAGTTTCAGAGGTGATTCAGTAGTAAATGTATGGGGAGAAGAATTAGAAAAACCCATCTCTTTTTAAGCAGTCATCATTCTTAAACATCTGAATTGTTTTACAACAGAGTCAGCAAACCTTTCTAGCATTTCTAAAAGATGGCAGTTTCTTGGAGACCACATCTTTGCAAGGCAGTATTTTCAAAATATAAAATAGCCCCCAAACCAAACCTTTAAACATGAAGGGCAAATGGGTAAAGACTTAATATTCTTTTTGTGTCAAGTATACTTAATGTAAATCTAGTTGCTTGTGAAGTAGTAAAATAGTAATAGCTCCTATTATTTTGAGCACTGACTATATGTGCTCAGCCTCTGTGCTTGGATCTGACATCACTATCTCATTTCCTTCTCTCAGCAGTTCTGGAAGGAGTACCTACCCTGGGTATGCTTTGCCCAGGGTCACAGAAGTTACTGAATTAGAGCAGGGATTCACCCCAAGTGTAAAAACTCAAGAGCTCCTGCACTTAGGGGTTTACTTCACTAATCATCTAACCTCATTTATTATGCTTAAGGCTTTTTCTCAGCTGACCTGACTTTGCTTTAGGTCATTCTTTTTTATGCCAGCACTGTTTGAAAGTGCATGTCAAGCGGCTAGCTCCACATTTGGTCTTCGAAAGGGAAACGCATGCAGTTAAAACGTAATGTACATGATGGAATTGGGAGGATCATAGTCTCAGTTTCCCCCCCCCTTTCTCCCATCTAGGAGACCTCCATGGACTGCAGCAAAATTAAAAATAAAGCACAGACAACAGAATTATTCTTCACTGAGAGAGTTTAATATGCGTTTCTAACACCATCTATACTTGCTTTGTTGTTCTTGAGGTCATCAACACACATTCTGGTTATTCCAGAGCTAGAAGCTCTTCTGGTTGCTAACTCAGTTATAAGAAGATGAAAGACATAACTAGACTTACGTATTTCAGTAGTTTGCTCTTTAATTTTTCCCTTACTCTTAGTTTCAGGCGACCTCCAAGAAGGGTATCAGTCGACTGGATAAACAGATGAGAAAGTTCACAGATATAAGGAAAAAAAGCAGATCTGCACACGCAGTGAAAATCAGCATTGAGGGCAACAAAATGCCATTGTGACCTTGCCTGGAATGTGTCCCCATCTCTACTCTAAGAAATGCGCAATGGACTCTTTGGAGAAAGAAGATATTTTAAAACATTTTTAGTGTGTCTGTAAATGGTTCAGCGTGTATCAGATGTTGTCATAGGACTCACATTTCTCTCAGTTATATTTAAAACCGTTGTGTACTTTGTACAAAGGAATACTAGTCATACTTCTATAAACTTTACACAATAAAATTTCATTCTGGTTTTTGGGGGGCTGTCTCTTCATTTCTTAGAGGATACATTCTTAATAGGGGCAAAGATTGTTTCTTGTTGTGTGGGAAAAAATCTTATGATATTATAGGGGTTTGTGACCCTTAGAGGTTCAATCCTCCCTCATTGTGGTATAATGAGGAATTTGTGTGGCCTTTGCCCCTGGTTGCTGACAAGGAATGTCTAAAACACTTGTGGTTTCCTGAGTGATAGAGCGTCTCTTGTTATGCTAACGAGGTGACTGTATGGTGGGCTTTAGGGTGGAGGCTGGTAACCAGAAACAGCTACTACAGAGGGTTGGGCCAGCAGGACCCGGGAGATTGAGACGCAGTCAGTGACCTGTTTGATTTAATCAACCATGCCTGCCAAATGGGACCTGATGAAGAGCTCTGGACCCCACAGCTCAATGACGCTTCTTGGTTGGTGAAAGCATTGGTGTGCTGGGAGGGAGAGGATTCCCCTCCATGAGGACAGGGGCACAGAAGCTCTGCCTTCCCTCCCAGACCTTCCCTTATGTATCCCTTCATTTGACTGGCCCTCCTAATTCATATCTTCTGTAGTAAAACTAATCATAGTGTTTTCTAGGGAAGGATAGTGCTTTCCTGAGTTCTGTGAGTCATTTCAGCAAGTTCTTAAACCTGAGAGGTTTATGAGAACCCCAAATTTGTAGCTGGTCAGAAGCGACAGTAGCCTGGATGCCTCACTTGTGGCTTGCATCTGAAGTGGGGGCAGTATTGTGGAGGACTGACCTCTTAAACCCGTGGAGTCTGATGCCAGCTCTGGGTGTGTCGTATCAGAATTGAATTGCAGTACCTCAGTTGGGGTGGAAATGGAATACCAACAAAATCTTATTAATGTGTTTCTCTTATTTGGGATAATTATTTTGATTTTCATTTTTCTCTGGGATGGGGGCTTATAACAGAGAAAAGATCAAGAAATACTACTGTCTTCAAGGAAATATGGATATAACTGAAAATCACTATGCCGAAAGCTTAGAGCAGTTGAGCAGTTAGAGGAGAGAGAAAAATTATAGCTTGTAGCTATGTTTCTTGTTGCTCTATTTTTGTGATAATAGTCTCTATAGACTTAATTATGAGAGGTCTCTTAAGGTCAAGATGACGAGGCCCAAGAACGTTTTATCAACTAGATTATTTTAATTTCAGAAATCCTATTCTGATACGGATTGGCACCTTGATCTTCAGAAACACATAAAACTACTTTTGGCCAAAAAAGCCTTTGAACAGCTAAAATAATGAAGTTTAGATACTAAAACACTGCTCACAAGAAACTCTCAAACTATTTACTTCCAGCAAACGCAGAAGCACAGTGGGATATAGTGCTTTGTAAAAAGCAGGTGCATAAAGGCATTAGAAGGTAATAGCTAGCCACTAGATGGAGACAAAAACCTAAGCTTTTCTGCAATGTTTCATACAAATACCCTCAAAAACACTTGAGAAGGAAAAAGCAGAGGCATCTAGTGAAGCCTTACACTGATCATTAAAAAATAAATTTGAAACAAAGACAACAAAGGTTGTATTTAAGAAAGATTTTTAAGTTACACAATTTTGTCATTTAATGGGGTAAGCTCCAATTACCTGAAAATTTCACTATTACAGGGTAAAACTTTAACGATGTTGGCAAGTAAAAAGTTTTAAACCATACCCGGGGAATTCAAAATGGTAAGAGATTCTCCTGTACTGTGTTTGAAGGAAAAAATTAGTTTCTATATAAATGATCCTTGGTGTTGGTTTTATGGCAGCTCAAACCTAGCTGGCCAGAAAAACCTTTAATTTTGAAGATATTTCCAATTTATAGTAGTTGCAAAAATAGTAAATAAACTCCGGTATACTCACTGATATTTACCAAGTGTTAACGTTTTGCCACGTCATTGACTCTGTCATCTTGTATATGCATAGAGCTATTTTTGCAGACTCAGAGTAACTTGCCGACAACTTGCCCCTTGAGCCCCAAATACTTCAGCATATTTCTTCCAAGAACATAGACTTTAGTTTTGTCCCAGAATTGATGATACTAACTTTGACAACTTGGCTATGATGATACAGAGTTGTGGGGGATTTTGTTTGTTTTTTAAGAGATGGGTTCTTACTGTGTCGCCCAGGCTGAAGTGCAGTGGTGTGATCCTAGCTCCCTGCAGCCTTGAACTCCCAGGCTCAAGCAATCTTCCTGCCTCAGTCTCCTCCCAAGTGGCTGGGACTATAGGCATGCACTCTCATGCTTGGCTTTTTTTCTTCCCCTTCCGGTTTTAAGATTTACTATCTTAAACAGTTTTACCGCTCAGTGGCATTGAGTATGTTCACAATGTATCGCCATCACCACCATTCATCTTCAGAAATCTTCTCATCTTGCAAAATTTTAACTCTACCTATCAAAGAACTCTCCTTCCTCCCCCAAGCTCTTGGCAACCACCATTCTACTTTCTGTCTCTTACGAGTTGTCTGTTCTAGGTACCTCATATAAGTGGAATCATACATTTGTCTTTTTGCGACTGTCTTATTTCACTTGGTATAATGTCCTCAAGGTTTGTCCATGTGTCCAAATTTCCTTGCATTTTAAGGTTGCATAATATTCCAGTGTGTGTATATACCACATTTTGTTTGTCCATTCATCTGTCAATGGACACTTGGGTTGCCTCCACCTTTGGCTATTGTGAATAACGCTGCTGTGATCATGGGTGTACAAGTATTTGTTCAAGACCTTTTTTTCTTCACTTTTAGAGATATTAAAAAACAACCATTTTTTTTTCCAATTCTTTTGGTTATATACCTAGAAGTAGAATTGCTAGATCATATGGTAATTCCATTTTAAATTTGTTTAGAAAGTGCCATACATACACTTTCCATAAGGGGCTACACAATTTTATATTCCCACCAATAGTACACAAGAGTTCCAATTTCTCCATATGCTTGCTAACACTTGTTATTTTTATTTTTTGATGGTAGCCATCCTAAGTGATGTGAGGTGGTATCTTGTGATTTTAGTTTGCATTTCCCTAATGATAGTGATGTAGAGCATCTTTTAATGTACTTTTTGACCATTTATATATCTTCCTTGGAGAAATGTCTATTCAAGTCATTTGCCCAGTTTTATATTGGGTTGTTTGGTGTGAGTTGTAGGAGTGCTTTGTGTACTCATGTTAATGCTTTATCAGCTATATGATTTGCAAATACTCTCTTTCATTCTTTAGATTGCCTTTTCACTCTTGATTGTGTTCTTCGTTGCACACATTTAAATTTTGCTGTATCTCACTTTTTTCTTTTATTGCCTGTGCTTTTGGTGTCATATCAAAAAAATTATTGCCAAATTCAATATTATGAAGCTTTTACCCTATAATTTTGTAAGTTTAGTTCTTATGTTTAGGTCTTTGATCCATTTCTAGTTGATTTTTTGTATGTTGTGTAAAATAAGGTTCCAACTTTATCCATTTGCATATGGATATCAAGTTTCCCCAGCAACATTTACTGAAAAAAACTTATTTTCCCCATGGAATGGTCTTGCAAGTCTTTTCAAAAATCATTTGACCATATGTGTAAGAGTTGATTTCTGGACTTTCTTCTTTTCCATTGGTCTGCATGTTGCAATATAGAACTGTCTGTGTGTCTGTCCCCACTGAAGTCAGGACGTGTGAGTCTTCCAACTTTGTTGTTTTTCAAGATTGTTTTGGCTATTTGAGATTTCATGTGAATTTTAAAATGGATTTTTCTATATATGCAGTAAACATTATTGGTATTTTGTTAGGAATTGCATTGAATCTGTAGAGGTGCTCTGGGTAGTATTGACTTCTTAACAATATTAAGTCTTTGAATCATGACCATGGAATATCTTCATTTATTGGTGTCTTCTTTAATTTCCTTAATGTTTTGTAGTTTTCTTTTCCTTTTTTCCTTTTCTTTTTCTTTCTTTCTTTTCATTCTTCTTTTTGATTCAGATTCTCCCTTTGTTGTCCAGGCTTGTCTCAAACTCCTGGCTTCAAGCAGTCTTCCCACCTCAGCTTTCCAAATAGCTAGGACTACAGGTGTGTGCCACCATGCCCGGATAATTTTTTTTGTAGAGTTGAGGTCTTGCTATGTTGCCCAGGCTGCTCTTCAACTCCTGGCCTCAAGCGATCCCCCTGCCTTGGCCTCCAAAGTGCTAGGATTACAGATGTGAGCCACCATGATGGCCTGTAGTTTTCAATGTAGAAGTCTTTCGCCTCCTTGGTTAGGTATATTCCTAAGTATTTTATTGTATTTGATGCTATCATAATTTGTTTTCATAAGTTCCTTTTAGGATTGTTCATTGTTAACATGTAAAAATGCGACTGATTTGTATTGATTTTTGTATCCTGCAGCTTTTCTGAATTTGTTTATTCTAACAGTTTTGTTTGGCTTTGGGGGTGTTTTGTGGACTCTGGGCATTTCTACATGTAATATCATGTTGTCTGCAAACAGATAATTTAATTTCTTTCCAGCTTGGATGGCTTTTTAGTTTCCTTTTTATGCCTAATTGTTTTGGCTAAGATTTCCAGTACTATGTTGAACAGACGTGGTAAAAGTGGGCATTCTTGTCTTGTTTCTGATAAAAAGCTTTCAGTCCTGAGTATGAGTATGATATTAGCTGTGGGCTTTTCATATATGACATTTATTATGTTGAGTTTCCTTCTGTTCCTTGTTTGTAGAGTGTTTTTTTTTAAATCATGAAATGGTGTTGGATTTTGTTAAATGTCTTTTCTGCATCAATTGAGATGATCATGAGTTGTTTTCTTCATTCTGTTAATGTGGTGTATTATATTGATCGATTTATATTTGTTGTTGTTGAACCATCCTTGCATTTTGGGAATAAATCCTTCACGGTCATGGGGTGTAATTCTTTTAGTGTGCTCTTGAATTTTCTTTGCTAGTATTTTGTTGAGGATTTTTGCAACATATTTATCAGGGATATTGGTCTGTAGTTTTAGTGCCTTTGGTTTTGGTATCAGGATAATACTGACTTCATAGTTTGGAGTTTGGAAGTGTTTCTCTTCAATTTTTTGAAGTATGAGGAAGATTGGTATTCTTTTTTAAATGTTTGGTAGAGCTCACCAGTAAGGCCATCTGGTCCTGAACTTTTGTTCATTGGGTGTTTCCTTACTAGTTATAGATCTGTTCAGATTTTTATTTTTTCATGATTTAGAGTTGGTAGGTTGTGTTTCCAGGAATTTAATTTGTCCGTTTTGTCTAGGTTATCCAACTTGGTGGCATACAGTTGTTCATAGTAGTGTTTTATAATCCTTTTTGTTTCTGTAAAATGGGTCATAATGTCCTCGCATTTGAGTCTTCTCTTTTTCTTCACCTAGCTAAAAGTTTGTCAATTTTGTTGATATTTCTGAGGAACCAGCTCTTGTTTTCTTTGATTTTTTTTTCTCTTTTTTTGTATTCTCTGTTATGTTTATCTCTGCTCTAATCTTTATTATTTCTTTCCTTTTGCTTGCTTTGTGTTTAGTTTGTTCTTCTTGTTCTTTAAGGTATAAAACTAGGTTGTTGATTTGAGATCTTAAAATTTGAGCATTTGTAGATACAAATTTCTTTCAGCATTGCTTTTGTTGCATCCCATAAGCTTTGGTGTTTTTATTTTCATTGTCTCAAGTTATTTTCTTATTTCCCTTGTGACTTCTTCCTTGACCCATTGGTTGTTTAAGAATGTACCATTTGATTTCCACATATTTGTGGATTTTAGGGTTTTCTTTCTGCTATGGATTTCTAATTTTATTCCATTGTGATTAGAAAGCTACTTTATATAATTTCAGTCTTTTCAAATGTTTTAAGACTTACTTGTGGCCTAATAGCCTGTCCCAGCGAATGTTCCATATACTCTTGAGGAATATGTGTATTCTGCTTATTGTTGGGTGGTATGCTTTTTGTCTATGTGTTAGGTCCAAATGGCCTATCATGTTGTTCAAGTCCTCTTTTTGAGACAGGGTTTCACTTCTGTCACCCAGGCTGGAGTGAAGTGGTGCGATCTTGGCTCACTACAACCTCTGCCTCCCAGGCTCAAGTGATTCTCCTGCCTTAGCCTGTCAAGTAGCTGGGACTATAGGCGTGCACCACCATGCCTGGCTAATTTTTTGTATTTTTAGTAGAGATGGGGGGGGTTTTACCATGTCGCCCAGGCTGGTCTTGAACTCCTAGACTCGAGCAATTCACCCGCCTCAGCCTCCCATAGTGCTGAGATTACAAGTGTGAGCCACTGCGCCCAGCCTCTGTTTCTTTTTTGATCTAGTCTCTTGCTTTTCTATCAGTTATAGAAAGTGGGGTATTGAAGCCTACTGTTACAGTAGGCCATCTGTTCCTCCCTTCAGTTCTGTCAGTGTTTGTTCATATATTTAGGAGCTCTTATGTTTGCGGTGTGTGTGTGTGTGTGTGTGTGTGTGTGTGTTTGTGTATGTTTATAATTGCTATATCTCATTGGTGAATTGATCCTTTTAAAAATATATAATGTTCTTTGTCTTTTGTACCAGTTTTTGACTTAAAGTCTATTTTGTCTGATATTAGTATAGTCACCCCTACTGTCTTCATTACTATTTGCATGGAATATCTTTTTCTGTCCTTTCTTTGTCAACCTGTGTGTGCTTAGATCTAAAGTGAGTCTCTTGTAGACAGTATGTAGATGGACTCTTTTTTTTAAATTCATTCTGGCAATCTGTCTTGATTTGGGAGTTAAAATTCATTTACATTTAAAGTAATTACTGATGGGGAAGGACTTACTGTTGCCATTTTGTTGTTTTCTGTATCTCTTATAGGCTCTTTTTGTCCCTCATTTACGCCCTTACTGTGTTTCTTTGAGTTCAGTTGATTTTGTTTTTCTTTTTCTTTTTTTTTTTTTTTTTTTGACACGGAGTCTCGCTCTGTCACCCAGGCTGGAGTGCAGTGGCATGATCTCGGCTCACTGCAACCTCTGCCTCCCAGGCTCAAGCGATTCCTCTGCCTCAGCCCCCTAAGTAGCTGGGACTACAGGCACGTGCCACCACGCCCACCCAGCTAATTTTTGTATTTTTAATAGAGACAGGGTTTCACCATATTGGCCAGGCTGGTCTCGAACTCCTGACCTTGTGATCCGCCCGCCTCAGCCTCCCAAAGTGCTGGGATTACAGGTGTGAGCCACCGCGCCCAGCGAGTTCAGTTGATTTTTTTATAGTGGCGTGTTTGGTTCCCTTCTCACTTCCTTTTGTGTATATTCTGTAGATATTTCCTTTGTGTTACCATGAGACTTAGATAAAACATCCTAATGTTATAACAACCTATTTTAAACTGATAACTTTAATTGCATACAAAAGACGTCCTTTACAGCTCCGTCTCTTCTTTATGTTATTGCTGCCACAAATTACATCTTTATATATTGTGTACCCACTAGCAAAGATTTATAGTTTTTTATGCTTTTCTATTTTAAGTCCTGTAAAATAATAAGGGGAGTTACGAACCAAAATTGCAATAATACTGATTTTTATATTTGTCTATGTGTTTACCTTGAAAGGAAAAATGTATATTTTTATACATCTTTGAGTTACTGTCTAGTGTTGTTTACTTACAACCTGAAGGAAGGGACTCCTTTTAACGTTTCTTGCAGGGTAGGTCTAGTGGTAATGAATTCCTTCAGCTTTTGTTTATTTAGGGATATCTTAGTTTCTCCCTTGATTTTGAAGGATAGTTTTACCAGATACAGAATTCTTGGCTGGGCGTGGTGGCTCACACCTGTAATCCCAGCACTCTGGGAGCCTGAGACAAGCTGATCACTTGAGCTCAGGAGTTCGAGACCAGCCGGGGCAACATGGCAAAACTCCATCTCTACAAAAAATAGAAAAATTAGCTGAATGTGATGGCTCATGCATGTAGTCCCAGCTGCTCAGGAGGCTGAGGTGGGAGGATCCCTTGACTACAGGAGGTAGTGTAGTACTGCAGTGGGCTGAAATCACACCACTGCACTCTAGCCTGGGTGACAGAGTGAGACCCTGTCTCAAAAAAAAGAAAGAAATCTTGGTTGACAGGTTTTTCTTTCATCACTTTAAATATATCATTCTATTGCCTTCTAACTGCAGAGTTTCTGCTTAGATTGTCCTGGCAGGGGTAGAGAGAGACTACTAGTAAAGTACTGTACAGTTTTTTGGAAGGCATTGGTAACCACTGTTTATAAACCAAGTCTTCCCCACCTGCCTGTGTACTGTTCCTCTCAGACAGGCAGAAATTATTGAATCAAACTCCATACTGTCTCTTTCTGTGATCTTCCCCTATTGCAGCAGCAGAAGTCCTCTGACGTAAGACTCCCCCTGGAGCAGGTAGAGTGTTGTTTGGAGTGATGTAGATGTCTATTACTTGTACATTAAAGGATTACAGAGATGTTTGGTAAGTCCAAAGGGGTAGGATTACCCAGTGTAGTCATGGGCTAGAAATGTTGCAAAAATACCTGAGCCAAGGTCTCAAGTTGGCTGACTTTGTACTATTAAGCTACAGACATGCACTTCATATGTTCATCAGTTTTTCAATTAGCAATAATCACTCCTTGAGTAAACCTCATTGGCTATGATACTGCCACTGCGCAAAGCTTGTTCATCAGTTTTTGAAGAAAATGGAGTATGTCACAGGATTACTTGCGTGCCTTGTTTTAAGCAAGCTCAACATATAAAAGTAATGGTTTCACCAAAACTTGAAGGTTATTGTTTGGTAAGAGATTCAGCAGAAGACTTTAAAAACATTTTTGTTACTTTAAAGAAGGACTCGAATTACAAAGTTTGAAGAAGCAACTAGTAAAAACACCACTCACTTTAGAAGAAGAGGGTTTAGGTCTGTTCTCCCAAAGACTGGTTCTTACAAAACCCAGGGTCCTGGGCCCAAAGGTTCTTTCTGTGTCATAACTGCTTAAAAATGCGAGAGGAGAGATTCAGGGTGTGTCAGTCCCAAGGACAGACAGCTAGATATCCTTTGGTTCTACTTGACCTGGGTAGCAGTGGGCGAGGCTTTAGGGAAAACACTTTGTAAATTTTATTATGATGGCATGTAAACACACAGGACTGGCAATAAAGTGACCTGGAGTTTGGTCTCCAGTATGAGAGGATCTCTTTTGGGCAAAGGATGATATTGCCACACAGTCAGGAGAGGGGATGAGCCTGATCTTTGAGTTTGCAGGGGGAGTGATTTATTTGTAATTCTTTATTTTATGATTTTTGTGCAAGAAGTTAAGTATTTTGGCTAGAGATAGCATGGAAATTGAGTGAGTTCCCCAGACCAGTTCTATGTAAGACCAGCAGAGAAGGTTAGGTCAGTGAGCACTGGTGTTTCGAAGGCTCTCCTGGAAGTCAATCAATGTAGTCATGAGCAGCAATTCCAAGCTGGCCTCTACTAAAAACCAGATCAGGGAAAAAGTAGGGCCCAGGTCAAAGAGACTGTGAGCTCCCTGGGGCAGGGACCAGGTCTGTCTGATTGTCTCTATTTGGCTTGTTGAACTGAACTAACATATAGCACTTGTCATTTGACACCGATTATAATTCTGTGAGATGATATTTGCATCTTAGATGAGGAAAATGTCCCATAGAGACCAAGATGCCTCCCATCTACAGAGTGGCTGAGTCAATTCAAGCTCAGGTCTCCTGATTCCAGATCCTGTGTGCCTTCCTGATCACCATATCAGCTAGATCTTTTCTATGTAGAGTATGCAATAGCTTTTATTCAGACTTTTCATTCCTTGGCTTTTATTTTCTGATCTTTCTTAATTATTGCTATTTTGTTTTTATCGAGGAAATCAGAGAGAAAGCTATGAGACAGTTAAAGCCTGTTAAGGGTTTATTGAGAATATAATGATATTCAATATGAAATAAAAATCAAATACACTAGAATTGCAGCATAATCATACCTTAGAGTTACTATAAGATTAAGTTGGAATCGAGTTGATCTTATAGTAATGAATTTTCTTTTTTAAAGCTTTTTAGAGCAAAACCTAATCAATCCCATAGCATGAGGGACAAAACCTATGTCAATCCCATAACATAAGTGGCATATAAGGAATATCCTGTGCATTTCTCTACAGAAAGGGAAAGGAAGCAGAACAGACTTTGTGCCTACCAGGTGTTGGGCCCAAGTTGTTGGGTCTTACTATGACCTTTACAAGTATTACCCTCAAGTTTTCCAACAAGTGGTCATCATTACCTTTCTATAAGTGGGAAAAATAGATTTAAAGTAAGTGGCTACCCAGAGTCACACAGTAAATAGCAAGCAATCCATGGATCTAAACTGAATTATTTCTGCCTCCAGTGCTCTCAGTTATGCTGTGGTGTTTTCTGGATGAAATACTAGGATTTAAATATATGCTTAGAGTTTTTGTGTCAAACCTTAAGTTGCTCTTGTACTTTGTTAAACTTGTACCATCTGAAATGAACACCTGTATCCATTCTCTTTCAGGTTTTGCTGTTACTGCTCAGTGTAGTCACACCTTGAATAAGAAATGGAAAACCTTGGGATGTTGATAAAGCTAATATCCTGAGGAAGAACTTCAGTGGGTCCCAGCTGAGTAGGAGATGGGATTCAACAGTACTGGTACGTAGTTAGGCAATAATCCTCCTCAGGCATCACATTCATTGATTTTTGTTGGGCCTGGGGATCCTGGGAAAAAGTTGGGAACTTTGTGCACTCTTGGCTTTGACTACTGACAGGTCTAATGTGCTGGAGTGGCCCAGGCGGAGGCCCACTTGCAGAGACTAATGGGAGCCTCAAGAGAAAATCTACCATAAGAAAAGGACCAGTCTGATAGCAAGCCCAGCTTCCCAAGAAGATAGAAGGTTGGAGGCAAGCTGCTGTCCAGGTATGTCCCAAACCAGCCAACTTGAAGGTAAGTTTGCTCCCTGGGGAGAGAAGGGCTCTAGGTGTGAACTAAAAGCTGTGTCCATAGACACTGTAACACTGGAGTTCAAAAAATGTTGCTGTGGAACGGCCCTTCTCATCCAAACCCAGACGGAATGTTCTCACCTGCCAAGAGTAGTGTCTTGTATTGAGGCACAGTGGTAGCTTTCTGGATCCACAGGCAAGGCCCTGTGGAGTCTCAGAATAATGATAAATCCTCTGGATGACCTAGGGGCTGGTGAGGTGAGTGGAGCACCCTACTGTGGTGTGTCTGTAGGACCACTGGAGCCTGATGCTGCCAAAGCATGACCTGACCAGCCCTGGCAACTGGTTTAGGATCATACAACCATGCACATGCCCCTAGGATTCCTAGAAATACTAAGGGGAAAAGGATTTTCCCGGAGCTGGGACATTCTACATTTGCACAGGTGAGAACTCAAACCATTGAGATTTAGATATTAATGTAAAACAACTTCATTTGTACTCATTAAGACTGAGTAAGGCTAGGACTTTTCCTTTCTGCTGCATTTTAACATAGGTAGGAGGACAGGATTTTCAAGATGCCCAAGAAAGTAATCAAGCAATAATCATGCACATCTTCATGAAGGAATGGTAGAGCCCCACATGACCCACGATCTGCACCCCACAGGACCCCCGCCCCACTGCTTCTCTGCCCTCATCTCGTAGCACTCCAGCCCCGGCCCCCGCTGGCTGGCCTCCCGTGCAGCACGCTCTCCCCTCAGGGCCTTTACACTTGGCTTCTCCCTTGATCTGGGTTGTGCTCTTCCCTATCTTCCCACCCTCTAATGTCCATGTGCCTTCTTCCTCACTTTCTTCAGCTCTCTGTTCAGACGTCACCTTTTCTGTGAGGCCTTCCCTGACCTAACATAAACAGCAACAAGGTCAGTCTCAGTGGCTCACGCCTGTTATTCCAGCACTTTGGGAGGTCAAGGCAGGCAGATCACCTGAGGTCAGGAGTTCGAGACCAGCCTGGCCAACATGGTGAAACCCCGTCTCTACTAAAAATACAAAAAGAATTAGCCGGGTATGGTGGCGGGCGCCTGTAATCCCAGCTACTTGGGAGGCTGAGGCGGGAGAATCACTCGAACCTGAGAGGTGAAGGTTGGAGTGAGCTGAGATCGCGCCATAGCACTCCAGCCTGGGTGACAGAGTCAGACTCCATTTTGAAAAAAATAAAATAAAAAAAGAGCAACAACTGCTTCTTGCCTTGTTACCCCTAATCTGCTTTATTTTTTCCCAAAGCACTTTGCATTATCTAGTATACTATACATGTGGTTGTTTATTGAGTGTATCCTCCTCATTAGAATGGGAGCCCCATGAGGGCAAGAACTCCCTCTGTTTATTCACAGATGTATCCCCAGCAGCCAGCACATTGTCTGTCACACAGTACATGTTCGATACATTTCATTAATGAATGATCATACTTCCTCCCTTTTTTGTTAATTAACTAATTCAGTGAACACTGAGCTCTACTAAGTGATGGATACTACTGAATAGCAGAGAACCAAAGATGAACAAGATAGCCTCTGCCCTTAAAGAGGTCACAGTGTGAGGAGGGAGGCAGAATGGTGCCTCCTGACTATAAATGCAGTGTGGTAGATTTCACTGGGGACACAGCTGGAGGAGATTGGGGAAAGCTTCGTGGAGGAGTTGCTGTCCAGTTGACTCATGAAGGGTGAGGAAAATTATGATGTGTGAACATTTGTTGAGTGCTTACCATCTCTCTGCTAAGCAACTTAAATATAGCATTATTTAACGCCGTGAACAGGTGTATAACATAAGTACTGATATTATTTTTACCTTACGGTTGAAGAAGCAGGCTCAGAAAGGACCAAGGTTTGAAGCTACCACTGGTGGAGCTAAGGTTCAGACCTGGTTCTTCCTGGTTTCACATCTCATGCTTTAACCATGTGCTGGGCAGACAAGAAAGAAAGACACTGTGAGCAGAAGAAATAATCCATCTCAAAAATGGAAACTTCATGGTGTGTATTCAGGGAACCCCAGGAATTCCAGGGAAGAGATGAGGCAGGAGTCTACCTCACCCAGAAGGTGAGATACAGGCCACAGATATTTCATACCTCTGCCTCCTGATTCCTTCTTCCTTCCAGGATAGCTTGCTTTTGTTACTGTATCGAGTGTCTGAATATACTTTGATCTGAAGAAAGAATTCTATGATTGAAGCAAGGGATGGTCCATGTGGTTATAGTAGCCCAGATGGGATGGGGGTCCTTCAGTAGGACAGTAACTGGAGTAACTGGGAAAATGAAGGGGAGATGACAGATAGCGAGGACCTTTAGAGATAGGACTGCTAGGACTTGGTCGCCATTGGCTGTTAGAGAGGCAGGAGGCTAGGCCTGGGTGAGTGGTGGAGCAACAGTGCCAGTAACAGAACACTGTGTATGAGAACGTTCCATGGGAGTGGGAGATGAAAAGTCAGGCAGTTTTGGAGCCCCTGTGGCTTGTCGAGCCAGGGAGATGCCCCATCCTGATTGGGATGTGTAAGGCTGGAGCTCCAGGTAGAGTCACAGAGCTAACAAACTTCAGCTTCTTTCAAGTTAATGCCCAGGAAGAGAGTCTAGAGAAAGACCAGCAGTGAGCTTGGGAGCAGCAGCTGTGGACACTGGGAATCTCCTCAGCACTGACAGTTCTGGACCAGAACTACGTTGCTTCAGATCCCTTGTGAAGTCATGATTGGACAAACATATTATCTAAACCATTCAGGGAATTTTTTGAAATTTCCTAATTAAAGGAAGTTATCTGGGTAAATGAGTTCTCCTTGAAGCATTTTCTTCTATCAGTGTGTGGGTAAAATGGCAGTGTGCGAAGTCCCTTCAGTCAAGCAGGGTTCTCTGTAACCCTTTTTTTTCTTTCTTTCTTTTTTCCCCCCAGTTAATACCTTGATTGCATTTTTTAAAATATAGTCTTACTAGATTTTTTTTTGTAGAAATGGAATCTCACTATGTTGCTCAGGCTAGTCTCAAACTCCTGGCCTCAAGTGATCCTCCACTTCAGCCTCCCAAAGTGCTGGGATTACAAGTGTGAGCCAATGTATCCAACCCTTTGTAACCTTTGATCCAGCTACTTTTTTCATTCCTAGTTATTTTCACAACCCTGTCTGGAAGATCACAGCCTCAGTGATCTTCCTTATTGATGAACTACCACTGGAAACGAGTACAGACCCATTTTGGCCCAGCCTTCTTCTGAGTGCACAGTGCCCACCAGGAACAAAGTGTCCAGGCAACACCCAGCCAGGAGCCTCCACTTCAGAATGGAAGCCAGCACAAAGCTTGCCGTCAGTAAGGTTCCTGGAGGAACTGGGAAACAGGGCTGAGGGAAGAGAAAGAGCCCCAGCGACTCACTGTCCTTGTCCTCCCGTTCTAGATCAGTACAGTCCCAGCTTCTGGTTTGGGAAGGGAGGGGAAGAACATGTTTGCCCCAGACCACACCCCACCTCCGGCCAAGCAGGGCCGTGGCACTATTGCAATGAGGAAGGAATGAACATTCTTCAGGGTGGTCTTATCGTCTACTCATGCAGGAGCCCATCCGGATCACTTAAGAGTAGAGAACAGGAGCAAGAATAGAAGTAGCAAGGGAAAGTGCTTTGGGGTCATGTGACCCTGAGTCTTATCCTTTCTGCACCTATGGGCTATCTGGCCTAGGGCAAAAGTCACTTCACCCCCATGAGCTTCAGTTTTCTTCTCCCTGAGAAAGACGTCAGATGTCAGTGCACAGAGAGGCCATGGGGATGGATGTGCCCAGCAGGATGCCCAGCATCCAGTAGGTGCCTAATAGGTAGGGCTCCCTCATTGTGGTTATCCTCCAAGTGACTGTTATGTTTTTGATCTGCTTAACTTGGCACTGGATTTGGTGATGTGTGAACTTGTATTTCCCTTCCCACAGTTCACAGTAGTGTAAGGATTATGTGCTCAGGCTCTGGAGTTTAACCAGACCTAGCCTCAGATCCTGGCTCCAATAGTTTACTAACTCTTTGACTTTGAATAAGTCATTTCCCTAATTGGTCTCTGTGGGAGTAATAATAGCACTTACCTTATAGAGGTGTTGTTAGAAGAAAATAAGATATTATGTGTGGGAATTGTTTGGCATATGGTAAACATTCAAATATTGTGGTATCCATCTTGGTGAAAATTGCCACCCTTCAAGGGCATATACTTATTCCAAATTGAGCACTTTCCATGGCTCAAAATATGTAACAAATGTATTAGTTCATTTTCATACTGCTGATAAAGACATACCCAAGACTGGGTAATTTATACAGGAAAAAGGTTTAAAGACTTCCAGTTACATATAGCTGGGGAGGCCTCACAATCATGGCAGAAGGCAGGAGGGGCAAGTCACGTCTCACATGAATGGCTGCAGGCAAAGAGAGAGCTTGTGCAGGAAAACTCCCGTTTTTAAAACCATCAGATCTCATCAGACTCATTCACTACCCGAGAACAGTGGAGGAAAGACCCACCCCCACAATTCAATCACCTCCTACTGGGTTCCTCCCATGACGTGGGAATTGTGGGAGATACAATTCAAGATAAGATGTGGTTGGGGACACAGCCAAACCATATCAACAAGTCTTTTTTTTTTAGTAGAGGCAAGGTTAGTCCCACTATGATGGCCCAGGCTGGTCACCAACTTCTGGGCTCAAGCAATGCTCCTCCAGCCTTGGCCTCCCAAAGTGCTGGGATTATAGGCATGAGCCACCACACCCATCCAGTTAACAAGTCTTAACATTGCCTTAAGAGTCTTTTGAATGTCTATAAATGGTAAAACAACCAACTAGCCAAAAACCTTTGCTCTTTCAAGAAAGAGCAGGTTTGGAGTAATAGCTATGTGATTCCAAGCCAAATATGCTGATTCAGATAATTAGTGAGTCAAGATAATTACCTTTGGGGTCAAAGTAATGTGCTTCTTGTAACTCATGAAGATGCACCCAGAAGAGGCCTCCAGCAGAGTGGGCAGCAGCTGTGCTGCGGGAGCCCGAGCTTGCAGCCTCCGGAGCAGGCACTTCTCGGCTCTATACCATTCACCCCCATGTGGTTTTTACATTATTACTTTTTAGATGGAAAGTAACCTCCTCATGGTTAAAAAAAGAAACAGTTCAAAAGGGTAAGAAAAATCTCCCTACCACAGGGAGGAAATCAGTTTCTGCTCTCTTATAGGACTGTCCGTAGCTATAAAGTCCCTTTTTAAAAGCATATGGGGCCTGGCATGCACACTGCTGTACGCCTTTCTCTTCCCACTCATCACACTGCTGACAAAGATCTCCTGAGTGGGAGGCTTTGAAGCACTGCCCCCACAGAGAGGTACATGATACCCAAGAAATGCCCAGGGCTGGCTTTGGGGCCCCCAGATTCTTAAACGCTGCCAGAGCATGTAATTGCCCCAGTTCCTTACTCTAAAATTCCTATTTTCTGGCTCTCTGACTTGTTTTGTTTTTGTTTTTTTGAGACTGAGTATCTCTCTGTTGCCCAGGCTGGCGTGCAATGGCATGACCTCCACTCACTGCAACCTCCACCTCCTGGGTTCAAGTGACTCTCCTGCCTCAGCCTCATGAGTAGCTGGGATTACAGGCATGCGCCACCATGCCCAGCTAATTTTTGTATTTTTAGTAGAGATGGGGTTTCAGTGTTGACCAGGCTGCTCTTGAACTCCTGACCTCAGGTGATCCACCTGCCTCAGCCTCCCAAAGTGCTGGAATTACAGGTGTGAGCCACTACCCCCAGCCCTGGCTCTCTGAGTTTTAAACCACTTTCTTCAAATTTTGCTGCCAACTCTAATAGTTAGACTTCTTTTGGAGGGTGAAAGGAAGGCAGGAGACTGGGAGGAGAGAAAAGAAAATGGGCGGGTTGGGGGGAAGAAAAAGGGAAAAAAGAAAACCTTTTACATTACAAGGGTAACTACAAAAATGACAACTGTGTCAAAACAACAAAACCAGGTTGAGACCGCCTGGATGCCTGTGGTCAACCGAGTTTGCCCAGTAACTCTGGGACTCAGGGAGAGGGAGGATCTGCGAAAGAAAGCCACTCCTACCTCCTAGGTTTGTGGATTACAGGCAATGGTGTCGGTAAGAGGCCCAGTTCCGGGGATTCCCAGGGCGGATGCTAGAACAAGAACTCTATATCCAGCTGTCCAGGGTCTCACAGCAATAAGTGGTCAAGTCATGGATTTACATCTGACTCCAAAGGCTTTTCCATTACCCACTCATCTCCCATTTCCTTCAGTGGATAGGAGGGCCCAGGAGGGCCTGGAAGCCTGGGCTGAGTGAGTACTGTCAGCCACAGCTGGAGAGAGGCCACACACAGGCCCATCCACCCAGTGTGACGCGGTAAGGCGCCCCGCCCCCCAGGCCATGTGCAGAGGCGACCACCCAGCATCTGCTGATTAAGCTGCTACTGTAGAAGTCCCTGTTTTGGTCTTCCTAAATCAGGGCCTGGGAAAAAGACATGAAGAGGTTTCAGTCCTCCATTTTCCCAGAACAAAAGACTTTTCCTGTCCACATCATATCACTGGCCCGGAATGCATCCGCTGCAACCTCAGCGCCTTCAGCACGATGCAGCACTGCCAGCCGGCCTGGCTCGAGGAGCCTTGGCCAGGATTTACCACCTGCCCCACGTTTTTGAGGATTTCATCACGTGGTGTAATATGATTGCAATACAATTCTTGAAAGATATTGTTTTTACTTTAGCTTTTTCTTTTAATGTAACAGCTTTACTGAGATTTAATTCACATGCTGCAGTCATTTTAAAGAGGTAATTCCATGGTTTTTTTTTTTTTTGTATATTCACAGTTATGTAACCATCCCCACAATCCATGTTTAAATATTCTTATCACCCCAAAAAGAAGTCCCATAACACTCCCCATTTCCCCTCCTACCAGTCCTCAGCAACCACTGATCTACTTTATGGATTTGATTATTCTTTACGCTTAATATAAATGGAATCCTACAATGTGTCGCCTTTTGTGTCCGGGTTCTTTCCCTTTGTATAAGCTTTTCTAAGGTCATCCATATTGTAGCATTTCTTGTAATGACTGAATAATATTCATTTTATGGATATGCCACATGGTGCTTATGCATTCATTAGTTGATAAACATTTGTGTTCACACTTTTTTGGCTGTGATCAATAACGCTGCTATGAACATTCATGTACAAGTGTTTGTGTGGACATGTTTTCAGTTCTCTTGGGTTTATAACTAAGAATGGAACTGCCAGATCATATGGTAACTGCATTTTTAACCTTTTGATGAACTGCCAAACCATTTTCCAAAGCAGCTGCACTGTTTTACATTTCCACCAGCAAATGTCCACCGGCAAACGTTTGAGGATTCCCATTTCTCCACATCCTCACACTTTTTTTCTGTAGGTTTGTTTTCTGTTATTGTTGTTTCAGCCCTTGCAGTAGATGTGAAGTAGCATCTCATTGTGGTTTTGACATTTCCCTGATGGCTAATGATGTTGAGCATCTTTTCATGTGCTCTTTGGCCGTTTGTATCTCTTCTTTGGACCAATGTCTATTCAGATTATTTGCCCATTTAAAACATTGGGTTATTTGTCTTTTTCTGGTGGAGCATAGGAGTTCTTTATAAATTCTGTATATAAGCTCCTTAGGTAAAGGATTTGCAAAAATGATCTCCCATTCTATGGATTGTCTTTTTACTTTCTTCATAGTATCCTTTGAAGCACAGAAGTTTTTAATTTTTATGGAATTCAGTGTATCTATTTTTTTCTTATTTGCCTGTGTTTTTGGTGTAATAACTAGGAATCCATTGCCTAATGCAAGATTTACTCCTGTGTTTCTTCTAAGAGATTTTACAGCACTGTTGCATTAATTTTTGTATATGGCATGACGTAGGGGTCCAAAATCATTCTTTTGTATGTGACTATACAGTTGTTCCAGCTTCATTTATTGAAAAAACTCTTTCCTTCATTGAATGGTCTTGGCACCCTTGTCAAAATTTAATTGAACTTTGATAGCAATAACTGTGTCAATATTGACTTATTGATTGTAACAAATGTACCACACTAGTGCAAGATGTTAATACTATAGGAAACTGTGCATGGAGAGGGGGACATATGGAAATTCTCTGTACTTCCTGCTGAGTTGTTATTTTATTTTATTTTTATTTTTGAGACAGGGTCTCATTCTGTTACCCAGGCTGAAGTACTGGGGCACAATCACAGCTCACTCCAGCCTCGACTTCCTGGGCTCAAGCAATCCTCCCACCTCAGCCTCCCGAGTAGCTGGGACTACAGGCACACACCACCATGCCTGGCTAATTATTTCCATTTTTTGTAGAGATGGAGACGGGGTCTCACTATGTTGTCCGGGCTGGTCTCAAACTGCTGGTGTCAGGAGATCCTCTTACCTCAGCCTCCCAAAGTGCTGGGATTACAGGTGTGAGCCACCTTGTCCGGCCATCAATTTTTCTGTAAGCCTAAAATTGCTTTAAAAATAGTCTGTTTAACTTTTAAAAATAAATTGAACATATATGTGTAAGGGTTTATTTCTGGACTTTCCATTTTATTCCATTTATCTGTATGTCTGTCCTTTTGCCAGCGACACGCTCTCTTGATTATTATAACACTGTAAGAAGATTTGAAATCAGGAAGTGTAAATCGTTCAACTTCATTCTTTTGCAGATTGTTTTGGCTGTTCTGAGTCCCCCAAAGTTCTATATGAATTGTAGGATCATCTTGTTGATAGCTGCAAAGAAGCCAACTGGGATTTTGATAGGGATTACATTGCATCTATAGATCAATTTGGGTTTGGGGCATGTTGCCATCTTGACAATATATACTTTTTTTTTGAGATGAGGCCTTGCTCTGTTGCCAGGCTGAGTATAGTGGTGTGATCATAGCTCACTGCAGCCATGAACTCCTGGGCTCAAGCGATTCTCTCCTCAGCTTCCTGAGTAGCTGGGACTATAGGTGCATGCCCCCACGCCCAACACCATCTTAACTGTTAAGTCTACAGACTTACGAATATGGAATGTTTTTCCATTTTATTTAGATTTTCTTTAATTTTGTTCAACAATTGTAGTTTTCAGAGTACACGTTTTGCATTTTTTGTTAAGTTTATTCTTAAGTATTCTTTCTGATGCTATTGTAAATGTTGTTTCTTAATTCCATTTTTAGATTTTTCAATATTGTATAAAATACTGTTGGTTTTTCTGTATTGATCTTGTATCCTGCTTGCTTGCTGAACTTGTTTATTATTATTATTATTAATTATTTTTTTTTTGAGATGGAGTCTCGCACTGTCACCCATGCTGGAGTGCAGAGGTGCAATCTGGTCTCACTGCAACCTCTGCCTCCCAGGTTCAAGTGATTCTCCTGCCTCAGCCTCCCAAGTAGCTGGGATTACAGGCATGCACCACCATGCTCAGCTAATTTTTGTATTTTTAGTAGAGACGACGTTTCACCATGTTGCCCAGGCTGGTCTCAAACTCCTGGCCTCAAGTGATCCACCCACCTTGGCCTCCTAAAGTGCTGGAATTACAGGTGTGAGCCACTGCACCTGGCCTGAACTTGTTTATTAATTATAATACTTTTTTAGTTGATTCTTTAGGCTTTTCTATATGCAAGATCATATCTTCTGCAAATAGAAATAAATTTACTTCTTCCTTTCCAATCTGGATGAATTTATTTCTTTTGCTTGCCTAGTTGACTGGAACCTTCAGTATAGCAATGAACAGAAATAACAAGCACATACGTACATTTTAATCTTGTTCCTGAAGTTAAGAGGAAAGCCTTCAGTGTTTCACTAGTAGGGATGATGTTAGCTGTGATATTTTTCATAGATACCCTTTATCAGGTTGAGGAGTTGCCTTTTATTCCTAGTTTGAGTTATTTTATTATGAAGAGGTATTGAATTTTGTCAGGTACTTTGCATCTATTGAGATGATCATGTGGTTTTTATCCTATTGTATTGACATGTTACATTAATTAATTTTTTTTAGTGTTACGCCAACTTTGCATTCCTGGGGTAAATTCTGCTTGGTTACAGTGCATAATCTTTTTAAAAATAAGTTGCTGGCCAGGGTCAGTGGCACATGCCTGTAATCCCGGCACTTTGGGAGGCCAAGGTGGGCAGATCACGAGGTCAAGAGATCGAGACCATCCGGCCAACATGGTGAAACCCCGTCTCTACTAAAAATACAAAAAATTAGCTGGGCGTGGTGGCACATGCCTGTAGTCCCAGCTACTTGGGAGGCTGAGGCAGGAGAATCGCTTGAACCCAGAAGGCAGAGGTTGCGGTGAGCCAAGATTGCGCCCCTGCACTCCAGCCTGGCGACAAAGCAAGACTTCATCTCCAAAAAAAAAAAAAAAAGTTGCTGGAATTGGATTGCTAGTACTCTGTTGAGGATTTTTTCATCTTTATTTTTTAGGGGCTATTGATCTGCAGTTTTATTGTGATGTCTTTGTCTGGTTTTAACATCAGAATATATTGGCCCCTCACAGAATGAGTTAGAAATGTTCCATCTTCTATTTTTGGAAAAGTTTGTGAAGAATTTGTATTAATTCTTTAAACATTTGGTGGAATTACAATTGAAACCGTCTGTGTCTGACATTTTCTTTGTGGAAAGTTTTTCGATAGTTTGTTTATTTGTAGGAATTTCTGCATCTCATCTTAGTTATTGGATTTGTTGGCATACAATTTAAACGATTCCCCTATTATCCCTTTTATTATTGTAAGGTCAGCATTGATTCCCTCTCTTTTATTCTTTCTTAGTTGTTATTTTATAGAGACAGGGTCTTGCTGTGTCACCCAGGCTAGAAATCAGTGGCTTGATCATGGCTCACTGTAGCCCCGAATTCCTGGGCTCAAGTGATCCTCCTGCTTCAGCCTCCTGAGTAGCTGGACTACAGGCATAAGCCACCACGCCCAGCTCATTTTTGTTTTACTTTTTTGTAGAGCTAGGGTCTCACTATGTTTCCCAGCCTGGTCTTGAGCTCCTGGCCTCAAGTAATCCTCCTGCCTTGGCCTCCCTCGCCCCCCCGCCTTTTTTTTTTTTTTGAGACAGAGTCTCACTCTGTCATTCTGGGTGGAGTGCAGTGGTTCAATCATAGCTTGACTGCAGCCTTGACCTCCTTAGGCAATCTCACTATGTTGCCCACACTGGTCTGAAACTCCTGGCCTCAAGTGATCCTCCCACCTTAGCTTCCCAAAGTGTTGGGATTACAGGCATGAGCCACCACGCCTAGCCATGCCTGGCTAATTTTCCTTTTTTTTTTAAGAGATGGAGTCTTGCTATCTTGCCCAAGCCGGTCTCCATCCTCCTGCCTCAGCCTCCCAAAGTGCTGGGATTACAGGTGTGAGCCACTGTACCTGGCCTCTCTCTTTTATTCTCGACTTTAGTAATTTGCATTCTCTCCTTTTTATTGGTCAGTCTAGCTAAAGGTTCAGAAATTTGGTTGATCTTTTAAAATAATCTATTTTTACTTTTATTGATTTTCCTTGATTTTTTTCTATTCTGTTTTATTTATTTCTGCTTTAATCTTTATTATTTCCTTTCTGCTTACTTTGGATTTTGCTTGCTACTTTTTTTTTCTGTTTCTTAAGTGGAAGTTTCAATTCCTGATTTGAGATCATTCTTCTTTTTAAATATAGTTGGGGTTTGGGGGTTTTTTTTTTTTTGGTTTGGAATGAGGTCTTGCTATGTTGTCCAGGCTGGTCTCAAACTTCTGGACTCAAATGATCCTCCTGCCTCAGCTTTCCAAGTAGCTGCGACTACAGGCATGAGCCACCATGTCTGGCTAATATAGGTGTTTATAGCTGTACATTTCCCTGTACGTACTGTTTTCACTGCATCCCATAAATTTCTGTATATTGTGTTTTCATTTATTTCAAGTACTGTTAAATTTTCTGATTTCTTCTTTCACCCATTTGTATTTAGGAGTTGTTTAATTTCCACATATTTATGAATTTCTCAAATTTCCTTCTATTATCGATTTCTAATTTCATTCCATTTTGATCACAGAACAGACTGTGTGTGATATCAGTCCTCTTAATTTTATTGAGGCTTGTTTTATGGTTTAGCATTTGATGTTTCCTGGCAAATGTTTCATGTGCTCTTCAGAAGAATGTGTGTTCTGTGATTGGGTGTTCTGCAGTGGTCTGTAGGTGTAGCTTGTTCAGCCTTCTGTTTCCTTGCTGATCTTCTGCCTAGCTGTTCCGTCCATTATTGAAAGTTGGGCACTGAAGTCTTCAACTACTTTTGTTAAGTTGTCTGTTTCTCCCTTCAGTGTTACCAGTTTTTGCTTCATGTGTTTTGGTGCTCAGTTGTTTGGTACATTATGTTTATAATGGTGTGTATTCCTGATGGATTGATTTTTTTAGTCATTATAAAGTGTCCTTTTTTGTCTTAAAGTCAACAACCGCTTATCTTAAAGTGGCGAAGTCCAATCTTTTGGCTTCCCTGGGCCGTGTTAGAAGAAGAATTGTCTTGGGCTCCATGTAAAATACAATAATGATAGCTGATGAGCTAAAAAAAAAAAAATCTCATAATGTTTTAAGAAAGTTTACAAATCTGTGTTGGGCTGCATTCATAGCCATCCTGGGCCACGGGTTGGACAAGCTTGACATAAGGGAGGGTAACATGGTGTGTGCCATTGAGAAACTTCCTGGAGAGACATGACCATGGGAACCGACCTGAGAAGTTTACACAGGCAGTGGAACACAGAAGCAGGGGTTCTGCTCCCGCACACTCCTCCAGCCCTCCGCGTGCCCCGCAGCCCACCGTGCTTCACCACCACCTGTTCTCAGGCAGCCCGTGCACTCTCTCCTGTGTGCTTTGAGTTGGTGTTCCTTGTGTCTACTGTTCTTCCCTTTCCCTACCTCGCTAACTCCTACATCTCATCTCACTAAAATAAGATGCATGTGGCCGGGTGCGGTGGTTCACGCCTGTAATCCCAGCACTTTGGGAGGCCAAGGTGGGCAGATCACAAGGTTAGGAGATCGAGACTTTCCTGGCCATCGTGGTGAAACCTTGTCTCTACTAAAATACAAAAAATTAGCCGGGCATAGTGGTGCGTGCCTGGAGTCACAGCTACTCGGGGAGGCTGAGGCAGGGGAATCGCTTGAACCCAGGAGATGGAGATTGCAGTGAGCCGGTATCACGCCACTGCACTCCAGCCTGGCGACAGAGCAAGACTCCATCTCAAAAAAAAAAAAAAAAAAAAAAAAAAAAAAAAAGATGCGCATATCGGTGCTTTCCAAAATCCAGTCATTGGCAAGCCACATTTAAGATGCTCTCCACATCTAAGCACTATTTGTGATTCAAATCAGTTTTAAAACTCATTCCTTTAGCCTCACTCTGAGCAATCATATTGGTGAAAGTTTGGTTTTCTCATTATATTTTTTTGTAATGCACATTTAGATGCATAAGTAAAAAATTAAAAATTGGTCCACATTCTACTTCAAATCATTTTGCATGTGATACATATGCCATACTTTTGACAAGACCTCTAGCCTGCCTGACGCACAGGGAGCACTGTGAAAGATCTTTTCTTGCTGTAATTAACATCTGTGTGGGTTAGCTGCAACTTACCTGCCGGGAAGCCCTTCTGGGTGACCCCGGAAGTCTCACTCCGCTCCCTCCCCTGCACTGCTTTGAACACGTCTCCAATTTAGTGTTTTCTTAGACCGCAGACGTTGTAGTTGTTCACATGTCTCTCTCTCCGTTAGACCATGAGCTCCCTGAGGGCAAAATGATGTCCTTTTCTCTTCTCCCAGCATCGATAACGGTACCTGACAAATAGTAAGCATTCAGTAAAATTTTGTTGAATGAGTTTCCATAACTGCATTGTAGTATAATTTCTCTTTCTGTGTGTGTCTTTTCTCTGATGAGACTGTTCTAGGAATTTTTATGCCACTCAGTGCCTGCTCACAGCAGGTGTCCAGTAAACTCATGCAAGAATGACTGTATGAACAGATGAACAATGAACAAATGTCAGATATGTCACTCTCAGCCCTGCAGCTGGTAGCAGTTCCCCAGAATCTCCATCTTCCGATAGTGGTCCCCACCTGTGTCATTGTTAGAGGCTGTCACTACTGGTCACGTTCCAGGGTGAACCCAGCCTGTCTTATTGCTCTGTAATCCATCTTCCTGTGGAATGTGGTAATTAGCATGTTAATGAGCTCACAAGGAAACAGTGTTGCAAGAAGAGAGGTTGTTTAGCCGGATGCAGTTGCTCATGCCTGTAATCCCAGCACTTGTGGAGGCTAAGGCAGGAGGATTGCTTGAGTCCAGGAGTTTGAGACCAGCCTAGGAAACATAGAGAGGTTGATATCTGCAAAAAAAAGTAAAAATTAGCTGAGCCTGTGGTCCCAGCTACTTGGGGGCTGAGGTGGGAGGATCACCTAAGCCTCCAGGGGTTCGAGGCTGCCAGACCCTGTCTCAAAAAAATACAATTCATTTAGGGAATCAGGACAATCCTAGGATGAAATGCAGACTGTGACAAAAGAATCCAGCCATATGAAACCAGCTCTCTGAGAAAGGGTGGGGGTGAGCCTGTGGACTTCGCACCCCTGCTTGAACTAAGTGAGCTGTGACAGGCAGTAATCCTTCCATGCCCCGCCTCAGCGGTAAGGTAGCATGTTTACCACCTGCACCACGAGGGGAAAGTTCACCCCTGGCACCCACCAATAGCGTGAAAGACTTGGGCTTGTTCCGTGAGTTACATAGTGACTGAGGAGATCCATTCCAATAATGGGGTGCACATTGTAGCAAAACCAGGCCAATACTAACAGTTAAGTGGGTAATTATCCCTTTAATTAATCCTCCCAAACCATTCCCCTTGGAAGGATTACAGCCTGTCACGCTGACTTAGTTCAAGCAAGGGTACAAAGTCCACGGATCCCTTTAAAGCATGAGCATTTCCTGTAATATGAGATTTGGTCACCCAGTGTTGTTTATTTTTTGGAGTCCAGATTACTATTTTTTTTTTTCTTTTGAGACGGAGTCTTGCTCTTGTCATTCAGGCTGGAGTGCGATGGCGTGATCTCGGCTCACTGCAACCTCCGCTCTTGGGTTCAAGCAATTCTCCTGCCTCAGCCTCCTGAGTAGCTGGGACGACAGGTGCCTGCCACCACACCCAGCTAATTTTTGTATTTTTAGTAGAGATGGGGATTCACCATGTTGGCCAGGCTGGTGTCGAACTCCTGACCTCCAGTGATCCACCTACTTCTGCCTCCCAAAGGGCTGGGATTACAGGCATGAGCCACTGCGCCCTGCCCAGATTACTATTAACGTGGAGAAAGGTAAAAGGGCGATTGTCTACCAGAAGGGTCTGTTTTCCATGAACATGGACCACTGGATCCGTATGGGGGACACGGCCAGATATGAAGGAGGGGCTGTTTCCAGAGGAGACACCTGCTGAGAATTGTCGTCTAACCCTAGTAATTATTGGAACTGTTAAACCAATTTACTAGAGATCATCCAATCTTGAGCGCCCCCCTCCTTAGGATCCAAAGTAACCTTTCTTGTTCATTGCAGGGTTCACATTTAAGGAGATGCCTGGCTGTAGGAAGCTTGTCTGGCTTAGGAGAGGGGAAGTCTTACTGTTCATAGTAATTTGGATTTAGGCCAGGTAGGGTGTTGTTTGTAGAATTCATGGGCAGCACTCTGAGTTTGTCTTTTCTAAGTTTCCAGTAAGTCCAGGCAGCTATGGCCCCTTGAATTGTCTTAGTATTAGTATCATTGCCCCTGAAGAGGACTTTGTCGGAAGCTCTCCTAAGAAACAAGCAGATGGAGTCAGGACTCCCTTAAGCTGCTCAGGGCTTGCCACACCATTGTGTTGCATTCAGCCTGTCGTCTGATAAGCCCACTTCTACATCCCCAGCTGACCAAGACCTTTGGCCTCAGCTAACATTTTCCATTGACAGTCTGCCCAAACCCTTAAGACCCTATGCTAACATAGGGTCAGCAGCCTTCCAAGCCTTAAAAATCCCCATCAACAAGGTATCTGTGGGCCAGGGTCCAAAGCCTTCGCTGGGGGTCATTCCCACCTTCCTCACTAATTGTGCAGGATGCTTTTGCAGGGACACCATTTTTCCATTCCATACTGGGGCAGCCAGCCATTGAGTTTCAGCCCTTTAGGTGGAGCTCCCTCCCCGCCAGAACACTCTAGACAGCCAGCCAGCCCCTTTGTCTTTGGTTCCTGGGTTAGGAGAAACAGGGCCACAGGGCGAGAGAGAAGATGTTTTCTCCTCCAGGCAAGAGTTGTCCCCTCCTTCTTGGTCCTCCCTTTTTGTCTTCTCAGTTGTTATTACTTTGCTGTGGTCACCGGCAAAGCAGATGGTGGATTGATTGCCACTTATCACTGTCATGGTGCTGTCACTCTGCCTTTCCTCTAGAGGACACCAGTCCTCTTCCACAGGGTCCTACCCTCAGGCTCTTCCTTCCTGGGAGTTCAAGCCCCTGCCTCCTGTCCAGCGGCATCCTGGTAAGAAGCAATAGAGCTTGACCCGTGTTTCGTGGTTTGGAGCACCTGTTCAGTAGGACAGCCACCATCTTCAGAGTCCTGCGAGGGTCAGGGATATGACCTTCCTTGTCTTTAGTCACTTTAAGTAATGCTTTAGCTGGCTTAGCACAAGGGTTGGGCACAGCAGGTCCCAGCAGCAGAGGTATCGCTCCAGCTGTGCTTAGGAGACCAGCCTTGGCCTGATGTCTCTGCCTTGTCAGTTCATTCACCTGCTATCACAGTCTCCAGGGATGAGGGCATCCTCTTCTCTAAGAGTTCCCTAAACCAACAGGACACTGTTAGGGAGTCAGGGGTAGTCTGCTCTCAGTGCAGGTACATGCCATCCTCCCCTTTTACTATTCAAGCCCAAATGTCTTATAATGTCCAGCAACTGCCTAGTGGAGGACTCAGGCGGGTGGACTGACCTCCCTCCTGGGCAACCCCAAACCTCCCGCCCCAAAGATCAGTTCCAGTGTGTGGGTTCATTCAAATACTGGTGCTACCACTTGCCCAAGCTAATGAGTGTCTGGGGGAAACCAAACAAATATAGAGTGCCATAGAGCACACAGCAGTGCTATACAAACTGAGTGGAAAGCTTCCAAATTCTGAGTTCCAACCACTTGGGACTGTCCAGGATTCTTTTGCCAATTGATTGTCCTACTGGCTGGGCGGCCCCCATATCAATTTCTTAACCATTTCCAAAACCCTCCCCTTTCTTCACCACCCCTTGTAGCGAGTTCAAGGGATTTTGGGACTGGCTGGGCACAGTGGCTCATGCCTGTAATCAGAGCACTTTGGGAGGCCGAGGCAGGAGGATCACTTGAGGTCAGGAGTTCAAGACCACCCTGGCCAACATGGTGAAACCCCGTCTCTACCAAAAATACAAAAATTAGCCAGGCATGGTGGTGCACGCCTGTAATCCCAGCTACTCAGGAGGCTGAGGCAGGAGAATCGCTTGAACCCAGGAAGCAGAGGTTGCAGCGAGCTGAGATCATGTCACGGTACTCCAGCCTGGGTGACAGAGTGAGACTCTGTCTCAGAAACAACAGGGGGATTTCAGGACTGACCAAGAAAAAAAGATCTGACCATTACTTAGCAATAGCAAACGATGAGCTTTATTTGGCAACACTTTGACAGGGTGGCATGTAAGGGAAGTCCCATGAGGGACGAGGCCATCCAGAGGTTACAGCCCCAGGATAGCCACTCAGAAGTACCGGAGGGTAGGGGACTCAAGGAGGAGGGGACTGCCAGGGAGGGGCTTATGTGTCAGATGACGTGACTGAGCAGCACCATGTATCTGGATCCAATTTCTGAAGGGCAGCTGCGGCTTGGAATCTTGTACTACCAGGTTTATTTTGTCTGTGGCTAGCAGATGTTGGGTGCAGTTTCATGGGGCATGCAAAGCAGACAGGCTCTAAATGGCTAAAAATTAGTTTATATGGGCTACGTTTGAAGCTATTGGATGTGTCAAACTTTGAGTTTGGTGCCTGTGGATTTTTGAAATCTGCCCTGAAGAAGTAAACAATAGAGGGGCAACACAGAGAAGCTATCTGACTCATTAATACAGCACTGCCTGATCAGGAAACAGAGGACACAAATTAACAATATCAGGAGGCCGGGCGCAGTGGCTCATGCCTGTAATCCCAGCACTTTGGGAGGCCGAGGCAGGCGGATCACGAGGTCAAGAGATCGAGACCTCCTGGCCAACATGGTGAAACCCCGTCTCTAATAAAAATGCAAAAATTAGCCAGGCGTGGTGGCATGTGCCTGTAATACCAACACTTTGGGAGGCCGAGGCGGGTGGATCACGAGGTCAAGAGATGGAGATCATCCTGGCCAGTGTGGTGAAACCCCGTCTCTACTAAAAATACAAAAATTAGTTGGATGTGGTGGCGGGCGCCTGTAGTCCCAGCTACTCAAGAGGCTGAGGCAGGAGAATCACTTGAACCCTGGAGGCGGAGGTTGCAGTGAGCCGAGGTTGCACCACTGCACTCCAGCCTGGCGACAGAGCGAGACTCTGTCTCAAAACAAAAGATCAGGAATAAGAGAAGGAATATCACTATTCTGTATATATTGGACAAAAAATATTATGAAAAACTTTATGCCAGTAAATTTGACAACCTAAACAAATTCCTTATAAAACACAAACTACTAAAGCTAACTCAAGAAGAAATAGCCTGAATATGCCTATATGTATTTTTAGAAACTGAATTTGTAGCTAAAAACCTTCCCACAAAGAAAACTACAAACCAAGATGTCTCTACTAGAGAATTCTAAACGTTTAAGGAAGTCATATGGTTTGGAAATGAGGAATAAACCAGTCTTTATTCACAAACAACATGATTATGTAGAAAATATGGAACCTGCAGAAGAATTCTTAGAACTAATAAGTTAGTTTAGCATAGTTGCAGGATACAATGTCAATAGCAAAATTCAGTCATATGTCTGTGAACTAGCAACAAGCAATTGGAAATTAAATGTTTAAAAAATAGCATCTCA
Source organism: Homo sapiens (assembly GCF_000001405.40). Classification (NCBI taxonomy): domain Eukaryota; kingdom Metazoa; phylum Chordata; class Mammalia; order Primates; family Hominidae; genus Homo; species Homo sapiens. The sequence goes on along the minus strand of NC_000002.12, from coordinate 127,450,952 downwards.
GCAAGGAGACAGGCTGAAGAAAAAAATTTAAATATATAAAATGCATCAAAATTTTGAAATGTTTATGAATAACTTTGGCAAAAGATGTGTAAGTCCTCTGCATTGAAAGATACAGTTACTGTGAGAAATTAAAGACCTAAATAAATAGAGAGGTATGCTATGTTCATGTTTCAGAAGACTCAATATTGCTAAGATATCAGTTCTCCCAAATTGATCTACAAATTTACTGTAATACCAAGCAAAGTACTAGCAGGCTTTTTTGTAAAATTTGATAAGCTGATTCTAAAATGTATATGTAAATGCAAAAAACTCTAGACTAGCCAAGATAACTTTGAAAAATAAGTTTAAAAGCTGCATGAATTACATTATTTAAAGATTTATAAAGCTTCAGCAGTGAAAACAATGTGATGTTGGCATAGAGACAAAGAAATCAATGGAGCGGATTATCAATGGAGCAGATAGGTGTCCAGGTAAGACTCATGTACATATGACTTTTGCTAGAGATGCCAAGGCAATTCAATGAGGAAAGGATGATAGTCACAAGAAATCTTTACAACTGGATATATAAAAAATTAAACCTCTGACCTTAGCTCACACCACACACAAAGAAATAAATGGATCACAGACCTAAATGTAAGAGCTAAAACCGTAACACTTCTAGGAGAAAATCTTCGTGACTTTGAATTTGTCAGGGGTTTTAAAATATGACACAAAAAACCCTATAAAGGAAAAAATAAATTGGACTATTTCAAAATTAAAAACTGTCATTCTTCAAAAGACACTGTTCATTTTCAGTTGGCATGTGAGGAGCTTAGCAGTCATCACCCCCAACCTCACAACAAGAAAAACGCTGAACAGACTGAAAATCAACAACTTTTCTTGATCCACCAGAGATCTGAGGCCACAGGGCAAACTGCTGTCCTCAAAATGGAGAGACAGAGAAGCACATACAGAGAACCAGAACTTACGGGAGCAGAGGCCTAGGAGTAGAAAACTCCACAGGAACCAGTACCGGGGTAGGGAAACTTAAAACTTAATTGATGATTTGCTGGGCACTCCATGAGAGAGTTAAAAATACCAGGGGAGCCAGTCTTACAGGGCCCCACACAGTTTTTTGTTTTGTTTTGCTTTACCAAGTTGTCACAGTAAAGATCAGAGAAAAATTCCCTGCTGCTTCTGGTAGAGGAAAAGAAAAGGTAACCCAGAGCATTCTCTTCTTAACAAGGTCTGTCCTCAGGGGAAACTGTTTTACCGGAGCCTGACATGTGGGAAGAGAAATACCCAACTCTACCCTCCTCTAGGCTTCCTGCCCACCTCCAGCGGGGAAAGACAAATGAGAAGCCCTTGTGTTGGTCACAGCCCCTGCAGAGGTTCATTAAAAGACTGAGACCTATAGAATGCTTCGTCCCTCCACCCCTCACTAACACATCAACAGGGCTCCTGTAATAACGAGAATACAACTGAACTGCACATCTCAGACCTGATTTATGAAGAAGACTCTAGGGAAACCCAAAGACAACAGGGAAGCCACAGACAAGAACACCAAAGTAAATGTTATCCTCTGACACCTACAGCTAGAGCAAACGGTAAACACAGCCCAACTCCTAGCCAGATAGAATTCTGTATTCACCAAATTATCCTTCAAAAGTGAAGGAGATACTGGAAATACAATCAAGGTTTGTTGTTTTTTTTTTAAGTGAAGGAGAAGTAAAGTACAGAAAGCCTCACAAAAGGCTTGTTTACCTCAGTTTCTTTTGCCCAACACATCATGTTTTATAAGAGACAAATACACTTTGAATAGACAGAACAAACATCAGAATAAGACAGATATGGCAGAGATGCTTGAATTATCAGACAGAAAATTTTAAATAATTGATTAATATGCTAAGGACTCAAATAAGAAAAGTGGCTAACATGCAAGAACAGAGGAGTAATGTAAGTAGAAAGATGGAAATGCCTAAGAAAGAATCAGGTGCAATGGCCAGATGCGGTGGCTCACACCTGTAATCCCAGCACTTTGGGAGGCTGAGGAGGATCGCTTGAGCCCAGGAGTTCGAGACCAGGCTGGGCAACATAGTGAGACCTTGTCTCTATAAAAAGAAAAAAGGAAAAAAGCAAAACAAAATGCTAGAAATAAAAATAAACACTGTAACTGAAGTGAAGAATGCTTTTAGTGGAGTCATGAATAGATGGGACATGGCCAAGGAATGAATCAGTGAGCTTCAAGGAATGTCAATAGAAACTCCCAAAATTGAAATGCAGAGAGGAAGAAGTAATGGAAATGATGGGATAGAATATTCAAGAACTGTGGGACAAATACCAAAGGTATAAAAGGATAGTGTACACATAATGGGAATACCACACAGAGAAGAAAGAAACAGAAGAAATACTTGAAGTAATAACAGAACTTTCCAAAATTAATGGCAGACACCAAACCACAGGTGTAGGAAGCCCAGAGAACACCAAACAGGATGAATACCCCAAAAAATCTACACCTAAGAATATCTATTCAAACTGCAAAAATCAAAGACATGGGAAGAATATAGAAAGAAGCCAGAGGGGAAAAACATCTTATCTGTAGAAGAACAATGGTAAGCATTATATCATGCTTCACATCAGAAACTGCACCCAAGAAGAGAGTGGTTTATGGGATTTAAAGCGTTGAAAGAAAAAAAACCCATCAACCTAGAATTCTGTATTCACCAAATGTTATCCTTCAAAGGTGAAGGAGATACTGGAAATACAATAAAGGTTTTTTTGTTTTTTTTTTTAAGTGAAGGAGAAGTAAAGACTTTATCAGACAATCAAAAATTGAGAGAATTTGTCACCAGTAGACCTGCCTCGCAAGAAGTGTTAAATTCTTCAGAAGGAAAGGGAAATTATGTAGGTCAGAAACTCAGATCTACATAAAGAAAGGAAGAGTGTTAGAGAAGAAATAAATGAAGGTAAAATAAAAATTTAGCTTTCTCATTTTTAACTAATAGGTAAAGTTTTTTCAGTTAATAGTGATTACAGCTTATGGATAAATGAATGACAGCAGTGTTATAAAGATGGAAGAGAGGAATTGAGAATACTTTTTCATAAGGTATTTGCACTACCCATGAAGTGGTAAAGTGTTTTATGAAAGAAGACTTGAATTAGTTGTAAATATTTACTGCAAAGTCACGGGAAACCACACACATTAAAAAACCCCACAAGTATAATTTGTATGATAAGAGAGGAGTAAAAAGGGAATAATATAAAATGCTCGATTAAAACCAGAGAAAGCAAAACACACACAACACACACACACACACACAACCTGAAAAGGCTAGAAAGAACAAAACAAATCAAGGGCAATGAATAGAAATGGAAGAAATATACTTTAAATATAAAGAAATAGATTAAAAGTAAAGGGATGGAGATACAGTATACTATGTTAACACTAATCAAAAGACAGCTGGAGTGGCTGTGTTAATTTCAGGCAAAGTAGACTTCCTCAGAGCAAGGAATGTTATCAGGGATGAAGAGGGGCATTGCATAGCCATAAAGGGGTCAGTTGTCAAAGATGATATAACAGTGTTTAAAGTGTGTGCACCTAGCAACACAGTGTCCCAAGATGAGGCAAGAACTGATAGAACTGCAGGGAGAAATAAACAAACTCATTTTTATGTTGGAGACTTCAGTACCCCTCTATTTAACAGATCCAGCTGGCAGAAAACTAGCAAAGACATAGTTGAACTCAACAGCATCATCAATCAACTGGATCTAATGGACATCTATAGAATACTTCATCCAATGACAGCAGAATACACATTCTCAAGCTCACTTGGAGCATTCATTCACCAGGATAGACCACATTCTCAGCCATGAAACGCACCTTAATAAATCTAAAAGAACGGAAATTATACAAAGTATGATCTCAGACCACAATGGAATTAAGCTATAAATCAATAACAGATAGCTAGAAAACCCCAAAATATTTGGAGATTAGGCAACACACTTATGACATGTTGGGACAAAGAAGAAGTTTCCAGATAAATTTTAAAATATTTTCAATTAAAATGAAAATACAACTTATCAAAATTTGTGGGATGCACCAAAAGCAGTGTTAGAGGGAAATTTAGATCACTGAATACATATATTAGAAAATGAGAAATATCTAAAATCAGCAATCTAAGCTTCCACTTTAGCAAACTAGATAAAGAAGAGCAAAGTAAACCCGAAGTAGGGAAGAAAAAAAGATAATAAAAATTAGAGGAGAAATCACTGAAATTGAAAACAGGAAATCAATAGAGAAAAATCAACAAAACCAAAAGCTAGTTCTTAAAAAGATTCACAAAAGGGTTAAAACTCTATCCAGGTTAACTAAGAAAAAAAAAGAGAAGACCCAAATCACTAATATCAGAAGTGAAAAAGAAATCATCACTACTGATTCCATCCTGGCTAACATGGTGAAACCCCGTCTCTACTAAAAATACATTAGCCGGGCGTGGTGGCAGGCGCCTGTAGTCCTAGCTACTCGGGAGGCCGAGGCGGGGGAATGGCATGAACCTGGGAGGTGGAGCTTGCAGTGAGCTGAGATCGCACCACTGCACTCCAGCCTGGGCCACAGAGCAAGACTCCGTCTCAAAAAAACAAAAACAAACAACAACAACAACAACAAAAAACCAACCAAAAACTAGCCAGGTGTGGTGGCAGGTACCTGTAATCCCAGCTACTTGGGAGGCTGAGGCAGGAGAATCACTTGAACCCGGGAGGCAGAGGTTACAGCGAGCTGAGATCGCACCATTGCACTCCAGCCTGGGTGACAGAGTGAGACTCTGTCTCAAAAACCAAAAACAACAACAACAACAAACACTTCTTCCAGAAAAAAGAAGCAGAAGGAATACTTCTGAACTCATTTTATAAAGATAGCATTAGCCTAATACCAAAAGCAGACAAAGACATTACAAGAATGGGAAACTGCAGACTGATATGTCTCATGAACATAGATGCAAAAATCATCAATAAAATATTAGTGAATCAAGCTGGGTGCTGTGGTTCACGCCTGTCATCCCAGCAGTTTCGGAGGCCAAGGCAGGCGGATCGTTTGAGGTCAGGAGTTTGAGACCAGCCTGGCCAACATGGTGAAATGCTGTCTCTACTAAAAATACACACACACACACACACACAAAATCTGGGTGTTGTGGTGTGCACCTATAATCCTAGCTACTTGGGAGGCTGAGGCAGGAGAATTGCTTGAACTTGGGAGGTGGAGGATGCAGTGAACTGAGATCGCACCACTGCACTCCAGCCTGGGCGACAGAGAGAGACTCCATCTCAAAAAATATATGTGTGTGTGTGTGTGTGTGTGTGTGTGTATGTGTGTATATATATAAATATATATTTATATATATATTTATGTATACACACATACACACACACACACACACACACACACACACACACACACATATATATGTGAATCAAATCCAACAGTGCATAATGCATAAGGGGAATTATATACCATGGCCAAATAGGATTGATTCCAGATAGGCAAGTCTGGTTCAACATTTGAAAATCAGTTAATGTAATCCATTATATCAACAGGCTAAAGAAGAAAACCCACATGATCATATCAATAAATGCAGAAGAAGCATTTGACAAAATCCAACACCCATTTATAACAGAAACTCTCAGAGAACTAGGAATAGACTTCTTCAATTTGAATAAAGAACATCTACAAAAACCCTACAGTTAACATCGTACTTAATTGTGAGAAACTAGATGTTTTCCCACCAAGATCAGTAACAAGGTAAAGGATGTCCTTTCTCAGAACCACCATTCAGAATTGCACTGGAAGTCCTAGTTAATGCAATAAGACAAGAAAAGGAAATGAAAGGCATACAGATTGAGAAGGAAGAGCTAAAACTGTTTTTGTTCACAGATAATGTGATTGTCTATGTAGAAAATCCTGAAGAATTAAAAACAAAAACCTCCTGGAATGAATAAGTGATTATAGCCAGCTTGCAATTCAGCATTGCAATTTTCATTTTCATTTAGTTGAAATGAATAAGTGATTATAGCAAGGTTGCATATTAATCACAAGGTTAATATGCAAAAGTCAATTGTTTCTTCTATACCAACAATAAACAAGTCAAATTTGAAATAAAACATAGGCCAGGCACAGTGGCTTACACCTGTAATCCCAGCACTTTGGGAGGCTGAGGCGGGCAGATCACCTGAGGTTGGGAGTTCAAGACCAGCCTGACCAACATGGCGAAACCCCATCTCTACTAAAAATACAAAACTAGGCGGGTGTGGTGGCACATGCCCATAATCCCAGCTACTCAGAAGGCTGAGGCAGGAGAATTGCTCAAACCCAGGAGGCAGAGATTGCGGTGAGCTGAGATTGTGCCATTGCACTCCAGCCTGGGCAACAAGAGCAAAACTCCATCTCAAAAAGAAAAAAATAAAATAAAAACACAATACCATTACATTAGCACCCCCAAAAATGAAATACTTAGGTATATATTGAACAAAATAAGTAAAAGTTCTATATGAGGAGAACTACAACACTTTGATGAAAGAAATCAAAGATCTAAATAAATGGAGAGATATCCATCCCATCACAGAGATCTTGACTCAGTGTTGTCAAGATGTCTCTTCTGCAATTTGATCGATTCAATGTAATCCCAGTCAAAATCCCAGCAAGTTATTTTATAGATATTGGAAAACCGATTCTAAAGTTTATTTTTTATTTTTTGAGACAGAGTCTTATTTATAAAGTCACTCGGGCTGGAGTGCAGTAGTGCAATCTCAGCTCACTGCAACTTCTGCCTTCCAGGTTCAAGCGATTCTCTTGCCTCAGCCTCCTGAGTAGCTGGAATTACAGGTGCGCACCACCACACCTGGCTAAGTTTTTGTATTTTTAGTAGAGACGAGTTTTGCTGTGTTGGCCATGCTGGTCTCGAACTCCTGGCCTCAAGTGATCATCCCATTTCAGCCTCCCAAAGTGCTGGGACTACAGGCGTGAGCCACTGCGCCCAGCAGTTCTAAAGTTTATATGAAAAGGCAAAGGTGCCAGGATAGCCAACACAATATTGAAGGAAAAGAACAAATTGAAGAACTGATACTGACGTCAAGCCTTTCTATAAAGCTACAGTAATTAAAACAGTGTGGTATTGGTGAAAGAATTGACAAATAGATCAATGGAACAGAAAAGAGAGCCCAGAAATAGACCTACACAAATAAAGTTTGCTGATCTTTGCCAAAGGAGCGAAAGCAATTCAATGGAGAAAGGATAGTCTTTTCAACAAATGGTGCTAGAACCGCTGGATATCCACATGCAAAAATGAATCCATGCTGGGTGTGGTGGCTCACACCTGTAATCCCAGCACTTCAGGAGGCCAAGGAGGGCGGATTGCTTGAGTTCACGAGTTCGAGAGCAGCCTGGGCAACATGTCAAAACCCCGTCTCTACAAAAAATACAAAACTTAGCTGGGCATGGTGCTATGCGCCTGTAGTCCCAGCTATTTGGGAGGCTGAGGTAGGAGGATGGCTTGAGCGCAGAGGTTGCAGTAAGCTGAGAGCACACCCCTCCACTCTAGCCTGGGGGACACAGCCAGACCTTGTCTCAAAAAAAAAAAAAAAAAAAATCCGTACACAGACCTTACACCTGTACAAAAATTAACTCAAAATGGATCATAGACCTAAATGAAAAATGCAAAACTATAACTTCTAGAAAATGTAGGAGAAAATCTAGATGACCTTGGGTTTGGCAATGACTTTTTAGATACAACACCAAAGGCACAATCTATGGAAGAAAATATTGATAAGCCGGACTTCATTAAAATTAAAAACACATGCTCCGCGAAAGATAGTTTGGAAAATGAAAAGACATGCCATAGACTGGGAGAAAATCTTTGCAAAATACCTATATATTTGGATGGGTGTCCAAAACATATAGATACACACACAAAATCTTACAACTCAACAGTAAGAAAACATACAATCCAAAATGTAAAAGAGGCAAAAGATCTGAACAGACATCTCATCAAAGAAGATATACAGATGGCAAATATACTTATGAAAAGATATCCAACATCAGATGTCACTAAGAAATTACAAATTAAAACAATGAGATGCCACTAACACCTATTAGAATGACAAAAATCTAAAATACCAACCACATCAAATTTGGCAAGGGTGGGGAGCAACAGGATCTCTCATTCATTGCTGGTGGGAATGCAAAATAGAACACAGCCACTTTGGAAGGCAGTTTCTTACAAAAGTAAACATAGGCCAGGTGTGGTGGCTCACACCTTCAATCCCAGTGCTTTGGGAGGCTGAGGCAGGAGGATCACTTGAGCTAGGAGTTCAAGACCCTCCTGGGGAGCATAGCAAAATCCCATCTTTACAAAAACAAAAGAACTACACATGCTTTTACCATAAAATGTAGCAATCATACTCCTTGGTTTGTATCCAAATGAGTTGAAAACTTGTGTTAATAGAAGAACCTGCACCCACACAGATATTTAGAGCAGCTTTATTCATATTGCCACAAGTTGGGAGCAACTAAGATGTCCTTCAGTAGTTGAATAAATAAACTGGGGTACATCAAAACAATGGAATTTTATTCAGCAATAAAAAGAATTGAGCTATCAAGCCACTAAAAGACATGAAAGAATCTTAAATGCTCATTGCCAAGTGAAAGAAGCCAATCTGAAAAGGCTACCTATTGTGTGATTCCAACTACATGACATTCTGGAAAAGGCAAAACTATGGAGACAGTAAAAAGATCAGGCCGGGCGCGATGGCTCACGCCTATAATCCCAGCAGTTTGGGAGGCCGAGACGGTGGATCACAAGGTCAGGAGTTCAAGAGCAGCCTGGCCAAAATGGTGAAACCCCATCTCTACTAAAAATACAAAAATGCTGGGTGTGGTGGTGGGCACCTGTAATCCCAGCTATTCGGGAGGCCGAGGCAGAGAATTGCTTGAACCCGGGAAGCAGAGGTTGCAGTGAGTCGAGATCGTGCCACTGTACTCCAGCCTGGGTGACACAGTGAGACTCTGTCTCGAAAAAAAAAAGATCAGGGATTGGGTGGAGGCAGGAAGGAAGGGAGGGATAAATAGGTGGAGAGAATAAGATATTTTTAGGGCAGTGAAATTATTCTTTATGATGCTGTGATGGTGGATACATGTCATATGTTTGTCAAGACCTATACAATGGACAACACAGAGTGAGCTCTGATGTAAACCGTGGACTTTAGTTAATAATATATCAATACTGACTCATCACTTATAACAAATGTACCACACTAATACAACATGTTAATAATAGGAGAAACTCTATTGGGGTTAGGAAGGCATATGGGAACTCTCTGTACCTTCTATTCGCTTTTTCTTTCTTTTCTTTTTTTTCTTGAGATGAATTCTCATTCTGTCGCCCAGGCTGGAGTGTAGTGGTGCAAACTCGGCTCACTGCAACCTCCACCTCTGGGTTCAAGTGATTCTTCTGCCTCAGCCTTCCGAGTAGCTGGGATTACAGGCACCCCCCACTAAGCCCAGCTAATTTTTTGTATTTTTAGTAGAGACGGGGGTTTCACCATGTTGGCCAGGCTGGTCTTGGAACTCCTGACCTCGTGATTCACCCACCTCGGCCTCCCAAAGTGCTGGGATTACAGGTGTGAGCCACCGCGTCCAGCCACCTATTCACTTTTCTATAAACTTAAAACTGCTCTGAAAAATAAAATATGTTAATATGTTGATTTTTGTTGTTGTTTTTTGAGATGGAGTCTCGCTCTTTTGCCCAGGCTGGAGTGCAGTGGTGCAATCTTGGCTCACTGCAACCTCCACCTCCTGGGTTCAAGTGAGTCTCCTGCCTCAGCCTCCCAAGTAGCTGGTATTACAGGAGTATGCCACCACACCCAGCTAATTTTTGTATTTTTAGTAGAGACGGGGTTTCACCATATTGGCCAGGCTGGTCTTGAACTCCTGACCTCAAGTGATTCACCCGCCTCAGCCTCCCAAAGTGCTGGGATTACTTAAGGCATGAGCCACCATGCCCGACCTAAAATCTGTTAATTTTTTTAAAGCGTGACAACCATGCTGCCCTCCGTCCCCCAGTTCATTTGCTGATTCGCTGCATCTGGAAGCTTCACAAGATACTAGGGAGTTTTTAAACTAGAGCCTAATCTCCTTTAGTCTTGGATAATTGGTAAGCAAAGTCCTCCCCAGGAAGGGGGACAGTCTTGAACAAACTGCCAGTCTCCTTCTCAAGACATTTGTGAAATTTGGAAGCAGCAGGGGATAGGAAACTAAGGAGCAGAGTTTAAAACTGCCAAAGGGAAGAATGACTCTCCTACATCTTTGGGATTGACAAGACAGACTTACCAGGCACTCAGGCTGTCCCATCAAGCATTTGAAACCTGATATGGACTGATTATAACTAAAACTGCAGCCCAGCTTCATCCCAGTTTTGTTGTTAATTAAACCTGAAAGGGCAGACTTTCCTGACAAGAAAATAATATAATATTTGGTTGCTATGGTTCCTTTATAAATTGTCTTCTGCATACTGTGGAAATTACAAGACAGGCAAATAAAAAGGAAAATAGAACCAATAGTCAAAAGAAAAAAAGCCAATAGACATAGACCCACAGATGATCCAAATGTTGGATAAGGTAACAACTATAGCAATATATTAAAGAAGATAGAAGAAAAATGGGGAAAATAGGTGAAAAGATGGAGAATTTTTACAGAGAAATGGAATCTGTAGAGAGGAATCAAGTGGGCATTCTAGAATTGAAGGGTTTATCATCTGAAATTATTAACTGATTGGCCAAGTTTCACAGGGTTTGGACACATGAGAAGACAGAATTGATGAAGAAAGATAATAGAAAGTACTCAAATTATAGCATACAGAGAGCAAAAAGAGTAAGGGTAAGGAGGGATGGGATAGCCAAGTACAACCACTCATATGAAGTCCTCTGTCCTATTTGAGTTTTTTACCACATGCATGTATAACTTGTTTTTGGCATGTGTGTGTGCTGTGGCCTGCTGAAGGCTCCTGGGGCCTCAGAGTCCACACTGTGGCCCTCACACTTACTGTCCAGGGTGGCGGGACAGGTGCACAGGAAAGAACACTGGACACCAAGCCAGGGGACCTGGTTTTAGGCCTAGCTCTCCCACCAAGTTGTGTGTGACCTGGGTTTTCTTGCCCAAATGAGGGACAATTGATGAATGTGAGGCCAATTGTGGGGTGAGGTGACGCCCCCCAAACAGCATAGCTTCTCTGTAGCCAGGTGGCCTGGAGCCCATGTTATAGCACACACACCTGATCCCAGAGAGCTGTTGTCCCTCCCTCGTCCACCACCCTGATAATAGACCTAGAACTCCATCTGCAGCCAGCCATGAGGACCCTGCTGGCCCATGGCCCACCCCACTCAGCCCCACCCTCTGCCAGAACTGGCAGGAAGCCTGCCTCCCACCTCAGCCCCGCTAGACTCCTGCCCAGTTCCCCACTCCACTGAGGTCTCTCCAGGGCCAATGTCAACTAAAGGGACCCCTCCTGGAGTCAGGCAGATTTGGAGGCACATCCCCATTCTGTCTGTATTCGCTGTGTCCATCTCTGAGCCGGTTACATTAGGGGGCTAACATGGGAAGGCAAGAGCAGGCATCTCTTAAGATCACTTAGAGGGTCCAGCATGGTTGCTCACACCGGTAATCCCAGCCCTCTGGGAGGCCAAAGCAGGCAGATCACTTGAGGCCAGGAGTTAGAGACCAGCCTGGCCAACATGACGAAATACCATCTCTACTAAAAATACAAAAATTAGCCGGCCATGATGGTGCACGCCTGTGGTCCCAGCTACTCAGGAGGCTGAGGCGTGAGAATCACTTGAACCGGGGAGGCAGAGGTTGCAGTGAGCTGAGATCACACCACTGCACTATAGCATGGGTGACAGAGTGAGACTCTGTCTCAAAAAAAAAAAAAAAATCACTTACAGGATTAAATCAAACAATGCATATAAAGGGCCTAGAACAGTTTCCTGCCCATGAACACAGGTCCAGGTGAACAGAGCCTGGTTTAAGAGCCTCAGGGCACTAGAAAGATTATGGTGTGCTCCCCTCCCCCACATACATAATTTAAAATTAATAGCCACAGAATAAGTGCAGTGAAGTCCACCAAAATTCTGACTTTTCCCGTGATGACTACTTTGACATCTTTTTTCTTGGCAGATTGTTTTAAAACTCATTTTTTCAACTGTGCAGTGCTCTTACGTGTTTGCTTGCTGAGCCCTGAGGCAGGACTGCAGCCCTGTGGGTGGGGAGTCTCCTGAGTGGAGAGACCAGGGGCTGCCCACCCGACTCGTCCAATCTAGGCCAAGCCCTGTGGAGCCCCCAGCAGGGCAGGGCCTAGCCCAGAACCCACCTGAGGAACCTGTGGGGGGACAAGTCTGAGGCTGGCTAATGATTGACCCACACCAAATATTGACAGAGCCTAGGTCCTGCCACTGCCCAACCATGCACCACTCCTCTCCCTGACCCGCCACCTGGCTCCATGGCCCACGGGACACAGCAGGGACTTTGGAGCCTGCTGCATTCCTACCCAGACTCCTCCAATAGCAGTGATGTAGGGAGCCCCCCAGAGGCTCTTTTCCCTTCATCAGAATGGAGTCGGCAGTTCCTCCCTTGGTTGCTCTGTGAAGCCCCGGGTCACTGTGGGTCACGTGCCTGGCATGGGCCTGCAATGAAGGTTCTCAATATGGCCTGGTGCCCTAGCCCTCTACCCACAGCCTCCCCGGCATGGCCCCAGAGCTGGGTGCTGTTTCTTTCCTAGGACCTGGCTCCCTGCTTAGCCTCTCTTGGCCTCTCCTGAGGCTTAGTCAGCCTGTTCCTTCCACAGCCTCCATGGTCTCCCCCAGCTTGCCCTGGTCCTTTTGGCCTTGTTTAGTTAGCAGTTTCTCATCTGTCCTTCCCATAACTCGTCCCCCAGGCTAAGCTGGTGGGGGCTTCTCAGGGGACTGAACCCCCAGGCCTCGGCTCCAGCAGCCCCATCACAGGGCTCTCTGCATATTGCTGCCTTCCGCTGGAGAGCTGAATTCTTCCACTCTCACCAATGGCTTCAGCCTGCACTGATCTCTCCCTCCTCCAAAGAGATTTTAGCCATTGTGACCATTGCGTCCTGGGCTCTGCATGAAGGGCTCAGGAAGAAGGGGAGGGAGGCGTCTACCCAGGGCCAGCTCCAGGCACCAGGCCTTGCAGGGGTTGGCCTTCCTTTCATCCCCACAACCACTGGGGATAGAGGGGGATGAGCCCAGTTCCTAGACAAGGAAAAGAAGGTGCAGGAGGGCCAGGCAGTAAGGCTGGGGGCACCAGCTGGGGAAGGGCCACTGAGCCCAGGGCCTGGGTACCTTCTCTGCAGCCAGGCTGCCATCTGACATCAGCTCTCAAATGTTGCGGTAATAAGAGATCACTCTTCAGCCCATTGAGTCTTAAATTTCTTTTCACGTCCTTTTATTTTTGTCAATGAAAAGGCTCTGTTAAAGCAAGCTTGTGTAAAGCTTCTCTTCTACAATTTGTGTGTCCCTGGGCCTTGTCTGACCCATGCGCCTGTCTGGGCTCAGCTCTGGGCCCAGAGGTGGCACTCGATAGATATGGTCAATGGATAAGCTTAACCCAGCCTGTCCCCTACACTGCTCACCTCCTTCGTGACACACCCCCACGCACGCCAGGCCTGCAGCCTCCCAAGAGACTCTCCCTCATCTGCCTCCAGAAGGCCCAGCATGTGCCCCCTGGGGGAGGGTGTCTCCTCCTCGACTGTGCCCTCAGCCGTGCACTCTAAAGCTGGGTGTTGTCATGGACATACAGAGTGGAATCCTAGACGTGGGAGACTGCGAAAGGTGGAAGGGAAGGGGTGAGGGTTGAAAATCACCTATTTGGGTACAGGGCTCACTGGGCGATGGCTCCACTAGAAGCCCAGACTCCAGCACTGCATAATCCATGCAAGCAAGAAATCTATACTCAAACCCCTAAATCTACAAAAACAAAAAACATGTACAAATCAAGGATGGGGAGCCAGGCGTGGTGGCTCATGCCTGTAATCCCAGCACTTTAGGAGGCTGAGGTGGGCGGATCACGTGAGGTCAGGAGTTCACGACCAGCCTAGCCAACATGGTGACACTGTGTCTCTACTAAAAATACAAAAATTAGCTGAGATTTGTGGCAGGTGCCTGTAACCCCAGCTACTGGGGAGGCTGAGGCAGGAGAATTGCTTGAACAAGGAAGGCAGAGGTTGCAATGAGCTGAGATTGTGCCACTGCACTCCGTCCAGCCTGGGTGACAGAGTAAGACTCTGTCTCAATCAGTTAATCAATCAATCAATCAATATGGGGCAAAAAGGATGTTTCAAAAGACAGGGGCAGATGGGGCATGCTCTCCCTGCCGACCTTGCAAGGAGCTGCCTGCACCCGAGTCTGTCTGGAGACAGCCGCTTTCACAGAGCCAGAGGGCAGAGCTTTCCACACTCAGGAGCCAAGGGATGTGGGTGCTTCCCTCCAGGAGGTACAGAAGTTCTAGCCTGGCTGCATGGCACAAAATATCATAAAATGAGTTGGGTGGGTTTTGTTATTTTTCCATTCGGGGGAGGAAACTTGTTTAAGATGGGAACTAACTGTTCTTTAAAACTTTGACAGAACTCGCACACAAAGCAGCATGAGACAGAAGCTTTTGAAGGGGAGTGGAATGGCTTTTACCGGCAGTGCAGTTTTCTTCTTGCACCAGTGTTAGTATTTTATATTTGTTCAGGAATGTGTGTATTTCACCTAGGCTTTCAAATGTATTAGCTTATAGTAAAATCATTGCTACGCCCCTGTCACTCTTTCTAATCTGCATTTTTCATAGATCTGCCTCTCTGCTTTTGATGTTATTTCTTGTGTTCATCATTTGCACCTCTCTTACACTCAATTCTGCCTCCTTATCTTTATATTTCCCTCCTTCTTGTTTCTTTGGGTTTGTGTTACTTTCCAGCTTCTTAAGTAAGATTTTTATGTCACTTGCTCTCTTCCCAGTTTCGTATGTATGTATGTATGTATTTATTTAATTATTGAAACAGGGTCTCACTCTGTTGCCCCAGCTGGAGTACAATGGCACACTCACAGCTCACTGCAGCCTCAACCTCCTGGGCTCAAGAGATCCTCCTGCCTCAGCGTCCTGAGTAGCTGGGACCATAGGTATATGCCGCCGTGCCTGGCTAACCTTTTGATTTTTTGTAGAGAGAAGGTCACTTTGTTGCCCAGGCTGGTCTTGAACTCCTGAGCTCAAGTGATCCTCCCTCCTCAGCCTCCCAAAGTGCTGTGATTACAGGCGTGATCCTGCATCTGGTGTTTTTCCAGCTTCTTAAGTAAGGATTTCATGTCACCTGCTGTATTAGATTGCAAGGGCTGTTATAATAAAGTACCACAGACTGGATGTCCTAAATAACAGAAATCCATTGTTTCACAGTTTTGGACGCTAGAAGTTCAAGACTGAGGTGTCAGCAGGGTTGCTGCCTTCTGAGGGCTGCAAGGGTGAAGCTGGTCAAGGCTGCTCTCCCAGCTTCTGGAGGTTGCGGGCCATCTTGGGAGCCCTTGGCTTGTAGATGAGTGGCCCTGACCTCCGCCTTCATCTTCATGTGGTGTTCTCCCCGTGTGTTCACGTTGTCTTCTCTCCGTTCATGTCTGTGCCCCAATTTCTCCTTTTTATGAGAACACCAATCATTTTAGGGGTCCACCCTATTCCAGAATGACCTTGTCTTTTTATTTATGTATTTATGTATTTATTTATTTTTTAGACAGAGCCTCACCCTGTCGCCCAGGCTGGAGTGCAGTGGCTTGATCTCAGCTCACTGCAACCTCCGTCTCCTGGGTTCAAGCGATTCTCCTGTCTCAGCCTCCTGAGTAGCTGGGATTACAGGCACCCACCACCACACCCAGCTAACTTTTGTATTGACCTTGTCTTAACTAATTATATCCTCAGCAATCCCATTTCCAAGTGAGGTCACATTCCGAGTTTTTGGAGGTTGGGGCTTCAGTGTGTGAATTTTGGGAGGACACAATTCAACCCGTGACCCTTCGTGATGGTTAATTTTATGTGTCATCTTGGCTAGGCCTCAGTATCCAGATATTTGGTCAAACATCATTTCGAATGTTTTCTGGGCAGATGTTTTTTTGGATGAGATTAACACTTAAACCAGTGGACTTTGAGTAAAGCAGGTTATCCTCCATAATGCAGGTGGGCTGCATCCAATCAGTTGAAGGTCTTAATAAAGGCTGACTCTACCCAAGAAAGAAGGAATTCTGCCAGCACACTGCACTCAGACTCAAACTGTGAGTGTTCCCTAAGTCTCCAGCCTGCAGGCCCACGCTGCAGATTTTAGACTTATCAGCCTTCACGATTATGTGAGCTGTTTCTTTGAAATAAATCTCTCTCTCTATTCGGTCAATTTCATTTCCCTGGAGAACCCTGAATAACATGTATTTGCTTTTAACTTTTTGTTTCTGGATAAGAATATTTACTTATTTATTTTGAGATGGAGTTTCGCTCTTGTTGCCCAGGCTGGAGTGCAATGGTGCAGTCTTGACTCGCCACAACCTCCACTCCCTGGGTTTAAGTGATCCTCCTGCCTCAGCCTCCCAAGTAGCTGGGATTATAGGCGCCCACCACCATGCCCAGCTAATTTTTGTATTTTTAGTAGAGATGGAATTTCACCATGTTGGCCAGGCTAGTCTTGAACTCCTGACCTCAGGTGACCCACCCATCTTGGGCTCCCAAAGTGCTGGGATTACAGGCATGAGACACCGCGCCCAGCCTGGATAAGTATATTTAAAGGTATAATTTCCCTCCTGGTGTTGCTGTAGCTGTGAAACACAAATTAACATATAATTCTTACAATTTCTTAGTTTATCTTATGATTGCCTGCTGATATGTTAATTAGTTTGCAGACATATGGCATTTTTAAAGTTTTTCATTAGAAATTTCTACTTTTATTGTCTTTTAGCTAGAGGACATGCTCTGTATTATATTGATCCCTTGGAATTTATTGAGGCTTTCTTCATGGTCCAGTATAGTTTTGTAAATGTTCCTAGTGTGCTCAAAAAGAATCACTCGGCTGGGCACAGTGGCTCACGCCTGTAATCCGAGCACTTTGGGAGGCCAAGGTGGGTGGATTACCTGAGGTTGGAGTTCGAGACCAGCCTGACCAACATGACGAGACTCCATCTCTAATAAAAATACAAGAACTAGCCAGGCATGGTGGTGGGCACCTGTAGTCCCAGCTGCTCAGGAGGCTGAGACAGGAGAATTGCTTGAACCCGGGAGGCAGAGATTGCAGTGAGCCAAGATCGCACCACTGTAGTCCACCCTGGGTGACAGAGCGAGACTCAATTCAAAAAAAGAATCGCTCAAGCTTATTAATTTTATTGTTCAGATCATCTACATATCCACTTTTTAAAAATCTGTTTGATTTATTGGTTTATAAGATAATTTTTTAAAAAACTCTCCAAATACAAGTAAAA
This sequence comes from Homo sapiens, assembly GCF_000001405.40. Classification (NCBI taxonomy): domain Eukaryota; kingdom Metazoa; phylum Chordata; class Mammalia; order Primates; family Hominidae; genus Homo; species Homo sapiens. The sequence continues at coordinate 127,433,438 of NC_000002.12, read as the reverse complement.
GTTGTTTATTTCTCCTTTCCCTTCTGTCAAATGTCACACTGTATGCAGTATTTGGAGGTTATGTTGCAGGGGCACATATTGTTTTATAATAATTAGATCTTTACATGTGAGTGATTTTTTCTGTATATAATGTCCATCATTGTTCTTTATGGTATTTTTTTCTTAATTTCCATTGTATTCGTTACTGGAATCACTATCTTAGCTTTCTTTTCATTCAAAGTTGCATGGAATTTCTAGCATTCTTTATTTTCAGTCTTTGGGTGCTTTTTAAGTTGTCTCTAATCAATATATTGTCTCATTGGTTTTTTAATTCTTAGATTTATCTTTTTAAATTGGTAAGCTTAACCTAATTACATTTATTGTTATTATTTCCATCTTATTTCACAGTTTCCATCAACTGTACTTTCTTTTGTTTTGTTTCATAGTTTTACATTACATCTAAGTTCCATTCTCTTTTTTTTTTTTCTTTTTTGAGATGGAGTCCCACTGTGTCACTCAGGCTAGAATGCAATGGCGCCATCTTGGCTCACTGCAACCTCCGCCTCCTGGGTTCAAGCAATTCTCCTGCCTCAGCCTCCTGGGTAGCTGGGATTACAGGCATGTGCCACCACGCCCAGCTAATTTTTGTATTTTTAGTAGAGACAGGGCTTCTTCATGTTGGCCAGGCTGGTCTCGAAACTCCTGACCTCAGGGGATCCACCCGCCTCAGCTTCCCAAAGTGCTGGGATTATGGGTGTGAGCCACTGCGCCCGGCCTAAGTTCCATGCTGAGTTAATTTTTGTATGAGGTGAGAGATATAGGTTGAGGTTCACTTTTTTGCCTATTGAGGCCCCACTGTGCCAGCACCCTTTGTTGAAAAGCCTCTCCTTCCTCCACTGAATTGCTTTGGTATCTTTGTCAAAAATCAAAAGGCTGTAGCTGTGTGGGTCTCGCTCCACAGTCTCCATTTCGCTCCATCCGTGTTTCTCTTCCTCCATGAGCACCACGTAGTCTGATGACTGTAGCTATTCAACAAGCCATGACGCTGGGTAGAGCGATTTCTCTAATTCTTTTTTCCAAAACATTCTAGTCATTTGAGGTCCTTTACGCACATACACACACATATAGTACCTTGTTTATGACCACAAAAAGACATACTGGGATTTTGATAGGAATTACATGACATCTGTAGATCAATTTTGGGAGAATGGACATTCCCGGTATTTTGTGAATTTTGTCACACAGATCTGGTACATGTTTTGCTAAATGTATATCGAAGTACTTTTTCCTTAAAGTGACAGGGGTGCTGTTGTGCTTTTAACCTGGGTTTCCACATGTTCATGTTCGTGTAGAGAAATGCAGTTGATTTATACGTGCTTCTCGCTTATTTTCATTCCTCTCCTTTGCTTTCTGTTGGGCACATCAAGTTTTCTTCTGTTGGTTTAAAAGTTGTATTTTTGTTCTTGTTTTGTTTGCCCTCAGGGCCATTTCCAGGACTTGAAATGTTTGTTTGCTTTTCTAATTTTCCCCGGTTTCCCCAGGCAGCAGGTCGGTGGATCTCCCAACACTGTCATGCCAGAGGTGCTCTAGGCCATGCAGGGTCACCATCCTGACAGCAGCCCACCCGGAAATCTTCAGCAGAGGCGAAGACTTCCAGTCCTCTGTCATTCTTTCAGTCCGTCACCTCCACTGAGACTGTGGTGGGCACTGGCCCTGTGCCATTCGGCGGGTGCTTCCAGCCCCGGGCGCGGTTTGCTCCCATTTCCAGGCAGCCCCACCTATTCCTCCCCCAGGTCAGTAAGGAGGAGAATCCCACAGGCCCCAGCTCGGGCAGATCTCTTTTCTTGTGGCCACACACAGATAACTAACTCCGTGGGTCCTGGTGTCCTCTCTGGTCTGGCCGCAGCTGTGGCCACAAATCAAGTCCTCCTTTATTTTACTGTGGACTGAGCTGTGCTGTGCTTTCTCAGATAATTGGCTTTATCCTCGTTGGCCTGGAGAGTCTTAGAACTAGAGTTTACCTGAGAAGAAAGGCCCTTAAAGACCATTTGGTCCATTTTTATTAATTTATTTTTATTTATTTATTATTATTTTAAATAGAGACAAGTTCTCCCTATGTTGCCCAGGCTGGCCTCGAACTCCTGGGCTCAAGCAATCCTCCTGCCTCAGCTTCCCAAAGCGCCAGGATTACCAGTATGAGCCATGGCACCTGGCCTAGCCCAGTCGCTTTCAACCCCAGTGAACACATTGAAATGAATTGGAGAGTTGTAAAAATATCAATGTCTGGGTCCCCACTCCCCTGGCACAATCAGTTAAATTAGCATCTCTGGGGGTGGGACTGGACATCAGTGTTTTTATTTTTATTTATTTATTTTATTTTTATTTTTATTTATTTATTTATTTTTGAGACGGAGTCTCACTCTGTCACCCAGGCTGGAGTGCAGTGGCACAATCTCGGCTCACTGCAAGCTCCGCCTCCCAGGTTCACGCCATTCTCCTGCCTCAGCCTCCCAACTAGCTGGGACTACAGGTGCCCACCACCACGCCCAGCTAATTTTTTGTATTTTTAGTAGAGACGGGGTTTCACCGTGTTAGCCAGGATGGTCTTGGTCTCCTGACCTCGTGATCCACCTACCTCAGCCTCCCAAAGTGCTGGGATTACAGGCTTGAGCCACCGCGCCCGGCCACATCAGTGTTTTTAAAAGCTCTCTGGGGCCGGGCACGGTGGCTCACACCTGTAATCCCAGGATTTTGGGAGGCAAGGCAGACTGATCATGAAGTCAGGAGTTCGAGACCAGCCTGGCCAACATGGTGAAACCCCATCTCTACTAGCACGCACCTGTAATCCCAGCTACTCAAGAGGCTGAGGCAGGAGAATCACTTGAACCCGGGAGGCGGAGGTTGCAGTGAGCTGAGATCGCACCATTGCACTCCAGCCTGGGAGACAAAGTGAGACTCCACCTCAAAAAAAAAAAAAAAAAAAAAAAAAAAAAAGGCTGTCCGGGAGATGCAAATGTGCAGCCAGGGTGTAGAACCACTGCTCTCATCCAATCCCTTCATTTTACTGATGTCCCCTGGATTAGTCAGGGTTCTCCAGAGACAGAACTAATAGGATGTATATATAGACACAGATAGATGAGAAGGGGCTTATTAAGGATTTGGCTTCTGTGATCATTGAGGCTGAGGAGTCCCATGGCAGACCTGCCAGCTGGAGAGCCCGGGAAGCCGGCCTGGCTCAGTCCAGGTCTCAAGGCCTCAGAACCAGGGAAGCTGATAGCAGGATCCTCAGTACAGGGCTAATGGCTGGAGAATCTGGAGGGCCACTGGTGTTAAGTCTCAGAGTCCAAAGGCCTGAGAACCTGGAACTGATGTCCAAGGGCAGGAGAAGGGTGTCCCAGCTCTAGGAGAGACAGATAATTCACCTGTCCTCTGCCTTTTTATTCTGTCTGGGTCCCGAGCTGATTGGATGGTGCCTGCCCACACTGAGGGCGGATCTTCCCCACATAGTCCACCGACTCAGTGGCCCATCTCCTCCAGAACATCTCACAGACACACCCAGAAATCATGCTTCGCCAGCCATCTGGGTATCCCTTCATCCAGTCAAATCGACACCTAAAATTAACCATCACACTCAGAGAGGAGAAAAAGACTTGCCTGAGGCCACACACAGAGCTAGACTAATTTTGGGCTTTAGATGAATTTTCTCAGCTTTATCTCACCACCATTTCTTTTCATCAGGTACTTCATGATTTCAAATCAGAGCATCCTTGACTTATTTCTGTCTCATTCAATTAGGCCTATCAGGCCAGGTTAAGCCAGAGCCTCTTTCTTACTGCTGTTCATGATGGTGTAACATTGTTCTTAAACAGCTTCCCCCGCGACACTGTGAGCTCATTCTGGGCTGAACCAACACTTTCTGGGTCTCTGGCTGCTTCCCTACAGAACTAATAGTGGCCTCCACACTGAGCACCGTCGAAACAGCTGTCCTCCAGGACAGTGGAGAACAGAAAAAAGCACCTGGGTTTTGGAGTCAGACCTAGATTTGAATCCTGGCTCCACCATGTAAACCTTTCAGACCCCTCAGTTTCCTCCTCTGTGATATGAGCTAAACATGTCTACCTCATAGCTGGGCTAGCTGGAAAGCTGGTCAAGCCTCACCTTCAGCATCCCCGGCTTGCACAGGCTCTTCCCAAAGCCCTGGAAAAGGCTCTAGTGGCTTCGTGGTTGTGTTTTTTATTCTTTTTCATAAACAGAGTATCCCCCTCAACACACACAGCTTTAGACCCCGCAAAACTTGGATCTGCTCCTCCCCACCCCACAGAGTTGCTCTAGGAGTTAAGATTCTATTCATAAGGCATGTGACATACAACAGGTGCTCAGTAAATGTTACTTCCCTCCAGAAGAGCCCAAAAGAGGGATGGAAGGACAGAACAGCAGGCCGGTGTGCTTGTTACATGTCCCTTTAATGTCCCATCCATTGCCATGCAAAAGCCCAGCCCTGCAGGGAGGGTCGCTAAGGTGCCCAGCTCTTCTGGGGGGCTTCCTTGTCTCTGATGTGCCCATGGATCCAGTCGAGGTAGCGGCTGACTTTGGTGTAAACGCCGTAGTTGTGAAGGAGCCCACAGCCCTCACCCCAGCTCACCAGGCCCACCAGGAACCAGGTGCCGTGGAAGGAGGCGACCATGGGCCCCCCACTGTCGCCCTCGCAGGCATCCTGCCGGTCCCCGAGGATGCCCGCACACAGCATGTTCTCAGACACCATGTTGCTCATGACCTCGCTGCACTCATTGTGCGGGACCACGGGAATCTTGATGAAGTTGAGGACGAAGGTGCGGTTTCTCTTGGCCTCCTTCTCTCGGCTGCTGTGGTAGCCCCAGCCCGTCACGAGGGTCTCCTGGCCGGCCTGATTGAGCTCGCGCTCTGCAAGGCCGCTGTCCGGGAGGCAGATGGGCACTATGGTCTGCGAGAGGGTGGCGGGCTGGGCCAGGTGCAGCAGTGCGATGTCATTGTCGGTGGTGCTCTTGCTGTAGTTGGGGTGGACGAAGACCTCCTTGATGTCCAGGTCCAGCTCCCACTTCTCCCAGCGCCGCAGGTCATACTCTCCTGCAGGGCAGAGGGCACAGTCAGAGTGGGCTGCGGGGAGCCTCTCCCCAGTGGCACTTTCCTGAGGCCCACCCACTGCTGTGCCCCTGCAGGCCTGGGCAGAGGGCCTGAAGAAGGTTCACCCGGAGACTGTGCACCCACACGTCCCAGGCACTGGCGCGGAGCCACCTGTCTATGCCGTGGAACCCTATCAACGGTGACTTTTCCTGCCAGAAGGAGTGGCCAACAGGTGTCAATCCCAAAGAGGTAGGATGCTGGTTGGTTTTCAGGAGTCACGGAGCCGTGAGACCAGAGAAGGAATGGGCAGCAGGGAAGCCCGAGACCCCTGGAAACCCCAGACACAGACCAGAGCCACAAAGGAACGTGGAGCAAAGGTAGCTGGAGAGACCCCAGGGGCAGTGAGACCCAGAGAGGAGGACCCCCAGAACACGGCACTGCCAGGGAGGACAGGGCCGGGTCCCACCTGAGAGAGAAGGTCCTCTCAGTCCAGACTGATGGTTCCCTGGGAAGAGCACCTGGGAATTCTAAGCCAAGCCCCACGGGGGGCCACTGGCCATAGATTATGCTGTAGGAAATGTGAATTTGGCCTTTCTCAATATGCTTTGCCTTCTTTTTGGCATAAAGAGTTGAGCCAGACCCCCCCTCCAGAAATTGCCATAGATCGGGGCCAATGCATAGGTGCCCCCAGCCTGCTAGGGAAGCAGCTTGTGGCTTTGGCAGATGCTAGGGCTCCCTCTGTACAGCTCCATCCCTGTCAGTCTGTGGGAGGCACAGCCCTGAGGCCAGGCCTTGCTGGTCTCTGCACCCAAGGGTGCTGAGGCCCACACAGCCTGCTCCTCATGAGTGGGAGTGGAGAGGTGAAGGTCTGTGTAGCCCCTCACAAACATGTGTGTGCAGGTACCTGTGCCCAGATTCGAAGAGGGCACCAGAGAACCCCCTACTGCAAAATACTGGGTGTACATGGGTGGGCAGGGTGGGGGCACATAGGCCTCTTCCCCCCAAACACCTTCTGTGGAGCTCAAGAAGCCTCTTGCTTAAGCACCTGGGGAGCGGGGTCCCCCAAACCTGAACAGCCTGCCTGGTCCCCCTACCCAGGCCTCTGGCAGCCCCCTTCTGCCTGGCTCCAGCCCATACCAAGCCTGACAAGGAGCTTCTTGGACTCATCCATGCAGTGGGCCGCTGTCAGCACCCAGGAGGGGTGGATGAGCACTGCCCCGCAGGCCAGCTTCTTCTTTGAGTCCAGCAGGACCACCTGGAATGGGGTGGGATGATGACATCACAGGGCTGCCTCCTGACAGCCTCCAGTCCAGGGCACCTGGGTTTCATATGCACTTTCCTGGGTTCCCTGGTCATATGGGCATAGGCTTAGGCCCTTTCTGGCGTTTTCTATTTTTGCCCATTTTACAGTGTCAGCCTGTCCCAGGGTGTCTTCCTGCCTTTGCCCATGCTGTTCCTGCACTGTTCATACTGTTTCAGTCACCCTCAGCCACACCCAACATCGCCCAGCGAGCTCCTCTCATCCTTAGAGGCTTGGCCAGGCCTTGTGTCTTCCAGGAAGACTTTGTGGCCCCCAGGCTGCCTGGATGTTCCCCTTGGGCCTCCCTCAGCCCCTATCTTGAAGGGCCGTCCTGGCTGTGGTCCCACTGGGCTGCCGGGTCTTTGGGGTCCTGACCCTTGCAGAGTCTGAGTCCCCAGGGCAAATACTCCCACTTGTTGGTTCCTATCTCCCCCATGCCTGGCAGAGAGGGGAACCCAGTAAGTGTCAGTTCCCATGTGGAGGCTGGAGGGGTACTCAGGCCCGGCCCTCCCTCCTAGCCCTCTCCCATCAGCAGGGCTTCTGCCTAAAATCCCGCCAGCAGAGCAGTGTCTTTCCAGCTCTTTTTAGAAACTGTAACCCTCCCTCCTGCAGACCCCTCCATGCCCCCATGCCCCTCCCCTCACCCACCCTGGCTGCTCCTCTCCCCTCAGGTTGCGTCCATCTTTCCCTGAAGCATCCCCCACCTTCATCATCCCCCAAACGCAATGGCAGCGCTTCCCTCTCGGTTTCTGCACCCTGAGCATAGCTGCCAGGATGGACTCAGTGATCCCGGACCCAGCACGTGAGCAGCCGGTGCTGCCTCGCCTCCCACCTGCCAGGGGCTGTCTCCCCGCCTGGTCATCTTCCCATCAATGAGCCGCGGATCTACTTGGTCTTCTTGGTCTTCTGTGTCTCGTTTCAGGTGACTGCGCTTCTTCTCCATCCGCTTCCAGGGCCTCCCACAAGGGAACTTCACTGAGGTAGGCAGAGGTGGTGAGGGGCCTGCCAGGCACTCCTCCCGAGACTGCCCTCCTGTCTTGGTCCTCCTCCAGCCTGTGGGCCACTTTGCCACAGTGCAGGGTTCAAGGAACCAATGATACTTAGACCACTCCATTAATATTAGCTATGAACCCCCTCCAGTCAGCCAGTCAGTCAGTCAGTCAGTCAACAAACAGTGCCACTGAATGGTAAGAGTCAGACCAGGCAGCATCACCCACTGGCTGTGTGTCCTTACATAGGTTGTTAAACTTCTTGAAGGCTCATTGTACCCCAGGGCTGTTGGGGGTAATCCCTGAGATACAAATTACAAACCCCCTCCAGTCAGTCAGTCAGTCAGTCAACAAACAGTACCACCCAATGGCAAGAGTCAGGCCAGGCAGCATCGCCCACTGCCTGTGTCTCCTTACATAGGTGGTTAAACTTCTTAAAAGCTCATTGTACCCCAGGGCTGTTGGGGGTGATCCCTGGGATTAGTAAGGTCTCATAATGGGATGCTGCTGAGCTCCTCACAGAGGAAAGGAATTACAGGGAGAAGGAGGTGAGCATTCTTGGAGAGCTCCTACAATAGGCATGGCATGTTTGTGAGGCCTCCCTGCCAAGAAGAGAGCGCATACTCCATGGAGAACTGAGGGCTGAAAGGTCGGCCCGACTCTGCTCAAAATGGGCCTTGAATGCCCAGTCCAGATATCTAGACTTAAAAGAGCAATGGGACGTCGTCAGCAGGGGAGCTGCATCATAACAAAAGAATGGAAAGGGCACAACAGCAACAATTCCAGAAGCTGACAGCAGATGGATGGACACAGTAACTGACTTGGCAGACTGGAAAGCAAAAATCTCAGCCCGTGATGGGGGCGCCCAGAAGCTGAAGGACTGGACCACGGAACCATAGGAGGCTGTGGGGCTTCCAGGAAGGCAGTGCAGGTGGGAGGGCATGTTGAGAGTTTGTAAGAGAAACTGCGAAAGCCCTCCTCACTGACTTGACTCCCCTCTCCCTGCCTGCAGAAGGTGAACCAGAGGCTCTGACTAGGGACTTCAGGCCCCGCTTCAGGAAGGAGTGGTGCTCTTAGCTGACCACAGGGAGTCATGCAAATGTCCACAGCCTGCACAGGCACCAGCTCCCCTGCCCCACCCTGCTCTGAGGGGCCGAACACCATGGGTGAGCGTCTTCCATCCTCCAAGAGCTTGGAGGAGTCCTCTTAGAAAGCAGCCTAAAAGGAAAGCCCTCACGATCTGGGGTTCTGCCAATGACAGGGCCTTCCCAAGGCCTTGCAGGAAACCCACAGGCCAACAGGCCCACCAGGCATTTCTTTGCAGCTTCCTGGAAATATCTAATTATTTCAAAATAAAAAGTTAAATTTTTAGATCTTTTTTTACTTTTTTTAAAAATAGAGACAGGGTCTCACTGTGTTGCCCAGGCTAGTCTCAAACTCCCAAGCTCAAGCAATCCTCCCACCTCAGCCTCTCAAAGTGCTGGAATTATTGGTCTGAGCTACTGAGCCTGGCCAAAAATTTTTTTCTGCAGAAGAATTGAATTATAAAGTTGTAGAAAGTTCCCTGAAAGAGGCTGGGCGCGGTGGCTCACGCCTGTAATCCCAGCACTTTAGGAGGCCAAGGCAGGTGGATCACCTGAGGTCAGGAGTTCAAGACCAGCTTGACCAACACGGAGAAACCCCTTCTCTACTAAAAACACAAAATTAGCTGGGCGTGGTGGCGCATGCCTGTAATCCCAGCTACTCGGGAGGCTGCGGCAGGAGAATCGCTTGAATCCAGGAGGCGGAGGTTGTGGTGAGCTGAGATCACGTCATTGCACTCCAGCCTGGGACAACAAGAGTGAAACTCCATCTCAAAAAAAAAGAAAAAAAAGAAAGTTCCCTGAAAGAAAACACAAAGTCAAAGAGATGGGAAATAGAAGAGACAATAAAACTAGAGGAAAGAGGTCTGAATAATGGGAGGTCCAGAAAGAGAAAATAGAGGAAGTAAAGGGGAGATTGTAGAAGAAATAAGTGATAAATGTCCCTAGAGGCAGAAGATAGGAATTTCCACATTAAAAGGGTCCACCTTTTAATGAAAATGAATGAAAAAAGGACCCATGCCAAGGAACAGCATGCTGAAATGTAAAAGTTGTAAAACTCTGATTTTTAAAGTTTCATACATATATAAATTTGATTAAAATGCATAAAAAGGAAAATATAGAAGAAGGCAGAATCGGGATTCTGTTCTCTCCTCAAGGAAGCAAGGGGGTAAAGAGGGAAATGCGATGCACGCCGGACAACGTCAGAGAAAAACGCAGCCAGGCTACATGGAGGAGGACGCTGCACGCCTCGCCCCAGATACGCTCAGACTGGGGAGCGGAGCCACCACTGGGCTTGCGCTCCAGGAGGTGGCCCCAGGTGCGCAGGGGGCGCCCGGAGGAAGGCGGGGACGCCAGGAAGAAAGGAAGCAGGGAAAGCGGAGGGCGCGCCCAGCTCCCGGGCTGATTGCGCTAACAGTGGCCCCGGTGTTGGGGCGCGTCTGCCGCTGCCCCAAGGCTCAACTCTGTTCCTCGCTCCCTCCCTAGAAACCCTCCTGAGCCCCCCGCGCCGCGCCCCGTCAGGGGGCCTGCCCACCCTGCACCCAGCGTGATTCCTGGGCGATGTATTGGGGGCTTCTCACCTGCGGGGTGACACTGCAGGAGGTCGTCCCCCAGCTTGTAGCCAGGCGCACAGCTACAGCGCCGCCAGCCCACCTCCTCTAGGCAGTAATGCGTGCAGCCGCCGTTGTCCAGCGAGCAATTGAGGAAGCTCACCTCTGCGGGCAGGGGAGGGCGCGGGCAGCTGGTGCTGGTGCCGCGCCCCCAACCCGGCCCCAGCCCCGCCCCGCCGCCCGCCAGCATCCACCTCTCCCCCTCACCGCGCTGGCAGAAGCGGCCCTCCCAGCCGCTGCGGCAGTCGCAGCTGAAGCTGCCGATGCCGTCGATGCACGTGCCGTGCCCGCAGCACAGGCTGGCGCACGGGTGCTCCAAGGGCAAGACCAAGCACTGGTCACCGTCTGCGACACAAGGCGGGGTAGGGGGTCAGCGGCCAGAGATCCCGAGGGGCGCGGGCGCCGGTAGTCCAGCCGGGGATCTAGAACGCACTCACCGACGTGCTTGGACCAGAAGGCCAGCTGCGGAGAGAGCGGGCAGCGTCAGGCTCCTGCAGCCGGTGTGCGGAGGGGGCGCGCCCGGGTGGGGCAGGGCAGCGGGTGAGCGGGCAGGGGAGGGGAGGGCTTCCAGACAAACAGGGATCGACGCCCGATGGTCGTTGGCTGCTAGGAGCTGGTGCTCCCTGCCCCTCCCCCGCCCTCCAGCGCCACCCGCCCGCGCCCAGCCTCCATCCCACGTCCCTGGAGCAACACCCTCTCCCCATGCAGCTGCAGTGCTGCTCTCGCGACTGTCTGCTCCCACAGCAGCCTCTGGCATGCAAGGGACCCGAATCCCTCACCAAGTCACTCGGCCTCCTTCCAGTCCCATCACTCCCTCTGCCTGCGGGCTTTGGGGGACCCCTGAGCATCGCGCCTTTCCCTAAGCCAGTGTTTTTCAGAGTTGGGAGGATGGGGGCAGAGGGTCTGCGTTCCTAACCAGGTACCAGGGTTGCTGCTGCGGCGGCTGCTGCTGGTCCAGGACCACCCAGCCCACGTTGAGACCCACGGCCTGTGCCTGATGCCTGCTCCATCAGAGAGGCCAGCCAAGGCCTGCTGGGGCTGAGAGACCATGGGTGAGGTGGGAGCACGGTGGGGACTTGATGTGATCAGATATGTGCCTGCAGAAAGTCACTGTGGCGTCTGCCAGGGAGGCCACTGGGGAAAGAGGTGGTGGGGATGGAGGTCCAGATGGGGGTCCAGTCAAGGAGGTGGAGGCTGAGGGCAAGAGAGGGTGCAGGCCAGAGGGTCTCCTGCCCTGAAAGCCTCCACTGGAAAGCATCCCTGGATGCCTTGGAAGGGGGCCCAGGCCGTGCACAATTTTCAGGTCCTAGTGGCTGAAGCGATCCCCAGGGACAGAGCGGGTCTGAGCCTTGTCTCAGGAAGCCAGCCCCGTTACCAAGCTCACCCTACTACCTAGGGCCACGTCCACAGGACTCTGGGGGCTCCAAAGGACTCTGACCCTTAGACAAATAGGACACAGACCCTGTCTTCCGACCCCCTGAACAATCAGATTTTCTCCCTTTGATGTGAGGCACAGAGTGAGCGATTTTATGTGGACAGAAGTGAGTTTCGGTCACACACACACCCTGATCAGCAGAGGCATGGGTGGAAGCAGGGTGGTCTTTAGGTCCCCTCTTTGTGAGGTGGGACGGGGAGGCAGTGGTGCTCAGCAGTGGCTGGAGGGTGGACTGAACCACCTACACTGTGGCTGGTGGGAGTCCCCACCTAGGGTCACCCCACACTCTTTCCTGGAGCTTCTTCCTGAATTCTGTTTCTTGCAGTCACATGTGCCTGGCCGACATCATAGGGCCAGCATCCTAATCGCTCCACTCAGCCACCCCCACAACTCCTAAGAGGGCCTCAGCATTGAGTCCCCACCTGCTCCTCGAGGCCCCTGCTGGTTACCAGCTCGCCCCTGAGCCTCATCCTCTGGACCCATGGTGGCCTTACTGTGTCATCCACATTTTGGAAAATTTCCTTGGCCTCCTCGAAGTCACAGATCTCCTCTATGCACTCCCGCTCCAGGCTGCTGTGACGGAGCTCCTCCAGGAAGGAGTTGGCACGTTTGCGGATCCGCAGCACCTGGTGGGCACGCTCGCTGCTGGAGAACACTGAGTCTGGTTTTGGAGGGAGGGGGAGCTCACCTTGGTGGAGGGGCCTAAGAGGGGCTGGGGCCATGAGGGGGTCTGAGGAAGCAGAGCTGGGAGAGCCTGGGAAGGTCTTGTCTCCGCCCCCTCAAGACTCATTCTAATTCTAGGTCATGGCTTGGCGCAGGGGTCCTCTGCTCTTTTCCTCCCCAGGAAGCAGATGGCAGTTGGAGGACGAAGCCTTGCTCTGAGATGGACAGGCCTCCCTGTGAACCCCACCCCGATCTCTGTGTGACCTTGAGCCAGTGTCTTTACCTTTCTAAGGTTCAATTTACTCATCCAAAAACATGGGGATGAGACCGTCATGTAAAACATCCAATACAGTCCCTGGCCCAGAGATAAGTACTCAAGCCCTGGCTGCTGCTGTAAAGGCTGCCAAGTTAAATCCTCTCACTCTTCTGCCAGTACACCACGTGCAGCCCCATCTTGACACATCCCCCCAGTCTTCCTCTCCTCCCCCAACCAAGTATTCCCCATGCTTCTCCCCTTGGGCAGGGACACCTGGAGGATAGACAGACCTATCACCCAGGAAGGGTCCCCAGGTGTCTCCTGGGCTCTGTGAAGTGTCTGTCTTGGGTGCAGGGCACAGTTAGGAGGGAGAGATCAAGTTGGGGGTGTGAGCAAGAAGGGATGGGGGAAAAGGCATCCTAGAGGAGGGTATGCCTGAGCTGAGGGCACCTTGGGAAAGGGTGGAGGTGCAGGTCCCAAGCAGATAAACAGCTCTATAAAGGCACAAATGAAACCAACAGCCTGGTGTGGCTTTAGGGGCCCATGTGTCCTGCGGACCTCCCCAAGAATCATGGCCTCCTCCCGTTGGCTGTGGAGACCAGGAAAGGGGTTGGGGCAGGGCAGCCATGAGGCCAGTGTGCATTTGAGTAGGGGAGGCTGTGCTGGATAGTGTGGACGGTAGCCTGGGCCTGGGGTCTTCACAGTTGAGGGAGTGAGTGGGTGGAGAGGGAAGGCCCAGGGGACTCTGTGACCATCCCCGTGTGGAGGAGGGAGCTTTAGGAGGTCATCGCGGGGCTCCCTGCCATCACGCATGCCTGCCCTGGCAGCCCCTGTGTGGCACTCTGGCAGCTGGCCTACCTGGGACTTGTCAGTTGATTCCTGCCATTCCCATCTGCCCCTCACCTCACCCAGGGCTCAGAGAGATGGTGGAAGCTGTGAAGGCCTGGGCAGATGCCCACCAGGGCCTTGTAGAGGCCACAAGGGTCCCGGGGTAGGGGTGGGGTGGCCTTACCAAGAGGAGCTGGTGTGCCGGAAATTCCCCAGGTGGCCACGAACAGCAGGAGGCTTGTGAGCTGCCACATTCTGGAGGCACTGGCACCTGTCTGAGGAGGACTTCTGAGCTCCGGGCAGTGCCTACCCCCGCTGCTGCTCTGCCTGCACCCCCAGGTGGAAGCGGAATGAAAGGGCTGTCCCTGTGTGCTGGCCGTCAGGGCGGAAGCTGGGATTGAGGGTCCTTGTTCGCTAGAGACATAGCCTCAGAAGGCCTCGGCTGCCCGCTCTACGTGGGGCTGAGCTCACACTGCCTGCCTAGAAAGCAGCTCCAGAATGCAGTGGAGAGGGTGCCAGGATGTTTGTGTCCTCCCTGGGGACAGTGGGGTGGCTGCCTCTGCCGGTCTGATGACTGGGCTGAGAATATTAGCTAACGTTGATTGGACACTCATGGTGTCTTTCAAACAATTTTTACAGGATTCACAGGGCAGGCCATGAAGCCAGACTGCACGGTGCAAATTCCAGCTCCAGCACTTACTGGAGGGCAATGTTGGGCAAGATGCTTAACTGCTCCATGCCTCAGTTTCCTCATTTGTAAAATGGATGGAATAACGTGGTGTATCTGTGCCTTAAAGGGTGTTGTGAGAATTAAAGGAGTTAGTCCACATAAAGCTCTCAAAACAGGCTTTGCACATAGCTCATGCTCAGTAAACATGAGATATTATGACTTCAGTTAAGGCTCACAACCACCCAAGAGGTAGTTATTAATGCTGTCAACCCCATTTCATAGAGGGGGAAACTGAGACTCGGAGGAGTTAAGTGGTTTATTAAAAATCCAACCCTTGCTGGTCTCCGTTGATTGCACAGGGAAGTCACCAACCCAGGGGATCGATCAGATTCTGTCCCCCATCCTCCAGGAGTAGGGTCTCACACCATCAGTACACTGCAGGCACCAGACTCGGAAGACTGAGGCAAGGTCCTGGGTCTCCATGTTTACATCCATGCATTACTCGCAGAGCCAGGACTCAAGGCCAGGCCTGTGTGGTTTTAGGCCTGGAAATTCAACCCCTGCCCCAAACCACCAGGTGCTCCAAAAGGCCACAGAGATAGCCCTGGTGGCCAGAGATCAAGGAACCCTCCCCAGTGGATAGGCCACGTGGCCCTCTGCACACCCTACCGGACCCTGCTCTCCATTCTTGCCGACTCCCTCTGAGGCCACTTCTGAGATTTGTTCAAATCCGACACCCCCAAAGGTGGAAGTGGGGTGGGGAGAATGGAGGGTCCTGGGCTCCAAACTGTCTGTTGGAATGGCCCTGGGCCCTGGGGACCCTTGGCCTGGAAAGAGGGAGGCGCATGGCAAAGGGACCTGAGACTGTGGCTGCCAGGCCTGGCCTGTGGAGGGCCTTGTGTCCTTTCACCCCAAGCTCAGGCTTGTTGAGCACCCTGGCTGGAGGATTCAGCCCTCATCACCACCTAGCTCTCTTCTCCCGGGGGCAGCCCTCCCTCCACACCCCTCATAGACCTGCCTGGAGGGGGACTCACAGGGGCGGGTCGTGGAGATACTGCAAGTTCGCCGTCCTGCCGCCATGACAGCCTGGAGTTCGAGTTAATCCATAACCACAAATATTTGCTTGGCCCTCAGCACTGAGGCCTCCCTCTCCATAGACAAACAGTGGCACTAGCACTCCTGGTCCTAGCTCAGCACGGCTTGTTCTGCCCGAAGCCCACCTCTGCCCACCAAGGATGCCGTCCAGCAGGGAGGGAGGTGAGGGCAAAACCCTTGACAGATGTGGTCTCATTTTAGCCCCATAGTGGCTGGCTGAGGGAGGAACGTTGTCCCTGTTTTTCAGATGGGGACATTTTTGCCCAGAGATATTATAGTTTGCCCAAGATCAGCACAACAGGTAATATTCCATATTTCGTCAAATCTAAAATACCATTAATTATAAGACACATGTATTTATGTGCCACCATACAAGAAAAAAGACGCTGTCCCAATGACATGCCATCCCAATTTCTGATACATAAAATCATGAGAAGATGCTCCTTTTTGGGTCCCCAGTGCATAGGTGCTGGGCACTGGGCTCCACCCTCACCTCCAATTGCTCACAAATCACCCCCAATCCCCACCCCCAACACACACACACAATGGCACATAGCATCCCTCTAACCTCTATTTTTCAGGTAAGGACACTCAAGTTTTGTGTTACTCGCCCAGATTCACTGAGCTGGTAGTTGGCAGATTTAATTTGAACTCAGGTCTTGCTGCTTCCATTTGGCCCCTTTTGTGGACCAGTAAGAAAAATGAACGGGATTCCAGAAAGGCTGCAGCAATTTCCTGGCCGGGGTGCCAGAAGGGAGAAGGGCAGAAATAAAGGGTCCAGCTCAGCACCTTTGCCTGTGTCCTGCAGTCTATCAGCATTTATTAAGCGTCTTCCTGCTCCGAACCGGGCTGCACCAGAGATGCCCCCCTTTCCTCCCTGCCCTACCTGTTCCTGGGAAGACTTGCCCACGTTCCTTCTCCAAGTCTGCACCTCTAAACGGGGCATGTGACCCTGCCTCGCTGGCTTCCATTGATTGCACAGGGAAGTCACCAACCCAGGGGATTGATCAGAGGAGTAGGGTCTCACACTGTCAGTACACCATAAGTACCAGACTCGGAAGATTGAGGCCAGGTCCTGGGCATCCATGTTTACGCTTAAAGCAGAGGAAGCTGATGAGAAGGAAGATGCAGGTGTGCAGAGGGGGACTGAGGCCACGGACACCTAGAGAGTCCCAGGGAGCAGCGGAAGGAGGCCCCTGCCTCCTTATGATTGGTGGCACATCCTGGCTTCGGGTGCAGGAGGGTCCCCATGCCCTCCTAAAACCCTATTCCTCCTGAAGTTTCTTTAAATTGGCTGGAACAGCTTGTGTTGATTGTAACCAGATGCCTCCTGCTGAGGCACCACACCATGCTGGGCTGTGGTGGTACCAGGCCCTCCTAGAGGAACAGGGTAAAACTCTAACACTCTAACAAGTCAGGCCCACCTTGCCCAGGGGCAGGTACACATAGGAAATGCTTACAGAATTCAGAGGAGAGGGCAATCAGTACAAGCTGGCATAGCCAGGGGAGGCTGCCTGTAGGAGGTGACACTTCAGCTGGACATCAAAGAGCAGACAGGAGGAAAGACATCCCCCCCAACCCCACCCCAGGTTGGGAGACAGTGGGGAGACACAGAACACAAGCAGTCAGGAGGTGCTAGGAGGGGTGGAGGTGGAGAGGAGGTGGAGGGTGAGGCAATGGATTTTGAAATCGAGACTATGAGAAGTGGAGAACCAGGAGCTGTTTGTGACAGGCTGTGGCAGCTGCCTAGAAAAGCAGAGACAAGCTTCTGGGAACTCAGACAGGAAGCATGAAGACCCCATGCACAACCACAGAAGGCACCAGCTTGTATGTCCCTGTTTGCTTCAGGCGTCGCCCCCGCAAGTCTGCAGAGATCACTGCCCTCTGCTTTGCCTTCCAGGTGCAAGATGTTGTGGGTATTCTTTTGGCGCCGCTTCCCTTCCCCACCAACTTCTCGCCCTCTACTCCTCCCCACCCCAGCACAGGCAGCCGCTCCAGGGCAAGTCTATGCAGGCTCCACACACTGATTCTGACCTGCATAAATGGACTCTGCCCGGGGCACCCATGTCCAAACCAGCCCAGGTGCCCAAAGCACCGGCACCGGTACGAGCCAGGGCGGCTGCAATGCTCCCAAGTGCCCAGTGCTGGGGGTTGGGGGTGCCACGGCTTGGCAGGCTGCCCAGAGGGCGGAAGGGTCCTCTGCAGAGCTCTGCACGCCTGTCGGCCGACGGGGACTCTGCACGGCGGGCTGCGTCACGGCCGCCTCATCGGCTGGCAGCGCAGGAAACCCCGTCACCTTCTCGAGGTAGGGACAGTCCTGCCGCCAGCCGTTCCTGCGATCCCAGGGTCTCTGCAGTTACACCTGGTTCCAGCCGGGGGCGCCGCGCCGCACCGCTCCTGCGGAGGAGCCAGGCGCCCTTCACAGGCGCGGCCTCACCCGCTTTACTTGTCAGGTGTGAGTCGCCCCACGTGCACCCGAACGCGGTCAGGTCCACCCAGGAAGCCGGAGCAGGACTTTGGGCAGCGAGCTCGCTGTGAGTTAGAGAGCAGAGGGACACCTGTGGCTAAGGAATTCGCTGCATGGATGAAGACCCAAGCAAAGGAGCTAGAACCAAATGTGTGTGGGGCAAGGCCAGCCACAACTACCGGAGCAGGCGGGGTTCCAAAGCCCTCAGCTCTGGAGTCACGTTCCCACGGCCTTAAACCTCCGCTAGCCTTTTTCTGACAGGGGGATTTAACTTCCCTGTGTCTCAATGTCCACATTTGTAAAATGGGGTCAGCGTCCGTCTCAGGTGACTGTTATAAGGGTCACGTTAAATCTTTTATTAATTTTTTAATTAAAAAAGTTTTGAAACAGGGTCTCTCTGGCTCTGTCACCCAGGCTGGAGTGCAGTGGCGGGATCACAGCTCTCTGCGGCCTAGATCTCCTGGGCTCAAGCGATTCTTCTGTTTCAGCCACCTCAGTAGCTGGGATCACAGGCCCGTGCCACCACGCCCAGCTGATTTTTAAAAATTTTTAGGAGAGAGGAGGTCTTGCTGTGTTGCTCTAGAACTCCTGACCTCAAGTGATCCTCCCTCCTCAGCCTGCCAAAGTGCTGAGATTACAGGCGGGAGCCACTGTGCCTGGCCTTATTTTTAAGTATTTTATACAAAGTGGACATGGCCTGGGACTTAACAGGACTTCCCACAGGCCTGGGAAGGTCAGGGAGGGGCCGACTAGGAGGGGAAGGGGTCAAGGACAGCTGCTGCTGTGTGGAAGCTCAGACTGCACAGATCCGTTGTACAGATTAGGGCTGATCATTCAGTCAGCCCTAACCTGTACAACACTCCCCACCCCTTGCGTTTTGGCCCTGGCTCTGCCAATAGATGCCAGAAACCCAACTTGAGCTCACTCTGCTGAACAGTGATGAGAGATGGGCTGGTGGTCAGGGCTGACGGGACTAAGGTTCCTTCTCACCCCATGCCACTCCCCTGTGTGGGCATTGCCCATTCTCCATTCTCTCTGCAGGGACGCTGTGCTGCTCAGCCCACCCCAGGCAGGGCAGGGAGGACAGACACTAGAGAGGCTCCCGGGAGCTCCCTGGTAAGAAGTGGAGTGGGATGGATGCAGTCCAACGTCTCTCTCTTTTGTTGTTGTCAGGTTATTGTGGTATAATTTACACACAGGGAAACTCACACTTTAAAAATGTACAGTTCTGCTTGTTTTGACAAATGTATGTTATAGTGCATCCACCACCACATCATGATATACACATTTTCATCACCCTCAGAAATTCTGTGTTCCACCCCAACTCTTGGCAACCACTGATTGGATTTCTATCTCTATAATCTGCATTTTCTAGAATAGCATATAAAGGGAATCCTACAGCACATATATATATTTTTTTGAGTTGGTGTCTTGCTCTCTTGCCCAGGCTGGAGTGCAGTGGTGTGATCTCAGCTCGCTGCAATCTCCACCTCCTGGGTTCAAGTGATTCTCCTGCCTCAGCCTCCTGAGTAGCTGGAATTACAGGCACACGCCACCACACCTGCCTAATTTTTGTATTTTTTAGTTTCACCATGTTGGCCAGGCTAGTCTTGAATTCCTGACCGCAAGTGATCCGCCCACCTCAGCCTCCCAAAGTGCTGGGATTATAGGCGTGAGCCACCGTGCCCAACCAGTACATAGCTTTTTAAGACTACCTTCTTTCACTCAGCATAAAGCTTTTGAGATTTATTCATGTGGAATTCTATATCAGTACTTTATTTCTTTTTATTGCTGACTGGGCTCCATTATATAGATGTGCCACAATCTGTTATCCATTTGCCAGTTCTTGGCTATCATTAAATTAAGCTGCTAGAACATTTATGTATAGGTCCTTGTGTGGGCATATGTTTTCATTTCTCTTGGGTAATATCTAGGAATAAGATTGCTGAGTCATGTGGTGAGTACGTGTTTACTTTTGGGAAAAAAAAATAAAGTCAAACTTTTCCAGAGTGGTGGTGGCATTTTGCATTCCCACCAAGCAATGTCTGAGTGTTCCTGTTGCTCTGCATCCTCACCAGCATTTGGTGTTGTCGGTTGTTTTTTAATTTTAATTTTCAATTTTTAGCCTTCTTAATAGATGTGTAGTGGTATCTCATTGTAGCTTTAATTTTCATTTCCCTCTTCTCTGGTGATTTTGAGCATCTTTTCCTGTGCTAATTTGCTATTTATATCTTCTTTGGTGAAGTGCCAGTTTAAGTCTTTGGGCTGTTTTTTGTTTGTTTCTTTGTTTTTGAGGGTTTTTTAAATTGAGTTTTTAGAATTTGTATGTATCCTAGTAACAAGCCCTTTGTCAGCTAAGTATTTTGCAAAAATTTCCTCTCAGTCTGTGACTTGTCTTTTATACTTAACAGTGTCTTTTAATGAACAGATGTTTGTAATTTTGATGAAGTCCAATTATCAACATTTTCTTTTATGATTCGTGCTTTTGTGTCCTACCAAAGAACACTGCCTTATTCAAGGTCACAAAGGCTTTCTCTTATGTTTTCTTCTAGAAGCTTTATGGTTTTTCACTCTTACATTTACATCTCTGACCCATTTTGAATTCGTTAATTTTGGTATATGGTGTGAGGTAGGGGCCAAGAATCATTCTTTAAAATATATGGAGATCTAGTTGTCACAGTCCCATTTCTTGCAAACACTATCCTTTCTCCCATTGAATTGCTTTGGTGCTTTGTTGAAATCAATTGACCGTATATGCATACATCTACTTCTGGACTCTATTTTGTTCTGTTAATCTATCTTTCATTTTTATGCCAACATTATAATGTCTTAATTGCTATTACAAGATTCAAGTAACTCATGAAATCAAGTAGTGTAAGTCCTCCAACTTTGTTCTTATTTTTCAAAATTGTTTTGGCTATTCTAGGTCCTTTCTACTTCTATATAAATTTTAGAACCAATTTCTCAATTTCTAAAAAAAAAATTCCTGGTGAAATCTTGATTTGGATTGAATTGAATCTATAGAACAATTTAGGAATAAAAGACATCTTAATGTTGAGTCTTCTCATCTATTAGCATGGTATTTCTCTACATTTATTCAGCTCTTTGTTAATTTCTCTCTCCAATGTTTAATTGTTTTCAGGTATAGGTCTTGAACATATTTTGTTAAATTTATCCCTACTTATTTCATGTTTTAAAAATGTTATTGTAAGTGGCATTTTAAAAATTTGAACTTACAATTGTTTGTTGCTAGTGTTTATAAATACAATTGACTTTTTAAATTGAGACATTATTTCTTGATTCTATAAACATGATAAGATGATCAACTATCCCATTTGTCTGGGATTGTACCATTTTTAACACTAAAAGTCCTAAAGAAGAAGCCAAAAAGTTAAAGGGAAGTAAACTCTCCCTTGGGAAGAGAAAAGTCGAGGTTTTCAGTGATTGATACAGGAGATTAGGGGAAAGGTATAAAACCCACATGGCAACCCCAGAAACAGAGGCCGAAGGCAACACTGGTTTTAGTGCCAAATGGGCACATCACCTTCCTTAGTGTCTGTTGCTGAGGACAACCACCATGATTTGTAGTACACCATAGTGGATCATCCATTATTATGTCACTCCTTGTGATGTAACTTAAGCGCGCTATAATCTTGAACGTGACCATCCACTTTGCCTGCGGATTAATTGTTGTGCTTTGTATTGAGACACTGCTAGTTTAATTTTAGCATGGTGACTACTGAGGCCATGTTTTCTTAAGCATTCAGGTGATGAAAATGAGGAAATGGTGTTGCAATATCAATGCCCGCGTGACCCAAATGGCCATGTTATTTTAACGACAGGAGGAGTGACACAGACAACTGGATGAGGGAGGTAAAGAATCAAAACAAGGGATACTGCGCAATAAGCAGAGAGAATTCGGGGTTGGGCATGGTGGAAGAAGGGACTGTAGAGACTGCCTCACAAGTCCTCAGTGAGATAGGCAAGTATGTCCACATTAACCAAAAAGCTTTTTGTCTCCACAAAAGACACCAATTGAAAATAGTGGCTGCTGAATTAGCTAGGGCAAACTACAAAAATGAATTTGTGTGATTGTGCTGCTCCTTTGATTGTTTTTTGAAACTGAGTAGGGGCACATTTCCTCATTTACAGGCTGTAACTGAAATATCACGTGGGTGAACAAAGGGAGAAATGTCGATGGCAGCTGTGTTGACCCTTTACAACATGCAGCGGATTCTGCCAGATCCCACCAACAATCATGCTTTCTACAGTAACCAAGTGCTGCATCCAATCATGGCAATGAAAAACAGTTCTCCTAACTTGTAAATACTTTGATTTGAAAAAATGGAGTTTCAAATCATCCTTTTTATTTCTATGAAGATTTTAATCCACCTGCAGAAAAAAAAAAAGAATGTTGATGCTATCTTGTCCAAATACAAACATGACTTTGCCCATCTGTCTGCCTATTTGGCAGACCGTGCAAATGTAAATTTTTGCAAATTCCATGCAGTCTATGAACGCTTTACCAAAGAAAAGTTAAAAATATTAGCCACGAAGTGTCCTGCACATTTTGTACACATCAGTAAAAAGGGGTGGAGTTTCCTTCCCTGTGATATTGATGCTTTCAAAATGAAAGCTTTTATTTACTTTTCAGTTTCCTCAAAGCATGAAAAAGCACTTAATGAGATTTTTCACATTCCAGAAATGGAAGGAGATGGCCTCCTTTGGACATGTGCCTACACGAGGGCTGTCACTGTTGCCAGGGTAAAAAGGCAGCCTGCCATACAACCATATTTTCAAAGCATGGGACAAGAAGAATGTCCTTGTCTAATTTGGAAATATATTAAGAATGAAAATAGAGAAAAAGATTATGGTTAAACAGTCAAACTGAAATTTATAAGTTCTTCCTCCAAAACTGCCTGATGATCTTTGAGGAGCCCATAAGGGCTCTGGAAAAGCATGAACTGACTGTCCCTGAGTTGTCGATGTTATAGGTAGGTACTGACAAAGCTCATATAATGAAAAATGACTCATTTTTTGGAAACGAAACCAAAATGTCACCAGAAAAGGACAGCCAATTTAAACAAGACTTTCTCACTTCTTTACTAAAACTGTAACTTATTTGGAATTCAACTTCAACTTCAACTTCACAAGTTCAAAGTATCTTTGTGCTTTAAAACTATTTTTCCTGAGAGAAACACAGACAGAGAAGGAGAGAGACAGAGAGAGGTTTAACTTACAGTGACATCCAGTGTGCTCAGAAATGTTCAAAAAGGGCCGGGTGCCATTGCTCACGCCTATAATTCCAGCACTTTGGGAGGCCGAGGTGGGTGGATCAGCTGAGGTCAGGAGTTCGAGACCAACCTGGCCAACATGGCGAACCCTGTCTCTACTAAAAATACAAAAATTAGCCAGGCGTGGTGGCACGCGCCTGTACTCCCAGCTACTTGGGAGGCTGAGGCCGGAGGATCACTTGAACCTGGGTAGTTGAGGTTGCAGTGAGCCGAGATCACGCCACTGTACTCCAGCCAGGGCGACAGAGTAAGACTCCAACTCAAAAAAAAAAAAAAAGTTCAAAAAGGATGGATATCTTAGCCATGGATATCCTACATGATAGATGCAAAAGATGACAAACTGCTGGTTTACCAAAACCAGCCTGCAGATGCAAAGTGAATGGACATCTTTGGACAGCTGGAAACGAATCCCTACAAATCTAAAACCCTGCCGTTGCTTGTAGGTACAATCCTAAGTATTCCATTCTCAAACGCTTTTGTTGAGATAGCAGCTTGAGGCCATCACATTGGACTGACCTCAGGAGTCAGTGTACTGAGGGCTCTCTAAGAGCAGAGCTGCAAGTCAAAGGATTTTCCATTTAACTATATTCAGTTTCATCACTACATCAAGGAAGAACTTCCTACTAAAGGCTGCAGGCAAGGAAATAAAAAGAGTCAAAATATCCTACTATATCATAGGACCAAAATGTCTTTTTTTTTGTAGACGGAGTCTCACTCTTGCCCAGGCTGGAGTGCGGTGGCGTGATCTTGGCTCACTGCAACCTCTACCTCCCAGGTTCAAGCAATCCTCTTGCCTCAGCCTGCTGAGTACCTGGGACTACAGGTGGGTGCCACCACGGGCGACTAATTTTTGTTTTTTTAGTAGAGACAGGGTTTCACCATGTTGGCCAGGCTGGTCTCAAACTCCTGACCTCAAGTGATCGGCCCGCTTCGGCCTCCCAAAGTGCTAGGATTACAGGCATGAGCCACCACGCCCAGCCCGTCATTGTTATTTTTGATTAAATATTAGTAATATCTGTTTAAATACTGCTGTTATATTACATTCACCATTTTAAAAGTCTTACATTTATGTATTTTGATACAAAATTTAAGTATCTAATAATGACTTAAAATAAATTGCTAAATCACAGGACAGGAAGAAACATTATAAAACTATTTTTATATTTTTCTCACACATATTATTTGTTATTAGTCCTATTATTACTAATTGCCACTGTGAACTAATCATATTGTTTTCTTTAAATAATAGCATTTATATAGAAGGTAAAAAATACACAATATGTATATTTCAAATAAGCACCATATGTGTATACTATTTATTTTTTATTTTTTAGAGACAGGGTCTCTCCCTTTGTCTTACAGGCTGGAGTACAGTGGCACCATCACAGCTCACTGCAGCCTGGACCTCCTGGGGCTCAAAGGGTCCTCCCTCCTCAGCCTCCCGAGGTAGCTGGGACTATAGGTGCAGGCCACCACGCTCGGCTAATTTTTTTTCATTTTTGTACAGACGGAGTCTCACTATGTTGGTTGCCTAGGCTGGTCTCAAACTCCTGAGCTCAAGTGATCCTCCGGCCTCAGCCTCCTGAATTGCTGGGATTACAGGCGTGGGCCACCGCTCCCGGCCTACAATAATTTTTAACATGCTATATTATGTTGGCTTTTTTTAAAATCTGGTATGGCTGTGTTCCGGGCTGGATCTCTAAAGTGTGTCGTCGAATACACAGTCTCATCTCCTGTCCGCCTAAGTCTTCTCAGCCCTAGCGCCTAAGGGCCAACTAAGACCTAAGACCCGGTCACTGCCCCCAAGAGGCTCAGTTTGGTGATGAAGCCAGACACAAAACAGACAGAGAGCAAGGTCGAAGGTGCCATGAAATAAGTCGCCCCAGGTGGCTCTGGGCGGGCCTAACCCAGGACAGGCTCTCCAGGAAGACTTCCTGGAGGAGGCGGGCCTCAGCTGGACCGCAGGCGGCCAGGAGGAGCTGGGGGTGGTGGTGGTGGGGGCGAGGGTGAAGGTGGTTGGAGATCGGGGGAGAGTGTGAAGAGGAGGACGAGGCCCGGACCTGGGCCTTTCCAGGCAGGCGGCCCAAACGGATCTACGCAGCCAGCCACCCCTCCCAGCTGGGGTCGGCGCGTCCCCCTCCAGGCCGGTGTGGGGAGAGTCTGGCCGTCTGGAGGCCCGGGGCAGCAGGACTGGGAGAGCCGCGGTCTCCTTCCTGTCCCCTGCTCCCGGCAGACCCGCGTTTCCAGGGCCCTGTCCTTTACCCGGGGCGGCCGTCCTCCCATGCCCAGCCTCTGCGAGGCCACCGCTCCCCGCAGCGCCGGTGTCACGGCCCCACGGAGGGCCAGGAGCCTCCAGGGCGCCCCAGCGGCGGGGTGGACGCTGCCAGGCGGTACCACGGCAGGGCCCGCGCCGCCCATCCCGCGCCACGCCCCCACCTCCGCCGGCACCGTTGCCAGCAGCCCGGCTGCGAGCCCGCCGGCGCCCGGCCACCCGCCCGCTGCGTCGCCTGGCAGCGCGCCTGCAGCTGAGTCAGCCTGTGAGTCAGCGCCCCCTGACCGCGCCGCGTCTGGGCCCGGGAGGGACGCAGACGGCGCGGGCGGGGAGGGGGGAGACGAGGAGGGGGAAGGCGGGAAGGACGCGGAGAGGGGCAGGGGGAAGAGGAGGGGGCGGGGCAGGCAACTCGGAGACGGGGAGAGGTGGTGGGGGAGGAGGAGGAGGAGGCAGCAACTCGGGGAGGGGATGAGGAGAGACAGGAGCAGAAGGAGGGAGGGAGGGCAAGCGGGGAGAGGTAGAGGGGAGGCTACCCAGGAACCAGCTCATGCTCAGAGTGTCTCGAAGTCAGGCCTGCACAAGGTTGCCTGAGGCTCCCAGGAGTGTGGCCTGCAGCCTGGGGCACACTGTCTTGGTGATCCAGGTTTTGGCCTATGGAAAGTCTACACTGTGGCTTAAGGTGGTCCTGTTCAAACTTTATTTCAAAAACCTCAACCCTGTATTTATCTTAAGAAGTACACTTTACATCGCAACAAGGTTCCACAAAACCATATTTCTCCCTATACAGGAATGCAGGGATGCACTCTTTACACTATCTGTTCTGGGTCTTTTTGTTGTTGGTGGTGGTTTTTGATGATGATGATGAAACACTAAACTGATTTTATGATCTATTAATAGGTTGCAACCTGCTGTATGAAGAACACCTTTGAAGGTATCAGACGTATCTGTCTTTTCTCTTAAATACAATGCACAGCAGCAGGAAAGGGCCTGCTCACCTGCTGGCCAGAGGCTTCCTGGCTCTCAGCCTCCTTGACTACTTTTTTTGAGACAGGGTCTTGCAGTGTCACCCAGGCTGGAGTGCAGTGGCGCGAACACGGCTCACTGCCGCCTCAACGTCCCAGGTGCAAGTGATCATCCTGCCTCAGCCTCCCAAGTAGCTGGGACTACCGGCATGGACCGCCACACCTGGCTAATTTTTTAATTTTTTGTAGAGATGGGGTCTCACTATGTTGTTCAAGCTGGTCTCAAAAAACTCCTGGGCTCAAGCGATCCTCCTGCCTCAGCCTCCCAAAGTGCTGGGATCCACAACTCCCAATGATTCCCAGGGACCTGAGACAGAGCCTCCATGGGCAATAAACACACCATGGTTTGTGTTTGTTTGTGTTTGGATGTGCATTGAATCCTGGTAACTGTGATTACCTGGGGTGGGAGGGCACTGGGGATGAGGGAGGACTTTTCACTGTACTTTGCTGCTGTTTGAATTTTTGTCACGTATATATTACTTAAAAATGTTTATTTAAAAGCATTTCAGACCTACAAAAAGGTGTCAGAAACAAATGTGACACACAGTCACGCTGCCTTTCTCCCCATTCCACACCCTGCAGAAATCTCTAGCTAGCTTCAGTACTTCTCTGAGGAGTGAGGAGTGGATGAAGCCTCAGAATGCTTTATTTTATATATAATTTTTTTTCCTTTTTTTTTTTTTTTGAGATGAAGTCACACAGTATTGCCCAGGCTGGTCTCAAATTCCTGGGCTCAAGCAATCCTCCTGCCTTGCTCAAGCATGAGCCAGTATGCCTGGCCAAGGAGCTGATTTCTGATCTAGGTCTTGAAATTTTTTTTCTTTTTCTTTTCTTTTCTTTCTTTTTTTTTTTTTTTTGGTAAACTTTTGTTTTAGGTTCACGGTGTATGTGCAGGTTTGTTATATAGGTAAACTTGTATCATGGGGGTTTGTGGTACAGATTATTTCATCACCCAGGTACTATGCCTAGTACCCAATTCAAATTCTTTTCTTTCTTCTTCTTCTTCTTTTTTTTTTTTTTGAGGAAGGGTCTCACTCTGTGGGCTGGCGTGCAGTGGCGCGATCTCAGCTCACTGCAACCTCTGAATCCCAGGCTCAGGTGATCCTCCCACCTCAGCCTCCTAAGTGGCACACACCACCATACCCAGCTAATTTTTCTATTTTTAATAGAGATGGGGTTTCTCCATGTTGCCCAGGCTGGTCTCGAACTCCTAGGCTCAAGCAATCCACCTGCTTTGGCCTCCCAAAGTGCTGGGATTACAGGCATGAGCCACCTTGCCCGGCCCCAATTCGGAATTCTTAACACAGTCTTCTGAGTAGTGTCACCAGTTGATCATATCAGAATTTTTGAAAGCCGTTGGCTGTCCTGTAGACTGTCCCCTCCGACATTGTCCACAGCACCAAATCTGGCCTGCAGATGGTGTGGGGCCATCTCATCAGCAGGCAGGTCTGTCCCAGGTCCTGATTCTGCCCAGGGAACTGGCAGTTCCTGAGAAGTGAGAGGTATGCAGTTACCTCTCAACACCTCTTCAGTCCGTATCCCCCAGAGCATTTAAGGTCTTTCTGGGGAAATATAACAAAAACCAAGAGTAATTAAGATGGGACTTGGACTCTGGCCTGGAGAAGATTCTAATGTAGCTGGAGAACAATACAAAGCAGCAAAAATAAGATTGCTTATGTGTTGGGTGTACGTGTTTAATTATGTAGGCCTTTGGGCATTATTTGGTCTCAGAATCCTGGGGCTTGGAAGGCCCTGGAGGAGCCTCCTCTAGGACATGGGACCTGAAAAATCTCCTAGCTGGTGGTTGCCACTGTGAATCCCTCTCTCCAGGACAGAGAAACCTGACATTATCTGGGCCCCCACATTTGATCTGGCTTGTTCTAAATCAACTCTTGAGAGCCTGCCGTATAAAGAAGAAAGTGCCCTTTGGCTCACTGGGAGTAAGAAATACAGCCGTCAGGAGAAACAGAAAGTCCGTGCCTGCTGCAGGCATCCTCCTGGTCCACAGGAAACTCCACCAGGAAAGGCAATTATTACAGAAGAGAACACTGCTTGGAGTTGTGGACACTGTTGCCTACCCAGCTTCCATTCTCCCCTTCCTTCCTAATAGCACCCCAGTTTTAGCACCCCAGTTTTGTTCAGGTATCTGCCTGTCTACACATGCTTCAGGGAAAGCTGACCCATGCTCAGCCCCTTGCCTGCAGCTCCTGAGTGGGGGTTGGGAAGCTGATTTTTCAGAGAGTGATCCCATTGCATTTGCCAACTTGTGCATGGCATTTCCTGGCCCAAGGTTTACTTCAGGAATGGGTTTGTAATCAAATTCAGCCCAGTGAAATATGAGGATAAGTTTGGAGACTTCTGGGGAAGAAACGTGCTCCTGTTCTTTAAGGAAAGAACTACCAGAAGAGCCCTCATTCTCCTCCAGAGTGGCAAGCAGATATGGGAACTGAAACTTCAAGAACCATTTGGCTATCAGGAAGGAGGCAGCCTGACAACAAAGACAGCCCCAGAAGAGGATGTGATTAAGGAAATCAGAGAGAAACAGAGCCAGGTTGCTGGATCATTCTGATCCTGAAGCCTCCATTACATCTAATCACAGACTGCTGTGGTTGGCAGAGGGGTGCATCTTTGATTGCCGCTGGGGACGAAAGCAGAGTCCCGAAAGCAGATGTCCCAGCTGGGTCCCGCACCTCTCCCTGCCATTGCCCCCTGGGTCCCACTGATGTCCTGTTTCCAGTCCAGGATCCCATTCAGAATCCAACATGGCACTTGTCTCCTCCCATGTGGGGCAGTTCCCCCGTCTTTCCTTGTCGCTGTGACACTGGCCAGCTATTTTATAGGACATTTCTCACTTTGGATTTGTCTGATGTTTTCTCAGTATTAGATTGAGGATATGCATTTTTGGCACAAATGCCAAAGAAGTGATGCTGTGCGCCTCTCAGGACACTGTCAAGGGCGGGGTGATAATATGTCTCATTACTGGTCATGGTAGCTTGGATCACTTGGTTAAAGTGGTGTCTCTGAAGTTTCTCCACTGGAAAGTTGCTATTTTCCCTTTGTAATTAATAAATGTCCTGTGGGGGAGATGCTTTATGAGTATGTAAATATCCTGTTTCTCATCATATTTTTGCCTACTCATTTTAGCATCGGTTGATGATTCCTGGCTGCAACAGTTATTACCATAGTTTTTAGCAAATGGTGATTTTCTTTGTATATCACTCTTTCTGTATTTATTGATTGGAATTCTACTGTAAAAAAGAACTCTTTCCTCCATGTGTATTTATTCCATTATTTTTATATCTGTATGAACTCTTGGATGTTTCTCTTATTCTATGGGTTATAATTCATTGCAATTATTTTTACTCAAATTGTACCAGATTTGGGATCTGTACCCGATACTGGGAGCTCCTTAGTTGGCTCCTACGTGCTCCTATGTCCTTGGACATGCCCCATCCTTCTTTGATCCCTTCCTTACATTCTGGCACAAGATGCTCCAGGCTCATCTGGTATTCTCCCTGTCTCAGCCGTGGAATCAATTGTTTCTCTAAGAACCCTGACTTGTTTTGCTGGAGGATGATATTGAGAAAGTGAGATCTGGGCACCAGTCAGATTTAACTTGGTCAAATGAAACTGCAGAACTGTGCTGACAGGCGGGACAGTGTGGGAAGGAGGGGTCAGACTGCAGGGTCCAGGTGAGGGGCAGAGGGACAGACAGACTCTGAGAGGGAGGGCAGCTTGGCCTCTCAGTCCTTGGCTGGGAGCCCCTGTGGGGAGCACGGCTTGTGGATTCAGCACTGGCAGAGCTTGCCTCTAGGGTGTACACCTGGAGGCTGCAGTTGGGAGGGAGAGGAAAAACTTTTACTTTTTAAAAATCATAGGCATCTATTATTAATACTTTAAACATTAAATAATAAAAGCAGAAAAGGTCTACTTTTCTATTTTTTTTTAACAATGTCTAAAATTTTTGTTTCCTTTTCTCCAATTGAAGAACAGTGGAGTGGACGCAGATGGACTGTCAAATAACATGGGCTCTCACTGTGCCACGCGCACTGGTGCGGTGGGTCTTTGTGCAGGGATCCAGCTGCACTCCAGGGCCCGATCATGACATCCTTAAGGCTCAGAGCCAGAGGGGCTGCAGAGACCATCTTAGGCTGGGGCTTTCAAACTCTCCTGATTGCCACCCACAGCAAAGAAAAAGTCTATTTTATACCATGACCTACCATACAGACACACATTCAACCTAAAATTTTATAGCACAGTATTCACTCTTGTTATGTGTGACACATTCAATTTTCTATTCTATGCAGGTTATTTCCTGCTAGTTTGCCATACTCTTATTGTGCAAATGGGAAACTGAGGCCCTAAAAAGGGAAATGAGTGCCCAAAGGCTGCAGCTCTCCAGGATGCATTTACTAAGGGCCTGTCAAACCATGCTACATTTTTATAGCTATGGAGAGAAACAGGTCTGAATAATAAGGGTAGACTTTTAATTTAAGTGTCAAGAGCTGGATGAAATTAGCCTATGGGTCTTAAACCAGAGTTTTCCTGCCCTTATTCAAAAGCCCCAAATTCCTGATTATGGAGGCCTTAAGCTCTTTTAAATAAATGTTTTGTCCATAATCTGTTCATCCATCCACTTACTCAGCAAATGTCCTTAGATAGTAGTAGTGGGAGAGCACGCATGCAAGGGGAAGGGCCATCAGTCACCTAGAGAGACAGACATACAAACAGCCATACCTGGGCAGGACCTGGCAGTAATGGAGATGTGCACAGAGTGGGCAGGGAAGGTGCTGAGGCAAGCGGGAATGTGACCTTTGGAAGGTTACCTTCCTGAGCTTCAGTTTCCTTCCCCATAAAAGGGGGTGGGACCTGCCTCCTTGAGTTGTAACAAGCTCTGAGAACCTCCTGGCACAGTGCTCTGCCACTGTTGGAGAAGGAAGGCTCATGCCAGCCTGGTAAGGCCAGGAGCGTCTTAGGAGAGCTTGGCGTGGAGGCCTGCAGGCCTGCAGGATGGGAGGGCCCAAGGAGCTCCTGAGAATTTGGGGGCTGGAGAAGAGTGGCTGATGACAATGACAAGGAGAGCTGGGGATGCAGAGGCCACATGATGGAGGCCTTCTGTACTTGCCACAAACTGGAGTTTAAATTTAGCCCTGTAAGCAAATGCTGTGAGTAGAGGAGTGACACGGCCAGATCTAGATCCACCACATTGACTCAAACAAGGGATTTCTGTAGCCATAAGGAAGCTGGTAATCAAAACCTGACACTGTGCAGTGCTTGGAAGACATCCTGTTAGGTGACTCAGGTATATAACAGGGGGTTAGCATCTCAAGTGAACGGCTGATAGCAAGGGAAGGCAGGCTGAGGTGGGCAGGCAGCTGCACCTCATTCCTGAGACCATCCGGGGCAGGGCTTTTCTGACTGAGACACACGACCCTGACACCAGAGAGAATTCTGTATTTCCCCACCCTTGCAGGGGCTGCCCCTAGAGAATCCCATCGGGTGAGCCCAGGAACCCACAAGTTCTGCACCCCTCGGATGGGTAGGCATTTTGAGGGCATGAGGTAGGCGTTACAGTGATAAGATACACAGGGCTCTAAACCACAGAGGCCCCGGTTCAAATCCTGCCTCTTCTAAGTACAAATTAGTTGGCTTTGGGAAGTGAGTCAACTTTGCCCCGGGCTGCAGTTTCCTCGCTGTCAAATGCATGGGAGAGGGTGTGTGAAGAGTTAAAATGTATTTAGATTTCACTGTAGTGTCTCCTCCAACATGATCTCACACTCCTTTTACAGTATAAGCAGGCTGATGTCAGAGGCTGTGACTCGCCCAGGGCTACACAGTGGACAGGTGGCAGAGCCAGGAGCCAAGGGGTGGTCCACCTGCCTCCATGAACCCACGCTCCTCCCGCTACCCCTTCTGTGGCCAGGTGAGAAGCAGGGAGCTGGCACTGCCCCAACCCAGATTCCTCAGCAGGGAGGGCCTGGCCGCCTGGGCCCAGCCTGAAACCCGGGAGTCTGTTAACCTAGGCCCAGAGGCCAGAGTGCGCGGCGGTGATGAGTCACGCCAACCCGCTGCACCAGGAGACCCCTCTTCCCGGCCCACGCCCCGGCCGAGAGCTGGTTGCTGAGCAATAAGACATAACATATATAAATAGATGCGACTCCTGCTGTAACAGGGAGGCCCGATTCTTGGGCTGCTGTTTTTTCCTTGCCTCTCCTCTGCGCCCCTCGGCCTTCCTCCCAGCGGCTCCTGGTGCAGTCGGTTCCATCCTCAGCTAAGAGCTCCCAGCCCTGCGTGCCAGGGGACTGCCTTCAACAGGATGGTCCGGGATGGACGCGGGCTGGGCGTAGCTGCGCAGGGCAGGCCAGGGGCGTGGAAGGAGGCAGGGGCGCTCCGCCGGGCTGGACTTTTACCACCCGCGGGGGCTAGGCGAGGGCGGTGAAGCGGGCAGGACTGCGGGACACTGGATCAGAAGGGGCGGGTGGAGCCAGCTCCTGCGACTGGCGGGAGTGCGCCCGGTTCCCAGCAGCAGAGGGGCCTCTGCTGCCCTGCTCCCCATTCCCCTCATAAGTGACTCCTCCAAAGGGCACTTTTCTTATTCCACCTTGCATCACTGGTACTCACCTTCGCTGCAGAACGCCTTGCCAGCTTGCTTCCTGGCTGGGCCTGCTGTCTGCACAGTTGCCCTGCCCAGGTCTAAGACCGTGGGGCGTGGTCACAGGTACTATTTTAGGACTCCTCTCACCACAGGCACTGAACTTGGGGCTGCATATATATCACCCCATTACTCCTCAGAAGATACTGTAACGTAGGTATCTTTTATTGGCTGTATTGAGGCTTAATGCATCCATTTTAGGTGTACAATTTGATGAGTTTTGACAAAAGTATAGTCTTGTAACCACAATCACGATGTTCATGACACAGAATATTCCCATCACCCCAGGAAGAAGTTCCTGCCTCTTTGCAGACCATCCTCCCCTCTTGGCCCCTGGCTATATGTTTTGCCTTCACTAGAATTTCATATAAATGAAATTTATGTAAGATGTAATTTTTGTCTGGCTTCTTTCACTGAGCACAGTGCTTCTGAAATTCGTTCATGTCATCAGTGGTTTGCTCTTTTCTCTGCTAACCAGTTGATGAATATTTAGGTTGTTTATGACTATTATGAATAAAGCGTGTAGAAACATACATGTACAATTATTTGTGTGAACGTGTTTTCATTTCTCCTGAGGAAATACCTAACACTGGAATTGCTGTTTCATTAAGTTATTGTTATTCCCATTTTATAGATAAAAGATTGAAGCTCAAAGAGGTGAAGCAGCTTGCCTGAGCTCACACAGCATGGCAAAAATTCAAAGCCATGTCTGAGCTCTACACCAGGTAGTCACTTGTACAAAAAAGGTAATTTTTGGAGTCAAAGGTCCTTGATTGGTAGATAAATTACCACATATGGGCTGAATTCCACTGTATTCTGGTTTGTAGCTTGTGGAAATAGACACTGAGCCCAAGTTGCTGAGCACTACACGCAGAGAGGTCACTCTTTGAAGGCATTTCAGCAGGTGACTTCTGGGAGCTTAGGCTGCAGGTCTGCAAGGTTTTTGTTAGTGTTGTGAAGGTAGTGTTGGCCAGGTTTCTCCACTGTAAAGTCATGATTACTCCACTATAATTACTAAATTGAGAGGAGAGACATTGAGACTAAGAATCCGATTCATTGAGCTTTCACCCACTAGTTTCAATACCCAGCGTGAATTCCTAACTCCTTTCCTTTCCCATTTACTAGTTGTATTATTCTGTTAGGGAGAGCTTTTCCTTCTTCCTCAGTTATGTTTATATAACTATGTCCTCAAGGATTTTATTCTATGGAATCTAATCCATTACCATCATTGTTTTAATGTTTGATGTGTTCCAACTTTGGCCAGAAGCAGTCTCATTAAACTGACTTCTATGTCCTTTTAACGTGCTCCTGTGATTCTCTGAGCACTTCCTTACTCTCAGGTATAAGATATTCCAAGCTCTTGCTCTTCTCCTGTACCAGCCCTGGTCCCTTTTAGTAGAGAATGACATTTAGAAACCAAGATCTGGGTGTGAGATGAACTTCTGGGTACTGGGATGTCACAGCTTCTACGCCACCTCAGTCTGCAGGTTTTTAAGGCAGCAAGTGAGGTGAAAGGCAGGGCCATGAGATTGGAGTTGTAAGCTACGGACTCAGCAAAATCAGGCTGCTGGTGGTAGGATGTCTATAACAAGTGCAGTGAGCTCACTCATGGGCTCACAGGGTGGTGGAACTGGGCAGTCAGTCCAACCAGGCAGTGGTTTCTCCACTCAGAAACACCTCTGTAGGCCGGGCACGGTGACTCACGCCTGTAATCCCAGCACTTTGGGAGGCTGAGGCAGGCAGATCACCTGAGGTCAGGAGTTCAAGACCAGCCTGGCCAACATGGCAAAAAACTCTGTCTCTACTAAAAATACAAAAATTAGCTAGGCGTGGTGGCATGCACCTGTAATCCCAGCTACTTGGGAGGCTGAGGCAGGAGAATCACTTGAACCCGGGAGGCGGAGGTTGCAGTGAGCCAAAATTGTGCCACTGCACTCCAGCCTGGGCAACAGAGTGAGACTCTGCCTCAAAAAAAAAAAAAAAAAAAAAGAAAGAAAGAAAGAAAGAAACACCTTTGTAAATTTTACACATTTATAAATCTTTCAGCTCTTTCTGCCTTGCTGTAAATTACTTCCATGACAGAGGACCTGGGAGGCTGGTTTTCTAGGATGGTGGGAGGGTCAGGGACAGTGTGGGGGACACATGGAGAAGGGTGGCCTCAGGGGCTTCACATTGTGGACTGCCACGGTGATGGGAAACTTCACAGATCTCTCTTGGCAGACACTCTGCTGTCCTCAAGGCTGATCAGCTGGCTGGCTTGGGAGAGAGCCAATGACTGGAGGGGACCTCAGGAATCAGAGGTGGTGACTCATAGTGGGAGGCCACAGTCTCAGAGTCTGGTTCTCTGAAAAGAACCACGCCTTCCGATGGTGTTTGGCACCTTCCATTCTGAAGGGCCTGCTGGCTCTGGGGTCCACCGGGGCTGAGGCAGTCCTGGGCCTGTTGTGGGCAGTGGGTGGGAACAAGTGCCATCTATCTCCAGTGGCTTTCATGTGCGTCACCCTGCTGGCCTCCACCACAATCTTGGGAGCAGGATGCCTTTTTTTGTCTTCCAGACATTGAGGCTGAGAAGAGCAGGCACAGGTCTCCGCCGACTCTCGTGTTCTTCACAGTGCAGCCTGGCCAGAGTTACCTGGCCCAGCTGGCAGCCGGCGTGTGAGGCCACAGGGAGCCTGCTCTCTGAAACTGAGCAGCCTTGGCAGTCTGGAGGGCCCAGGGGACAGTGGCATTCTGCTTCTCAGGACAGACTCTGTGCAGCTGAGCTTCAGCCAGGCTAGCCTATGGTGAAGAACCAATGCCAACCTTTGTGACTTGACTTGCAGGAAGCAGTTGGGGAAGGATCTACATCGCACTGGGTCGAGGCATATGCTGAGCTGTGAGGATGAAGATAACTACCTCCTCACTCATTTCTGCAACATGGACCCCCTGGATGGTGCACTGAGAGGGCTTAGCATCCTCCAAACCGCCCAGAGAGGGGCTCAGAGGGCTTGGATGAAGGAAGCCTGTGGTGTCAAGGATGGCAAGGCTGATCTTGGAGGCAGAGGGGCAGCTGAAATTGGCAAGACAGGGAGTGGTGCCCTGGTGCATTAGGCAGTGGGGAGGGGCTCTGGGATGGGCATTTGGGAGGTACCATGGAACAGAGTGAGGGAGAGCCTGTCAGGTGGTTCTGAGGTCCTCTCTGGCTGCTCCATTAAGTGTCCTTGGGGCCTGGTGACAGCCACCTGACCTTTCTCTGCCACTTTTTCCTTATATGTGAATTGAAAATTATGGGAAGACAATAAGATAATTAAACAGGAGAAAGGGAAGAAACAGACAATTCTCTTCTTGCTGTCAAGACAAAGACACTGGAAGTAAGGAGTGGACCATCAGACCATTAGGGGGATGCTGCAGTGGTGGAGAACATAAGTAGGCTCCCAGCAAATAGCCAACTTCCGAAAAATGGGTTATCCTTGTTAGCAATTTGGCATTTTTTTAAAAAAAATTTATCAATAAATAATAACTTTTATTTTGAGAAAGAGTCTCACTCTGGTGCCCGGACTGGAGTACAGTGGCACAATCACAGCTCACTGCAACCTCTGCCTCCCAGGCCCAGGCTTTTTTTTTTTTTTTTTTTTTTTTTTTTGTAGAGACAGGGTTTTACCATGTTGCCCAGGCTGGTCTCCAACTCTATAGCTCAAGCAATCCGCCTGCCTCGACCTCCCAAAGTACTGGAATTACAGGCATGAGCCACTGTGCCCAGACAATACATAATAATTGTACATATTTATCAGGTACATGTGATATTTTGATACATGCATACAATGTGCAATGACCAAATCAGGGTATTTAGGATATCTACCGCTTTGAACATTTATCATTTCTTTTTGTTAGAAACTTTCAGAACTTTTATTCTAACCATTTCAATATATATATTATTGTTAACTATAGTCACCCTACTGTGCTATCAAACACCAGAACTTACTCCTTCTATTTAATTGTATGTTTGTACCCATTAACCAACCTCTCTTTTTTCCCTCGTCCTCCTCACCGCTCACCCTTCCCAGCCTCTGGTAACTATCATTCTACTCTCTACCTCCATGAGATCAAATGTTTTATTAGCTCCACATATCAGTGAGAACATACAATATTTTTCCTTCTGTGCCTTGAGTATTTCACTTAACATAATGATCATCCGTGTTGCTACAAATAACAAGATTTCATTGTTTTCAATGGCTTCATAGTATTCCATTGTGTATATATACCACATTTTCTTTTCTTTTTTTTTTTTTGAGACGGAGTCTCGCTCTGTCGCCCAGGCTGGAGTCCAGTGGTGTGAACTTGGCTCACTGCAAGCTCTGCCTCCCGGGTTCACGCCATTCTCCTGCCTCAGCCTCCCGAGTAGCTGGGACTACAGGCACCCGCCACAATGCCTGGCTAATTTTTTTGTATTTTTAGTAGAGTCGGGGTTTCACCGTGTTAGCCAGGATGGTCTCGATCTCCTGACCTTGTGATCCGCCCACCTCAGCCTCCCAAAGTGCTTGGATTACAGGCGTGAGCCACCGCGCCCGGCCCACATTTTCTTTACTCATTCAACTCTTGATGAACACTTGGGTGATTCCATATCTTGGCTATTGTGAATAGTGCTGCAATAAACATGGGAATGCAGCTATCCCTTTGATATACTGATTTCCTTTATTTTGGATAAATACCCAGTAGTGAGATTGCTGGATCATATGGTAGTTCCATTTTGAGTCTTTTGAGAAATCTCCATACTGTTTTCCACAGTGGTTGTACTAATTTACATTCTACCAACAGTGTATAAGAGTTTCCTTTTCCGGCTGGGCGTGGTGGCTCACGCCTGTAATCCCAGCACTTTGGGAGGCTGAGGTGGGTGGATCACCAGGTCAGGAGATCGAGACCATCCTGGCCAACATGGTGAAACCCCGTCTCTACTAAAAGTACAAAAATTAGCTGGGCATGGTGGCACGTGCCTGTAATCCCAGCTACTCAGGAGGCTGAGGCAGGAGAATTTGCTTGAACCTGGGAGGCGGAGGTTGCAGTGAGCTGAGATTGTGCCATTGCACTCCAGCCTGGACAACAGAGCGAGACTTCAACTCAAAAAAAAAAAAAAAAAAAAGCCTACAAAAATTAGCCAGGGATGGTGGCACACACCTGTAATCCCAGCTACCTGGGAGGCTAAGGTGAGAGAATCACTTGAACCTGGGAGGTGAGGGTTGCAGTGAGCCGAGATGACACTACTGCACTCCAGCCTGGGTGACAAAGCGACACCCTGTCTCAAAAAAAAAAAAAAAAAGAAAAAAGAAACTACTTATGCCATGTGAAGTGAAAACTGTAAGATACAAAATTGCATGTATAGGACAGATCACAACTATTAATACCTAAGAACGATTTAAAAACGTATCTAAAAATAAAAAAATACCAGCACAACAAAGATTTACGAATAGAGAAAAAATTGAATAGAAACAGAACTATAGAAGGAATGAGCTTTTTCTTTTCCTCCTGTTTTCCATATTTTCTATTATAAATATGTGTAACAATGGAAAATATATAACAAACATAATGTTAAAGTAAGAAGTTAATGTACTAGCAACTGATGGATAAAAGAATTAGAGCTGATCAAGATCACAGAGAATTCAAGACAACTGTCTGTTAGAAATCTTGTCACATTGCCTCTTTCCACACTTAGAAAACTTTGTGGGCATTCCACACAGCAGAAATCCCAGAAATAACTTTTGTTTGGCTGTGGCAGCACTGTGAACTTTTAAAAATCAGATTTACTAATGTTTTGCTTCTTGTAACAGTGAAGTGGCCCTGGGGATAATCATAATAGATTTGTGGAACATCATTTATATATGGGGTAGGCCCTACAGTCCACTCTGGTCCCCCAAGTCTTGCCTCTCCATGAGCTTCTCAGAGCCAACACAGTTGGCTGCTAGGCAACAACCATCCATCTCTCAGCTCCTTTGTAACCTAATCCGGCTTCTGCTTAGATATAGCCAGGCAGTGTGCCCAGCCCCCGGTGGTCCTCGTGTGGGCTGAACCCATCATGGTGATCCTGACTTCTATGCATGCATAACCATGTGACCCAACTCCAGCCAACAAGATACTATTAGCAGTCAGTTCAGCTACC
The DNA here is from genome assembly GCF_000001405.40 of Homo sapiens. Taxonomy (NCBI): domain Eukaryota; kingdom Metazoa; phylum Chordata; class Mammalia; order Primates; family Hominidae; genus Homo; species Homo sapiens. The sequence continues at coordinate 127,394,594 of NC_000002.12, read as the reverse complement.
AGGGACAGTCATTTACATCTCCCATGAGAAACTACACAGCCCTGTGGTCCAGATTAGGGAGGGGATTCTGCTCCCAGAGCCACCATTCCTGTGTATGCCCCATGTCCTGACTCTCCAAGATGGCCTGCAAGTACTCCAGTGTGGGAGGAAGGGACGAGGAAAGATGTAAAAGCAGTAGTCTCTTAAGAAAGGGACTCTCAGTGAAGGTCCCTGGATGGACACACTTCAGTTGACTTCCCTTTTGCCATTACTTAGTCACCTGGTCACATTTAGCTGCAAGGGAGGCTAGGGAATGAACTCTTTATTATGAGAGTCCTATATGCTCAGATAAAATTTGATTACAATGGGAAGAGGAGAATGAATTTGGGGGCACAATTAGCAGACATTGCTGCAAAAACAAAATGGGTAGTCTTCTGGGAGGCTGATGGGAAACACTATTTTTTTTTTTTTGAGACAGAGTTTCACTCTTGTTGCCCAGGCTAGAGTGCAATGGCATGATCTCAGCTCACTGCAACCTCCGCCTCCCAGGTTCAAGCAATTCTCCTACCTCAGCCTCCTGAGTAGCTGGGATTACAGGCATATGCCACCATGCCCAGCCAATTTTTTGCATTTTTAGTAGAGATGGGGTTTCTCCATATTGGTCAGGCTGGTCTTGAACTCCTGACCTCAGGTGATCCACCTGCCTCGGCCTCCCAAAGTGCTGGGATTACAGGTGTGAGCCACTGCGCCTGGCCCTGGAAATACTATCCTTAATGAAAAGAGAATCCTTAGCACACCTAGCACCAGATATTGGTCTCTAACACCATTCTCCAACAAAAGAAACCAGGGCCCTTTGGAAAAATGGCTGATTCTAGACTGGGACAGGAAATATTCAAGATGATTTTGGAGCGCTGGCAGTGCCAGAAAGCAAAGAAGTGCTGAAAAAGGAAAAAAAAAATCATAATGATGGGTGTCAAAGGGACACAGGAGACAAATCAAAGAGCTACCAATGGCCAAACCCAGAATAATTAGAGCAACAAAATAAGTAATGTAGTATTAGATTATAACCCAGAGCATAAGTTATATACCCACAATTCTATATTAATATAAATAAAAGATTACATAAGTAAACAGGAGAGAAGAGACAGATCTCACATGCAGAAGAATTCCTAGTAATTTATGCAGATACTTCACACACAAGGAGGTGGAGCATAGCTCCCCACTCCTTAGGTGTGGGCTGAGCATAGTGACTTCCTTGCAAAGAGTATAGTATGGAAAGAGGTGAATAAAGAGTAGCTTTATGGGGGAGAAACCTGACAAACACTATCTCAGGCAGGTGATCAAGCTCAACACCAAGTCATAAATCATACTGACAGTATATACCTGCTATGGTTTGAATATGTCCCCCAAAGGTCATGTTTTGGAAACTTGATCCCCAATGCAACAATGTTAGGAGGTAGGACCTTTAAGAGGTGTTTAAGTTATGATTAAGTTATGAGGGGAGAGCCGTCATGAATGGATTAATGTCATTATCTAGGGTGGGCACCTTATAAAAGGATGAGTTTGACTCTTCTTGCTCTTTCTCTCATCTTCTCTTTGCCCTTCCCCCACAGGATGACACAGCAAGAAGGTTCTTGCCAGATGTGGGCCCCTCAATCTTGGACTTCCCAGCCTTCAGAACTGTGAGAGATAAATTTCTGTTCATTACACATTACCCAGTCTGTGGTATTTTGTTACAGGGCACAAAATGGACTAAGACAATGGACTACCTTTGATAGGATGTGATAAAGATGGCACTTTACTTCAGTGGTCTCCTTCCCCAGAACCCATAACCTCAGTGTCATCATGAGAAAAACATTACATGATTCACAATTGAAGAATATTCTACCAAACACCTAACCAGTATTCCTTAGCACAAGGCCATCAAAAACAAGGGAACTCACAGCCAAGAGAAGCCTAAGGAGACGTGATGACTAAGCATAGTGTGGGCTCCTGGAACACAAAAAGGGCATTAGGAAAAAACTGAGGACATCTGAATAAAGTATGGACTTCAGTTAATGACAATGCATCAATATTGGTTCACTAGTTATGACAAATGTACTATACTAATAATACAAGTTCGTAATAATAGGTGTATTAGTCTGTTCTCACATTGCTATAAAGAACTACCTAAGACTGGGTAATTTAAGAGGAAAAGAGGTTTAATTGACTCACAGTTACACAGGCTGTACAGAAAGCAAGGCTGGGAGGCCTCAGGAAACTTCAATCATGATGGAAAGTGAGGGGGAAGCAGGCACATCTTACCATGGCAGAGCAGGAGAGAGAAACATCAAAGGGGGAAGTGCTGCACACTTTTAAACAACCAGATCTTGTGAGAATTCACTTGCTATCACAAGAACAGCAAGGGGGAAATCTACCCCCATGAGCCAATCACCTCCACCAAGGCCCCTCCTCCAACACTGGGAATTACAATTTGACATGAGATTGGGTGGCCATACAAAGCCAAACCATATCAATAGGAGAAAATGAATGCTGAATGTGGGTATAGGAGAAGTCTCTGTACTATTGTCTCAGTTTTTCTGTAAACCTAAAACTGTTCTTGTAAACAAAAAATAAAATTCTAAGGCCCCCAACCACCTGAATAGACCCCTCCTCTTGGCCAAGGGCACTCCAATGTTAACCTGAAAAACCTAGTTCAGGCTGTGAAGGAAAGGGGGAGCTGGACATGCCTCATTCTACCCTCTTCCCTTTTGGAATTTCTGACAGAACAGACTCTTTAAGTTCAATAAGAAACATGTACAATCTATTGTCTCTGAAGCCTGCTATCTGGAGGCTTCATCCACATGATAAAACCTTGGTCTCCATAACCCCTTACGGTAACCCAGAAATTATCTTCTATTGATAGTAACTCTTTCAACCAATTGCCAATCAGAAAATCTTTGAATCCATCTATGAGTTGGAAGCCCCCACTTCCAGTTGTCCTGACTTTCTGAACCAATGTACACTTTACATGTATTGCTTGATGCTTCATGTCTCCCTAAAATGTATAAAACCAAGCTGTAATCTGGCCACCTTGGGCACATGTTCTCATGATCTCCTGAGGGCTGTATCACAGGCCATGGTCACTCATACTTGGCTCAGAACAAATCTCTTCAAATATTTTATAGAGTTTGACTCTTTCGTCAACATTCTAAAATAAAAAGTTTATTTTAAAAAAGAATGAGGGAAAGAAACAGAGGGATGGTTCCCCCTTCTTTACTGTGTGGGAGGTCATGTTTGGAGCTGAGGTGGCCGTCCATTGATTCTCAATATGCCTGTTCACAGCCCTAACCAACCTTGGATCCATCCACTGGATTTTTGTTATGTGACAAAATCAACCTCACTGTTTAAGCTGTTTTGGGCCAGGTGTCTTGCTCGCTGCAGTTGAATGCATCCCAACCAATAGTACTCGTATCATTTTCATGGCCACAGCTGTGGTTTAGACCTTTAGACTTTCATCTCCCTTCCCAGCAATTTGGCCTGCTCTAATATTCCTCCTTCCCAATCTCCTGGCAGCTCTCTTCCTTCTCTAGCTTCACCCCCTGCCTGCATTTCTCTCAACACCCAGTGGCCAGCAACTCTTGCCATTCCTAGGCAGGGCACGTTCCCTCATACTTCCAAGCTTGGACACACTTGATTCCCTCTGCCTGGAATGCGTACTCCTCCATCCTTATTTCTTCCAGCAAATAACTACCCCCGTTCAAGTTTCAGTTGCCAGCCATGGCACAATATGTGGCCAGCAAGATTCTAAGATGTCCCTGCAGATCCCTGACGGCTGGTGTACATAGCCTGCATAACCCTCAGTACTGTGAATATAATGGATTATACTCCTATGATCAGGTTATGTTATGTGACACTGTTGATGTTAAGAATAGATTATCTCAGTGGGCCTGATCTAATCATATGAACTCTCTAAAAGCCGGGTGCAGTGGCTCATGCCTGTAATCCCAGCACTTTGGGAGGCTAAGGTGGGCAAATCACGAGGTCAGGGGTCCGAGACCAGCCTGACCAACATGGTGAAAACCTGTCTCTACTAAAAATACAAAACTTAGCTGGGCGTGGGGGTGGGTGCCTGTAATCCCAGCTACTCAGGAGGCTGAGGCAGGAGAATCACTTGAACCTGGGAGGCGGAGGTTGTAGTGAGCCGAGATTGCGCCATTGCACTCCATCCTGGGCGACAGAGTGAGACTCTGTCTCAAAAATAAAAAAATAAATAAAAATAAAAGCAGAGAGTTTTCTCTGGCTGGTAGCAAAAGAGGAAGTTAGAGAGAGATCTGATGTAGGAGGATGTTTGGCACGCAAGAAGGTCTCTGTCGCTGGCTTTCAAGATGGAAGGGGTCATGTGGCAAGGAATGCAGGTGACCTCTAGGAACTGAAGGCAGGCCCAGGAAATAGGGATGTCAATCCTACAACCACAGGAAACTGAATTGTGCCCCAAAGAAGAATGAGCTTGGAAGATCTTTGCAAGGGCCTCTAGATAAAAAGTCAGCCCAGCTGATACCTTGATTTCAGCCTTGCAATATACCCTGAGTAGAGAACTCAGCCTTGCCCCTGTGCAAACTTCTGATCTGTATAACTGGGAGCTAAAAAACAGACACTGTTTTAAGTCACTAAGTTTGTGGCAGTTTGTTATGCAGCAACAGAAAAGGAACATGCCACATTTCCTCTCTGAAGTCATCTCTCACTTCCCCAGACACACCTGTGACATCTTCCTCTTGCTGCTGTGGTGCCTGATACACATCCCTCCCATGATGCAGGTCACAGTGTGTTATCATTATCCATTTACCTGTCTGCCTTCCTCACAGGATTCTGAGTTCCTGGGCAGTGGGGACTATATAATTTTATCACTGCAATCCCAGGCACAGAGTAGGAAGGCAAAAAAATATTCATTGAATGATGGTTTCATCAATAAAAAAATCCCAATATCACTAATTTGTAATCATATATACTAAAATAACCAAAGATGTCAGAGATTTAATATCTAAGCAAGAGGAAAAGTCACCAATATAAAAGGAGAATGGCGAAAAAGAAAGAATAGCTACTATAACTATACCCACGGGATGTTTCTGAGGAACCCAGAGGTGAATGAAGTCCCCGGGGTGGTAAGTGAGGGAAGGGAGTGGAGAAATGAGCAGCACTATGAGGGGAAAAAATTTATCTCTAGATTACTTAGTAAACAAACACGTTTTTATTGAATGCCTGCTATGTGGTGACCCAGTAACTGTGGAGAACAATATAGATATTTAAGATTTAAATACTATCCTCCGGCGTTCTGAGACCCTCCTTTCTGTGGCATACAGGTCTTAGAATGTTAGATTCAAGAAGGTCTTAGATTTATGCATAAGTCCCCCATTTTTTAAACAAATAGAAGCAAACTGATTTTCCACTGACCTCTGTGTTTCTGAGGTGCACATCCTTGTTCCTGTGACTTTGACACCTCTGTTAATGGGTCTGTAATAAAAATTCCTGGAAGAAACCCAGAGATATTTTGACATTACACAACAGTTTCTCCCTCAGTCTCTGCCCCACAAGTGCCAGCTCCCTTGACCCTCAGAGCCCAAGTTGGGTAGCTCCTTACCTCTGGTTCGGGTGAGTCCCATTCCCATCTCTCTCATTTCAACTGCTCCAGTGGAAATGTGGTCTGGAATATGCATGAAAGGGGTGGATCCAGAATGTACGAAGAAACCAAGAAGAAGCTGAACAGGGAAGAATGGTACAGGAAGTTGTAAGGGGTATTTAAGGAAAGGAGAAGAGATGGGGCGGAAAGGTGCTTTCTGGATCAAAGTAGGGTGAAAACGTCGGGATGCAGGTTAGTCACACCACGGAGGGCCTCACCACTAGTCTGATTAATTTGCATTTTATCCTGTGGGAGATGAGGAGCGAAAGAAAGGGTTTTAGACTCTAGCTTTGGGGGTGGGGTGTCAACTCATGTCTCTGGGCTTAAGTTTCCACATCTGTTAAGCTGGAGAAGTAATACTTGCTGGGCTAACCAATGTACACAACCAGTCATAACCAAGTATCGATGGTGATAAGAACTAAACAGAAAACACAAATAACACTTAGCCAGTCTCCAAGGGGGTGGTTTAAGGTTAGGTGGCAAGCCTGAAGTAATTTCTAAAGTCCCTCAGGAAAAAAATTCTGAAACTTGAGCCACAAATTAAGAGGCAGACGGCTTTTCTCCTTGCAAATGACCTGCCACACAGTCCGTCACTGCCTCTGCTAGCTCTGCTACCCTTGGGCCCTGTCCACAGCCCACGTGGGAGACCTTTTCACGGGATCTACTCGGATGTCTGGGATCTGGCCACTACCGCAGGCTCGAGACAACCCAGGTGCGTATGCGCCGCGCACACGGAACAGCACAGGCTGCCCCGGGGCAGGGGCGGGGGCGGGGCCGAGGCCGGGGCGGAGCCAGGACTGGGAATCCCCGCGCCGTCCGGCCGGTGGGGGCGGTGGCCTGTGTGTGGGCGTGGCGGGCCTCTGCGCAGGCGCCGACCCACTCCCCTGGGCCGGGCGCGCGCCCGCGGCGGGTTCCGCTACCGCCGGGCGGAGGGGTGCGCGCGCACGAGCGAGCGGCCGTGACGTGCGCCGCGCTACGCCCGACGTCACGGGTCCGTGTGTAGTGGCTGCCGGGCTGCCTGCCCTCAGCGGCGGCGCCTGACGAGGGTGCCGCGGCCGCTGGGCGCAGCGTTCGGGGGTTGCACGGCCCGCGGCGGCGACGAAAACAACGACCAGGACGCTCGGCGCCCCTGTCCGCAGAGTCGCCACTCCCGCCTCTTCTCCGGTCTCTAGCGACGCGGGCCCGCGGCTTCCTCCTTTCCTGCCCAGTTCCCGCGGGCCTCGGGGTTGCAGCGGCTAGAAGTGCCGAGGAGCGCCAGGAGGACCCGGCCGGCTGCGAGGATTCACGCGCCCGCCACCCCGCCCGGCCCGGGCTTCATGTGAAAGAGGGACGGGCCTGGCCCCAAGGCCCGCGCCCGACTCCTCGCGCGCCCCTCCGGTCCCCGGGGGCCCTGCGGCAGCCCCCGACCTGGGGCCGCGGTGACAGGCCGCGCTGGGGCGGAGGGGCGGGCTCGGCGGGGGCGGCCCCTCCTTGGGCCTGCGGCTCTCTACGTCCCTGCGGAGCAGCCGGTACGTGCGTGTGTGCGTGCGCGCGCGCTTGTGTGTGTGTGTGTGTGTGTGTGCGCGCGTGTGTGTCGGGGGCCGCGGGCTGGGCGCCGGGAGGGGGGCTGGCGGCGGCCTAAGCGCCGCTCCAGGGGCGGAGATTTCGCTGGGTGATTGCCTAGCTGCGGGAGGGCGGACCTTGGGCCCCCTGCATCCAGTCCTAAAGCCCAGGTCAGCGCGAAGTAGGCTGCTGGGCTGTGTTAGCTGTCAGACACGTACCCTGCAGAGATTTTAGAAGAAAGGTTGCATCTGGTCTTGGGATGAAGCAGAAATGGTACATGCAGTAAGCGAAAAAGTGCTTGTCTTTGCACTGTCACAGTGTGGTAATCTTTTGATGTAAGGTTGTTTCCCCCTTTTCTCTTTACGGAATATTTAGGTAGCACTTAGGGTGCTCTTAGTCTGCGCCCGGCAGTTGTCATGCATTATCTCTCTTCATCTTCCCAGCTCAATGAGGTGGGTAAATTGCCCCATTTTGCAGGTGAAAACTTGAGGCTCAGAGAGATTAAGGCATTTGTCCAAGGTCATGAAGGTAGTAATCCAGGAAGGCTTGGTTCGAATATGCAGATGTCTTTTTGTAAGACTGTATTTCTCGTCTTGCAAAAAATAAATACGTTTAGAAAATGAGACTAACTGGGCAGTTTCTTTAATGGGATAAATTCTAAACACATAGACAGATACAGTTTAGTTTTCCCTAACGTAAGCTCTTCGATATCTTTTGCCAAATCATTTTCTTGGCTTTAAAAAAAATTTAAAAGATGGCTTCAGATACCTTTACTTTTTATGTACTAGTACTGGACAGAAAAAAATTATTCTCTCACAAAAAATAAATACATTTGGTAAAACTGCATAGATCTTGAAAAGTCACAAATTTACTTTTGTAGTTTGACCTTGATGCCCAAAGGGAACTCACAGTTGGGTTATTTGCTTGAGATTTCCTTGTTGCAAAATTTGTTGCTGGATTATGTGGCAATTTAGTGATTTGTTCGTTGTCTTATGCAATCTTTTTTAGTTCGATGTCAAATTTTAATGCGTAGAATATCGTAGGAAGTTTGATGGTGTGATTCTTTTTCATTTGTATGGAGTGCTACTAGTCAGTGTTTATAAGTTAACTGAAAATTCTCATTTTAGCATGAGTTTTGTATTTTTTAAAACTATGGTGAGAGGAAAAAATAAGGAGCCAGAGCTCTGTACTGAAAAAAAGTCGATACATTTCCTTTGAGTAATTGAAGCTCTATGCATAATTGCAAATGTTTAACAAATCTATTGATGCCCAGTTATATTACTCTGTAATTTTCCTAGTATATTATCAAGTTGAAGAAAATTTGTGGTCTTGCAGTCTCTGTGGAGAAAAGGTGAAATTACAAAGTTAACATGTGGATGGTTTACAGATTGATTTGTTGTTTGGTTAAAATATAAACATGTTGAATCTTATTGAATTATGTTGTATATGATATCATTATAGAATGGTTATCCATGTGCCTCTTTTGAGAAACTAGCTGTTAAAGGCTTATCTTAAATAATTGGATTGCATTAGAGACTGAGTCTTATAAGCAATGTTTTAGGGGGAGCTTTTGTTTCTAGTTTACTTTATTGGTACCAAAGGGTTAAACTAACAGGTGCTGTATTAAAATAAAGTCATGTTTGATACTCTGCATTTCCTACAGCGTTGGTTTCAGGTTGATTTTCTCTTTCCCTATAGAATTGGAGCTATTTCCCCCCACCTCCCACTTTTTATTATCAAACAATTTCAAGCATACAGAAAATTTGGTAATAGTAAACCACTTGTATCTTGACCCTCTAGATTAAACATTTGTTGTTATCTTGCCATATTTGCTTTATCTATAGGTACATGTACAGGCATACCTTAGAGAGATTGTGGCTTTGGTTCCAGACCACTGCAATAAAGGAAAAGAAGTGAGTCACATAAACTTTTTAGTTTCACGGTGCATATAGTTATGTTTACAATATACTGTAGTCTATTGTGTGCAATGGCATTATGTCTAAAAAAAGTATATACCTTAATTAAAAAATTATTTATTGCTAAAAATTTCTAAAGAAATTTGAGCCTTTAGGGAATTGTAATCTTTTTGCTGGTGGAGGGTCTTGCCTCCATGTTGATGGCTGCTGACTAGTAAGGATGGTTGATAAGGGGTGGTTGTTGAAGTTTGGGATGGCTGAGGCAATTTCTTAAAGTAAGACATTAGTGAAGTTTGCCGCATCGATGGACTCTTCCTTTCAGGAAAGATTTCACTCTGGCATGTGATACTGTTTGATAACATTTTACTCACCATAGAACATTTTTCAAAATTGGAGTCAGTCCTTTCAAACCCTTCATCAACTAATTGCTTATCACCTATCATCTAAGTTGCTTATCGTTGCTTTATCAACTAAGTTTTTGTAATCTAAGTCCTTTGTTGCTACTTCAATAATATTCACATCATCTTCACTAGGAGTAGATTCCATCTCAAGAAGCCACTTTCTGTCCAGGCGTAATGGGGTCACGCTTATAATCCCAGCAGTTTGGGAGGCTGAGGCAGGAGGATTGCTTGCGCCAAGGAATTCAAGAACAGCGTGGGCAACATGGCAAAATCCCATTAAAAAAATATAGAGGTTAGCCGGTTGTGGTGATTTGGGAAGCTGAAGCAGGGAGAGTGCTTGAGCCGGGGAGGGGAGGTCAGGGCTGCAGTGAGCTGTGGCAGTGCAGACCAGCCTGGGCAACAGAGCAAGACCCTGTCTTAAAAAAAAAAAAAGGCCACTTTGTTTCCTCATCCATAAGAAGCAACTTTTCATCTGTTCAAGTTTTAGCTCTGCTTCTAATTGTAGTTCTCTTGCTCTTTCCGTCACATCTACAGTTACTTCCTCCACTGAAGTCTTAAACCCCTCAAAGTCATCCATGAGGGCTGGAATCAGCTTCTTCCAAATTCCTGTTAATGTTGATATTTTGACCTCCTCCCATGAATCATCAGTGTTCTTAATGGCATCTAGAATGATGAATCCTTTCCAGAAGGTTTTCAATTTACTTTGCTCAGATCTGTCAGAAGAATCTGATCACTGTCTATGGTAGTTATAGCCTTACAAAATGTATTTCGTTTGTTTTTCTTTTTTTAGTTTCACAGTGCGTATAAAGTTATGTTTACAATATACTGTAGTCTGTTAAGTGTGCAATGACATTCTAAAAAAGCAATATATATATATATATATATATCAATTAAAAATTATTTGTTGGCCGGGCACGGTGGCTCACGCCTGTAATCCCAGCACTTTGGGAGGCCGAGGCGGGCAGATCACGAGGTCAGGAGATCAAGACCATCCTGGCTAACAGGATGAAACCCCGTCTTTACTAAAAATACAAAACAAACAAACAAACAAAAAAAACCACTAGCCGGGCATGGTGGCGGGTGCCTGTAGTCCCAGCTACTCGGGAGGCTGAGGCAGGAGAATGGCGTGAACCCGGGAGGTGGAGCTTGCGGTGAGCAGAGATGGCGCCACTGCACTCCAGTCTGGGTGACAGAGCGAGACTCCATCTCAAAAAAAAAAAAAAAAATTATTTGTTGCCAAAAAAATGCTAGAAGAACATCTGAGCCTGGCTCAGGCTAGCCTAATTTTTTTATTTTTATTTCTATTTTTAGAGTTAGCATCTCAATGTGTTGCTCAGGCTGGTTGCAAACTCTTTGCCTCAGATGGTCCTCCCACTTTGGCCTCCCAAAATGTTGAGATTACAGGCATGAGCCACTGTCCTGGCTGTATTTCTTAAATTAGGAAATGCATCCAAGTTGGAAAAGTCAAAATACCCTATTCCCTGATGACATGATCTCTGTCATATTTAGAAAAACCTAAGGATGCCACCAAAAACCTCTTGAATTTGACAAATAATCCAGTAAAGTGTCAATACAAAATCAGTGTACAAAAATGAGGAGCATTTCTATACACCAATGACGATCCAACTGAAAACTAAATCAAGAAAGCAATCTTCAAAAAAAGAAAAAATCCACCTAGAAATGTATTTAACCAAGGAGGTAACAGATCTCTATAAGGAGAACTACAAAGTCCTGATGTAAGAAATTCTAGATGACACAGACAAACGGAAAAACATCCCATACTCGTTGATTGGAAGAATCAGTTTTGTCAAAGTGACCATACAACCTGATATGGGTTGTTTATTTGTCTCCTCCAAGTCTCATGTTGAAATGCAATCCCCAGTGTTGGAAGTGGGGCCTGGTGGGAGGTGACTGGATCATGGGGGTGGGTGCCTCATGAATGGCTTAGCAGCGTCCCCTTGATGATGAGCAAGTTCATGTGAGATCTGGTTGTTTAAAAATGTGTGGCATCTCTCCACTCTCTCACTTGCTCCTGCTCTTGCCAAGTGAGGTCCTTGCTCCCACTTTGCCTTATGTCATGAGACCTCACCAGAGGCCAAGCAGGTGCCAGCACCATGCTTCCAGTCCAGCTTGCTGAACCGTGAGCCAATTAAACCTCTCTTCTTTATAAATTACCAAGCCTGAGGTTTTTCTTAAGAGCAATGCAAGAATGGCCTAATACACTACTCAAAGCAATCTGCAGATTGAAGGCAACCCCTATCAATATACCGACATCTGCTGGGTAGAGTGGCTCATGCCTGTAATCCCAGCACTTGGGGAGGCCAAGGCAGGCGGATCACCTGAGGTCAGGAGTTTAAGACCAGCCTGACCAACATGGTGAAACCCTGTCTCTACTAAAAATACAAAAATTAGTGGGACGAGGTGCCAGTAGTCCCAGATACTTGGGAGGCTGAGGCAGGAGAACTGCTTGAACCCAAGAGATGGAGGCTGCAGTAAGCCAAGATCGTGCTGCTGCACTTCATCCTGGGCAATAGAGTGAGTCAATTTGTAAGAAAACACATTATTATCTGTGAAGCACAATGAAAAGTGAAATAAAACAAGGTATACCTCTACTGAAAGAAGAAAACTATCAAACTAGAATTCTAGATCCTGGAACTATGTATTTCAAAAATAAAGGAGAAATAAACACTTCCAGATATCTTTTTTTAAAAAACACTATGAAGCAGAATAAAATGAAGCTCAATAAAATGAGATATACTTGTATATTATTTTCAGCTGAACTCTTTGAAACTAAGCTATGGACATTATGACATTTTACCTCTCAATATGTCACATGCATCTCCTAAAGTTAAGGACATTTTCTTACATAGCCAAAATACCATTATTGTTACTTTTCTTAGGTGCGATACTTCTTTCATATACTCTAATATATATCCATATTTACATCTCATTCGTACTGAATTGTCATTTGTGGTTTGTACACCCATCCCCACCAAATCAGGATTTCATCAAAGTTTATTCATTGCATTTAGTTGTTAAGGCTTTTTGATCTCTTATAGTCTACAGCAGTCTCACCTCTTACACCCTTTAAAAATGACAATGATTTTTTTTAAGAGATCAAGACAGTTGTCTTATAAAGTGACTCATATTCTCGATTTGTCAGATTCCACCCCCCTCCCCCCGTCATAGCATTGTTTAGCTTGTTCCTGTATTCCCCCATACCAGTTGTTAAGTGTAAACTAGATTTAAAGGGTCGATTAGTTTTAATTTCAACATTTTGGACAAGAATACCTAATAAGTGATTTAATATATTTTATATGCCTCCCATTAGGAGACGTACACTGTGCAGTCCCATTATTTGTGATACTAAGTTTGATTGCTTGGTTGAGAGGAGTAAGGTGAGGTATATTTTTCTCACTGCAGTCAGCAAGTAATCTGTGGCATGATAAATTAGCACTGTAATGCTAGCCTGTTCTCCAGTGATCTTTTACCTAATAGTTGTGGTATCTTTTGCTGATCCTTGTCAGGCTAACTTTTAAATTTCAGTGTTAATAAATGTTTGTTGGTCTATAGATGGAAACAAATCACAGGAATTAAAAAATATCCAGCTAGGTTAATCAGAATCTGATTTTGTGGATTTTAAAGATTTTAACAAAGTATTCAAAGTATCGTTTGTTACGAATTTTATAAGAAACCTGGCTTGAAAAATGGGAATAACTCAATGCTGGTCTTCTGTACTCTTAAGAAGTGCATTTAAATTTTTCTTAGATAACATCTACTGCACAAGAATAACCCAGAAATACAATATAAAGGAAGGGTGGATCTACTAAAATACATTTTGAGAAAATTGTCTATTTTCTGATGTAATGGGAGGAACACTGGATTGAGAGTCAGAAGATCATTCCTACCATTATATGAAGTTTAAGAATTACAAATTTTTGAGCTGGGCTGTGTGGTGCATGCCTCAACTACTCAGGAGGTTAAGGCAGGAGAATCCCTTTAGCCCAGGAGTTGGAGGGCATCCTGGGCAACATAGCAAGACCCTGTATCAAAAATCAGGAAAAAAAGAAGGATAAATTTTTAAACTTTACTGCATGTTCTTATTTCATAGTGATTGCTTTAGTAAACATTTATGAATAAAGAATGAATTTCTGATGAGATATGTTTGTAGTGAACTTCATTTTTATGAAGCCAGTTATAAGTAAATCAAATGTATGTAATACAAAATTGAACTTAAAAAACCTTTCCTCTTATTCTCAAAGTGTTGTGTGAGATGTATCTATATATCTATATCTACACACACTTAACAAGAAATGTTAAGTTTGTCTTTTGTCTTGGATATTCCTGGGATTGATTTGGAACATTGGTTGACTATATTTCTCTTGGTAGTTAATTACATGGTTGCTTTGTAATATTTCTTGTATTGTTGCCTTTATTGTTACTTAACTCTTAGGTTAAAGAGTTAAGATTAGGTCTTAACTCTTACTTTGTTGTTGTTGTTTATACCTTGCCTTCCCAACTAATAGGAGGATAGGGTTAGAATCTTTAGATTCCCTACTGTCACTAGCTTACTGGTTTTCTTACAAGTGGTCAACAATTATTTGTTTGAGATTCATAGTACCATAAATTTAAAAAGCACTACGAGGTTTATAAACTTTGGAATTTTTTCCATTTGTGTGGTTAGTCATTTAGTGTGAACTTTAATAGTTAATAATGACAAAAGAATAGTTTAATATATTTTATCGGTATTCTTTGGATCATTCTCAAATTAGGTCCCTTTATTGTCACTGAGAATGCTCCTAGAGCACTCTGTGCACACTTGCCTCTACCATTGTACTTGCCACATTGCACTATAATCATTGATGTGTCGTTCAGTAGTAAGTTAGCTCATCAAGAACAGAGGCAGCGTTTTGTTGTTTGGTACTCCAGTACCTAGCACAGTGCAGACAGCAGGGATCTCCTTTTGCAGTGCTGTAAGATTACTTAAAAGGTGATGCCTCCCAAAATCATTGATGATTTACAGAAGTTTTGGTTTGAATTTACTGGTTGAGTTTCCTTTGTTTCTTTTTTTCTCCCACGAGATACTGGTTTTACTTTAGTTAAATGTAATTTTCTGTGTTCTAGGCACTGATTTCAGTACTGCTTTTAAGATTTTAATTCATTTAATCCCTACAACAACCCAGTGGAATTAGTTACTGTTACTATATCTGTAGTGCAGATGAGGGAACTGAAGCACAGGGACAATAAGCAACTTGCTTAGGTTCACACATCTTGTCTGTGGTGGAGCTAGGACTTGAACTCAGGCAGCCTGGCTCTAGAATACGTGCTCCTAACATGCTGCTTTTCTTGCTTTATCAGGGCAATGAGAAAATTAGATGTGTAATATATCTTTCATCAAGCAATATAAAAACATTCTTTGACATTTATATAATACTATATAATTCATTGAGTACCAGCTGTGTACCAGAGTGGAGATGGTATTTCCAGAAGGCCTTGAAGAGTCATCAACAGTTGAACTAAGTTAACAAACCTTATACGTTAACCGACTGTGCTTATAATGTGTATTGAAGAAAACTTTAAAATACAGAAAAGATAAAGAAAATAAAGGTAGTGAATAGCTAAGATTATGAGCTTGGGATCTAGACCTGAGTGTGAGTCTGAGCTCCACTCTCTAAGCCTCACTCCTCTGTAAAATTGGGGTATAGTGTCTAATTCATGGGGTTTTTAAATGAGGTTTAAGTGAGATAATATGTTTAGGACGGTGCCTAGCATATAATAAGTATTCCAAAAACATTATCAGTTATTGTAAAAATCTCTCATAATCCACATAGATTCTGTCTATTTTGATGTACAAAGAAGCTCTCTTATTTAATGTGATTGGGAGGTAGTATTTATTAAATTTAAAAAAGTTATTAATATAAGGGGAATACAAATGATACATTCTACCTTAAATGTTTATTTTGTTTAAGAAAACATAGAGGCCAGGCACCATGGCTCATGCCTGTAATCCCAACCCTTTGGGAGGCCAAGGTGGGTGGGTCGCTGGAGCCCAGGAGTTTGAGACCAGCCTAGGCAACATGAGGAAACCCTGTCTCTCCAAAAAAAAAAAAAAAAAAAAACAACAAAAAACCCCACAAAATTAGCCAGACGTGATAGCACACACGCCGGTAGTTCCAGCTACTCAAAAGGCTGAGGTGGGAGGATTACTCAAAAGGCTGAGGTGGGAGGATTGCTTGAGCCCAGGAGGTCCAGGCTACAGTGAGGAGTGATCATGCCGCTGCTTTCCGGTCTGGGTAACAGAGTGAGACCCCATCTCAAAAACAGAAAAACCCAGAAAACAAACAAACACAAAAACCATATAGATGTAAAGCAGTCTGAGTATATGATCCATCTAGAGACGTATGATTTTTTCCTCCTAGTCTTTTACAGTTGATTCACCTGTACCTGATTTAACAGTTTTTGTGACTAGCTGTTGAGTTTTTCTAAAATTCAGGTTCATTTTTATAGAATCAACTCTTCATATTTACAATTTTACTGATTTATATAATATTTAAACTGAATGTTATTTTATCATAAAAAATTATGTTACAAACTGTAAATTATAAATATAACTAATTTTCGGTAAGTTGATGGGAACATAAATGTATTGGTTTGATAAAAAGTAAGCTTCACTAGTGGTGAATGTTCAGTAATTTGTTGGAGAGAATGGAGAGTGTTGTTTAATTTGCCAAATTAGTTTGTTAAGGATGTTGGATAAGAGAAAATATTGTTGCCTTGCTTTCTAGTATCTCTGAGTAATTGAGAAAGTATTATACAGATATTTAAACAAAGGATTCAGCACTACGTAATAATAATGTACCAGTTTTGTTTCAGCTCTTTCAAGTTTTTAAAATTTGTACCTTTGGTTTTTCTTTGTATTCTGGTTCCTTGAGGATGTGTAGTTTTTTAGATCTCCATTTTCCATGTCTGTCATCTTCTCTCAGTATCTTTGCATTCTGGTAAAGCTTCTTAGGTTTAATCTCTGTAGCCACATCAGTAGTTCTTTTCCTTATTCCCTCTAGTATCTATTAAAAATATTTTTTGTCTCACAGTTTTTGTTGCTGTTATTGTTTGTTTTGAGACAAGGTCTCTCTATGTTGTCCAGGCTGGAAGGCAGTGGTGTGATCTCAGCTCACTGCAACCTCTGGCTCCTGGGCAAGTATTTTATTCTGCAGTTGAATCTGTATTATCTTGGTAGTCCTAGATTTCACCCATTTCCTTTTTCACGTTGTCTTTGTCTTGCATCTCAGCCTAGCCTCCCATTTGGCTTTCTCTTCCTGTTTTATAAAGACATGTCTTCTGGCATTGAAGCTATCATACAATTTTCTACAAATTTCAAACCGTATCTTAGGAAGCAGAGATAATATTTGATTGTCTACTGTGTGCCAGAAAATTCATATTACATTTTTAAACTTAATAACTATGGTATATCATATTTTTCTGATTTTACAGGTAAGGCTCAGAGTCACATAGTGCAGTTGGGATTTTGTGTGGCTCTTCCAGTTAGAGCAAAGGTTCCTAACATTCCCACTGCCTCCACATTGCTCATATTCTCATTATATTCATCATTCTCTATAATGACTATACGCACTGGAATACATATATTCTCTGTGATGAATGTGTGCACTGGAATCTTCTGGGGCTAGGGCCAATGTAGTTTAAAAAAAAAAAAACCACTGAAATTTAGATGCTATTCTAAATAGCTTTTATAATTGCTTTTATAATTGCCCACATTTTTTTATAATTGCTAAGTCAGAGTTCTGATAAATATTTGAGTAAACTAGAATTATTTCTTTATTTGTATTACATATACTTTTCAGTGGGATGACAATAAACTCGTCTATTTTAAATAAATTTTATGGGAAGTGGGTTCATTTTTCTGATCTCTAAGAGAAGTAATATGGGAGAGTTTAATGTCCATAGTTAAAGTATTTATTTTAATTTCTTAAAATGAATAGAGTGAACATTGGGTATTTTCAGTATGATTTCTTTTTTTTTTTTGAGACAGGATCTCGCTCTATCATTCAGGCTGGAGTGCAGTGTCAGGATCACTGCTCACTGCATCCTCGACCTCCCAGACTCAAGCATTCCTCCCACCTCAGCTTCCTGAGTAGCTGGGACTACAGGCACACCATTATACCCAACTAATTTTTAAATTTTTGTAGAGGTAGGGTCTCTGTATTGCTCAGGCTGGTCTTGAACACCTGGGCTCAAGCGATCCTCCTGTCTCAGACTCCCAAAGTGCTGGGATTATAGGTGTGAGCCACCATGCACAGCATCAGCATGATTTTTAACTAGTTGTAGACTATTATTCTGAGTAGGCTGTGAACAAAAACCCCAATATCTCAGTGGCTTAAAACAACAGAAGGTGTATGTTTTGCTCATACCATGTATTCATTGAGGGTCAGCTGGGGGCTCAGCTCAACATTTTTGTCATCCTTACTTTGGGTCCCACTTTGGGACCTCACATGGGAGCAGCCCCTGTACGGAACTGCTGGGTCCAACCCGCAGACCCTGGCTGAATGATGGATGAACAAGTGCACTCAGACACCAGAAACCAGTGAAAGAGCGGGCTAGGGGACCAGGCCACCCACAGACACCAAGGAGGGTGCTGTAAAGAGTCAGCAGCTGCGGCCCTGACAAGCCTGCGCTGCCGGCATTTATTCAGTATAGATTTAATGACAAAGGCCTTGAGTCAACACACTGGTGGGCAGTTCACATGGTTGCGCTCCCCCCCTTCCCACCCTCCCACCCCAGTAGTCCTGCACGTGGATGATTAAAGGCCAGGTTCCAAGGTCTAAGTAAACTTATCTAGATCAGTTTCTTTACATTCCCTTTTTATCAACCTAAACTGTCAGGCACCGGATAAGAGAATCTGGCTGCCTTCAGCCAAATCTTTTTCCGAAGCTTTTGTAAAAACCTTACAGCCTTCCAAGAAGGTTTGCATCTTCCTACAGTTTTTCCCATCACCCTGACTGATCTCCTACATCTCTCCCTTTTCTGTTTTTAGCATCAGGTTTTGTTGATAGGAGAGTACAGATATGTGCAGTAGGTTTGTCAGGCGTGGTGGTAACTGCTCATATTCCAGCTTTGCATCCTAGCATTAGTAAATAACATAAGACAAACTTGAGTATAATCAACATTTTTTTTTTTCCAATCAAGGAGTGACCTATATTGTTACTCAGCAGTTCAGTTCATTGTGTGCTGTTACTAAGGAACCCCACTGGGGTTATGTTAATCTCTCTCAGCCAAGCAGTCACGTTGTTAGAAGCTGGGAAGGTCGGGTATTTGTCTAAGTAACAGGGCAGAAGAAAGGCGGATTTAGAGGATGGGCCAAATAGAGTGTAGCAGGTACTAGTTGCAGGCAGAGTGAGAGAATTAATCCCAGCACTTTGGGAGGCTGAGGCAGGTGGATCACGAGGTCAAGAGTTTGAGACCATCTTGGCTAACATGGTGAAACCCCATCTCTACTAAAAATACAAAAATTAGCTGGATATGGTGGCATGTGCCTGTGGTCTCAGCTACTTGGGAGGCTGAGGCAGGATAATCACTTGAACCTGGCAAGCAGAGGTTGCAGTGAGCCCAGATCGCACCACTGCACTCCAGCTTGGTGACAGAGTGAGACTCTGTCTCAAAAAAAAAATAAATAAATAAATAAATAATAATAAAGCATAACAAGGAGCAGATTATCTGGAGTGAATGGTGTCTGTGTCCAGAGCAGGATTCACTCAGTCTTCTGACTTGTCTTCTTGAGCATCCTGTCCGGGGCCTGTGTTGTCTGATGAAGCCACATTGTTCGGGGCTATGGGTCCCATAGGGTTATTTTCTTTATTTCTGGTACTGGGTTGGGTCCTAGCCACACCATGGTATGGTTCGATGCATTATGCTGGAATACAAAGAGGACCTGAGGGGGTGTGAACACAAGCATATCCTCTCCCCCACGTTAACAATTCATTTGGACCATACCATACATTACTGTTTACGTCTTTCCATAAAACTGCAGGTTTTATTTCTTGAGAGGTTTTAGCAAAGTGCTTTTCTACAGCTGATTGAAATTTATTTAAATTTTAAAAATTAAGGGTAAATAAGGCTTGTGCTAGTAGTGTTGCAGGGTCCTTATTCATATTCCCCCTTTTTTGTTTTCTGAGCATATTTTTAAGGCTGGATTGGGTACGTTCTATGGCCTGTCCTTGGGAGTTATACGGGATGCCTGTGGAATGTTGGATGTTCCATGTGTGACAAAATTGTTGAAATTGTGAGCTGGCATAAGCCAGACCATTATCAGTTTTAATTTCTGTGGGCCGTCCCATAAATGCAAAAGTTAAAAGAAGATGTTTAATGACATATCGGGTGGACTCTCCAGGAAGAGCATGAGTACTAATTAAATGAGAATTGGTATCAATGGATACATGTACATATCTACGTTTTCCAAATTCAGGGATGCGTGTAACATCTGTTTGCCAAAACTGATTAGGTTCTAGTCCTCTAGGGTTAACACCTGTTGAAGGAGGGGATGTGCCTGTGAACTGGCAATCTGGGCATTGTAGGGTAATTTGTTTAGCTAGTCTCTGGGTAAGTTGAAATTGTTTAGATAAGTTTCTCAAGTTTTGGTGGAAAAATTGTTGCAATTGGGTGGCTTGGTCAGGCAGTGATGTCATAACCTGTAGGTCTGCTTGATCATTGCCATAAGCCAGTGGGCCAGGCAGTGAGCTGTGGGCCCGAATGTGTGTAATAAAAATAAGATGTATACATTGATCTAGCAGTTGCTGAAGTCGGAGAAAAAGTGCACACAGGGTGGGCTCCAGAGTGGTCTTAATGAAGGCCGTCTCAAAGTTCTGCAATAAATAAACAGTAAGCAGAGTCACTAACAATATCGATGAGCTGAGTGGAGAAAGTTTCTAAGGCTAATATTAAGGCTCCAATCTCAGCTCTCTGAGTGCTAGTAAATCCAGAATGAGTGAGGGAATTATGTGATCTCCACCAGACAGCCGCTTTTCCATGTTTACCAGAGCCATTAGTAAACAATGTTAAAGCATTAGGTATGGGGGATTGAACTATTTTAGTAGGCAAAACAACAGAAGTACGAGATAAGAACTGAAGGAGTTTGTCAGCAGGAAGGGTATGCCCTATAAGGCCTGTGTAATCAGAGAGTGCTGTTTGCAGGTCCATAGATAAGGGTAATACTGCTTCAAATTGCTTTTTACTTAAAGGAATCCTGATGATATCAGGGTCATAACCTAGCAACTGATTGCATTGTCTGAGGCCTGAATAGATGACTTTATTGACTCACTGGACATAGAGAGAGAGTGTTTTAGTCCCGGTATGTGAGCAAAAAACCCATTCTAGAAAGCATAGCTCTGGGCCCATCTGTCTTGTTAACCCTGTAGGGGAGTGTTTAGTGGGAAAAACAAACAGCTGAACTGAATATCATGGATCTGTGCGATCTAATTGCCTTTGAGAGATAAATTGCTCTACTTCTTCAATTTCCCTTTGTGCCGTAGGAGTTAAATACCTAGGAGAGTCTAGGGCAGCATTGCCTTTTAAGATAGAAAACAAGTTTTGTAACTTATCAGTAGTTATGCCTAGGGTGGGGCAAAGCCAGTTAATATCACCTAGTAATTTCTGATAATCATTTAAGGTGTGTAAGTTGCTAGTATCTAATTTAAGCTTTTGAGGTCTTAGCAAGAAATTAGTCTGTATCCAAGATATTTCCAAGGAGAAGACATCTGTACTTTTTCAGGTGCTATGATTAAACCTCTTAACTGTGTATTCTTTGCTACAGAGTTATATAACCTTAAAATCACTGGCTCTGTTGGGGCTGCTAGTAAAATATCATCCATAAAATGAATAATCTTGCCATTAGGAAATTCTTTTCTACTGGGGAGAAAGCCTGATTTACATGATACTGACACATGGTAGGACTGTTCAGCATTCCTTGGGGAAGCACTTTCCATTGGAATCAGGGAGCTGGCCTTTCATTATTGATTGCTGGTATTGTAAATGCAAATTCTTCTCTGTCCTCTTCTGCTAGGGGAATAGTATAAAAGCAGTCTTTTAAGTCAGTAACGATTATAGGCCAATGTCGAATGGCCGTGGGGGAGGGGAGCCCCTGCTGAAGGGGCCCCATAGGTTGCAAATTAGCATTGATAGCACATAAGTCGTGCAAAAGTCTCCATTTACCAGACCTTTTGGGAATGACGAAAATGGGTGAATTCCAGGGGCTGTTTGATGGTTCTGTATGGCTGGCTTTTAGTTGCCCCTCAACTAATTCACGGGCTGTTTGTAATTTCTTTCCCTTTAAAGATCACTATTCTACCCAAATAGGATTTTGAGAGAGCAATGTCAAGGGTAGGGGAGGAATAACTGTGGCCATTATTAGAAAGAGGTCTGCAGAGTGACCCCCCCATTGGGCTAATAGGTCCCGTCCCCAAAGGTTAACAGGGAAGGGCATGAGTTGAGGTTGTATAACTGCCTTTCTTACCTCTGAATCGCAACAGGTTAGGGGGCACGTGCTCTGCTTGGCTGTGTGCGCTTCCCCAATGCCAACAATTTTTTGTTTCTGAGTGACCCAAGGACAAGTTTCTGGCTAGTTTTGATCATTAATGTTTGAAATATCCATCCGTGTGTCCAATAAGCCAGTAAAATTCTTATTTCCAATTTTTAAGGTGATCATGGGTCTCTGGTTAGTGATTAATTGATTCCAGTGTACTTTTGTGGCTCCTGTGCTTCCAAAACGTCCCTTTCCCCCTTTCTGGGCATTGGGGACCCAGTATGGTAAAAGCAGTAACAGAGCTGTCTTTGATCCCGGGGGAAGAAATATGCAGACCTTTACATTCCATCATAACTAGTATCTCACCTCAATAATCACTATCAGTTACCCCAGTGAGCACATTGATTCCTTTACTGGATAGGCTAGATTGCCCTAGGACTAATCCCACTGTTCCCAGAGGCAGTGGGCCCCAGATCCCGGTTGCAACCCTTTTAGTGTCTTCTCCTTCTTTTAGCACTAATTCATCGGGGCAGAGTAAGTCCAGTCTTGCGCTCCCAGTGGTGGTTGCTCTGAGAGAGAGGACTGTGGGCTTTCCATCTGACAGAGGAAAGCCACTGACATTGCCCCAGTTTGCAGCAGGGCCTGGGGTCAGCCCCTCATGAAGTTTCCCGCCTGGTTACTTACGGAGTTGTCGTTTTTATCAAATTTGGACTTGCATTGATTTGCCCAATGTTTCCCCTTTTTACATTGCAGTCATATAGAAGGGGGTTCTTTTCCTGAGTTACCTTGGTCTCTATTATTGGGACATTCCCTCTTCATATGACCTGCCTCTCCACATAGAAAACAATTTGGGTTTCCCTCCCTTTTCACTTTAGGAGGCCTTAATGCCATAGCCAATATTTTGGCTTTGTGTGTTTCAGTCCCCACCAGTTGACATGCTTGTGTAAGTTCCCTGACTGTGGCTGCCTTTCCTCTGATTGCATGCATTGCTTGTTGGCGATCCACATTAGCGTTTTTATAAGCCAATTGTAACAAGATATCAGTCCTGGGTGTGACTAATTTGTCTCTTAATTGCCTGGGTTAAACGATTGATAAATTCAACAAATGGCTCCTGAGGCCCTTGTCGAACATTTATAAAAGATCCCTGTTGATCTCTGCTTTTGGAAATTCTGTCCCAAGCCCCGAGAGCGCACAAAGACACTTGTGCATAGGCCTGGGGATCAAAATTAGTTGTTGTACATCGGCATGGGGACGCCTCCCCTGGAGCATAGCAGCTGTTACATCTTGCACGGCCACCTCGTTCTGGTTGGCTTGTTGTTCGCACAACTCATCGTATTCTGCCCTCTAGAGGAGGTACTGGCTGGCCTCCAAAATTGTTTTAGCTAGCACTGACCAGTCCCATGGGGTCATACGGAAGTTGTCTGCCAAGGCTTCAGTCATTCCTTTCGTAAGGAAATGGGCTAGCGGCTCTGTTTTCTTTAATGCTTTTTCTTAGCTTTTTATAAGCATTAAAAGAAATGGGTTCATGTACCTGATTGCATTGTCGTTCTTGCATTACTGGGCAGGCTAAGAGCTCCCCTTCTAATGCCACTTGCTTAAGACAGGGTCCCCCAGCTGTAGCATATCCCTTGTCTTTTCTTCTAGTTTATTGGAGGAGGGGGCTCAGGCAAAACCTCCGTTTCCTCTTTGTTATTTTGGCCCGGTGATAGCGGGGCTGAGGGATAAGGAGGCAGTAAGGTAGATGATGGTTCCTCCTCCCTCCCCTTTTTAGGCTCTTCTGTGTATAACGGGGCCAGAGCTGCCCTAACTAAAGCCCATAATGTTAAAGATGTTACTGGGACCTGTTGTCCTTGTGCATGATGTTTAAGATTTCTCCCCACTTGTTCCTAGAGCTCTATGGCTAGTGTACCTTCTTCCAGGAACCATGGGTTATGGGATACAACAGTTTGCATTAGGTCCCTTAATTGAGCCTGTGAAACCCAGGCTCCACTAGCTTTAAGCAGCTTTTTAAATACTTTTATATACTGTTTCTGTTGAGCTGATAACTGTTGTCCCTTGATGAAACCCTAGCCTGAGCAATTCCCTCGAACTTGGAAATTCAGAGCAGGCAACAGTGACTTACTGACCGCAGTTTTTTCACCTTCATTTTCAAGGGTTCTGTTGTGATCTGTTGCAGCATTCCTCACACAGGGCTCTACCTTCCGGGTCCGACCCGCAGACCCTGGCTGAACAACAGATGAACAAATGAACTCAGACACAGGAAGCCAGTGAAAGAGTGGGCTAGGGGACTGGGCCGCCCACAGACACTGAGGAGGGTGTATAAAGAGTCAGCGGCTGAGGCCCTGACAAGCCTGTGCTTGCGCTGCGGGCATTTATTCAGTATAGATTTAATGACAAAGGTCTTGAGTCAACACACTTGTGGGGAATTCACATGGTCGTGCTGCGCCCACCCCCACCCCCCGCTAGTCTTGCATGCAGATGATTTAGGCCAGGTTCCATGGTCTAAGTAAACTAACTTACTTAGATGAGTTTCTTTACATCCCCTTGTTACCTAACCTAAAGTTTCAGGCACCAGATAAGACAATCTGGCTGCCTTCAGCCAAATCTTTTTCCGAAGCTTTTGTAAAACCTTCCAGCCTTCCAAGAAGGTTTACATCTTTCTACAATTTTTCCCACCACCCTGACTGATCTCCTACACGGAACATTACTGGTTAATTAGTTAAGAGAGAAAAGAGACCATATCAGACTACACTCTGGCTTTTAAAGCTTTTACCTAGAAACATTCACCACTTTCACCCACCAGCTCTGGCCAAAGGAAGACTCTTGACTGTACTTGGGATATAAACAGGATGGGGAAATTTAATCTTTCCATATGCCCAGAAGGATAAAAACAAGTATTTGTGAACAGCCCTCCCACGGAGACAGTGTTTTCTGTGGAAAAGTTTTTGAAAATTAATTTTGAAAATCATTAAATGGAAGCCAGTGGGAAAAATGTGAGTCAATACTATTTCTTATTAGTCTTTGGAAAGAGATCTCCAATCTAAGATGAAGTCATTTTTTACTTGTTTATTTGCTGTTTTTTTTTTTTTTTTTTTTTTTTTTTAGTAGAGACGGGGTTTCACCGTGTTAGCCAGGAGGGTCTCGATCTCCTGACCTCGTGATCCGCCCGCCTCGGCCTCCCAAAGTGCTGGGATTACAGGCGTGAGCCACCGCGCCCAGCCTATTATTTGCTGTTTTGTAATAATACAGTCAGTCCTCTGTATCTGCAGGTGCTGCTGCATCTGTGGATTCAACCAACCACAGATAGAAAATATTTGAGAATGGCCGAGCACGGTGGCTCATGCCTGTAATCCCAGTACTTTGGGAGGCCGAGGCGGGCAGATCACAAGGTCTGGAGTTCAAGACCAGCCTGGCCAATATGGTGAAACCCTGTCTTTACTAAAAATGCAAAAAAAAAATAGCTGGGCGTGGTGATGCGTGCCTGTAATCCCAGCTACTCCGGAGGCTGAGGCAGGGGAATCGCATGAACCAGGGAGTCGGAGGTTGCAGTGAGCCGAGATCCCGCCACTGCACTCCAACCTGGGCAACAGAGTGAGACTCTGTCCACACAAAAATAAAAAATAAAAT
This sequence comes from Homo sapiens, assembly GCF_000001405.40. Classification (NCBI taxonomy): domain Eukaryota; kingdom Metazoa; phylum Chordata; class Mammalia; order Primates; family Hominidae; genus Homo; species Homo sapiens. The sequence goes on along the minus strand of NC_000002.12, from coordinate 127,368,944 downwards.
ATTTGAGAATAATAATACTAGTCACAATTCAACAAGCTGGGTGCAGTGGCAAATGCCTGTAGTGCCAGCTACTTTGGAGGCTGAGGCGGGAGGTTTGTTTAAGCCCAAGAGGTCGAGGCCAACCTGGGCAACATCACAAGACCTCATCTCAAAAAGAAAAAAAAAATACAAATTTAAAAAATAACTTATAACAACTATTTACATGGCAGTTATATTAGGTATTAAAAATAATCTAGAGATGATTTAAAGTATATGGGAGGATATGCATAGTTTATATGTAAATACTTTGCCTTTTTATTTTTATTTATTTATTTATTTATTTTTGAGATGGAGTCTCACTCTGTCTCCAGGCTGGAGTGCAGTGGCACGATCTGGGCTCACTGCAACCTCCACCTCCCTGGTTCAAGCCATTCTCCTGCCTCAGCCTCCTGAGTAGCTGGGACTACAGGCGCATGCCACCACACCCGGCTAATTTTTTGTATTTTTAGTAGAGATGGGGTTTCACCATGTTGGCCAGGATGGTTTCGAACTCCAGACCTCGTGATCTGCCCGCCTCAGCCTCCCAAAGTGCTGGGATTACAGGTGTGAGCCACCATGCCCGACCGCCTTATTTTTATTTTTTTGAGACAGTGTCTTGTTCTGTCACCCAGGCTGGAGTGCAGTGGTGTGATCTCGGCTCACTGCAGCCTCTGCCTTCTGGGTTCAAGTGATTCTTGTGCCTCAGCCTCCCAAGTACCTGGGACTACAGGGGCACACCACCACACCAGGTTAATTTTCCTATTTGTAGTAGAGACAGGGCTTCACCATGTTGGCCAGGCTGGTCTCAAACTGCTGACCTCAAGTGATCCACCCGCCTCGGCCTCCCAGAGTGCTGGGATTACAGGCGTGAGCCACCATGCCCAGCCGATACTTGCCATTTTATATGAGGGACTTGAGCATTTGCAGATTTTGTTATCTATGGGGTCCTGAGACAAGTCCCTTGTGGATACTGAGGGATGACTGTAGTTGGATGCTCCTAAGTCATATTTTATTTTAGATTTGTGACTTAGACGTGTTTAGATGTGTTTCATTATCATTATTTGAGAGTTTCTAATTACTGTAAAGTTTGACTGGCTTTGTTACATTTTAATGGTATTATGGAGGTTTTGTTTTGAGACGGAGTCTCACTCTGTCACCCAGGCTGGAGTGCAGTGGTGCGATCTTGGCTCACCACAACGTCCGCCTCCTGCATTCAAGCCATTCTCGTGCCTCAGCCTCCCGAGTAGCTGGGATTACAGGCATGTGCCACCACGCCTGGCTAATTTTTGCATTTTTAGTGGAGATAGGGTTTCACCATGTTGGCCACGCTGGTCTCAAACTCCTGACCTCAGGTAATATGCCTGCCTCAGCCTCCCAAAGTGCTGGGATTATGGTTGTGAGCCACAGTGCCCTGCCTGGAGTTTTAATCCAAAGTATTTTATTCTAATGTGATAGGGAAATGAGACCTAATGTCTCCTGATTCAGTTTAAGGAGAGATAGATCAACATTATGTTTCATATGATGGCTTTAATGTATATTCTGATTAGGCATTTTAAAGTAACCTGTTAACTCCTTTTTAAAGTTAATAATATCTTATTGTATAATATACATATGTCAGACAGTATTTACAAAACTTCTTAGTTGCTCAGATACTATAAGGAAACAAGATAAGTAGAGGGTTGCTCAGCCTTAGATTGATAAAAATCTACTTTTAGAGATGATGTGACATTAATCCAACCAGTCTGTGATCAGTACATGGCTGCATTCTTTTGACTTCACCCCCAAGCTGTTATGTCTCTTCATATATAATCTTGCCCTGTGATTTGAGAAAGGGTAGGTTAGTTATGTGTTCTGAGATCATGTAATGTATATTAATAAAAATACAAAAATTAGCCGAGTGTGGTGGTGCATGCCTGTAATCCCAGCTACTCGGGAGGCTGAGGCGGGAGATTGGCTTGAATCCGGGAGGTGGAGGTTGCAGTGAGCTGAGATTGTGCCACTGCACTCCAGCCTGGTGACAAAGCGAGACTCTGTCTCAAAAAAAAAAAAAAAAAAAAAAACCCTTGACTGTGGGACAGCTTAGTAATGAACTCCAGAATAGTAAGCATTGAGCCTTAGAAAATAACAGAGAACAGAATTATTCTCATGTTATGAGTGGAGAACCAAGACTAATAAAATACATTTTTGGAAATATGTTAGCCAAAAAGGTAGGGAGTGGGGTGAAGATCTTTTTGGAGAAGGAAAAAAAGTATTGGAAAAATTGTACATACAGTCTTCCTTTATGCCCAGTAGCAACCGAAAAATAATTCAGGGAGACACTTGGATAAGCCCAAAATGATTATATAAAAAAGTGAAGCTTCCTTACTTCAAATGGGGGGAAAAACACATTTTGGGACAAACTATACATCACGAAATATTTTTCTTCTCAGAATTTTTTATTTCTTGTTCTTCCTTTCTCAATCTTCACATTTCTAACTAAAGCATACACGTATCCTCTGAGTATTCTTTTTGTTTTGTTTTGTTGGGTTTTTTTTTTTTTTTTCCAGAGATAGGGTTTTTGTATGTTGCCCAGGCTGTACTCAAACTCCTGGGCTCAAGGGATCCTCCCACCTCAGCCTCCTGAGTAGCTGGGGCTGCAGGCATACACGACCACACCTGGCTAACCCTGGAGTGTTTTTAGCTAATCTTGTTCTTAGTTAATAAATTGGTATTGACGTTTGTTAATCTGTTACCCACTCTAGTATTCTCTCCATTAAATATTGCTTTTTGCAAATGGGAGGATCAAGTAGTGAGATACGACTTTTTTGGAATGAGGGTTACTTGTTCCTTGGAAGCAAAGGAGGACAGTGCAGAACTGATAAAACAAGGTTTGTTTGGAAGCAGTCAAATTGGAGACCAAATGATGTAGATTTTGTTATATATGCAAGAAGATCTCAGAGGGAAAGCTGCAGAGATTTCTTGGTCAGTAGATTGGGAGGAAGCTTGAGTACTTGAATCATTTAAGGGCTCAATCAAGAAAACAGAGCTACTATGATATTATGGAATAAGGGATTTAGGAAAGGAATAGGACTTCATACAGCTGTGGGAGAAACTCCAGAAGTCAGAGTCTGTAGGGCAGGTCAGAGAAAAGCTACTATTCAGCCTCTTTGAAGCAGTTGTGCAGTGGTCAGCTCAGCGTTTACAGGTGAATCTGAGAAGCCAGGTATGCCCAGCTACTGGAGTGGGACCACACACTGGAGCTGGTGAAAAGTCTGTGGAGAGTTGTCACCTCTGTGTAGCTGCCTCTTTTGTGGTCCTCAGTCAAGCTTTTGGTGGTGAACCTGGGGTTGCTGTTTGGTCAGCAGGGTTGGCAATCAAGAAGAGGAGCTGTATACAGAGCAGAGGAGAGCTGCGCAGTCGGCTGGCAACTGCAGCTCTATCTAACCATACTCTTCAGAAAGTCTTTTGCTCTTTGGGCCACCTACCCTATGGAAAGAGGATTCTGGGAAATGTAGTTTGGATGTAACCAGGTTGACACAGTATAAACTGCCACAGCAGTTAAGGATGAAAAGAAACACAGTGGGGGATGTTAAAGTTGTGGGAGTCCATAGTGATGTTTTATGGATCAAGGCTCATAGGAATGTGAGAGAGCAAGTTGCTTAAGCTCTCTAAGCCCACTTCCTCCTCTGTGAAACAGGGAAATGATAACTACCTTATGGGATTGTTGTAAGGATGAAATCAAATGTAAAACACTTAGAGTGTCTGCTCAGTGCAAGCCATTATAAATAGTAGCTTTTTTTTTTTTTTTTTTTTTTTTTTTTTTTTTTTTTTGAGGCAGAGTCTCACTCTGTCGCCCAGGCTGGAGTGCAATGGCACGATCTCGGCTCATTGCAACCTCTGCCTCCTGGGCTCAAACCTCAGCCTCCCAAGTAGCAGGGATTACAGGCATGTGCCACCACACCCGGCTAATTTTTGTAGTTTTAGTAGAGACAGGGTTTTGCCATGTTGGCCAGGCCGGTCTCAAACTCCTGACCTCAGGTGATCTGCCTGCCTTGGCCTTCCACAGTGCTAGGATTACAGGCGTGAGCCACTGCGCCTGGTCAATAGTAGCTTTTATTAGTAGTCATTGCAGTAGTAATGAGAAGAGATTGAGAAATAGGAGGGGTATATTTTTAAAGATGAGGGGAAAGGTGGAGGGAAAAGAAGATGAGTGCAGAATAAAGTAGAAGACATAGTTCCTATATTTGAGGTTATTGTAGTCTAGTGGCAGAGAGCACATGTAAAAATATGGAATAGTTAGGAAGCTGTTCTATGAGGTAATATCCTTTCAGAAAGGTGACTGTGTGATGAGTGGAGAGATGGCAAGTGCTGTCATTCCAGTGTAGCCAGGGTTAGGTGGTAGTGTATGTGAAATGTCTAGCACATCGTCTGACAGTCCACAGACGATAATTCTTTTCCATTATCGTTTATACATGGTAAGATGACCAGGTGAAGAGGACAGGGAGGGCTTAAGCTGGGCCCTTAAAAGATGGTTTGGACAAGTAGAAAAAAGGAAGCATTTCAGACAGCACAGAGACAAAAAGTAGCTATCAATAAGGCATATGGAACACTTCGTAGTATAACTCAGAACCTATTGACTCCTACTCTTTGCTTTTTTTGATTATCTATTTGCTTCTTTTGGTTATCCGAATGGTTTCCTGGGTAAATTGTTTTGAGATGCAAATTAGTAGTAAGATTTACTAAAGAGAGGGGAGATGGGTATTCAAGGGATGAGCAGAAATCAAGGACCAGGAAGGGGGCTCTATTAATAGCAAGTCCTTTGAGAAAAGCAGATAGGTTAGATTGACTGAAACATATGTGTGCTATATTATGTTATGGTTGTAAGGAGAGTCAAATTTGCAATTTATTTAAGATGTTTGGTAATAGGCTAGCTATGTGCAAAGTACTGTTAGGTGCTGTGGGAGATAGAAAGATACCTAAGTAGTGTTTCCTGGCTGGGCTTGGTGGCTCTTGCCTATAATCCCAGTACTTTGGAGGCTGAGGCAGGAGGATCACTTGAGGCCAGGGGTTCAAGACCAGCCTGGGAAACATAGCAAGACCCCATGTCTAGTAAAAATTGAAAAATTAGCCAGGCATGGTGGTGTGTGCCTGTAGTCTTAGCTACTCAGGAGGCTGAGGTAGGAGGATTGCTTGAGCCAGGCTAGGTGACAGAGTGAGACTCTATCTCTAAAATAAATAAGTAAATACATTTTTAAAAGGTCCTGTATAATGAAGACAGCCAGCTACACAAATAACATTTTTACAAAGCATGGAATGAAGAGGATTACAGGAATTGATTTGAAGAGAATTGGCTAGTCTTGGGTTTTTGTGTTGGAGTTTGAGGTTCAGGCAACGTGTTGACTTCAGAATTCTGACTGAGAAGTACTGTGTTTGATATCATTGGGGAGTTTTGCAATAGAAAGTGTTAAACTCCCATCAGCAAAATATTAATATGTTGTTCAATATGAACTGATTTTGACTGAAGCCTTGGTCATGGTTTTATTATATTAATAAAGTATTAAGGTATAAATTCTGCTTACTTTGGAAGGATTTTTAATTTTTAGAGGATGTTAGCATTTTATCATTTTTAAAATCAAGATTGGTGAGGAGAGCATATTGGCACACAGTAAGCATATGTTAAATGTTGGTTGAAAAAAATAAACAAACAACGAGAGGCAGTGTAATACACAGTCATCCCTTGGTATCTGCGGGGGATTGGTTCCAGAACCTCGACTCCCACAAATACCAAAATCCCCAGTTGCTCAACATCTCTTATATAAAATTGAGTAGTACTTGCATGCAACCTACACACATCCTTCCGTATACTTTAAATTGTCTCTTGATTACTTGTAATACCTAACACAGTGTAAGTGCTGTGTAAATTATTGTTACACGGCATTTTTTGTGTTTTTTTATTGTTGCATTATTTTAAATTAAATTTGTTTTCGATCTCCAGTTGGTTGAATCCACACATGCGGAATGTGCAGATAGGGAGGGCCAACTGTAGTGTGTAGAAGTGGATTCTGCCCAGGATTGGGCTCAAATTCTGAACCTAATAAATGTTAGCTATTTTTTAAATGTTCACTCTGCTCTGGTATTGTTCTAAGTGCTTTACAAATAATATTAAATGTTTGTAACAATCATATAAAGTAGATACAGTTGTCTCCGTTTTTACAGAGGAACCGTGGCACTGACAGCCGTTATTGCTAATTATCGTCCATAAACAGTTGAGTGATGTTTTTGGTAAACCAATTATGGGTTGTTGCTTTTTTTCTAGTGCCTGATAACAGTATCAGGGACAACAGTCAGGGTACAGATTGAGAATTTTTTTTAAAGTCTAAATTTGTTCTAAGAGCTACCTTCTTTCCTCTTTAAAATAATCAAATATAGAAAAAAAATTAAGATTTGTAAACATTTGTAAACATTTAAAACAAATTCCCCCGCATTCTCAGTATTGAGAACTAAGTGGGGTGGGGGAAACCCCTAAGTGTGTATCAACTTAATTTTGTTTAACAAACATTTGCATAATTACTACTATATGCCAGCCTCTTTCTAAGCACTTTACATTAACTTAAACGTTTAACTTCCATAGCAATCTTGAGATACTATTATGCCATAAATCTCCATATTACAAGTAAAGAAATCAAGGCAAAGAAAGATTAAGTCATTTGCCTGCGGTCACACACCTGGTAAGTGGCAAATGCCGATTTCAGTCCCAAGCAGTCTGGTTCCACCGTCTGAGCTCTTCTTGCTGTCTTTATTTTTGTATGTAACATGACCCACTGAGAGAGAAAGTATGGATGAGTAAGAAGGGATCTGTTAAAAATTACAAATATATTGTCTGAGTAATACCTTAAAAAGGAGAAAAATCAATTTGCCGCTTAGAGTTGAATATTGCCTTTAACACTGAGCTGTTTGGAGGAAGAGAACTGACATCTGATAAGGTGTCAGGTGTTTGTGTTAGGTGTTATATATTATTTTATTCAGCACTTAAAGCAAACCTGTCATATAGTCTCTTCTATCTTCATTTCATAAACAAGGACATGGGTTTGTAATAGCCGAGAGTCACCTATAACTACCGCTAGGTTTTGAACCCAGGTCCCTATGTGACTCTAAAACATTCTACAATACTTTGTGTCCTAAGGAAATATTAAAAACTCAAATTTATTTGCCAAATAAACTACACATTCTTTTGAAATATTAATTCAAGAAATGATAAAACATTTTATCAACTAAAAGACCTTTTAAAACTCGATAAGAGAAAGGAAGCAAATACATCCCAAATGTGATAATTACTAGGACCACAGGGACCACTAGATGAAAATTAGATTTTTCTCTGCCTTTCTGAGGATGTGCAGGCATGTTTACAAATGACTGCCACTTTATGTGGAGTGTGATCATTCAAACAATTTGAGATTACATATGTGGTATGACTATTAAGTTATTAAAACTTAACCAAATTTATTGCATCTATGGAAGTATTATTTCTTTTATTCATTCTGGGAGGCTCTATATTGTTGCTTTTATATTATTACTTAAAATGTTGGGAGAACACTTTTTAAATTCCCTTTTAATTTTTTTTTTTTTTTTTTTTTTGAGACAGAGTGTTGCTCTGTCCCCCAGGCTGGAGTGCAGTGGTGTGATCTTCACCCACTGCAACCTCTGCCTCCCGGGTTCAGGCGATTCTCCTGCCTTAGCCTCCCGAATAGCTGGGACTACAGGCGCCTGCCACCATGCCCAGCTAATTTTTTGTATTTTTAGTAGAGACGGGGTTTTACTGTGTTAGCCAGGATGGTCTCGATCTCCTGACCTCGTGATCTGCCCACCTTTGCCTCCCAAAGTGCTGGGATTACGGGCTTGAGCCACCGCGCCCTGCCTAAATTTGAATTTTATATGGTTTTGAGTAAATGATAGGGTACAAAGTTCAAAATGTTTGGAAGGATACACAGTGAAAGGTCTCAGAACCCTCTCCTCTCTTCCTTTTACCTGCAGCCACCTAATTTTTCTCAGAGGTGACTGGTGTTATGTGGGAAATACTTCTTTGAAATTAACTTCAGAATTTTTGAATACTTGCAATTAGGATATATGTAACCAATGACGACAGATTTGACTTCATTTTTTAAAAACTCAGTTCATTTACGGTCTGGCAAACAAAGGAATCACCAGTTTAAGTAATATATTTTTTAAAAATCAAAAGCAAAGATGTCTGCAGAGTAATGAGATTTGTGGTGTGATTCATAAATTGGCCTAAAATCAATGATCAGAGTTGCAGAGCTAGTAGCATTAAAGAATAATTTTGTAAAATAACTTGAGATAATTAACATACAATAAACTGCACATTTGAAGTATATAATTATGGCAAATTTTGACATATGTGTATAACTGTCAAACTGTCACCCCTAGTTTTGGTAGTTATAAATAAGATAGTGAACATATTCATCATCTCTGAAAGTTTGTTCAGGCTCTTTTGTAATTCGTCACTGTCTTACCTCTATCCGTTGTTCCTAGATAACCAATGATCTGCTTTTTTTTTTTTTTTTAAACCAGTGATCTACTTTCTGTCACCATAGATTAGTTTACCTTTTCTAGAATTGTGTATAAATGGGGTCATGCAGTGTATGTGTGTACTGTTTTTGAAGTGGGGAAGAGTCTAGCTTCTTTCACTCAGCATAATTGAGATTCATCCGTATTATTGTATGTATCAATAGTTTATTTCTGTTTATTGCTGAATATTATTTATTCTACTGTATGGCTGTACCACAATTTGTTTAACCATTTACCTGATGATGGACATTTGGGTTTCCACTTTTGGGCTATTACAAATAAATCTGCTAAGAACATTTGTGTACAAGTATATTCATGTGGACATATGCTTTCATTTTTCTTGAGTAAATACGTAGGCATTGAATGGGTGGGTCATATGGTAGGTGTATTAGTCCATTCTTGCACTGCTATAAAGAAATACCCAAGACTAGATAATTTATAAAGAAAAGAGGTTTAATTGGCTCACAGTTCTGCAGGTTTTATAGGAAGCATGATTTTGGCACCTGCTCAGCTTCTGAAGAGGCCTCAGGAAACTTAAAATCATGGCAGAAGGCGAAGGGGGAGCCAGCACTTCACATGGCCAGAGCAGGAGGAAGAGAGAGACGGGGGAGGTGCCGCACACTTTTAAACGTCCAGATCTCAGGAACACCACCAGGAGAGCAGCACTAGAGGGATGGTGCTAAACCATTAGAAACCACCCTCATGATTCAGTCACCTCCCACCAGGCTGCAGCATTGGGGCTTACATTTCAACATGAGATTTGGGTGGAGACACAGATTTAAACCATGTCAGTAGGTGCATGTTTACCTTTGTAAAAAATTGTCGAACATTTCTGAAGTGATTGTACCGCTTGACACTCTCTCATCAATGCAATGTATGATGTTTTAGTTGTACAACATCCTTGCCAACATTTCAGATGTTGATGAGATGTCTTTTCAAATCTCATTTTGTTTCTTTCACTTTTTGAAGGTGAAAAGGAGGGAAGTTTATTTTTTTGAGCAGTTTTAGGTTTATAGAAAAATTGAGTGGAAAGTAGGGAGTTCCCATATATATTCTCATCCTCTTAACTCCCCTCCTGGTTTCCCCTGTTATTAACATCTTGCGTTAGTGTCGTACCTTTGTTATGGGTGATGAGCAAATAATGAGGCATTATTGTAAACTAAAGTCCATAATTTACATTAGAATTAACTCTGTTGTATATTCTGGGGGTTTTGACAGATACAGTGTTGTATAGTATAGTGATGTATATCTGCTATTACAATATCATACAGAATGATTTCACTGCCCTAAAAATCCTCTGTGGTCCACCTGTTCATCCCTGCTCCCCTCCTCCTGAATGCCTGGCAGCCACTGATCTTTTTACTGTCTCCATAGTTTTGCCTTTTCTGAAGTGTTACATAGTTGGAATCAATAGTATCTAGCCTTTTAAAAATTTTTTTTTTTTTTTATTGTTTTGGAGACAGGCTGGAGTGCAGTGGTGGAATCTTGGCTCACTGCAACCTCTGCCTTCCAGGTTCAAGCGATTCTCCTGCCTCAGCCAGTCAAGTAGCTGGGACAAGCATGCACCACCGTGCCCGGCTAATTTTTGTATTTTTAGTAGAGACGGGTTTTGCCATATTGGCCGGGCTGGTTTCAAACTCCTGACCTCAGGTGATCTGCCTGCCTCGGCCTCCCAAAATGCTGAGATTACAGGTGTCAGTTACTGTGCCCAGCCTCAGATTGGCTTCTTTCACTTAGTAATAAGCATTAAAGATTCCTTCATGACTTTTCTGTGACTTGATAGTTCTTAATATTCCGTCATATGGATATGCCACACTTTATCTGCTCACTTTCTTAAGAACACCTTGCTTCCAAGTTTTGGCCATTATGAATAAAGCTGCTAATAAAATTCATGCATAGGTTTTTGTGTAGATCTAAGTTTTTGACTCATTTGGGTAAATACAAAGCATGATTACTGGTTCATATGGGAGTATGTTTAGTTTTGTGAGAAACTGCCAAACTGTTTTCCAAAGCGGTTGTACCATTTGACATTCTCAACAGTAGTGCATGAGCATTTTAGTTGCACGGTATCCTTGCCAACACTTTGGATGGCTAGTCTTTTGTAATCTTGTAGTTTTGGTTTGCATTTCCATGATGACTAATGATATTGAGCATCTTATCTTATTGACCATGGCTTTATTTGCCATCCTTAATGTCTTTTTGGTGAAGTGTATGTCCTAATCTTAATGTTTGTCTTTTTTTGTTGGGTTGTAAGAGTACTTTAGATATTCTGGATACAAATATTTTGTCAGGTATGTGTTTAGTACATTTTTTCTCGTAGTCTGTGGCTTGTGTTTTTATTTTTTTAATGGTGTTTTTTGAAGGGTAAACATTTTTAATTTTTGAAGTTCAATGCATTTTTTTCTTTTAAGATATGTACTGTACTTTTGCTCTTCAAAAGACACCATTAAAAAATGCAAAGAAATCTTTGCCAAAGTCAAGGTCACCATAATTTTTTTCTACAAGTTTTATAGTTTTAGTCCTTATATGTAGGTTTATGATCTATTCTGAGTTAGTTTTTGTCTGTTATGAGGTGACAGCTGAGGTATCCAGCTGTTGTACCACAGTGTATAGAAAAGATTATCCTTTCCCCATTGAATAGCCTTAGCCCTTTAAAAAAAATTAACTGGTCATGTATATATGGGTCTGTTTCTAGATAATCTGTTTCATTAACCATTTATCTACCTGTATGCCAATAACACACTGTCTTGATTATTATAGCTTTATAATAAGTCTTGAAGTTACATAATTTAAGTTCTCTTTCTTCTTTTTCAAACTTGTTTTAGAATTTCTAGGTCCTTCACATTTCCTATTCTGTTCTGTTCTATTCTTCTGTATTCAACAGGGTCTCCCTCCCTTGCCCAGGCTGGAGTACAGTGGCGCAATCATTGCTCACTGCAGCCTCGAACTCCTGGGCTCAGGGATCCTCCTGCTTCACCTTCCTTAGTAGTTGGGACTACAGGAACATGGCACCATGCCCAGCTGATAATTTTAATTTTTTTGTAGGTATGAGTTCTTGCTATGTTGCCCAGACTGTCAATGTAAATTTTACAATCAGCTTTTCAGTTTTCACAGTATTGGCTGCCAGGATATTTAAGATTTCATTGAATTTTGTAACAACATTGAGTCTTCTGGTCCGAACATGGCATTTTGTTCAATTTATAGGTCTTTGATTTCTCTTAGCATTCTTTTCTAGTTTTTTAAAGATCTTGCCGTTCTTTTGTCAAACTTCTTTTGAAAAATGTCTGTTCATGTCCTTTGCCCATGTTTTAATGGGATGATTATTTTATTTTTGTGTGTGTGAAGTTGTCTGAATTCCTTGTAGATTCTGGATATTAGTCCCCATTGGATGTATAGTTTGCAAATATTTTCTCCCACTCTGTAGGTTGTCTGTTTACTCTGTTGATTATTTCTTTTGTGTAGAAGCTTTTTAGTTCAACTAAGTCCCGTCTGTCTATTTTTGTTTTTGTTGCCTGTGCTTTTGAGGTTTTAGTCACAAATTCTTTGCCTAGACCAGTGTCCAAAAGAGTTTTCCCTAGTTTTCTTTTCGTAATTTCATAATTTCACATCTTACATTTAGGTCCTTAATCCATCTGGAGTTGATTTTTGTATACGGTGAGACATAATGATTCAGTTTCATTCTTCTGCATATGATAGTCCAATTTTCCCAGCACCATAATTGAAAAATTACATGCCTGTAATCTCAACACTTTGGGAGGCCAAAGTGGGAGGATCACCTGAAGCCAAGAGTTTGCAACCAGCCTGAGCAACAGTGATACACTGTCTTTAAAAATAAAAATAAAAAATTAGGCTAATAAAAAATTAGCCTAAGCCAGGCTCACATGTTTTTAAGCATTTTTTTTAGCAATAAATAATTTTTAAATTAAAGTATATACAGTTTTTAGCCATAATGCCATTGCACACTTAGTAGACTACAGTATATTGTAAACATAACTTTATATGCACTGCGAAACTAAAAAAAGAAAAAGAAATGCATTTTGTAAGGCTATAGCTGCCATAGACAGTGATCAGATTGTTCTGATCAATCGGATCAAAGTAAATTGAAAACCTTCTGGAAAGGATTCATCATTCTAGGTGCCATTAAGAACATTGGTGATTCATGGGAGGAGGTAAAAAAATAAACATTAACAGGAGTTTGAAAGAAGCTCATTCCAGCCCTGATGGACAACTTTGAAGGGGTTCAAGACTTCAGAGGAGGAAGTAGCTACAGATTTGATGGAAATAGCAGGAGAACTAGAATTACAAGTGGAGCCTGAAGATGTGACTGAATTGCTGCAATCTCATAAAACTTGGATGGATGAGAAGTTGCTTCTTATGGACAAGCAAACAAAGTGGCTTCTTGAGATGGAATCTACTCCTGGTGAAGATGCTGCGAACATTGTTGAAATGACAACAAAAGATTTAGAATGTTACATAAACTTACTGGTAAAGCAGCAATAAGCAACTCAGTCGATGAAGGGTTTGGGAGGCTTGATTCCTATTTTGGAAAAAGTTCTATGGTGGGTAAAATTTTATCAAACAGCATCGAATGCTAGAGTAAAATTTTTCATGAAAGGAAGAGTCAATTGACACGGCAAACTTATTGTTTGTTTTAAACTAAATAAAACTGTTGTCTTATTTTAAGAAATTGCCCTAGTCACCCCAACCTTCAGCAACCACCACCACCCTTATCAGTCAGGAGCCATCAACATGGAGGCCCTCTAGTGGCAGAAAGATTACAACTCTGAAGGCTCAGGTGTTCTTTAACATTCTTTTAGCAATAAATAATTTTTAATTAAGGCATGTACATTGTTTTTTAGACATAATGCCATTGCACACTTAATAGACTACACATTGTAAACATAACTTTTATATGCATTGGGAAACAAAAAAATTCACTTTATTATGATGTTTGCCTTATTGCCATCATCTGTAACTGAACCCGCAATATCTCAGGTATACCTTTACTTTAATGATGATGTTTTCTGTCTTCTCGTTTGCATTATTCCTGATGAGAAAGTCTGCTGTCATCCTATTGCTATTTCTGTGTGTATAATGTGTTTTTTAAGCAGTTTGTGATGCATCTTGGTAAAGTGTTTTTCAAGTTTTTTGTGCCTTGGGTTCATAAAGAGTTTTGGATCTATGGGTTTATAGTTTCTGTCAAATTCCAAACAGTTATGGCATTTCTTCAAGTATACATTCTATCTTGCCCTGCTGTCATTTGGGGACTTCAGTTGAATGTATATTAGGCTCCTTTCAGTTTGTCTTAGTGTCTGCTTATGCTCTGTTCATTTTTTGTAGTTGTTTATTGGTTTTATTTTTTGTCATCATTATTGTGTTTACTAATCTTTTTCTCCGATGTCTGATTTACTGTTATTTCATTCAGTGTAATTTTCATCTTAGGCATTGTATTTTTTATCTGTAAAAATTTCATTTAAAAAACATCTTCCATGCCTCCACTTAGCATCTTCCCTCTATCTGCTTGAACATATGGAATATAGCTGTGACAACTGTACTAATTCTATCATTTGTGTCATATCTGGGTCTGTTATTATTAGTTGACTGGCTCACATTTTCCTGCCTCTCTTCATATTTGGTACTTTTTGATTCAATACCATATATTATGAATTCTACCTTGTTAGGCACTGGACATTTTTGCATTCTTGTATGTTTTGGGAAGCAGTTAAATTACTTGGAAACAGATCCTTTGCGTCTTGCTCTTAAGTTTCATTAGGTAGAACCAGGGTAGCATTTAGTTTAGCATAATTTTTCTCTACTTTTGAGACCACACCCTTCTGAGTACACTACCCAGTGTCCTGTGAATTTTGAGGTTTTCCAGTCTGACAGTCTGACAATCATGATGAAATCTTATATGTGAAAGAGATAAAATCAGGGTGTCATTGCCAGAGCCTCATCTCAGTATCTCACTAAATCAGGAAGTATATTTGGCTGTTTGTAATAAATACAAGGGGTTACCAAATAAGGGATTTACTTTTATCGTATAATCATTCTGAAGACTCAAAGTAGTCAGCATGCACTCTTTTTTTTTTTTTTTTCAAATGATATTTCTTTCTTTTTTTTTTTTTATTGATCATTCTTGGGTGTTTCTCGCAGAGGGGTATTTGGCAGGGTCATAGGACAATAGTGGAGGGAAGGTCAGCAGATAAACAAGTGAACAAAGGTCTCTGGTTTTCCTAGGCAGAGGACCCTGCGGCCTTCCACAGTGTTTGTGTCCCTGGGTACTTGAGATTAGGGAGTGGTGATGACTCTTAACGAGCCTGTTGCCTTCAAGCATCTGTTTAACAAAGCACATCTTGTACCGCCCTTAATCCATTTAACCCTGAGTGGACACAGCACATGTTTCAGAGAGCACAGGGTTGGGGGTAAGGTCATAGATCAACAGGATCCCAAGGCAGAAGAATTTTTCTTAGTACAGAACAAAATGAAAAGTCTCCCATGTCTACTTCTTTCTACACAGACACAGCAACCATCCGATTTCTCAATCTTTTCCCCACCTTTCCCCCTTTTCTATTCCACAAAACTGCCATTGTCATCATGGCCCGTTCTCAATGAGCTGTTGGGTACACCTCCCAGACGGGGTGGTGGCCGGGCAGAGGGGCTCCTCACTTCCCAGTAGGGGCGGCCGGGCAGAGGCGCCCCTCACCTCCCGGACGGGGTGGCTGGCCGGGCCGGGGTTTGACCCCCCCCACCTCCCTCCCGGACGGGGCGGCTGGCCAGGCGGGGGGCTGACCCCCCCCACCTCCCTCCCGGACGGGGCAGCTGCTGGACGGAGACACTCCTCACTTCCCAGACGGGGCGGCTGCCGGGCGGAGGGGCTCCTCACTTCTCAGACAGGACGGCTGCTGGGCGGAGGGGCTCCTCACTTCTCAGACGGGGCGGCTGCCGGGCGGAGGGTCTCCTCACTTCTCAGATGGGGCGGCCGGGCGGAGATGCTCCTCACCTCGCAGACGGGGTCACGGCCGGGCGGAGGCGCTCCTCACATCCCAGACGGGGCGGCGGGGCAGAGGCCCTCCCCACATCTCAGACGATGGGCGGCCGGGCAGAGACGCTCGTCACTTCCTAGATGGGATGGCGGCAGGACAGAGACGCTCCTCACTTTCCAGACTGGGCAGCCAGGCAGAGGGGCTCCTCACATCCCAGACGATGGGCGGCCAGGCAGAGACGCTCCTCACTTCCCAGACGGGGTGGCGGCTGGGCAGAGGCTGCAATCTCGGCACTTTGGGAGGCCAAGGCAGGCGGCTGGGAGGTGGAGGTTGTAGCCAGCCGAGATCACGCCACTGCACTCCAGCCTGGGCACCATTGAGCACTGAGTGAACGAGACTCCATCTGCAATCCCGGCACCTTGGGAGGCCGAGGCTGGCGGATCACTTGAGGTTAGGAGCTGGAGACCAGCCCAGCCAACACAGCGAAACCGCGTCTCCACCAAAAAAATACGAAAACCAGTCAGGCATGGCGGCGCGCACCTGCAATCGCAGGCACTCGGCAGGCTGAGGCAGGAGAATCAGGCAGGGAGGTTGCAGTGAGCCGAGATGGCAGCAGTACAGTCCAGCTTCGGCTCGGCATCAGAGGGAGACCGTGGAAAGAGAGGGAGAGGGAGGGAGGGGGAGGAGGAGGGAGAGGGAGAGGGAAGCATGCACTCTTTTTTAACTTACTGCTTTGCCATCCTAAGCATGTGGCCAAGGATTAAAATATCTAACAACTAGTTTTATATAATTTGGAATTTGAAGCTTAGCTCTGTCTAGATTGGAGATACAGATTTGAGGGTTAGTTTATAGGTGATGTTTCTTCAAGAGACTCAATAGAATGAAAAGAGTAGTAGTGCAAGAATGAAACTTCAAATGACACTGGCATTTAATAGCCAAACAAGGAAGAAGAGATTCTGAAGCAGACTCAGGTGAGATGTGGGAAGTGGGGTGAAGAATGGAGACTCGTGAGAGTGCATTGCCATGGAAGCTGTAATGGATATTTATGTTTTTAGCCTACCGGTATTTAAACAACCTTCTCTTTTCTTTTCTTTTTTTGCAGTGGTGGGGATGGGATCATCCATTGTGTTAGTCTTGGCGGAAGTAGCAGTGTTCTGTATCTAACCTTTACTGTAGTAGAATATAACACCAAAAGTAGGGAAGTTGGCCAGGCATGGTGGCTCACGGCTGTAATCGCAGCACTTTAGGAGGCCAAGGCAGGTGGATTGCTTGTGCCCAGAAGTTCAAGACCAGACTGGGCAACATAGCAAAACCGTGTCTCTACCGAAAATACAAAAATTAGCTGGGCATGGTGGTGCGTACCTGTAGTACCAGCTACTTGGGTGGCTGAGGTGGGAGTATCACTTGAGCCCAAGAGGTCAAGGCTGCAGCGAGCCATGATTGTGCCACTGCGCTCTAGCCTGGGTGACAAAGCAAGACCCTGTCTCAAAAAAGAAAAAAAAAACACAAAAAAACAAGAAGTAGGGAAGTCTAGATTATATGAAGTAAGCCATGGCAAGGACTTTGGAATTTATTCAAAGTAGAGAAACTACCAGTACTTTCTGACAGAGAGAGAGCATTAACATTCTCTGACTTACTTTTTAAAAGGGTGATCCTTATTGTTGTATAGGAAATGAGTTATATTAGAGTTTGGAGTAAAATCAAGTTGATCAGATATGAAACTATTTCAGTAATCCATGCAAGAGAGGATTATGGCTTGGAGTAGTGAAATATATTTTTAAGGGAAAGCTAATGGGATTTGCTAATGGATTGGAATATAAGGTGAGAGCATGAGAGGGGTCAAGCCTATCTCAAAATTTTTGTTTTGAGCAACTGGAAAAATAGAGATGCTTCTTGATAAGACTGGAGAAGAATAGATTTTTTTCACTTTGTTTTTGTTTTTACAATTTTTTTCTTCTGAAATAAGTTCCAGAAGTTGCAAAACCAGTATAAAGAAATTTGTTTTGATTATTTGAGAGTAACTTGCTAACATGAGGTCCCATCACCCCACAATATTTTAGTTTGTAATTGCTATCAATAAGGATATTTTTCTACATATCCAGAATCCAACTGTCAAAATGAGGAGGTTAGCATTGATAGAACCTGTGGATTATATCATCTAATCCACAGAACCCATTCAAGTTTTGCCAGTAGTCCCAATAATGCTCATTTTAGGAAAATAATTCAATCAGGATTATAATTTGCATTTAGTTGTTGTGTCTTTTTGATGTATTTCAATCTAGAACAGCCATAACGTTTCCTTGACTTTCATGATTTCGACAGTTTTGAGGTTTACAGAGCAGTTAATTCTTAGACTATTTCTCAATTGAGATTTGTCTAATGCTTCCCTATGAATCAATTCAGGTTATCAATTTTTGGTAGCAGTATCACAGAGGTGATGTGGTATTCTTCTCAGTGTTACCTTACCAGTTGGCACTTTTTTTTAATTTTTAAAAATTGAAGTCAGGCTAGTTAGGTACATGATTTTAATTTGCCTGTTACTGATGATCTTAATTAACATGGATCACTTGACTTAAGCTTTTTTTTTTGTCTGCTGGCTTTCTACACTAGAAAGGGTACTTTTTTTTCCTTTGAAAAATGAGTGGAAATGATTATTTTTTGGAGATGGTGTGTTGAAACTAAGTAACTCATTCCTCATCACACTTTTCATCCACTAGCTTTAGCATTTGTTGATTTTTCTTGGTTGAATTATTACTTAATTATTTCTATTGATGATTGCTGAATGGTGGTCTTTCTAATTTTATTACATTCATTAGTTGACATTCTACTGTAAGAAAAAGCTTTCTCTTCCTCCCATTGTTGATTTATTTGTTTATCTTTGTTTTTATGGACTCATGGTTTTCTTCTTTCTTTTTTTTTTTTTTTTTGTTTTTGTTTTTGTTTCAGGAGATGGGATCTTGCCATGTCGCCCTGGTGGGATACAAACCCCTGGGCTGAAGTGATCCTCCTGCCTCAGTCTCCTGAGTAGCTGAGATTATAGCTATTGGGCCTAACTTCATTGTTTCATTTTTTCTATTCAGTGGGCCTGTAATCCAACATTATTTTTATTTTGATGCTCAAATTGTCCCATATTTGATAAGTGGAATCCCCTTCAAGTTGTGCCTGTGGCCTTCTGACATGTCCCCATAAGTCTTTATGTGCTTTCTTTCTGGTTCAGTGAGATGTTTTAGGCTCATTTTGCAATTACCTCCTCTAAATCAGCTGTATCTCAGTCATATTCTGATTCCTCAGCCGTACAGTGGGGATTGGTACTTGCAGACATCAGGGCAGCGTGGCAAAACTCCATCTCTACAGAAAATTAGCTGGGCGTGGTAGCAAATGCTATAGGCTGAGGTGGAAGAATTGCTTAAGCCCGGGAGATTGAGGCTGCAGTGAGCTGTGATAGTACCACTGCACATCAGCCTGGGTGACAGTGCAAGACCCTGTCACAGAAAACAAAACAAAACCACCTGAAAAATTTCGTTGAGAATTTAAATTTTTATTGAAAGAGAATATACTAAATAAAACTTCCCCAACCACTTTGTGACTTTCTCTATGTGCATATGTATGGTAGGAGAATTTTGTATTCCAGCTAGTTGTTTCCTCAAAAGGTAAATTGGAGTGATATGGCATTATGGAAAGTTTACTTGAGTAAGAAATAAGAAACAGGTATTCAAGTCTTAGCTTTGTCCAACTTTATAAGTTATATTATCTTTTTGGCCCTCAGATTTTAAAATAAGATGTTTAGACTAGATGTTTTCTTCTCAGCTGTTTAAAATTTAGTCTTATATTTGTCTTGATTAAAAGTCCTAAAAACTGAGGTAATACAGTGGTTGCCCTTGAAATGGTACTGATAGGCATGATGAAGGGAGCACTTTCTCGAGACCAGGCTGGATGGCCTGTAATCCCAACACTTTGAGAGGCCGAGGCAGGAGGATTGCTTGAGCCCAGGAGTTTGAGACCAGCCTGGGCAACACAGTGAGACGCCATATAAAAAAACAAAAACAAAAACAAAAAACTAGCCAGGCATGATGCGTACCTGTAGTCCCAGCTACTTGAGAGGCTGCAGCAAGAGGATCACTTGAGTCAGGGAAGTTGAGGCTGCCGCAGGCAGTGATCATGCCAGTGCACTCTAACCTGGGCAACAAAGTGAGACCCTGTCTCCAAAAAAAAAAAGAAAGAAAAGAAAGGAACACTTTCTTGTTTTATGTTATATTCTGTGTTAATAATTTTTACATTTTTTCTTTGATAATTCCTTAATGTTACTTGACATTTGAAAATAATATAACTAAAAAGAAATTAAAGTTGTCAGTGCTTACAAAATGGCAGCATGCAAGGATAACATGGTTGTTTTTGTAAAAATTTGAATTAGTTGCTAATATTTGAAATTGGGGAGATCTCACATTAAAATTTGGATTAGGGCTTTTTGAAAAACCAGCATATCTGATAATACTGAGCCCGAACTTCTGTAGCAGCTATTGACTGGAGCTGAGGCAGTTGCTTCTCTAGGTGAGCAAATGATCTCTAGTTATTCATAGAACCAGCCACTTCTATTTTGTTTCCTTCCTTTCTCCCTTCCTTCCTTTTTCAGTTATAATTTGCATACCATGAAATTCACCCTTTTAAATACTACAATTCAGTAATCTTTCATTTATTCACAGAGTTGTGCAACCATCACCACTGCCTCACTCCAGAACATTTCCTCATCCCCCAAAAGATACTTCATACTCATTCACAGTCATTCCCCATTTCCCATACCCTGGCTTTAGGAAATCACTAATCTACTTTCAGTCTCTGTAGATTTGCTATTCTAGACATTTCATGTAAGTGGAATATGGGGCTTTTTAAAAATCTGGCTTATTCCACTTAGCATAAATTTGTCCATGTTGGAGCATGTATAGGTACTTTATTCTTTTTAATGACTGAATTTTATTTATTTGTTTATTTATTTATTGGAGATGAAGTCTCACTCTGTTGTCCAGGCTGGAGTGTAGTGGCGTAATGTGGGCTCACTGCAACATCTGCCTCCCATGTTCAAGCAATTCTCCTGCCTCAGCCTCCTGAGTAGCTGGGATTACAGGCTCCTGCCACCATGCCCAGCTAATTTTTGTGTTTTTAGTAGAGATAGGGTTTCATCACATTGGACAGACTGGTCTCAAACTCCTGACCTCAAGTGATCCAATTATCTCAGCTTCCCAAAGTGCTGGGATTACAGATGTAATCTGTAAGCCACCACACATGGTCAATAATATTTCATCATATGGATATAGGACATGTTTCTCTCTTCATCAGTTGATGGACATTTGGGTTCTTATAAATAGTGCTGCATTGAATTTACAGGGTTTTGTGTGGTTGTGTGCTTTCAGTTCTCTTGGGTATATACAATAGGAGTGGAAACAGTGGCTCATATTTCTTCACATCTTCATTACCACCTGTCATTGTCTTTCTTTTTGATTATAGTCATCCTACTGGATGTGAGGTAGTATGTCATTTTGATTTTTATTGGCATTTCCCTGATGACAGATGATACTGAGCATCTTTATTTTTCTTTTTCAGTATTGTTGTGGCTATTCAGTGCCTATTGCAGTTTCATATGAATTTAAGGATCAGTTTTCCGTTTCTGCTAAAAGAGGCCATTGGAATTTTGATAGAGAGTTCATTGAATCTGTAGATAACTTTGGGAGTATTGCTATCTTAAAAATATTGTTTTCCCATTCATGAATATGGGATGTCTTTCTGTATATTTAGGTCTACTTTAATTTCTTTCAACAGTGTTTTGTAGTTTTTAGAGTGCAAGCTGCATTTTTTTGTTGTTGTTAAATATGTTCCTAAGTACTTTATTTTTTTTGGTGGTATTGTAAATGAAATTGATTTCTTAATTTTATTTCCAGAATGTTTATTGCTAATGTATAGAAATATAATTGATTTTTGAATGTTGACCTTGTATCCTGCATCTGTGCTGAACGTGTTTATTGATTCTAATACTGTTTTTGTTTGTTTCTTAGGTTTTCCTGTATCTAAGATTATGTCACTTGCAAATGGGTATAGTTTTACTTCTTATCCAGTCTGGATTCCGTTTATTTCATTTTCTTGCCTCGTCTTCTGACTAGAACCTCTAGTACAATATTAAATAGATGTGTGGCAAGAGTGGACATCCCCATATTCCTGGCCTTACTGGGAATGTATCCTGTTTTTCACCATGAAGTTTTTCACCATAATCAACTTGATTATGTCCTCTTCTGTTTGTTATCTTTTGAGCATAAAAGGGTGTTGAATTTTGGCACATGTGTTTTCTGTATGTTTTGAGATGATTTGGTTTTTGTTCTTTTTTCTTTTTTTTCTTTTTTTCCTTGAGACAGAG
Organism: Homo sapiens; assembly: GCF_000001405.40. Classification (NCBI taxonomy): domain Eukaryota; kingdom Metazoa; phylum Chordata; class Mammalia; order Primates; family Hominidae; genus Homo; species Homo sapiens. The sequence goes on along the minus strand of NC_000002.12, from coordinate 127,346,981 downwards.
TCTCGCTCTGTCGCGCGGGCTAGAGTACAGTGCAGCATGATCTCTGCTCACTGCCAACCTCTGCCTCCCAGGTTCAAGGGAGTCACCTGCCTCAGCCTCCCAAGTAGCTGGGATTATAGGTGCCCATCACCATGCCTGGCTAATTTTTGTATTTTTAGTAGAGGCAGGGTTTTGCCATGTTGGCCAGGCTGATTTCGAACTCCTGACCTCAGGTGATCCGCCTGCCTCAGCCTCCCAAAGTGCTGGGATTACAGGCATGAGCCACTGTGCCTGCCTGGTTTTTGTTCTTTGTTCTGTTAATGTGGTTTTTTACATTGATTGGATTTTATGTGCTGAACCAACCTTGATTTTGTTGGATATATCCCAAATGTGCATGGTATATAATTTGTTTTTTAATGTTCTAGGTTAGGTTTGCTAGTATTTTATTGAGGATTTTTGCATCTGTATTGATGAGATATTGATCTTTAGTTTTCTCATCTTGTGATGGCTTTGTCTGGTTTTGGTATTGGAGTAATACTGGCTTCACAATGAATTGGGAAGTGTTCCTTCTTTTTTTTTTTTTTTTTTTTTTAAAACCAGTTTTTGTAAATTCTGTAAATGTTTGAAGTGATCTGGTCCAGGGCTTTTATTTGTGAGAAATTTTTCATTTCTAATTTAGTCTTTTTACTTTTTATAGGTCTGTTCAAATTCTTAATTTCTTCTTGATGAGTCGATTTTGATAATTTGTTTCTTTTTAGGAATTTGTCTGTGTCATCTCAGTCATCTAATTTGTTGATGTACAGTTGTTAACAGTATTCTCTTATCCTTTTTATTTCTGAAAGGTTGGTGTAATTGCTCCCTTTTGAATTCTTGAATTTAGTTATTTGTGTTTTCCCTCTTCTTTTTTTGATTAGCTAAAAGTTTGTTAGTTTTGTTGATCTTTTCAAAGGGCCAATTTTTGTTTTCTTGATTTTTTTTTTAAATTTCAGTGGTATTTTTATTTTCTACTCCCTATTCCTTTAGCTTGTTTCAGATTTAAATTGTTCCTCATCTTCTAGTATTTTAAGGTCAAAGGTTAGGTTATTGATTTGACATCCTTCTTGTTTGTCAATGTAAATATTTACAGTTATAAATTTTATCTTTAGATGCATCCAATACATTTTGTTTTGATGTGTTTTCATTTTTATCTCAAAGTATTTTCTAATTTTCCTTATGCCTTCTAGTGACCCATTGATTATTTTTATGTTTTTTAATTTTCACATATTTGTGAATTTTCCAGATATCCTTGTGTTGCCAATTTCTAATTTTATTGCATTTTTGTCAGAGAACACACTTTGTGTGATTTCAATCCATGTAGTTACTGAGATTTGTTTTATTACCTAATATTTGGTCTGTCTTGGAAATGTCCTATATGTATTTGAGAAGAGTGTATATTCTGCTGTTTTGAGGTTGATTATTCTGTAGGTGTTTGTTAAGCCTAGTAGTTTATAGTGTTGTACAAGTCTTGTATTTCCTCATTGATTTTCTGTCTACTTATTTTATCCGTTATTGAACGCAGGGCATTGAAATCTCCAACTTTTATTTTTGAATTGTGTTTCTTCCTTGAATTTTATACTTTTTTGCATTGTGTATTTTGCGATTCTGTTGTTAGGTACATATAAGTTTATAATTGCTATATCTTTTTGATGTATTGGCTATCTTTCATTATAAAATGCTGTTTGTCACAACAATTTTTGTGTCTGTTTTGCCTGATAGTGGTGTAGCCACTGCAGGTCTGTTTTGACTACTGTTTGCATAGTATATCTTTTTCTATCCTTTTACTGTCAACCTATTTTGTCTTCGAATTTAAAATGTGGACCAGGTGTTGTGGTTCGTAGTCCCAGCACTTAGGGAGGCCAAACTGGGAGGATCACTTTAGCCCAGGAGCTTGAGACCAGTCTGGGTAATCTGTACAAAATCTTTTTTTAAAAATCAGCTGGGTGTGATAGCATGCACCTGTAGTCCCATCTACTCGGGGGTGCTGAGGTGGGAGGATTGCTTGAGCCTGGCAGATCAAGGCTGCAGTGAGCTGTGATCATGCCAGTGCACCTCAGCCTGGGAAAGAGAGCAAGACCCTCCTCCTGTCCCCCAAAAAAAGTGTCTGTTGTAGGCAACATATTCAGGTCAAAATGTTTGGGACCAGAAGTTTTTTGGATTTTTTTCATGTTTTGTAATATTTGCATATACATAGTGAGGTATCTTGGGAAAGGGACCCAAGTCTAAACATGAAATTCTTTTATGTTTCATATACATCTTATTCATATAGCTAAAGGTAATTTTATACAATTTTTTAAATGTTTTCGAGACAGGGTCTTGCTCTGTCACACAGGCTGGAGTACAATCATAGTTCACTGCAGCGTTGACCTCCCTGGCTCAAGCAGTCTTCCCACTTTAGCCTTCCAGTTAGCTGGGACTACAGGCATGCACCACTACACCTGGCATTTTGTTTTTTAAATCTTTTTTTTTTTTTTTTTTGGTGGAAATGGGAGTCTCCCTATGTTGCCCAGGCTGGTCTCAAACTCCTGGGCTCACGTGATCCTCCCACCTTGGCCCCCCCAAATTGCTAGTATTATAAGTGTGAGCCACTGTACTAGCCAACAATTTTTAAAATAATTTTGTGTCTGAAACAAAGTTTCTATTATTACCCTTGTAGGCCTCTTGCATGGGGGAATTTGGGCATGCATGGAAAAGATATATTACAGTGGAAGGGGCTGGTAGGGTCTCTTTTCTCCTGGGGGATGCTGAATAAACTGAGTTGTGCATCTGCCTTTTGACTGTGACATATCACATGAGGACAGGTTTGTGGAATTTTCCATTCATAGTGTCATGTTGGCACTCATATTTTTCATCTTATTTTCTAGTTGACCTGGGGATTACAGTTAACATCTTATAATAACATAGTTTGAGGTAATATCAACTTAATTGCAATGGTATACAAACACTTTTTTTTTTCTTCTAGGCAGTCTCGCTGTGTCGCCCAGACTGGAGTGCCACAGCTCACTGCAACCTCAACCTCCCAGGCTCAAGTGATCCTCCCACCTCAAGCCTCCCAAGTAGCTGGGAGCTACAGGCATGCACTACTGCACCCGGCTAATTTTTGTATTTTTTTGTATAGATGGGGTTTCACCGTGTTGGACAGGCTGGTCTCGAACTCCTGGGCTCAAGCAATCCGCCTGCCTAGGCCTCCCAAAGTGCTGGGATTATGGCATGAGCCACTGCACTTGGTCATAAACACCTTTCTTTTATGTAACTCTATCCTTTCCCTTTCCTGTGTGCTGTTAATATTATGTGAATTATATTATTATATATTGTATACCCAGCAACACAGTTATAATTATTGCGTTATGCAGTTTTTTTTTTAAACCAACATATTAGTTTCCTATTGCTGTTTATATAGAAAAAGAGTTAATGTAGTGGGCCTGATTGCTGATTTGTAGAAGGCCTGCTTAGGAGTTAGCCTTTGGCTGACACCTGAGAACTTGGATTTCAGGAGAGTTCCTGCCTCCAACTGATAATGGTTTGTACAAACACTATGGTTTATGCTGAATACCTGCTTTTCTTCTGGGAGTCTGGAATTTTGGTATGTGTTAGGCAAGGGGGTGCCTACATGATCAACCTTCAATATAAAACACCTCCCCCTAGCGAAATGTGTAAAGTATTCATATTGTATATTTTTCATTAGTATTATTTAAACTGACTTTTTTTTTTCTTTTCCTGGCTCCTTTTCTGTTTCTTTTTATTAATATGCTGATCTGTTTTATCTTCTCAGGCCATAAAGAATGCTGATGGGAGAACCATTTTCCTAATTTTCAAATTGTTGAGCTGTTTGCCATAATGGGTGAGTTCAAACTAAAAGCATTTTTCAGCAATAATTAAAGGATAGAATGGAAGTGAAAAAACTTTCTCTATTATGTGTTATTATAAACCTTTTTATAAATAAATTTTATGATATAGCAGATTTATGAAATGTTTTATATTTACTTAATAGACTTTGAATTAAAGTACTTTTTGTGTTGCTGTAGTTTTAGAATGATCATTTTATGCGTAACAGCAGGGACATTCAAAATAAGCTGTTAAGATGTGTTGTGATTTGCTTAAAGTCTGATGGCAAGAGAGAAATCATAAAATTTAATTTTATCATTCATAGAGCAGCAAATCATTGGTGCTCAGGGAGAATATGTTATACAACTCTTGGTCGTATATTGTGGTATAATGTTAGTTTAAAGACACTAAAGTATGGGAATGGATTGTGTATGTTCAGTTTACATATTTTGTTTTCCTGTTTACCTCCTTTTTGTTTTTTCCTTTTCTCCTTTGTGTTAAGGGTTCCAGCATGAGGCAGGGAATTAGTTAGACAGGAAGACACTAGAAGGAAATGGAGTCACGAATGGCCCACCCTATCCTAAATCAAGAAAAATGGTACTGAGTAGTTGGATGCTAAATTTTGAAACTTAGACTGATCCTGGGATTTAATTCTGACATTTGCTTGCCAGAGTTTGCCTTTATCACACATTTTCTACTTCTTGCTTAACAAAACAAATACACACACACACACACACACACACACACACACACCCTCATGAAGAACTTATATTTGCCCATGTGATGAAAGTGGGGGCTAGGACACTTTCACTGTGTGTCATTGTAGCAAGTATGTAAGCTTAGACTTCACCTCCCTACTTTAAAAATTGTTCTTCCACTTCCTCTTCTGTAGTCATGAGTAGCAGTGCCCCCTTGTAGCCCAAATTCTCCACTCTAGTCAGCCTTACTTTCAGCTCCAAATTGGATGTACTTTTACTGAACTTCTTTCAACTTTTTATTTTGGGTGCTGTCACTTGTACTCTATGTATCGATCAAATTTATTTTTGTCAGCCTCAAATAATACTGCTCTATAGTAGGGCAACATTCATTGCTTAAAAACATACAAAGTTAGTCACAGAACACCATGACAGATGTTTGAATTTTTGATTGAGGATGTTCTTCTGTAATTATTTTTCAAATATCATGAATAAGCATATAAGGTATTTAATTCAACATTTCTGATAAAAGATTTTTGAAAAAATTATTTTCCAAGTATTTTTTGGTTTTGTGCTCAATTCAGTGTCCTTCCAACATGTGTCAGAAACCCATTGGGCCGGGCGTGGTGGCTCATGCCTGTAATCCCAGCACTTTGGGAGGCCGAGTCGGGTGGATCACGAGGTCAGGAGATTGAGACCATCCTGGCTAACACAGTGAAACCCCATCTCTACTAAAAATACAAAAAATTAGCCAGGCATGGTGGCGTGCGCCTGTAGTCCCAGCTACTCAGGAGGCTGAGCCAGGAGAATGGCGTGAACCCAGGAGGCGGATCTTGTAGTGAGCCGAGATCACGCCACTGCACTCCAGCCTGGGCGACAGAGCAAGACTCTGTCTCAAAAAAAAAAAAAAAAAAAACAACAAAAAAAAACCCATTGTACTTACCCATAAGTACGTAAGTGTACTTATGGGTAAATAAGTGCCCAGTAGTAATTCTTCAAGCCCGCCAAGTAAGGAACTCAATTAAATTGCCCTTTGTTTTTTATGTCACCTTCCTAATATGGGAAGTTTTGTTCAACTGGCCCCACCATTTTTTACATATATAACAGAAAACGGTACTTATTTTTTTTTCCGTTCTCATTTTTCTTAATAAATAAGTAGGCCGGGTGCAGTGGCTCACACCTGTAATCCCAGCACTTTGGGAGGTCGAGGCAGGCGGATCACGAGGCCGGGAGATCGAGACCAACCTGGCTAACTCGGTGAAACCCCATCTCTACTAAAAATACAAAAAATTAGCCAGGCGTGGTGGGGGGTGCCTGTAGTCCCAGCTACTCGGGAGGCTGAGGCAGGAGAATGGTGTGAACCCGGGAAGTGGAGCTTGCAGTGAGCCGAGATGGCGCCACTGCACTCCATCCTGGGCAATAGAGCGAGAATCCATCTCCCCTTGCTTCCCCCGTCCCCCCCAAAAAGAAAGAAGTATTTATAAATGTGATAATTTTAGCCAAAGGCCCTCCCCCAAGGCATTTATTTTGACATTGTAATATTAAGCATATAAAATTGTTTAAATTCAAATGTTTAGGTTTCTTCTAATAAAAATTAGAACAACATAGATAGATTTAAGTTCCCACTTTGGGAGGCCAAGGTGGGAGGATCGCTTGAGCCCAGGAGTTCAAGACCAGCCTGGGCAACATGGTGAGACCCCCATCTCTACAAAAAAATAAAAAAAGAATTAGAGTTCATCTATCCCTAGTATAGAATTAAGGATTTACCTTTTTTTTTTTTTTCCTTTTGGGAAACAGATTCATGCTCTGTTGCTCAGGCTGGAGTGCAGTGGTGCAATCTCAGCTCGCTGCAACCTCTGCCTCCTGGGTTCAAGAGATTCTCCTGCCTTAGCCTCCCAAGTAGCTGGGACTACAGGCACCTGCCACCATGCCTGGCTAATTTTTGTATTTTTAGTGGAGACGGGGTTTCACCATATCGGCCAGACTTGTCTTGAATTCCTGACCTTATGATCTGCCCCCCTCGGCCTCCCAAAGTGTTGGGATTACAGGCTTGAGCCATTGTGCCTGGCCAAGGATTTACCTTCTTAAAGAAGGTCACATCAAATGCTTTTATTCCAGTTGAGATCATTGTGAGCTTATTGATGGGTACATCTATTGTGATTATATTGTACCTGACTGTGGCTTGGTTACCTATTTGGCTAAACTAACATTATGATAAAACTTTATTTTATAAAAAATCCTTGGTGAAGGATTATAAAATTTTTTCTTAACCTGGAAATATTAATAAATTAATAAACCAATAAAACCATGGCAACCATTACTTTTAAATTTTAATATGCAAATAATTTCACTACAAAATAGACTATATTAAGTGTTATTAAAAATTAGTAAATTAGAGAAGTCAGCTGTTTGTGTGTTTGAGAGACTATTAGGGCTACTGAATTGTTGGAATATTTTTAGTGATTTCCCATACAGGATATGGCATGTTTTAATTTTTACTACTCCAAGAACATAAGTTACTGCTCACCAAAATGGTTACATTTTAAAATGTAAAGTGTAAAGTCTCTTGATTCCTTTATTTATCATTTGTGATTATCATTAGTAGAATTGATTTACTAGTGAAAATAAATTAAGTTGTCCCTGATGTCTTCTGGAGAGCTTATAATTGGCATTACTGGCAGGCACATGGTTTTAGTCTCAGAAGGAAATCTTTGGTATATTTATAAGAGTCTAAAAGTTCATGTTCATGATGCTTTCTCTCAGTTTTATGGACTTGGTACTTTTTCTAAGGAAAGGAATTTTCTTACATTGTTGCTGGCCAAGATCTTTAAATAGTCTGTTTTTAGTCTTGTCAAACCTTATGGTGAAGAAGTTTGAAAGAGCATTTCCAAATACAGTAGGCCAGTATCCACAGGTGAAGCTTTTCTTTGTTTCTGACTCTTAAGTATTGATGAAAGAATAAAAAAACCTTCCAAAATTAAGTCTGTACTTTGAATATAAATGCTAAGTAATGAGATTTATACAAAGTTGTTTATTTTTTTTTCCCTACTTTTTAAAACATTTTAGATACCTTGATGTTTTGTTTAGGAGTCATAGAAAAGAATTTGTTATAACAGGGCAGTTTTGACCTTATTCTAGGATATTAAATCATTGGAAGAATCAGAATGACTTCATCTTGTCCATTAGTGTCTCATGTGTGGACTGATGCTAGAGATTAAGTCTAGTGCAATTTTATTTTACCAAAAGTGTAGGCATTAAAAATGTTCTAGATGCATTTTTGCATTAATACATTCTCTACATCAAATTTTATTTTAAATTTTGTGTTTGATGTCTATACATGTTGATATATATGTCACAATTACAATTCTATGTATGTGTTGTTTCAAAACTACCTAGATGATCAGCAAGCTTTGAACTCAATCATGCAAGATTTGGCTGTCCTTCATAAGGCCAGTCGACCAGCATTATCCTTGCAGGAAACCAGAAAAGCAAAATCTTCATCACCAAAAAAACAGGTATTTATTTTAATAAGTATTTTTTTATGAATTACTTTCCTTTAATATCCTAATCTTATGGAGGACTTGTTTAATGTGTTCAGCTTTTACACTTTCGAATCAAGAATTTTGTTAGTGTTTGTTACACATTTTCGTGTAAGAGTGTGTGTTCATCTATTAACAGTAGCAAAGACGTGGAATCAACTTCAGTGTCCATCAGTGGTAGACTGGATAAAGAAAATGTGGTACATATACACCATGGAATTCTGTGCAGCCATAATAAATAACAAAATCATGTCCTTTCAGGAACATGGATGGAACTGGAGACCATTATCCTTAGCAAACTAATGCAGGAACAGAAAACCAAATACCACATGTTCTCAGTTATAAGTGGAGGGTAAATAATGAGAACACATGGAGACATAGAGGGGAGCAATAGACACTGGGGCCTGCGAGAGGGTGGAGGGCAGGAGGAGGGAGAGGATCAGGAAAAATAACTAATGGGTACTAGGCCTGATACCTGAGTGACTAAATAATCTACAAGCAACTCCCCGTGACGTGAGTTTACCTGTATAAGAAAACTGCTCATGTACCCCTGAACTTAAAAGTTAAAAAAATTTTTTTTAAGTTTGTGTTCATAAAGAATTGTAGCATTCTGCAGCCAACGTTGACCCCTTCCCAGAAAAAATAAGGTAGCATTTCATTTAATGTGGTAACTGTTCTCCAAAGCTGACATTTCATCCATTTTTCAAGCACTTAAGCAAATTGTGTTTTGTTTTGTTCTTCAAATAGTCTACTCTGGATTTTTAGAAATGAGGATGTTTTTGATTCTGATAAATGAAATTAGTTTTGGATACTCAGCATGACACATAAAAATATAATATTCTGTATTTCCCATAACAGGATCAGCAAATGTCTCATACTCCTGGTACCTTCACTAATAGATCTTGGTGTTCTTTCCTGTTGAGCCCAGATTCAGCAACATAATTCTCAACTTTTTAGCAGACACTATCAATTGTTTGGAGCTGGTACAGAACTTCAAAATTCCCTCCTCGTCTGGTCTATTTTAAATGAATGGCTAAAAAACAAAATCATTTAGAAATTGTAGAAATTTTATCTAATCTCTGAATGATCTGTCTAATCTCTGAAAGACTGATTTGTCATTTCATTACAGAATGATGTCCGAGTCAAATTTGAACATAGAGGAGAAAAAAGGTAAGGAAGGAAACATTACATGTTAATTAATTGATTTAATCAAATGTGTATTCTAATTAAGCTTTTGAAAGGTTCTTTTCAGATTTGAATGAAGTTTCATGGTTTACAAATTGAGAATAGAGTAGTCCTTGGGAATGTGTAATGTGCTTAGACTTAAGATAGATAAAATATGTCAAAATTCAGGTTAAATATTAGAAATGATTAATGTCTTTGCAATTTTCAGAGATAAATAAGATCACTGTTTAATACAGCCTTTACATATTTTCACTTCCTTTCATTTTTACTTGGGGGAAATTAAATATATTTTTCCTTATAATTGTTTCATCCCTCCAGATACTATATAGCATTTATATATGTGAGCTTAACATTTACAATTCTGATTATTCTCAAGAGACCTCAGTTTTATGACATTTACGTCATTAGTAATGTTGAGGAAAGTGAATTGGACTAGTGGCTGCAAATTATTTAGCAGAGATGTAAACCTAGTCTTCTACTTGGTATCTGTATCTCAGTGCACAAATGATAGGGTGGTAGTTGACAACAAAATTGCTAACAAGACCTAATAGGAATTAAGGCCGATAGAATTTTTTTTTTTTGAGATGGAGTCTTACTCTGTCGCCCAGGCTGGAGTGCAATGGCGTGATTTTGGCTCACTGCAACCTCCACCTCCCGGGTTCAAGCAATTCTCCTGCCTCAGCCTCCTGAGTAGCTGGGATTGCAGGCAACAGCCACCATGCCTGGCTAATTTTCGTATTTTTTAGTCGAGATAGGGTTTCACCATGTTGGCCAGGCTGGTCTCGAACTCCTGACCTCAGATGATCCACCCGCCCCGGCCTCCCAAAGTGCTGGGATTACAGGCGTGACCCACGCTCCCAGCCTGATGATAGAATTTCATTTCTGCTATTAGTGTCTCATGAAATTAATGTAGTGAAAAGCCTAACAGTTTTAAGGATTTTAAAGTGGCTCACAAATCATATAAGCATATTCTACATAGAAATATTTAAAACTGGAATATATCAGATAAACCATGGAACTATCCAATCTATTTTCCTATTTAAGATTCTTTTTTGGATATTTTCCCAATTTTTTCATTCATTCAGCATTATTTGTTGAGTACTTAGTATATGCTAGGCCCTGAAGGAATAAAGGGAGCAAAGCAGACACAGTCTTTTTCCTTATGGGGCTTATAGTGTGGTATTGGTGGTCTTCAAGCTTTAGGTGCATGCTCTCTAGGGGCAGCACAGGCCAGTCTTTGGGAAGTAGAAAGAAAACACTAGAATTTTAATCTTGTAAAAATATTTATTTTGGAAGTATGCCTACATGATATATGTACCCAAAAATGTTGAGTTGATAAGGATACAGAAATCAAAATTTGAATCCCTGGAGAACAACTTTATTCTTTTTAACAGTTTCATTTCATTCTGTCATACAGATGTCACATAGTTAAGTTTAATCAGTTTCCTGAATAAACATTTTGCATTGCTCTTTAACATTCATATGGTAGTTTCAGTGCAAATTAAAAACTGCAGAAAATTTTGAGAATTTCCTTTTTAAAATTTGTATTAGGATAAAACAGACTTCAGAGTTTTTGAACTTTGTGTTGAAAATGTGTGCCTGTGTTAAAAAATGTGCTGTTGTAGTGTTAAGTAAAGTGAATATTTACGTAATTTTTAGTTAATCTTGTATCACTCTAAAAGGAGGTAACTTTTGCAAGTTTATTATTTAACTTTGCCTAAGAAAATAAAATCTTAAAATTGTGTTTATATAGAATCCTTCAGTTCCCCAGACCAGTTAAACTGGAAGATCTGAGATCTAAAGCTAAAATTGCCTTTGGACAGTCTATGGATCTACATTATACCAATAACGAGGTAAACATGTACAGTTTAACTTTAGTAGATCTTACCTTCAAAAGTAATGTGTTCGTTTAAGAGACTGCTTTTAAGACTCGTGTTTTTATTTAGGGATTGATAAATATATGGTATGTCAGAAGGATAAAACAAGTAAATTTTAACTGACTAAAATGGATTTATTTCATTGTGGAAAATAATAGAGGGTGCTACTATGCAAATAATTGAATGAGGGTGTATTATAGGGGAAAATATATGTATTACTTGGAATTTTGCTGCTTATTTATGGTTTTGTTTTTATTCTGTGTACTTTATTGGTGAACTGTCTTTTCCTCTCATACTCTACACTTGGCTACAGATGACAGAGCTTTGGTAGTTAAACAATTGAGTTAAAGGATTATTTTAGTGTTGGTTAGGGCTCAATTAGCTTATTATGTTTGGGAATCAGTATGTATGATCTGAAGGGCTTGCTCTAGCAGTGAGGAGCTCTGCGTTGTGGAGAAACCCCTTTTTAATGTTCTGTAAACTTAGGATTGGATTCAGTGATCTCTGAAGTTTCTTTTAGTTCTTGAGATTCTATGAGATATCAGGATCTTGTGATCTTAAAATTTATAGGACAATTTAGTTAATAATTGGGTTAGTAATTAGGTGAATTTGTTTTTTATATTCAGAAAGTATTTATTAATTTTTCAGGCATAATGCTATAAGTTATAAGTTGCAGCACCTCATGGAGTATAGACCTTATAGACTTGTGGTACAAGCAAACCATTAATAAATGAGTTGTTTGAATATACGAAGTTCTTTGAAAGAAATGCATAAAGTAGGCCAGACATGGTTGCTCACGCTTGTAATCCCAGTACTTTGGGAGGCAGAGGTGGGCAGATCACAAGGTCAAGAGAACAAGACCATTCTGGCCAAGTGGTAAAACCCCATCTCTACTAAAAATACAAAAATTAGCTGAGCGTGGTGACGTGCACCTGTAGTTCCAGCTACCTGGGAGGCTGAGGTAGGAGAATCGCTTGAACCCGGGAGGCAGAGGTTGCAATGAGCTGATACCGCGTCACTACACTCCAGCCTGGTGACAGAGCGAGACTCCGTCTCAAAAAAAAAAAAAAATGCATAAAGTATTGTGTTGAAGAATAACGGGCAGAGCACAGTGGCTCATGCCTATAATCCCAGCACATCGGGGGAGGCCAAGGCAGGAGGATCACCTGAGGCCGGGAGTTCAAGACTAGCCTAGGCAACATAGCCAGACTCCATCTCTACAAAAAAGTAAAATTATCTGAGTGTGATGGCATACACCTGTAGTCCCAGCTATTCGGGAGGCTGAGGCAGGGGGATTTAAGGTGGGAGGATAGCTTGAGCCCAGGAATTTGAGGGTACAGTGAGCTACAGTTGAACCACTGCACTCCAGCCTGTGTGACAGAGCTGTCTGAACAAAAAAGAATAAATTTTTAAAAAATGTCTTGAACTTGAATTATTATCTCATAGGATGATTATAGGGGAGCCTAGACATATCTTTTTTTCTTTTTTCTAAAATTGTATTATGGAAAACTTTCAAATGCCAAGATACATTAAGACTACAATATTGTCTTTATCTACAGCCTAGTAGGTCTATCAAGAAAAATGAGGTTAGCATGACATGATTTGTCCATATTATACCTATGTCACCTCCTAAGAATTGCTGGTTTTTTTTTTAGTGACTTCTCCCAGTTTGCTATGTAATTTTTTTCTGGGGTTTTCTTGAGGATTGACATCAAGCTAACTGGTTTTTGTTTTTGTTTTTTGTGTGAGACGAGGTTTCACTCTGTCACCCAGGTTGGAATGCAGTGGCCCGATCTCACCTCACTGCAACCTTTGCCTCCCAGGACTCAAGCGATCTTCCCACGTCAGCCTCCTGAGTAGCTGGGACCACAGGCAGGCACCACTGCTCCCGGATAATTTTTGTATTTTTGGTAGAGGCGGGGTTTCACCATGTTGCCCAGACTGGTCTCAAACTCCTGAGCTCAGATGATCCACCTGCCTTGGCCTCCCAAAGTGCTGGGATTACAGGTATGAGCCACCGCGCCTGGCCTGATCTGTATTTTTAAGAACCTTTTCCCATTTTCTAAAAATTGGAAAACTGCTCCATTTTAGTTTATTTTTCTCATGCTTTCTGAAGGATTTCTGTGAGTGGTTCTACCATTATATTTTGGTGGCCTCTTGGCAGGAATGTGGTAGGGGTGGCATTAGGATAAGATTACATTTAAGATTTCTTGCAACCCTGAGATTCTGTGAGTGAACCGTATCCTGTTTCATATCTTGACATATTGTCCCAAACCAAATGCATGATCTTGGACACTGGGGGTACTAAAGAAAGTCTTACTAGTTTTGTGGACATGTGGTCAGGCAAAAAATTCATTTATACTGCATGTTATTCCACTTCTATAAATATTTTTCTAGTGTAATATTAATTCCTCTGTTCAAAATGAACTGTTACTCTATAAACTTCTAGTTGGCTAGAATTGAAACGTTAAGGAAATTTAAGCTGGAAATATAAGCTGAGGTTGTTTGGATTTGTTAGTTTGGCTTCTCTTTAATAAGGGGTGTGTGTGTGTGTGTGTGTGTGTGTGTTATGAGGGTTGGTTGTGGAGGTGTTCAGGGTGCATGTGTGTGTGTGTCATGGGGGTTGGATGTGGAGGTGTTCAAGCCAAGTAAGGATTTTCTAAGATCACTTCCATTTTAGATGAGTAGAGCAGGAATTTTTTTTTTTTTTTTTTGAGACAGCATCTCCCGCTGTCACCCAGGCTGTAGTACAGAGGCACAGTCATGGCTTACTGGAGCCTTGACCTCCCTGGCTCAATCAATCCTCTCCCCACTCAGCCTTCTAAGTAGCTGGGACTACAGGCATGCACTACCATACCTTGTTAATTTTTGTATTTTTTCTAGAGATGTGGTTTCACCATGTTGCCCAGGCTGGTCTCAAACTCCAGGGCTCAAGCGACCCGCATACCTCAGCCTCCCAAAGTGCTGAGATTACAGGTGTGAGCCACTGCGTCCAGCCTGGAGAACCTTTTAATGGCTGTCTTCATACTTCACTATGTAAATTCAGGAAGATAATTCAGTTCTTTCAGATTTCAGTTCTGTTTAATGGTTCTCGAACTCAATTTTAAGTTTCCTTTCTAGAAAGCATTTATATCAACAAACAACTGATTTATCAAAAATAAGCCAGAGGGTGATAGATTTCATGAATGAGACTGAAATGAATTCACCAAGCCAGAAAACATTATCTGATTTATTTAGTGTAATGTAGATAACCTGGGACTTGTTCATGACTCTTAGTCCTCATTTTACGGTTTGTAATAGGTAACCTTAGAACACAGGCAGGATCACATTAGGTCTGTAGGCAAGTGCCTAAGCTGCTGCACCAGGCACCCCTCCAGGATGTTCACATTTTACAGCAGCAAACTGAAGAGCAGCAGAATCATTTATGTTCATATTTTTTTCTGTCATTTGACTTAGTGTTGTTTTCCCCCAAAAGTAGCAGTATCTTGGAGAAGTAAACAATCCAGTTATAAATGAATAATAAAAGTAAGTATTCAGATTTTCCCCTCAAATGAAAAATCGGCGGAACAGTCATTACCATTGCTTTAAAATGTTTTCCAGTGCTTGAAAAGTAATAGACTATTGAAGATAGAAGCAAGATATACCAATATGTTTCATAATTGGTGGGAAATAGAAATGTGTTTAAGTAGATCAGTAGATCAGGCTTGTTCTATGATACCAAACAGTTAATAATTGTATTTTATTAGAAAAAAATTCTCATAGAGCGAAAAGAGCCCAGTTAGTCGGTCCCTTACAGTAATACAAAATTAGCTACAAACAGAAATTGGGAATATATTTTAACAACAGAGTAAGTAAATGCAAGCAGATTGTCTGATGGAATTCACATAAATCCTTCTTTATATTCGTGTTTGGCAGCCTTTCTTATAACAAGGACTTTTTTGGCTGGGCATGGTGGCTCACGCCTGTAATCCCAGCACTTTGGAAGGCCCAGGCGGGCAGATAATTTGAGGTCAGGAGTTTGAGACCAGCCTGGTCAACATGTTGAAACCCTGTCTCTGCTAAAAATACAAAAATTAGCCACGCGTGGTGGTGCATGCCTGTAAACCCAGCTACTGGGGAGGCTGAGGCAGGAGAATCACTTGAAACCAGGAGGCAGATTGCAGTGAGCTGAGATTGCCACTGTACTCCAGCCTGAATGACAGTGAGACTCCATTTCAAAACAAAAAATCAAAAACCCCAAGGACTTTTTTCACAAAGAAGTCTGCAGAATGAACATACACCATGCCAGCTAGTGGGTTTGGGTTCAGATTGAGCTTTTAACACTGTGAGATTTATTAGACAGCATTTACCAGGTTGTCTGCTCTTTGCTCATTGCTGGTGTAGGGGGTCCTTGTCTTCAAAGAATTTATACTGTAGAGACCCCAAATTAATTCAGCCTTGCATTTTAATGGCTCATATATTGTGCTGAGTAGAGCAGGTTAACTAGTGCAGAATATGTTCACTTGTTTTTATTCTGTTCCTCCTTCAATGAAATGGAATATACTTTGAAGTTATTGACAGAGTCTTCTTAAGTTACTAAATTGACTTTTTTTTTAAAAAAAGGACATATTTTTATTTCTTAAATTGTATGAATTACACTTTTTCTCATAGACCTCTTAGGTGCTTTTGTCCTCTATAACATCTGCTGCATGAGAAGACTAGTGAAAGCAGATTCCACATGCAGGGTTTACTATGGAATAGTTAACTCATTAGCTTATTTGTTTTAGGGTATAGTGGTCAGGTCACTAGGCTCAGAGAGAAGAACTCTAGGTGGGCTGTAGATTGCAGATATGTTACTAGTGGTACCCCTCCATGGCAGCTGTCCTCCATGGCAGGTGCTCAGGATGTTGGTATGTTGAAGAGCACACCAGCTGAGAGTGCAAATTTGTGGTTACTATTGAAAAAAGAACTGAGTTTCATCTATACAGAAGAAAAGTAGTACCTTTATTTCATATGGTCTTTGTCTGTACTTCTTCATTCTTTTTAGGGGCGAACATACTATAACTTAAATTTAGCAATATTATGGAAATATCCTAGAAAATTAATCTTTAAATGTTATTTTCTAGAAGAATGTAATGATTAATAAAGAAAAATTTAAAAACATACATGTTCATTCTAAGATTTTAGTGGCGGTAGAATGAGGAGGGCAAAACAATATACACATACACATTCAGACTTTCATCATAGTAACAAATCAAAGAGCAAGGTATTTTGACATTTGTAATTCCTTAGTAGTGGAGATGCTCATGGAAGAACTTGACCTGGTGAGATAGCTGCATGGTTCCTTATGTTTGTTTTTAGTTGGTAATTCCATTAACTACTCAAGATGACTTGGACAAAGCTGTGGAACTGCTGGATCGTAGTATTCATATGAAGAGCCTCAAGATATTACTTGTAATAAATGGAAGTACACAGGTATGATTTGGGATATTTTTTTCAGTAAGAATTATAGGACTTAGGCTTGTAAAAGTTAACATATGAAACATAATTATATTCTATAATCATTGCAATATTTTCATTATGATTAAATGTAAACTTACATCCTTTAATTACTATACTTTAATATCCTTACTCCTCAAAAACCACAGTCATAGTTATAAATAAGTATAATATGTTGTACATACGAAGCTAATAGAAACTGACAACTTAGAATTATGTTAGAATTAAAATTTCAAAGAGTAGAGGATTTGATTAAGGCTCACAAACAATATAAAATGTTTTGTACTTGGTAGGGGAGAGGATTCTGTTTAAAGCCCCAAGGAGGAAGAATAGCATTAACTGTCTTTTCTCCTTTGTAGGCTACTAATTTAGAACCATTGCCATCACTAGAAGATTTGGATAATACAGTATTTGGAGCAGAGAGGAAAAAACGGCTATCTATAATAGGTAAGAAACTAGTGTCTGAATTATGAAATGAATGATTTCTCAATTTCTTCTCCATCCTTTAATGTAGTGTGGCACCTAAACATATTCCTGATAAATAATATTTTATTTCTCTACTTCCTATAATTTAATTTAAATACACTCTAATATTTGACGTCCCTTGGAAATTCAAGTTTACAGGATTAGTAATCTCCAATTTAAATTCTTTATTTATATACTCAGGGTATTTTAATGTTAACAAATTCAAATAAAACTTTAAAGAGGTTTTAGGCTGGGCGCGGTAGCTCATGCCTGTAATCCCAGCACTTTGGGAGGCCAAGGCGGGCAGATCACAAGGTCAAGAGATCGAGACCATCCTAGCCAACATGGTGAAACCCCATCTCTACTAAAATTACAAAAATTAGCTGGGCGTGGTGGTGCATGCCTGTAGTCCCAGCTACTCAGGAGGCTGAGGCAAGAGGATTGCTTGAACCCGGGAGGCGGAGGTTGCAGTGAGCCGAGATTGTGCCACTGCACTCCAGCCTGGCGACAAAGCAAGACTCCATCTCAAAAAAAAAGGTTTTAATTGTACAAATAGAATGGAGGAAAAAAATTAAAAGAAGTAATTATAATGTATTAAAATTAATAGAGTGTAAATTCACAAGCCTTTCTCTAGGGTTTTAGTGATTGCCAAGAATGCTCTCAAAATAAAGATACTAAGAATTTTTATATTATGCTTTATTATTACTTTATTAGTATTCATTTTCATTTGCCATTAATTTATTGTTATAATTAAGATTATGATATAAAGAAATAAAGATCTTGCATGCTGTAGTTTAAGGAGGCTTTATTCGTGCAACATGAGTTTGACACAGGTACTCTCAACTCCCCATTCTGTCTGTTCTTCAATTTGTATAAAACATTGATAATCTACATTTTTATTTGATAAAAGCATTAACATTGTTTCAAAAAACCGCTGGTATAAATGTTCTTTGAGAGAGGGCAGTGAGTATGGCCATTAAAGATGGCATGAAAACATGTATGAGGGGCGGATTTAAAAGAGAAAAGTTAAAGAGGAGGAAAAACAAATGTGGTTGGGAATCTAAAAAAGATTGGTAACAGAAGAGGATTGTTGATAATCAAAGAAAAAATTGAATTGGCATGTGGACCATCAAAAAAATAGACATTATTCATGTTCTCTTTTGGTCCCCAGAAGAAGCTATTTTATGACCATTCTCTTCGAAGTGTCTGTCTTAAATAAGTCCTACTTTGGGTTTCAGGAATGCAGAAATGCGAGCAGCAGAGGTGATACACAAGCAAAATACAAATGGCTTGTCTTTTGCATTCAGATATATTTCGATATAGTTTTAAAATTTGGTGAAAGAACATTTGAAACACCCAAATTCAAATTCCAGCTCTCTGATGAACCTGAGACCAGTAAATGTGTCTTCATCTTTAAATCATGGGATTGTTGTAGCATTAAATTGAGAGAACACTTGTACATTTTACTTTTCAAACTAGAAAGCTTATTGTACATTTATACATTTTGTACATTGTACAAAGCTCAGATGTTCATTGTACATTTCTTTCTTTATCCCCATTTCTTATCACATTACGGTACTTGTCATTTTTTAAAAAATTGCTAATTCACTTTATTTTATTTATTTTTTGAGACAGAGTCTCACTCCGTCACCCAGGCTGGAGTACAGTGGCGCGGTCTCAGCTAACTGTAACCGCTGCCTCCTGGGTTCAAGTGATTCTCCTGCCTCAGCCTCCTGAATAACTGAGATTACAGGCGCCCGCCACCATGCCTGGCTAATTTTTATATTTTTAGTAGAGATGGGGTTTCAGCCTGTTAGCCAGATTGGTCTCGAACTCCTGACCTCATGTGATCCACCCACCTTGGCCTCCCAGAGTGCTGGGATTACAGGCGTGAGCCACAGTGCCCAGCTCTAATTCACTTTAGTTGCATTAGACAAAACAAGCTAAATGTACTAGTTAAATTGACATTTTAAATATATTTTGAATTAAAATTACACTGAATACCTCAGTCTTATTCTAATAAATATTCTTGTTTGACGTCAGTGCCAGCATAAGAAGAAATTGGAAATCATAAAGTATAGAATTAGTGGTCTTTTATTGGCACTGCTTTAAACTTGGAATGGCTTTGCTAGATATGACCATTATCTATTTTTCTTATATGTTGGCAGTTATTCTTTTTAATTGTTTTTATAAAAGGGAGATGGAGGAAAAACTCCTTTAGGTTAGGAGTGTATGCTGATAAACAGGTCTCAACCAAGAGTGCGTTGGCATACGCATTACTGTGAAAAAGGGTTGTCAAATAAGGAGACAAAATTTTCATAGCTTTTTTTTTTTTTTGGTCCTATCTCCTTTTAGTAATTGACTATATTGATCTTTTGTAAGCACGGGTATATGGAAGGAATAAAAATATTAGGGACCAGTATTATTGTGGCTACAGTTGTTATGAAGCCTAAATCAATCCTGACTCAAATTGAGCTCCTAATCATTTTACAGACAAGTGTAGACAGTACTCTCTTTTATGCACATGTCTTGGTAATAATTTTGCTTTCTTTTTCCTCCCTGTCTCACTAACAAATGCTTGCATATACTCACAATGACTCCTTTACATAAGGCTAAAATGTTTTTTGCTTTAAATTGGACCAGAACTTAAATGCTCACATAGTTTAATTTCAAAAAACTATGAGGAAAGGTGAGACACTGTACTAATAAATATAGCATCATTTCCACAGAACCAAGTAAAATAGAGTGGGTTATTGTCTCATAAGAAATGTGATTACTTAAATAAACTGTCTTAATGCCAGAAATCTATATTGTATTATCATCCTATCAGCAGTCAGAATACCATCCTACCTAGTGAGTATAAATGAATATTATGGTGAGGTTAATAATTATGATAGGGTGGGAATTTACAAAGGTTATAAAGCCATTTGAAGATTTACAAATGAATGTTCTGATAAGTTTTAATAAAAATTGAATTTTCTTTTGCTGAAATTATTAATGATATAATTCAGAAATATAGCCTATTTAAAACAAAACTTGATTCCCTTGCCTATAATTATAAATTACATTATTTTTCTTCCTTGAGGTCCTACTAGTAGAGATAGAAGTTCTCCTCCCCCAGGTTACATTCCAGATGAATTACACCAGGTTGCCCGGAATGGGTCATTCACTAGTATCAACAGTGAAGGAGAGTTCATTCCAGAGAGCATGGACCAAGTAAGCAAAAGTTTGATTTTTTAAATTTAATTTAAAGAGATGTTGTCAGGGTCAGTGTGATTTGGCACGTAACTGGGTGTGTGTGTGTATTATCTCTTCTCTAATTACATATCTTCTTAACTGAACAAAATAGAAAAAATATAGGAAAATGCCCATTAATTTACATGTGCCTGTATAAAGAAAGCTGGAATACAGCTGGTTTTATATTGCTCAATAAGTGAATGAATGAGAGTGAGTGAATGATAATGCATTTGCTTTGTAATTTAACAGCCAGATTTTTTTTTTAAACATTTGAAAGATAGAATGAAACTACAAATATTTACCTTTGTGAAACTGAGGTTTGTGAACTTTCTGAAACATTTAAAAAATACTTCAATTTTATAGTATTAAAATGTTTTCATGGAGTTGCTGTTATTCCCTTAACATTGCATTGCATCGCATTATATGTTCACACTATTATAGTAGTTTACATTTTCTAATAATGTAATAGTCATAGTGTCATTAGTCTCAGTTTGGGTGGGGCCATTGTTCAGTTTTCAGTAAGCAAAATAGTGTGAAATATTGTAGCTTTTAATTATTTAGTCAATAGTCTATAGAGAAAGAATATTTTTCTCTTAGGAAATTTTGAAGTCGTGGCTTGCTTACAAGGGACATTTGAAAATGAGTAACTCTGGAGAGTGACCACTATTGAGTATGGAATTGTTCTAAAATTGTGAGTGAGGGTTGCACAACTCTCAGTATTCTAAAAGCCTTGACTTGTATACTTTAAATGGGTGAATTTTATGTTACATGAAGTATGTCTAATTAAGGCAGGTTTTTTTAATAAGCAACTTTTGGTTATATCAAATTGAATCATGGTGGAACTCCTTTTTTTCCTAGATGCTGGATCCATTATCTTTAAGCAGCCCTGAAAATTCTGGCTCAGGAAGTTGTCCATCACTTGATAGTCCTTTGGATGGGTAATGTTTATCGTAGTTTTTGGAGGGTTTATTTGTTTATTTGAGACAGAGTTTTGCTGTCACCCAGGCTGGAGCGCAGTGGCGTGAATGCGGCTTACTGCAGCCTTGACCTCCTTGGCTCCATCAGTCCTCCCACCTCTGACCCCCGAGGAACTAGGACCAAAGGCATTTGCTATTAATACCACATCTGGCTATTTTGTTTGTATTATTTGTAGAGATGGGGGTCTCACTTTGTTACCCAGGCTGATCTTGAACTCCTGGGCTCAAGCGAACCTCCTGCCTTGGTCTCCTAAAGCGCTGGGATTACACACATGAGCCACCATGCTCAGCTTACTGTAGTTTTCTTTTTTAATAGATATGAGTAAATATTCATACAGATAGAATGTTGAATTATCAGTAACTTTTTTGTGCTACATTCAGAGGAATAGAATTGGTACTTGTGTATGATGACGGCAGATGAATTTTTGCACAGTGTGGATAAATCCCTTTACCTCATGGGACTCAGTATCTTTGTTAGTTAAAAGGAAATCTGATTATAATAGTTTGAGTATTCCTGCTTGTCAAAATTGTGTGTTTGAAGGCAAATCAAATTTAGAATTTATGTACATTTACTTTTAAAACTGTGTTTATGAAAAGTGCTATCAACTTTTACATTAATATGTTTGGTTTTGGAAATTTCCTGAGTTATTTCACCTGTTCAGGATTATGTTCATTCTGGCACCAGATTAGAAATAATTTAAATTCTTGGAAATTGTAGCCCACTGTGTCACATTGGTACATGTAGGCAAAAATTTAAGTACTTTTGTGAAAAAGCTGTTCAGGAATATGAGCAGGATAAAGTTGCAAAATGTGAATTTTTTGTTACACGTGCTCCCCCTCCTGGTCTCAATAGGACAGTATTCTTGGTAATCCTCTCTGGAATTGCTTTATGAAAGCAAATTCTGAAAAAAATAACTAATATTGCGTGGGAATGCACATTTAAGTTTCTTTTATCCATGTATATGAAATTTCTGTCTGTGTCAATGTCTATCTTAAGGTAGACATTTAAGAAATTCAGGGAAGTAGTAACGAGAAAGCTATATATTTGAGTACTTACCATTTGCAAAACACTATCCTGGATACCTTACTTATGTACACTTGAATAGTTGGAAATTATCTTTTTTGTTGATGCAGAAGGGTGATTTGCCAAGGTTACATAGTTAAGTGGCAGAGCTTGGATTGAAACACAGTGCTTAGAAACACCTAATGATTCCAAAATACGTCATTCTTCCACTGTACTGTAAGGTTAATTTTAAGTCATGCTCTTTGCCTACATGTACCAAGTAAGTGTAGTTTTTCTTTTTTAGGTATGCTAACCTTTCAAAGTGAGCTCCTTTACACAAACACATACAGAGAGGCACAGATAGATATAGATATTGCTCAAAGATTTTCTTTTTAATGTCTTACGTTCTTTCTGTAAACTTAATGTGATGTTTTTTCTTTATAGAGAGAGCTATCCAAAATCACGAATGCCTAGGGCTCAGAGCTACCCAGATAATCATCAGGAATTTTCAGGTTAGACTTTATAAATTCTAAATGTTTAAATGTTTATGTCATTGGATAATGTTTTGGCTGGGAGGGAGAGGGGGGATTTTTGAAAAGTCAAATAAAGATTTATAAATGTGCTTTTCATCATTAGAAATATTTAACTTTTTTTTTTAAATAAAAGATAACCATCTTATATGTCTTAACAGACTATGATAACCCTA
This sequence comes from Homo sapiens, assembly GCF_000001405.40. Lineage (NCBI taxonomy): Eukaryota > Metazoa > Chordata > Mammalia > Primates > Hominidae > Homo > Homo sapiens. Next base: position 127,323,979 of record NC_000002.12, on the reverse strand, counting down.
TCTTTGAGAAATTTGGAAAAGGAGGAACATATCCAAGAAGGTATCATGTTTCATATCATCATCAAGAGTATAATGATGGTAAGTTTCTAGCAATTAGACCACAAGAATAGTTAAAAAATCTCAACAACAAAAATAAATACAAAAATTTTTTAAAACCTCATATTTGTGTTAATACCATTAGAAAAATATGAGGAATTGTGTTATAACAAAAGTATAATGGGCATTTTGGCTTTATGACAACTTATAAGACTTGGTTATCCCTTAAAAGAAAATGAATAATTTTTTGTTTTAAGAGACAAGGTTTTGTTGCCCAGGCGGGAGTGCTGTGGCATGATCTTAGCTCACTGTAACTTTAAATTCCTGGGCTCAAGTGATCTTCCTGCCTTGGCTTCCTGAGTTCAGGTGTGTGCCATTACAGGCATTTGCCATCACACCCAGCTAATTAAAAAATTTTTTTTGTAGAGACAGTGTCCCACCATGTTGCCCAGGCTGGTCTTGAAGTCTTGGGCTCAAGCGGTCCTCCTGCCTCAGCCTCCCAAAGTGCTGGGATTACAGGTGTGAGCCACTGCACTTGGCCAAGAAGGAGTAATTTTCTTTCTTTCTTTTTTTTTTTTCCCCTGAGACAGAGTCTCACTCTGTTCTGTCACCCAGGCTGGAGTGCAGTGGCATGATCTCTGCTCACTGCACCCTCCACCTCCTGGGTTCAAGCGATTCTCACCTGGCTAATTTTTGTATTTTTAGTAGAGATGGGGTTTTGCCATGTTGGCCAGGCTGGTCTCAAAACTCCTGATCTCCAGTGATCCACTTGCCTTGGCCTCCCAAAGTGCTAGGATTACAGGCGTGAGCCACCGTGCCCGGCCTAATTTTTGTATTTTTAGTAGAGATGGGGTTTTGCCATGTTGCCCAGGCTGGTCTCGAACTCCTGGGCTCAAGTGATCTGCCTGCCTTGGCCTCCCAAAGTGCTGGGATTACAGGCATGAGCCACTGCACCCATCCAAAAGGAGTAACTTTTAAATGATATTAGAAAATTACTCTTTGATGATGAGATTGATACTTACATCATCCCTTTAAGAAAAAAAATTACTGGCCAGGTGCGGTGGCTCATGCCTGTAATCCCAGCACTTTGGGAGGCCGAGGCGGGTGGATCACCTGAGGTCAGGAGTATGAGACCAGCCTGGCCAACGTGATGAAACCCCGTCTCTACTAAAAATACAAAAAATTAGCTGGGCATGGTGGTGGGCGCCTGTAATCCCAGCTACTTGGGAGGCTGAGACAGGAGAATCGCTTGAACCCTGGAGGCGGAGGTTGCAGTGAGCCGAGATTGTACCACTGCACTCCAGCCTGGGCAACAAGAGTGAAACTCCATCTCAAAAAGAAAAGAAAAAAATTACTACCTGTGAACTTCTGCATCTTTGTTTTAGATTTTAAAATCATTATTGGAAATGAGAGTAAATTTTTTTCCTCCTTTTTATCCAGAAGTGAGGAGGTTCCTTTTTAAGATGTGTGTGTGTATGTTTCTGTGTGCACACTCATACATGTTTTATCATAAGAGATTATTTGAATTTGTATTCAGATCCTGTTTATTTTTTCCCACCCAATCATTCCTATTTGAGTTTCTTAGCCTAGTCACAGGACAAATTTCTATTCTCTACATTACAAATTTTAAATACTTTAAAAGTATAACATATTAATAAAAGGTATAAGGTCATTCTCTTTTCATTTTTTAGGTCGTAAAACTTTTCCAAGAGCTAGAAGGACCCAGGGGACCAGCTTACGGTCTCCTGTGAGTTTCAGTCCTACTGATCATTCCTTAAGCACTAGTAGTGGAAGCAGTATCTTTACCCCAGAGTATGATGATAGTCGAATAAGAAGAAGGGGAAGTGACATAGACAATCCTACTTTGACCGTAATGGACATCAGCCCACCCAGCCGTTGTAAGTAATAGAACTTGGTATAGTGAAATGTAGAGCAGAATCTTTGCAGAATTTTATATTATTAAAAGGAATAAATACTAAGTGAGTTTTTGGGGTCAGATGAACTACTCAAAAAAGGTAATAATGGTGTTTCTAAAGGTGGTTGGAATGTCAGGTATAAGCATGGTATCACTGCTAATTACTTTAGATAATTCTGTTCTTCACTTGTATTAGGAAAATTATTACCAACTAGTCATTCTTTATCCATGCATTCCACATATCCTTGTTGAATGCCTACCACTGAGATTTCAAACATAATCTCCAAGACATAATCTAATGGGATAGATGATACATGGAGAAATAATTATTGTATAGCATTTAAATGTGAGTAGAAATCACCAGCTGAGGAGATAATGTGCAAGAGGCCATAACATCATCTAAAAATGGGGAATAGTTCAATTTTTGGCTGATGTGGGAGTATCTTACTTGAAATAGTGGGAATAGGCCTACAGTGGTAACTCAGGCTGGATTGCAAAGCATTCAGACCTTACTGTGTAAGCAGTGCATACAAAGATTCATGTTCAAAGATGTTTATTGCAGCACTATTTGCATACTCTGAATTCCTTTTTGTGTGCTAGTGTGTCATAGTTTACTTTTATATCCATATTGACCCCATGCTATATTGCTGTTATTTTTGCTTTAGACAGCTATCTTTTGAAGTGATTAAAAATAAGAGAAAAATGTCTTTTATATATATCTTCAGTCTATTCATTTTTATAGATCTTTGTATATATCCAAAATCTGTATAAACAAAGACAGATCCAAGATCTATTGGGTATCAAATTCCTTCTGCCTGAAAAACTGCATTTTAACCTTTCTTGTAATATAGGCATGCTGGTACTGAGTTCATTCTGCTTTTGTTTGTTTGAAAAAAGTCTATTTCTCCTTCATTTTTGAAACAGGATCTCACTCTGTCACTCAGGCTGTGGTGCAATCTCAACTCATTGCAACCTCTGCCTTCTGGGCTCAAGCAATCCTCCCACTTCAAACTCCCAAGTATCTGGCACTACAGGCATGCACCACCATGCCCAGATAATTTTTGTATTTTTTGTAGAGAGTGGGTTTTGCTGTGTTGCCCAGGCTGGTCTTGAACTCTTGGGCTTAAGCTGATTCACCTGCCTCAACCTCCCAAAGTGCTGGGATTACAGGTGTGAGCCACTGCACCTGGCCTTTCTAGCACTTTAAAGCTATTGTCCCATTGTCTTCTGGCTTATATACTTCCTGAAGAGAAATCTGCTATAATTCTTATCTTTGTTCCTCCATATGTAATATGCTTTCTTCCCCCACAGCTGCCCCAGCTGCTTTCAAGATTTTGTCTTTGATTTTCTACAGTGTGAATATGACGTGTCTAGGTATATTTGTGTAGGGTTCCCAGCTGGTGTTCTTTCAGTTTATTATATTTATAGTTTGTCTGTGAAAAGTTCTCAGTTGTTACCTCTCCAAGTATTTTTTCTGTCTCATTCTTCCTTTTTCTTTTGGGATTCCTATTACCTATACACTAGACTATTTGATACTGTCTCATACCTCTGTTGTCTCTCTCTCTCCCTCCCTCTCCCTTTCTCCCTGTCTCCCTCTCTCCCCCACCATTGATCTATTTTCAGGTTCACTGATTCTTTCCTCAGCCTTGTTGCATCTATTTATGATCCTGTTGAAGGAATTCTTAACTTCTGTCATTGTTTTTCATTTCATGCATTTTCATGTGACTCATTCCTGTAGTTTCCATCGCTCTGTTCACCATCTGTTCATGCATGTTGTCTACCTTTTCCATTAGAACCTTTAACATGTTAGTCATAGTTATTTTAAATTTCCCTTCTGAACCTCCTGAGTCTGGTTGTATTAATTGCTTTCTCTTTTGATTTTTTTTGGAAGGGTTGCTTTTTTGTGTCTTATCATTTTACATTGAATGCCAGATATCATGTATAGGATAAGGGAGGAGGTAAATAGAATGTATGCCTGGAAATAGGCACAGCTCTTCTTCTGCTAGGCCGTTACTGTGAGGAGCTAAGTCAATCAGTCTAGTTAGGAGTTGAGCTGGGTTTGGATTTTGTTGTTGTCATGGTCTCTGTGCACCACTGACTTTAAATTCTTCTAATTACCTTGTGCTGGTTTCCTAAAGGGATTTTCTCAATGGTCCTGCTCCATCAGCTTTTTTTTTTTTTTTTAATTTGAGATGGAGTTTCACTCTTGTTGCCCAGGTTGGAGTGCAGTGGCGCGATCTCAGCTCACCGCAACCTCCCCTTCCCGGGTTCAAGCGATTCTCCCGCATCAGCCTCCCGAGTAGCTGGGATTGCGGGCATCTGCCACCACACCTGGCTATTTTTCTTTTTCTTTTTTTTTTTTTTTTTTTTTTTTTTTTGTATTTTTAGTAGAGATGGGGTTTCACCACATTGGCCAGGCTGGTCTTGAACTCCTGACCTCAGGTGATCTGTCCGCCTCGGCCTCCCAAAGTGCTGGGATTACAGGTGAGCCACTGCGCCCAGCCTTGGCCTTTCTTTTGTGCCTACTTCTCAGAGAGGGAGGATCTCTCCATGGCCTTGTCATGCTCTCAGTAAGTGGATTGCTGTTACTTGCCAGCCTAGGAGAGGGGAGGCAGACTAGAGGGTTCTGTGTTGTCCTATCCAGCTTCAGTCTTAGGCAGGCTTTATCTCCTCAGTTCTCAGAGATGGGCTTGCCCACCTTCCGGGAGTAGGAGTGCTCTAATGATCAGGGTCACAGAAGGTTTCCAGCCTCAGCCTCTCTCTCAGGGGTAGGGTTTTTTTTTTTTTTTTTTTCTTTTGCATTCCCCTAGCCTCAGTGGGTCTTTAACTGTAATGCAGGGGTGACAGGGTTTGCTGCTTTCTCCAGCGGCTGAAGGCTCTCGTTTCTTAGGGGAAAAGGGTTTGGAAGGACTTTCTGCGTTTCCCACAACAGTGGGCCATTCCCCTTTTCCAGGCCTTGACCACCAAGGGAGGCTTTCCCTGGTGTCTCCTGCTCCTATGAGTGCATGGTAGAGGTCCACAGAAAAGACTTAGAGCAGGTGTGAGCTCACCTGTGTCTAGATCTCCCAAGGGTTCAATACTCTCATGCCAGCCCACATTTGTTTAAAATGGAGGTGAATTCTTCCTTGCTTGTGTGGGTCTTTGTCTGTGCTTTGCCACAAGTGAGCCAGTGCTTCTGTTCTGTCTCTCCTTGGAGGTACCACTTTTTCCTTAGATTTCAGGTTAGTTGGTTGCCCTGCAATCTTAGTTTTTTGATATGTGTTCAACAAAAGTTAAATTTTGTAGATTACCCAGATTTCTCTTGTTGTTTGGATGGGAATGATACTCTTTCCAGCTTTCTACATTGTAGGTGGAGGCTGAAAAACTAAGTACAAATATTACTGCAGTGAAGAATAGAAATGGTGCATCTTACAGTCTTTGGAATGTTAGATTGAGTGAAAGAAAGATGCTGTCACATGTGTAATTAGGAAAACAATTTCAGAAAAAAATGAGTCTTGGGATATGAATCTCTTTTTGATTTAGGATTTGTAGAAAATTGACGAAAGAGAAAAATTTGAAAGACGGTAACTGTGAATTTGGATAATCATAATTTTTCCTTATATCCAAGTACATTCAATGAAGGATGTCACTAATGCAGTATGCTCATTTAGTTATTAACCATTTATTTGTGTGCTGTTTGATATTTCACTTTAAGAAAGTGTTCTTTTTCAGCACCTCGAGCTCCGACCAACTGGAGATTGGGCAAACTGCTTGGCCAAGGAGCCTTTGGAAGGGTCTACCTCTGTTATGATGTTGATACAGGAAGAGAATTGGCTGTTAAGCAAGTTCAATTTGACCCCGATAGTCCTGAGACCAGCAAGGTAAAAATCACTGCACAAATTACTTTGTCACATTATAAGAAACTTTATTCATTATTATTTTTTAACATTAAGCCCCTTCCATTCTAAATAAGAAGCATTTTTTTTCAAAAAAAAAAAAAAGCAGTTTTCTTTAGTATAAATTATTTGTAAAACAGATTAGATATGTTTGTCTATTTTTTAATATGGATTTTTCTTTTTTAGTACTTCAGTTATAATCCTAATCTGAGTCAGTGTTGCTTTAGCATATCATCAAGGACTGTTTAAAAAGTTATTGGTTAGAGACTTTCAGATGTTTATTACTTGGGAACTAAAATTTTCAGAATGAAATCACCTTGATGGTCCATGAAGTTAGAATTTTTTGCTTTTACTGACATTGTTGAAGACTTAACAATGAATTCTCTCTTTCAGGAAGTAAATGCACTTGAGTGTGAAATTCAGTTGCTGAAAAACTTGCTACATGAGCGAATTGTTCAGTATTATGGCTGTTTGAGGGATCCCCAGGAAAAAACACTTTCCATATTTATGGAATATATGCCAGGGGTAAGTTAGTACATCTTTTTGAAAATACACATTCTATTTAAAATTTTAGTTAATAAAAGAAAAACAACAAAAACGTAGATTATAAAATGTTAACCCTAGTTAAGGACATTTTGGAAGAGTTTTAAATTAGAGCTGAGTAGTATTTTCTATCCTCTTCCTCTGTCTTTGTATTTTTTAACTCATTAATGATAAAAGTATTCTCAAGTAGGTTACAGACATCTTAGCAGCCCATCTTCAGATTTCCTTAAATGCCCTAAAATGCCCTTTATAGCTGATATATTCACACCAAGTTCCAGTCTATACATACATTTAATTGTTATGCCCCTTAATTATCTCTCTCTTCTTAAACAATTTTTTATAATTCTTAAAAAGAAGTAGAGACAAGGTCTCACTCTGTTACCTAGGCTGGTTTCAAACTCCTGAGCCCAAGTGATTCTTCTGCCTTAGCCTCCCAAAGTGCTAGGATTACTATCTAGAGCAGTCAATTTGTACATGATATAGATTTGACAAAGAGAAGAGGATAGCCTGTTAAGAGTCTTCACTCTCAGGATCTGGAAGAATTTGAAAAAAAAAAAAAAAAATTCTCATGGATTTCTCTAGTAGCATTCTTGTGGATTTTGTTTTTTTGTTTTAAATTTTTTATAATTTTAGTTATATGGAATGCTTTACAAATTTGCGTGTCATCCTTGCACAGGGGCCGTGCTAATCTTCTCTGTATCGTTCTAATTTTAGTATATGTGCTGCCGAAATGAGCATGCGGATTTTAATTTGTTTCTTTATCCCTTTTTTACTATAAACTCCAAGTTAGATCTGAGGTCTAAATTAGATTCACATTCAGCCTTTTTTATCTGATACGTCATAGATGAAGCTGTGTACTTTATGTTGCATCCTATCAGGAGCCAATTTCTGGTTATTCCACTGTAGCAATGCAAAGAGCTACCATTAGATGAGGATGATTGACATATTGAGTCCTGCATTGTAAAGTTTTGTTTTTTCCTGCACACCAGAAAGTAATATGAGGTATAGCAGTGGCACATAGGAATAGCCTGTTCCTTTTCAGCCATCCACCTAATGTTTTTAGCACTGATTGATAGTCATCACTAGAGTCTATAATTTCATTAGGAGTTATAAAATGTGATTTGTGACATCTGTCATTATATAGAGTACATCTAGTATTAATGATTTTCAAGGTGGTGATTAATATGTTTACTTATTTAAAAATACATGCATTTCCATAATTTTTATTTGTTTAATTTTGAGATGGAGTTTCGCTCTTGTTGCCCAGGCTGAGCAATGGCACGATCTCAGCTCACTGCAACCTCCGTCTCCTGGGTTCAAGCAATTCTCCTGCCTCAGCCTCCCGTGTAGCTGGGATTACAGGTGCATGCCACCACACCCAGCTAATTCTTGTATTTTTAGTAGAGACGAGGTTTCACCATGTTGGCCAGGCTGGTCTCAAACTCCTGACCTCAGGTGATCCCGCCTGCCTCGACCTCCCAATGTCGTGGGATTGCAGGCATGAGCCATTGCTCCTGGCTACAATTTTTATTTTTTGAGAAGGAGTCTTGTTTTGTTGCCTAGACTGGAGTGCAGTGGTGCGATCTCGGCTCACTGCAACTTCCACCTCCTGAATTAAATCAATTCTCCTGCCTCAGCCTCCTGAGTAGCTAGGTTACAGGCACCTGCCACCATGCCCAGCTAATTTTTTATATTTTTAGTAGAGACGGGGTTGGCTAGGCTGGTCTCGAACTCCTGACCTCAGGTGATCTGCCCGCCTCAGCCTCCCAAAGTGATGGTATTACAAGCGTGAGCCACCACGCCCAGCCGATGCCTGGCTAATTCTTGTATTTTTAGTAGAGATGGGGTTTCACCCTGTTGGCCAGGCTGGTCTTGAACTCCTGACCTCAGGTGATCTGCCTTCCTCACTCAGCCTCCCAAAGTGCTGGGATTACAGGTGTGAGCCACTGTGCCTGGCCTATTCTGTATAATACTACAAGTAGAGACACAGTAGACTGAACAAACAAGCCGTGCTGAACTGTAGGTGTGAGTAGTTGACTGGCCACACTTGCCGCTTTCCATATGTGTGTTTGCAAATTTGGGTCCACAGAATTGCAAAATGCTCTCCCTCCAAGGATGGCTCATAAACAGTGGAAAGGACAAATGGTTAAATCTGTAAAATCCAAGGATTTACTTTCATATGACAGAGTACACCGTTTACCAAAATTCAAGGAAAAGCAGAAACATTTGGATGTATTTTCCTGTCAAAAAAGAGATTTGTCCCTCAGGAAGCATTTTATTTCTGTCTTTTAAAGGGATTATTAATCAAACTTATACATTGGAATCACTAGGGAAGTTTTCAAAATTCAAATACCTATTCCTCACTTCAGACTGATTCAGCTTTCTCAGAGATGGCACCTTATCCTGCCCTAAAAAACACTTAAGAAAATCTATTCTCCTTTTGTGTATGTTCTCATGTTTCGAACTTGAGTGTTGAGTATATAAAGAAAAAAACTTTAAAATCTCTGTGTTCTTTCTAGTTACACCCATTCCTTTTTCTGAGAAAATCAGCAGATGTCAATAAAATACTTTAAAAACAGAATAAGAACAAAATAAGTAAAATTCAAGTAGGACATGCTTAGACGAGTGAGATGAGAATTCCTGCCCTCTTTACTGATAAAGATTTAATAGCAGTTTTCATTTCAAACCATATACAGTAGTTTTTATTTTTGTTTTCTTTTCTCCTAGGGTTCAATTAAGGACCAATTAAAAGCATATGGCGCTCTTACTGAGAATGTGACTAGGAAATACACCCGTCAGATTCTGGAGGGTGTCCATTATTTGCACAGTAATATGATTGTCCATAGAGATATCAAAGGTAAGTAATGAGGTATTTTCTATTTTAAGTACACAGTTCTTAGTGAATGTGAATGAAACAAGTGATGTGGGTAAGACATTTAACATTAATTCATCTGTCTCTGAAATACTACAGGGAAACAGTTCTCTTGCTTTCTTATGGACTCTGTCAGTGTTCTATCACACCAGTCCTGTCTCCACAAATGGGTAGCTCTACTGTGGGGGCTCACAGAACCAGTAAAGTTTAAGAGACCATACAAGTGAGATCATGTTTTCATACATATTGCATAGGTATTAGGATAGATTGGCTAAGAGTAGGATCCCTGCTGCCAGATGGCCTGATTCAAATTTGGGCTTTTATCCACACCGTGTGGCCTTGGACAAGTTACTCAGTCTCTCAGTTCCTCATTCTTAAATGATGGAGATAATAGTATCCAGCTCATAGGATTCTTGTAAGGAGTAAATGAGTTAATGCATGCAATATGCTTTAATTTAAACTCGGAGGAATGGGTGTCACTACCGAGGGAAAGAATGAAGAGAAGCGAAGAAAAGAGCCCCAAACTGAGCTTTGATGAACCCCAACTATGTCAAACTGACTTTAAAACTCAAAAACTCAGCTGTTTGCAGGGATAAAGGATGTAGGTAAATGCATAAAGTCACACAAAAGCAAGTGGTGGGGATAGGTGCAATTTAAGAATGCTTCAAAATCTATACTACAAAACATACCTGGAGGTTTAGTCCTGTAAAGGTAGGTTGTGGCCCCAAATTTAGACATCACTTTATAAATCAATCAATAAAAATAATGAATAGCAGCATGATGGTGCATGACTGTAGTCCCAGCTACCTGGGAGGCTGAGGCAGGAGGATCGCTTGAACCCAGGAGTTCAAGTCCAGCCTGGGTAATGTAGCGAGACCCCATCTGTTAATAAATAAACAGTCATGTGCCACATAATGATGATTCCACGTCATTATGGACCACATTTACAACAGTGGCTATACTATATAGACTAGGTGTGTAGTAGGCTATACCATTTAGGTTTGTGTAAATACACTCTATGATGTTTGCATAATGACAAAATTGCCTAAAAATGCATTTTTCAGAATGCATCTCCATCATTAAGCAATGTATTACTGTAAATGTGTATGTGTACACGTTTGTATTTGCATGTATAAAGATATTACTCATTGGTCTTGCTGGGGACTCTTACGAGCTCCCAGGCTTTCACTTCCCCTTTGAGGTGTGGCACGTCCTAATTATGGCCATATTCAGACCAACAAGAACATTCCTAACCAGTTCCTGGTGATAGAGTAGAATGCAGAATGCCTAAGCCAGATCACCTGTACTAGAGTGGGACTTAGAGTAAGTCTGAAAAGATGGGGACATTGCTCATGATCTACGCATCTTAGGCAGACCTCCCTTGTTAAGTACGAAACCTGATAGCTTGAAGAACCTCATAGAGAAGTTATTCAGTTAGGAATAATGTCCATTCAAGCCAGCTTCTCGTTAGCCCTCATAATGAGGCAAGGCAAAGGAACTGAGGGAGCTACCCGCCGAGTGGATCTTCTTCAAACTTTGCCAGAAGTGATGAGCCATCCTGGTCAAAAGAGAAGGCTGGAAGTAAGCTGATTTTAAAGCATAGGGCAAATATATTGATAAGAGAATAAATGTAAAATATAAAATTGGATGTGCAATATGATCTTAAGTTTGTAAAATTCAAGTATGACCTAGAAGGAAAATTTCCATATGATTGATGGTGGTTATCATCAAGTGGCAGGATGAGTGATGGTCGTTTTTATTTTTTTTTTTTTTAAGAGAGATTCACTCTTGTTGCCCAGGGCTGGAGTGCAATGGGGAGATCTCGGCTCACCACAACCTCCGCCCCCACCCTGGGTTCAAGTGATTCTCCTGCCTCATCTTCCCTAGGAGCTGGGACTACCAGCATGTGCCATCACACCCGGCTAATTTTGTATTTTTAGTAGAGACGGGGTTTCTCCATGTTGGTCAGGCTGGTCTCGAACTCGCAACCTCAGGTGATCCACCTGCCTCGGCCTCTCAAAGCGCTGGGATTACAGGCGTGAGCTACCGTGCCCGGCCTTTGTTTGTTTTTTTATTTTGAGTCAGGGTCACCCTCTGTCACCCAGGCTAGAGTACAGTGGTGCTGTCATGGCTCACTGAAGCCTCAACCTCTTGAGCTCAAGCAGTCCTTTCACCTCAGCCTCCTGAGTAGCTGAGACTACAGGCACACACCACCATGCCCAGTTAATTAAATTTTTTTTTGTAGAGATAGGGTATTGCTATGTTGCCAAGCTCCTATATACTTTTTCTGTATTTCTCAAATTTCCATGAGCAACTTTTAAATCGTAAGAGAAAAGGAAGATAGTTGATTGGTTTTCAATTTAGACCCGTGAAGTCATAATGAAACCTAGGATGAAAATTAATTGATTATATTGCTAGGGAACCAACTCATTATTTCAAGAACTAGTTGCTCTTCTGCCTTTGTTTTTGTTCCGTTTGTTTTACAAACTAGACCACTGAAGATGAAATTAATGGATGAAAGGAAACTTATCTTCATAGAAGTATTTTGGCTAACAAGCGGAGAAAGAATAATGAACAGATATTGCATTAAACATTAATAGCTGCTGATATCACTTAAATAGAGACTGTCTAGAATACAGCATCATCTATCTAGTTTTGTTCCTCAGTCCCCCAGAAATTGAACCTGAATCTGATCACGCCTCCAAATTCGGTTACAGAATTATGTAATATACATATAGGACAGATGAGCATGTTAAAATGATTCTTTGGGACGCAGTCAGCAAAATCTAGACCATGAGAAAGCTATAGGCAAACAACTTAGTTTCTTCATAAGTTGCAAAGAAAAAAGAAAAGGAGATTGGAGGGAACTTTAGGAAAGACTTAGAAGATTTATCAGTGACTCCCAATGTATGGACTTCATTTGGATTCTAGTTTTTTTTAATGTAACAAATTGAACACCGACTATATATTTGATAATATTAACAATTTATTGTTCATCCTCTTGGGTGTGATAAGAGTCCTTATCTTTGAAAGATATGTACTGAACCATTTGTTGATCATGACATCTTGAATTTGCTTCAAATCCTAGAGAGGGGAGGGGGAGTGGTTGGCAGTATGGCTGGGGCAGGATTGTCCAGATGGATGTTGAGGCTGGGTGATGGCTGCGCATGCTGCTCTACCTTTGTGTATGTCTGAAAAGTCTCCTTAATAACTTATTTTTAACATGTCCAAAATAAGTTTTTAGAAACTTCTGTTGGAGCCTGGCTACCCGTTTTCTCCTCCGCCCTTCTTGTGGATAAGCATTGGTTCAATATTGGTGATTCCGCCCCAGAGACAGCTTCCCCTGTCTGTGACCTGCCTTGGACTGTTCCTTCCCCTATCAGAGCCCTGCTTGTAGCCAGTAAAAAATGGGCTTTGTTGTCCTTCCACTGGTTAAGTATTCTAGAGACGGTGGCTTTTTTGACATTCCTTCTTAAAGTACTGGATGGTAGGAAATGTTAGACAGTGCTCTTTCAGAAGATCACTAATGTCATGGCATGTTTACACTTAAGGTGTGCAGAGAATGGACCCTGGACTCTCCTCTGGAGAGAGGCTTTAGGGAACCATCATTGACTAGACTGGGGAATTTGCTGGTAGAACAGAAAGACAGGTACAGAAGCCCCGTGATAGGGGTGGGGTCTCTTTATCCTCTCCAGTCTGTAAGGTAGCTTTTCTCCACTATTCAGTCTCCTTCTTAGAGACCGTTTTTTAAGAAAAGGGTAAGAGAACCAAGAAAATGAATCTTTGTAATATAAAATATGGTTAAGGTTATGGAAGAGTTAAAAATAAGAATTGAAGTAAAATTTTAAAATTAGATAATAAAATAAATGGCTTATTTAAGAATAGGTAAAGAAAAAGTTAAAAATGAGAAGGTCCAAAGTAATGAGGGCTATGTGGAAAAAAATGAGAAGAGAAATGATTTATAAAAGACGGAAACTAGATTTATAATCCCAGAAAAAATAGAGTTTTTAAAATGATAAGAGTGAAAATAGAGAATAAAAAACAAGTGAGCCTAGTGCCCAAGCTTGGTTTTTTGTTTTTGTTTTTTTGAGACAGGGTCTCACTTTATCACCCAGGCGGGAGTGCAGTGGCATGATCTCAGTTCACCGCAGCCTTGGCCCTCTGGGCTTAAGCGATCCTTCAGCCTCAGCCCCCAAGTAGCTGGGACTGCAGGCACATGCTACCATGCCCAGCTAATTTTTTTGTATTTTTTTGTAGAGATGGTGTCTCACCACGTTGCCTAGGCTGGCCTTGAATTCCTGAGCTCAAGCGATCCACCCACCTTTGCCTCCCAAAGTGCTAGGAGTACAGGTGTGTGCCACTGCACCTGGCCAATATCTTGTTTTTTTAATACCATTCTCCACTAAAAGGAACCAGGCCTCCTTGAGAAATGGCTGATTCTAGCACTGGTGCAGGAAATATACAAGATGAGCCTGGAGCATCTTCAAATGCCAGAAAGCAAGAAAGTGCTCCAAAACAAAAGCCAAGGATACAATGATGGGGGTATGGCAAAGGGACACAGAGTCAGTGGAAAGAACTCCAGTGGCTGAAACTGATAAATAGCAGGCAAATAAAGTAGTACTGGATTATAACCCAGTGTATAAAACAAATATCCATGTTCATAGTGATGCAAATGAATGATTTAATAAATATGTGGGAGAGGGGAGACAAATCTCTTCTGCAGCATAACTCCAAATAATTTATGTAGCTACTCAGCCTGGAGCATAACTCTTTACTCCTTAATTGTGGGCTGTGCGTGGCGAATTTCTTCCAAAGTACGGAAAGGGTGGGGGAGAATGACTTTACAGTGGAGAACCTGACAAACACTATCTTAAGCCAGGTGATCAAGGTCAGCATCAACAATGATGTTGACACTATGTGCCTTTAATATCGTATGATGAGAATGGCAGTTTAGCTGCGGTCTTCCTCCAAAAAACTTACAACCCCCGTTATGAGAACATGAGACAAATCCTAATTGAGGGGCATTCTACAAAAACCTGACCCCAGTACTCCTCAGAAATGTCATGGTCATCAAAAACAAGGAAAATTTGAGAAAGTATCCCACCTAAGAGGAGCCTCAGGGGACACGATGACTAAATATGGTGTGGGATCCTGGTTAGGATCCTGGATCCAGAAAAATGATATTAGGGAAAAACTGAGGAAATCTAAGCAAAGTATGAACTTGGTTAATAATATTTCAGTATTGGTTTATTAATTGTGGCAAATGTACCATACTAAGATATTAGTAATAGAGAAGCTGGGTGTGGGGGTATATGGGAACTCTCTATACTGTCTTTGCAATAATTCTGTAAATCTGAAGCTATCTAAAAAGTTTATTATAAAAGCTAATGAAATTTTAAATGAAAAGCTCAAAGCCTGCCTATGAGACATTTAAAATATTAGAAATTGGGAAGTAAAATTAATATAAAGCAAGATTCAATATTAAGAAAACTCTAAAATGTAAGGTAACTAAATTTAAGTAATAGAGGGGGAAAATGCTTTTGTTCTGAAGGTCCCTAAGGAAGTTTCTGAGAAAAGGCTGACTTCTCAGGGAAATAAGCTTCATCCATGGGCTTCTTGCTTTATGATAGAGAAACTGGGGGCTTTCTTGGTCCTTCACTGAGCTTCATTCTTAGCCCTTTTCCCCTTTCTCCTCCTCTTCACCCCCACCTCCAACCTGCACCAGTCCTTTTCAATAGAAACGTCCTAGGTCCTAAACACACAGCTGACCTAAAAATGTAGTGTTCTTGCAGCAAATCCTTAATGAGCACCACCTGTGTGACTAGCATTATGCCAGCTACTGCCAGAGGATGAAAAGCAGCCTAACTTTGGGGACAAATCAAAGAGTCTATGAAGTAATTCTCTGCCATTGTTCTTTTATGCTATATTCGAGACTGCCAATAAAATTAATGAAATGAGGCAATGTCTTATTTTTAGGCGCAAATATCCTGCGAGATTCAACAGGCAACGTCAAACTAGGAGATTTTGGGGCCAGCAAACGGCTTCAGACCATCTGTCTCTCAGGGACAGGAATGAAGTCTGTCACGGGCACACCATACTGGATGAGCCCTGAAGTCATCAGTGGAGAAGGCTATGGAAGAAAAGCAGACATCTGGTAGGTTTTGATACGAAGTTTGCTTGAAAACCACCTGCCGCCTATGTATTTCCACCTGGGATTGAATTACTGAGGCAGATGTAAATAATCTTTTGTACTTCCAAAATAGGACGTAAGAATTGCGAAGATTAACACTATATTAATTGTGCCTTATTGAGGCTTATAATTGACTAAATAGTTAGAATCCTTGAACCTGTCCTCCATTCTTTAGGAAGGATTTTGTCGTGAGCAAACCTCAGCATTAAAAAGCTTTTTGCTATTACAGAAGTAAATAAATAGTTACTTTGTTTGTCTAAAGACCTTTAAAAGTACTTCATCTTTGTTGTCAGTGTCTTATAATTCATTTAATCTTTAATTCTTTTATAATTTTAAGTTAGAACATGAAATGGCCATTTTCTACTTCCCACCCAGAAAAGACTTTAATAGACATTCATTTTAGGCACCTGAAGGCAATTGATTTCTAATGCTTATATTCTTTGTAAGATAAAGACAAAAATTATTTTTAAAATCAGGTTAGAAATTATATAAAACAAAAATAATAAGATGAATAATGTTCTTTGCCCAACCGTTTGAATTAAGTGATAGTCATTAAATTTATTTTAATTGATTTTTATGTTTAAATTAGTTTTACGAAATTAGAACTTTTTAATGAAACTTTGAACTTGAAATTAAGTCATATTTAAATATATATGGACTTAATGCCTGTTTCTCATTTTCTAGCTAACTAGCTTTCTTTCATGTTGTTGTTTGTGTAATGTATTTCTTTTTGTTTCTTTTCAGGAGTGTTGCATGTACTGTGGTAGAAATGCTAACTGAAAAGCCGCCTTGGGCTGAATTTGAAGCAATGGCTGCCATCTTTAAAATCGCCACTCAGCCAACAAACCCAAAGCTGCCACCTCATGTCTCAGACTATACTCGAGATTTCCTCAAACGGATTTTTGTAGAGGCCAAACTGAGACCTTCAGCTGATGAACTCTTAAGGCACATGTTTGTGCATTATCACTAGCAGCCAGTAACCTCTCCTGTGCCTCTACCTAGCTCCCATCTATTCATTCACCTTCTCTCTGACTGCACTTTTCTTTTTTATAAAAAAAGAGAGATGGGGGAGAAAAAAGACAAGAGGGAAAGTATTTCTCTTGATTCTTGGTTAAATTTGTTTAATAATAATAATATCCTAAATTTTTTATATTTAATCTTTTTTTCCCTTACAAGAACTTGAAGTTTTTTTTTTTAATTTTTATAATGTACTGATGTGGTTCAGAGAGATAAAGCACTTTAGTACATAGTCACTCTTTTTAGTACAAACAAATCATTTGGAATACCTAAAGATTGTAGAGTCATTCCCTCTATCACTGACACATCAGTGACGATGGGAAGACATGGAAAACAAGGAGAAGAAAATGATGTATAATTTGTAGTTTTTAGTGATAGTATTTAAAATATATCCTCATTTGTGGGGTTGAGCCCTAAACTTTAGTTTAGGGTAGGTACTCAACTTAAAGAATATAGGTTTCTTCTTATATCTGTATTCTTTAGATCCTAACCTCTGTCTACCAACCTTTTTGCTCAGTAGGAGTCTTGATAGAAGATATGAATCTCTGAGAGGTATGTTTATTTGTTAATCCTAACCAGTATAATAAGCAAATACACTATAATAGATCCACGTTACTGGAATCTGTAAACCTTGAGGGATAGCTTTCTGCTTAAAAACACACACACACACACACACACACACACGGAAAACCTTTATTTTAAAGTCAAGTTGTGAGCAAATAGAAATAAAAGACAAAAGGACATCACTCTTATCAAATGTGTGAGCAGTAGAAGAGACCACATTTACAGTCAATAGAAATAATGAAAAAAAATTAGGTGTTTAGTGTATTTTAAACAGTTTTGTTTTGTTTTACTTGAGGGGGACGTCCCAAAATTAAAGGAATGGAGAAATAATCAAAATCATGTATACCATCTTCTATTTCCAGCTCCTGATTCCCCATAGGTAACATCCCTTAGGAGCGAAGAGTTCAATTAGTAATGTTTATGTGTTATGTCAGGAGATGAAACCCTTGTTCTTAGGATCACAGAATACTAAAGCACCTCAAAAAAACAGGTATCATGTGAAACAGTGGTTGCCAAAAGTGGAGCGAGGATGATTTCACTAGGCATTTGGCAATTCTTAGAGACATTTCCGGTTGTCACAATTGGAGGGATACTAGTAACATGAATTGGGTAGAGGCCAGGGATGTTGCTAAATAGATTATAATACACAAGGAAAGCAGCCTCAAAGAATTACCCCTCCCAAAATGTCAGAAGTGCTGAGGCTGAGAAACCCTGATGTAAAGATCAGTCCCAGTTATAAACTGAAAACAGCTATTTACAAAGCAGTAAATGCAAGAAAGAAAAGGAAGTCGCAAAGAGAAAGTGATGTAATGCAAATTGAGGATTTTACAAGATCAGATACTGCTGCTTTAAGTCAAGGGTGAATAATCTCAACAAACAGCAAATAGCAATCACTTTACCAGCTGCATATTGCACCCACATAGGTAACTCTTCATTTTAGGAACAAACTGAATTTGAACACTGAGCCTTTTGAACTCAGCCATCTCTATATATTCTTTCCTTAAAATTCATGATTTTGGGCAAAAAAAAAAAAAAAAGCATATCAAAACAAAATTTTAACTACTAATGGGAAGGTTAAAAAGCTGCCACGTATTTCTAGTACAATGTATCCAATAAGAGCAAGGACATTGTTAAATGGAACAAGACAGCTGGGAAAGGCCCCACTATCTCTAATAGAATTGTGCTACTATAAAACATGAAGATATCAGCAATTTGGCCACTTGCAGTTTTTTTCAGCATGTTAAAGCAAGTGCTAAGTACTTTATTAGTACTTTATTTAGTACTTTATTTTAAAGGTCTAGAAAACAACAGTCTTCCTGGAGGCCCCAGAATCCCTTTCATGGGATTCATAAGGGACTCAGGTATTCTTATTTTCTGCCAAAAGGTGTGCTTATTTAGGGACTCTTTTACGATACTTTGTTTCTGAAGTTAGGTAGATCTTGGTTTACTGTGCCAAGGTCCTACCTAGCATTCCCTGTAGGAATATTTGAAATTCCACTAGCTAGTCTAAGAAGTCAAAGCACAAAATTAATTGTCAACGCTTCTCTCATATTCTTAAAATTGAAGCAGTTTGCAGGGAAGAACAAGAATGAGGTGTCCCTGCCTTGGTAAAGCAACTGCCAAATTTTGTTCTAGAAAGAATCCCCAAGTGTGTGGATCTATTATAATTTCTTTATCTTTTATGAATGAGGGCATCTTTTCTACTTGAGCAAGATCATGGTCCTTGACCAGTGGGCTTTTCCTTCATATCTGTCTTGTGTAGTTGTGCTTTTCCTTTGGCTCGTTTTTGGTCTGTCAGGGTAACCAGCAGTGCACAATATGAGACAAATGCTCTTTAGAGAGAAATCTGGTGAGACTGTAGAACCCAGAGCAAAACTGTTTTTTTTTCAGTCTCTGTTTTCTTTTCTAAATGCTATAGAAAATAAAGGCACCTGAAAAGAAACTACTACTTTAACACTGCTGTGGAAGGCCTTTGCTTTATAAGAAAAATATTATTAGCTATGGGAAAGTAATGTTCTTTATGTAAAGACTTAAAAATAGACTAATAGTTTACAGAGTTATTATATAAAATACGATGTGAATTTATTTCAAACAAGTTGTGAAGGTACCAAAAACCACAATAAAAGTTAATATATATAAAAACTACTAGAACAAAAAAGCTTGAAGGTGTGGGGGTGGAGGGTATGGAAGACCAAAAGTAAATTTAAAAAAGAAATTTTTGAAAGGAAACAGCTTTATCAGGGGAAGTTAAATATAACACTCCGTTTTTTTCTTCTTTCTAATAATGATATGGATCAACAAATGCAATTTGAACTTTTTAAGATAACTCTAAATGTGTTTTGTTTCTTAAATGCACAATTGATTCTTCTATACTGTAATGCTTCTTTGCTGACGCTGGAAAATGGTCAGACTGCTGACTTTGTGCCTTTAAAATGCATTCTGCTTTGACAGTGGCAGACTTTTTGGTGCTGGAGAAGATTCACTAGCAGTCTTATATGTGCTTTTCAGGAAATATCTTTCTACTTAAGGCCTTGAGAGATTCAAAGTGGCATGACTTAGGCTTGGACCAAATATAAGATCTTTTACATTGCAAACAAAATGTTGTATTGAATAAAAGGGTTAAAAAAATCATAATGACTAGTGGAAATTTTGATGGGTTGTTAATTATTTAAAATGTATTTGAAAGTATACAGACTGAAAATTTCAGTATGAATATCTTGAAAATTTTCAGCACTTTTCCTTGTTTACAAAACATCTTTCTAACTTAAAAAAATGACTATTGCCTTAGAAAGTTTTAAAAGGCACAGTTACCCTTACATAACATATATAAGGAATTAAAATATTAATGCATTTGCTGAACTGTAAAAGAAAATTTTAAACCTTGATTTCAGAGTGAATTGGATTGGCTTTCACTTGAGAGAGTCTTTACCTTATTCCCAAAGAAACTGCATTAAAAAGATGAAACTATTTCTTTAGACTAAGTCTCTGCTACTCCAGCTCATATATATGTCAGATCTGCTCTGTAGTATTTCTGACATGGAGTTGTTATAAGATATGTGAAATCACTTAGAAAATAAAATCAGATGTGAATAGTTTAGCAGGATGACCAAGCCAGATGCAGACTCCTTGGCCTATGGCAAAGTTCTGTGCCAGTGATTTTATTTGGAGTCTGGGAACTGATAGCTTGATATAAAATCACCTGGTGTCAATTAAATATACAAATCTATCTTTTTTAATAGAATGAATCTTCTTTGTTTGTTCAATAATTGTAACTTATTATGTCAGGTACTAAATTAACATCCTTAAGGAGGTCACAATCTAGGAGGAACATGGGCAAACAGTTACTTATTTTATGGCATACGCTAACTCTGAAAGTTCAGCAATGATGTTTTAAAATGTTATTTTTTATTAAGGGAAAAGCAATTTTAGGTAATCATTGGCTGTTATAAACGGAAATGTCACTGACAACAGGGATTAGAGTAAAAGTATCTCCAAACTAGAGGGATCCCCTCCCCAACCAGGTCACATAGCATCTCTCTCAGGACCCCCTCTTACTGCAAAACCCAGCCTCTACTCAACAGTTCTGGTGATGGGGAGCATTTATTCCATAACAGTGTTTTTTTGTTCTTTTTTTTTTTTTTCCCCAGTGTCTCTTTTAAAGAAAACATACTTTATTTTGGTCTAAATTGTGAAAATACCCAAAACATTTGATAGAAATTGAACTCTGTCAACAGTGTTATTTATACTAAGATCAGGACAGTTCCTTGAGATCATACTGTTTTATTACTAAGTTTGGCCTTTGTTTTACAAATGTAATGTTCATATTTATTTGAATTTTAAGATTGGTTAAATGTTAATGAAAAGCAATCCAATTGTTAATTTTTAGTAGTGCCTTTTCTCTGTATGCCTTAATTTTATTTTATATTAATAATTCAAGTTACCCACCAAAATGAAGATTTTTTCCAAAATCAGTAGGCTTCACAAGTTCATTTGGCCTTAGACTGTGTATTGGTCCTTAAATGTTTCTTAATGCCTGCCTCCTCCTACCCTTTTCTACCTCCTTTTTAAAAAAATAAATAAATAAATAAATAAATGTTAGGAGAGAAACATTAGGATTTGTCTGTGATAGACATGCTGCAGCTTCCACTAGACATGAATTCCCAACACAAGCATAGAAAGAGGTATTCTCGTTCTAAAGAGACATGTAAATGTTTTCTGGGTTGAATATTTGATTTTCAATCACATTGGCACTGTCCAAGTTCTTGGCATATTATAGTTCAGTTATGATTTTCATGGTAGAGTTACAATACTTGTTTTTGCCCTAAAGAAGTCATTCACATGGTTTACAAATGTTAAGGCAATGAGATAGGACAGTGAGTAGGAAATCCAGGGATAGCAGATTCTAGTCCTTAATTCTCAGCTAACATTTTGGGTAATACTCACAGAAAAGTTACTTTTCTGTGAAGTGTGTGCATGTGTGCATGTATGTGTGCGTTTGCATGCATGTGTGTGTGTGTGTGTGTGTGGTTAGAGTTGGAGGCAGGGATGGGAAGGAAGAAGGGGAAAGGTATGAGTGTTCAATTAGGTCAGTTTCTGGTTTTGGAAGAACAACTCAAATGTATGACCTACTGATGACATACAGTGAGTGTAGTCATCCTTGGGTAGGAACACCAGTACATTTTCCAGAAGTAGCTAGTACAAATGATTGTATAATAATATTGATTGTAAATTGCCATACTCTTGGTTGCTAAAGGTAGATTAAAATTCAATTTGTGTATATGTAAAATAATCTTATATATAATTCTTAAATAGAAAGTAATTGATTTTACATAGTTCTTCCTGAACTTTTTGGAACTGAAATTCTGCCAAACATTATCAAAATAAGCTTCCTTAGCTTACCAAGTATTCACAAGGAAATTCTCTTGTACCTCTTTTTGGTTGGCTAGGGGAAGCATGCTGTGAAGCAGCTATTCCTACTTATAGTTGTCTTTGGCTTGGCTTTGACTTCTGCCATGGTTTGGACAGGATGCCATGGTAGGTGTGGGAAGTATCAGGGCCTCCCATCTTCCCATACTCACCTTCCAGAGCTGTTGATGGAAATGAGCTCTTGGGGGAGCCTAGAGATTCTTTTTTCAGTGGTCCTGTAAGCATTCAAGGTTGAGCTTCAGAAAGATGAGGGAGGAGTCATAGCTACAGTAAAGAAAAGAATAGATTTTATCTGTTGCCTGTATACAGTCTCATAGAATTCTTATTTTTCATAATTGTGCATTTTAATTGATAGTCATATGGTATTTTTGTTAATAACAGCAAAGGCATTAAATCAGTACCATTGTTCCTTCTGCCTGATGACTTCTTGTTTGTAACACAATCTGTATTATCAGAATCACTTTAAACCAAAGCTTTTATATTCCCTGTACACATAGCCAAAATAATTAGCACTGTTACTTCTGTCCACTTGTAAGCTAATAGTATAAAAATTATAAAGCAGATACTAGTAGAATTTGTATTCTGGTATATCCTTCAAGGAAAAGGACAGGTGATCAGTGCATTTAGACATCCAGAAGTTACTTCCACTATTGAGGAACTATGTAGACATGAATTTAAGCTTGTACATGTGCCAATCTTGTTAATGTCACTTGACCACTGATTCACATAGACAGACATTAACGTCTGATGCCTCAGGTTGATGGCGAACTTTCTTCCTAGTGTCTTAACATTTATGAACTTATGTTTGACTTGAGGGGCATTTCAGCAAAGCTGTGAGGAAAAGTAGGTTCTGGACTGATGTCTGCTTTGTGCCATAGACATTTTGGAACATAAGGAAGTATCTGCTTCTACTATATGTACAGGACTTGTCCCCAAATAATTTCTGAATCCCTTAATGCAGTTGAGAATCCCTTAATGCAGTTGAGAACAGTAAAGTTCATGACCATACCGAAAAGCACTTTTAAGTTCACTTCTTTTTAAATATTTTTTTAGAATTTATTTTTTAAAAGCATATGTAACTAGTGATGATTTTAGCATTAGCTTTACTTGGAGGGGAGAAGAAACAAAATTACACCTTAAACTCTATTAGATAGACTACAAAATGGATTTGATGTATTCTTACTTTTCCAAAGAATTTTTTCCACCTGGAATAAGAAGAGAGGACTAGTTGAAACATTTGAGCTGGAGAGGCTTATGGGCAATATGAAGTGGGCCAAATTCTTGCAATACACCCTATTCAATTGAAAGTACAGTGTCTAAGGATAAGAATACTTCTTTAAAGACCAACAATTGTTTTAATGCAATCTTAATTAGTAAATGGTTTACATTTTTTCTATTGTTATTGGTTTTAAAATTTGCTACCCTGAATTCTGAAATATTATAAGAGTTAATACCAAAAATACTTTTAATGTCTGACATCTCTTACATTTCACATGGTTCTTTTTATTCATTGTAAATAAAAGTAAACTTGGATAAATTTGAGAATAAACTTTGAATTGTTGCAAACTATGATTATCAATTTGTAAATTTACCCTTTGACATAATAATGTACATTTTTAAATGTAGCCATTAAATTCTCTATATTTAACCTATTGGTTTCTCTCTAAATGTTTTTAATCTCAGTTGAATGCTGGGCAGTTTATAATTATGTACAAAGGGTTTTTTTCCTATTAAGATTGACATTTTTGCACATTTTTGGAAATGTTTAATTTGTACACTGATTTACTACTCTGACCAATAATTGTTGATGAGTGTATGAGCATCATGAATGCGTGCATTGAACTACTGTCTGTGTCTTTATGTTTTAACTTCTTTCAAGATGTAGCCATCAGTTACTGCACTGCTATTACTGACTTAAATGGACCTTTTTGCTTTTACAAACTATACTTATCTATGGTTCTTTGTTGAAGAACTCAGGAGTTCGACATTAATAGAAATTAGAAAATTTTATAATGTATTATAAAATCCATTACTAAGTTGAAAGTATGCTTTTAACTGTGTATCAGGGGATGTATGTTTGTGTGGAGATGTTTTTTTCTGTCTGTAGGCACATGTATATATCCCAGTAAGTTCTTATTTTCATTTCATTTCTACATTTTTATGAACTTGTTTTATAAGGGTACTGTTTAGTTGTGATAATTAAATATATATAAAAGCTTTCTGAGAGATTATTTACTATATGAATATATTTTCAGCTGGCTGATCAAAAGTATTTTTAAAATTTTGTTTTTAGCCATTCAAAATGTATTTGTATTTTCAGAATTGAATGCAAGTCATACTTAGAGCTCAATTAAAATACTCTTGCAAGAAAAAGCATTAAATTCTCTTTGAGAATTCCGTGAAATGCAAATTAAGGGAAAAATAGGTTTTAAGCAGTAGCAAAAACACACCGCTAAAAATGGCCTTTGAATTCTCAGAGCTATGGAAAAATGTGAGAAACTAAATTGTCTCGAGATGTCAAGATTTTTCTATCTCCAGTTGCTATTGGCCTGTCCTACTGTTGTCTTTGAATATTTCCTGTATTCCACCCCAAAAGATTTCAACTTTTAGTTTTTCTATCACTGGGCAAGGTCAGACTGGGTTTATAAAACAATATATTGGCATATTGTGATTCTTTGTAATTGACTATAAATTGGTTTTGAAATGTCCAAACATACGTTGTGTGTCTTTATATTGTACTGTGTGTTTTAAGTAACTGGCAGAAAAAGAATTGGAAATGAAATTTCCAATCAGACAATGTAGTATTAAAGAAAACTTTGTTTTAAATATGCGGTACCATGTAAAATTACTCGTGTTAGGAATAAAGTCCACTGTTGAAGTTGAATGTCACTAAGCTTATTATGTTAAAAGGAACCAGTGTGATTAGGAAAACCTACCAGAAGCCAGATACAGTGTGGTACGTGCAACATTTCATGCACATTTTGATTTTGTTTGTCATTCAAAATTGTGCTTGTAAAAATGTATACAATTTCTGAGTTTTATAATTTCTAGGTACTTGTTTTTTCTTGCTGGTAAATAGCTTTTTTTTAAAAAAAAATCTAATATAAAAGAAACCATGTTTATATTTTGTTAGTGATCAATGACTTTGTTTATATGGAAATTTGTATATTGTTGGCACACATTTTGTTGAGGTTTACGTGCATGAAGGCCTGCAATAATTAGCACAATGAAAACTGCTTTTTCTTACATGTTCATTTTTTTGAAAGATTGTGGTGCAAAGGCTTACTCTAATAAGTAACCTTCTGGACTATGGAATGAATATAAATGAATGGCACTTTGAGTGTTAATAAAGCTAATATTTATTTCCACTGTGATTGGTTTTTCCAAATCTATTCTTGGACACATTTTATTTACAGTTATTCCCTCCTTGCTTGAGTTGAGCACTCTCTAGGAAACCAAGCGCAGACAAATCTAAAAACAATGAAACTAAACCAAATCTTTCCAGTATCTAAGTCTATAATGTTCCACCCAACTTGTAGTATATCTTTGGCTGGACATCTTGATTACCTAAATCAGAACTAATGATTAAAAACAAACACAAACCCTACTATCAAACCTACTGAGTATAAGGAATGGTCTCTCACATGGTGCTGGAGATTATTTATTTATTTATTTATTTATTTTGAGACAGAGTCTTGCTCTGTCGCCCAGGCTGGAGTGCAGTGGCATGATCTCGGCTCACTGCAAGCTCTGCCTCCCGCGTTCAGGCCATTCTCCTGCCTCGGTATCCTGAGTAGCTGGGACTACAGGCACCTGCCACCATGCCCAGCTAATTTTATTTGTATTTTTAGTGGAGACAGGGTTTCACCATATTAGCCAGGATGGTCTTGATCTCCTGACCTCGTGATCCATCCGCCTCGGCCTCCCAAAGTGCTGGGATTACAGGCGTGAGCCACTGCGCCTGGCGGAGATAATTTAATACTTTGGTATAGAGGGCAACTTAACACAACCTCAGAATTGAAACCTCAGAATCAGAATCAGAAACCTCAGAATTGGCCGGGCATGGTGATCCCAGCACTTTGGGAGGCCGAGGTGGGTGGACCACTTGAACTCAGGAGTTTGAGACCAGCCTGGGCAACATGGTAAAACCCTGTTTCTACAAATAATACAAAAATCAGCCACGTGTGGTGGTGCATGCCTGTGGTCCCAGCTACCCAGGAGGCTGAGGTGGGTGGGTCGCTTCAGCCTGGGAGACAGAGGTTGCAGTGAGCTGAGATTGCACCACTGCACTGCAGTCTTCATGACAGAACGAGACCCTGTCTTAAATTTCAGAACCTTGTATATCCTCTGACCCACCAATTTATACCTAGGAATTAACCTGTGGAAATAGATTGTGAATGTTTTAAGTTGTATCTATAAAAGCCCAAACTTAAAACTCTAAATGTCCAACAATAGGGGCTATTGTAACAAAGTACCACACATTAGGTGGCTTATAATAAAAAATTTATTGTCTCACAGTTACGGAGGCTAGAAGTCAGAAATCAAGGTGTGGGCAGGACCATGCTCCTTCTGACACCCATAAGGGAATCTTTCCTTGCCTCTTCCAACTTATTTTTATATATTAGAAATTGGGTCTCACTATGTTGCCCAGGTTGGCCTCATACTTCTGGGCTCCCACCTCAGCCTCCCAAGTAGCTGGGACTACATGTGCTCCATGGCGTTGTGTCCAGCTGCCTCTTCCAACTTCTGATAGCATCCCTTGGTTTGTGGCAGCATAAATCCGATCTCTGCTTCCATCAGCACGTGGTGCTTTTTGTGTGTCTATTGACACAAGTGTGTGTGCTCCCCTTTTTATAAGGAGACCAGTTACTGGATTAGGCCCACCCTAATGACCTAATTTTAACTTGATTACCTCTATAAAGACCCTGTTTCCAAATAAGGCCATACTCTGAGGTAGTAGGGGTTAGGACTTCAAAATATCTTTTTGGGTCAGGCACAGTGGCTCATGCCTGTAATCCCAGCACTTGGGGGGCCAAGGCGATGGACAACTTAAGTCCAGCAGTTCAAGACCAGCCTGGGCAACATGGTGAAACCCCGTCTGTACAAAAAAATACAAAAAGCCAGGCATGGTGGCATGCCTGTAATCTCAGCTACTTGGGAGGCTGAGGAGGGAGGATCACTTGAGCCCAGGAGGTTGAGGCTGCAGTGAGCCCAGATCGCACCACTGCACTCCAGTCTCGGCAACAGCAAGACCCCGTCTCAAAAAAAATAACTTTTTGAGGGGTGGGGGACACAATTCAACCCATAGTCTGTCCTCTGGCCCCTACAAGTTCATATCCTTCCCACATGCAAAGTACATTCACCCCATCTCAACATCAACAAAAGTCAGTCATTCTAGCATCAACTCAAAGTCCAGTATCATCTAAATATCAGTTCAAATCTCATCACCCAAATCATCCACATCAATTGACTCTGGGTTAGGTTTCCTGTTGGAGCAAATTTTCTTTCTATCTATGAACCCATGAGAACAGACAAGTTATCTGCTTCCAATTACAATGGTATAGGCAGAGGATAGACACATTCCATTCCAAAAGGGAGAAATGGGAAGGAAAAAGACTTGGAGGTGCCAAGAAAGTCTGACACCTAACAGGGCCAATGACAGGATTTTAAGGCTTGAGAATAATCCTCACTGGCTTGATCCTCTGTCCTCAGGGCCCACTGGGGTTGCAGCCCCGCACCCTCAGAACTGAGGAGGTGGTGGCCGTGGGTTCAAACCCAAGCCTGTCCCTTTCAGTCCTGTGGTGGCGGAAGCAGCCTCACTGGCCTCTGAACTGCCCCTGCCAATCCCTTTCCTACCTGTGGAATCCTGGGAGTCCAACAGCCTTCCTTCATTTCATCCCATCTATGTACCCTAGTCAAAACTGTCCAGGTTTCTGTGGAGATGGGTGATTGGGTCTATAAGCCACACACCTAATCTCTTGCAAATAAATGGTTGTCCACATCCTTAGTGTTTCTCCAGAGCATACTTTCTCTCTCTCTTTTTTTTTTTTTTTTTTTTTTTTTTTTTTTTTTTTACAATGTGAGTATAAGAATGATCCAAATCTTCAAGTTCTGGTTCCTTTTTGTTGAATAATTCCACCTTCAGTGTATCTCTTCTCACATTTCACTATAAGCAATAAGGAGAAAGCAGGCCTCAGTTTTTTTTTTTTTTTTTTTTGAGACGGAGTCTTGCTCTGTTGCCCAGGCTGGAGTGCAGTGGCGTGATCTCTGCTCACTGCAACTTCTGCCTCCTGAGTTCAAGAGATCCTCCTGCCTCAGCCTCCTGAGCAGCTGAGACTACAGGCGCGCGACACCACGCCCAGCTAATTTTTGTATTTTTAGTAGAGACGGGGATTCACCATATTGGCCAGGCTGGTATTGAACTCCTGACCTTATGATCCCCTGCCTCGGCCTCCCAAAGTGCTGGGATTACAGGCGTGAGCCACCGCGCCTGGCCCAGGCCTCACTTTGAACCATCATGTAGAAATTTCCTCAGCAAAATGTCCAAGCTTATCACTTATAAGTTCTACTTTCCACCCAACAGAATACAATTCAGGCAAGCTCTCTACCACTTGCCTCCAGTTTCAATAACATATTTCTCCTTTCCATCTGAGCCGTCACCAGAATCACCTTTAATGCCCATACTTCTACCAAGGCTCTTCAAGACAATAGAGGCTTTTCTATCATGCGCCTCAAAATTCTTTCAGCCTCTACCGATTACCCAATTTGAAAACCACTTCCCCATTGTTAGGTATTTGTTACAGCAGTACCCTATTCCCCGTACCAAAAATCTGTGTTACGTTCTCCAGAGAAACAGAACCAAGAGGCCCACTGAGCAAGCGAGATTGATTGATTGATTTTAAAGAATTGGCTCATGCAATTGTGGGGGTTGGCAAGTTGGGAATTCAGGTACGAGTTGATGTTGTAGTTTTGAGTCCAAAGGCTGGAAACTCAGTCAGAACTTTCTGTGTTGCAGTCTGGAGGCAGAATTCCTTTTTCCTTGAGAAACCTGTCTTTGCTCTTAAGGCCTTCAACTGATTTGGATGAGGCCCACCCGCATTATTGAGGGTAATCTGCTTTATTTAGGCTGAGACATGAGAATGGCATGAACCCGGGAGGCGGAGCTTGCAGTGAGCTGAAATCGCGCCACTGCATTCCAGCCTGGGCGACAGGGCGAGACTCCGTCTCAAAAAAAAAAAAAAAAAAAAGAAAAAAATTTTTTTTGAGACGAACTCTCGGCCTGTCGCCCAGGCTGTAGTGCAGTGGTGCAATCTCAGCTCAGTGCAGCCTTTACCTTCTGGGTTCAAGAGATTCTCCCATCTCAGCCTCCCAAGTAGCTTAGACTACAGGCGTGTGCCACCATGCCTGGCTACTTTTTTTTGTATTTTTCGCAGAGATGGGGTTTCACCATGTTGGCCAGGCTGGCCTCGAACTCCTGACCTCAAGTGATCCACCCACCTCAGCCTCCCAAAGTGCTGGAATTACAGGCGTGAGCCACCGTGCTCAGCCAAATTTTTTTTAATTAAAAAAAAGAATTCTTCCTTACCCATGGACTCAGGTCACATTCTCTCTCTCTCTCTCTCACACACACATTTATTGCCCACATGGCTTCATTAAAATTTAAGTTCCAGAAGGATGAGGCCTTTAATTCGCGCACTACACAGGTGCTCAACACACAGTATTTTCCTTCAGTTGTAGAGAAATGAACAGTGGAGGACCCCCGCCGCTGGGTCGCACGAGCTAACAGATCGGCGGTCGCTGGCTCTCCGCTCTTCCAGCCACCCACATCACGGCGCCTAGAGGCGGGACATCCTGTGTGGACAACAGGGAGCTTCCGGATTGAGCCGGAAGTCCCCCCAGAGCGGATGCCGCGGCGGGCCTGTGGGAGCGGGGTCATCTTCTCTCTGCTGCTGTAGCTGCCATGGGCAAAAGAGACCGAGCGGACCGCGGTGAGACGTTGCGCGGGCACGCTCAGCCACGACTGCCCTTGCCGGCCCTGCCCCCCGCTCTGCCTCGGAGCTGCTCCGGGCCTCTGCGCCGGCCGACCCTGCTGGCCCTCCCGCGCGCACCCCGTTGGGACAGGCCTTTGGGCGGGAGAGATGCTGGACCTGGGCGCAGCCCAGCGAACTCGGCCTAGGGGAGACGGGTGAGGGGCGCAACGCCTGCGGGATGCAGGTGGCTCTTAGCTAGGAGTTTGCGGCGGCGCAGGTGAAATGCTGCCAAGCGGTGCGGAGGGAACCCTGAAGGCTCCTGCTGGGCTTACTTCTGTGTTGGTATCTTGCAGACAAGAAGAAATCCAGGAAGCGGCACTATGAGGATGAAGAGGATGATGAAGAGGACGCCCCGGGGAACGACCCTCAGGAAGCGGTTCCCTCGGCGGCGGGGAAGCAGGTGGATGAGTCAGGCACCAAAGTGGATGAATATGGAGCCAAGGACTACAGGCTGCAAATGCCGCTGAAGGACGACCACACCTCCAGGCCCCTCTGGGTGGTAAGCATGCCCTTAGCTTGGGCAGGGCCCAGGAGTGTGCGGAGCGGCAGCTAAATCTTGGGCATCCTCAGAGTCAAAACTGACATTCAGGATACTGCCCCTAGAACTGGCCGGGAGAGAATTTTCATCCACACACGTTGGAACAGCCCAAGGCAACAGCGAGCAGTTGCGCACACGTGTGGCGGCCGGACCTGGGCTTCCAACAGCTCTAACCCCTCGGTTTACTCTCACTCCTTCCCCAGCCCTACCCCATGTAGTGAATCCTTTTATCTGCCGAATAAATAGCATTTATCATGTAACAGTTTGTTTCCTCAAATAATGGAAGACATGTTCGGTAGCAAGCTTTTGCTCTACTTTAAATAATTAATGTTATACATTTAGTTGAAATCTAGCCAAAAGGTAACTTGAGGATAGCCAGTAAGATGGGCTTTCTCTGTGCAGAATAGTAGGAAACAGCTGTTGACTTTGGAAACACTTTCTTCTATTTTTCTTTACTCTTCTGTATCTGATTAATGTAACAGGCCCCACAGTTGTCTGAAGGAGTGCTTGCAAGAATATCTGTGGTGTTGGGCAGCTTATTCTTTCTTGATAATGATATGGGCAAGAGCCCAGTAGTCTCTGCAACTCATGTTTCCTTGTCTGTTTTGTCCATTTGGTATCTCTCAGGCTCCCGATGGCCATATCTTCTTGGAAGCCTTCTCTCCAGTTTACAAATATGCCCAAGACTTCTTGGTGGCTATTGCAGAGCCAGTGTGCCGACCAACCCATGTGCATGAGTACAAACTAACTGCCTACTCCTTGTATGCAGCTGTCAGCGTTGGGCTGCAAACCAGTGACATCACCGAGTACCTCAGGAAGCTCAGCAAGACTGGAGTCCCTGATGGAATTATGCAGTTTATTAAGGCAAGTGACAGCTGAGACCAGCAATTCCACCTGCCCTGCTAATGTAACAATAGGCATAGGTGCTCCATGTTGTCAGCCTGTGGCAGCCATGAGAATGTGCCATTCAGATTTCCTGTGGGGAGCATAACGACTGATTACCCCAGCCGCTACACTCTGGATCCAGCATTGTGTTCTGGGTGAGGCCATGCTTCTCATGAGCCGCTACACTCTGGATCCAGCATTGTGTTCTGGGTGAGGCCACGCTTCTCATGAGCCGCTCCCAGCTGTGGGTATTAACACAGAGGGGCTACTAATTCAGGCCCATTGTAGCCAGGGAGAATTTGGAAATGCAGCCCAAAGTGAGTGTGCTGGGGACTGAATTGTGTGTGTTCCCCTCAAATTTTGTCTTCAAAACCTAATATCCAATGGTAATGTATTTGGAGTAAGAAAGTAGTTAAGACTAAATGAGGTCGTGATCCGCTATGATTAGTGTCCTCCTAAGAAGAGACACCGGAGCATGCTTTCTCTCACCTGCCCTTCTTGTCATGTGAGTACACAATGGGAAGGTGGTCCATAGACAAGAGCCTTCACCAGAAACTGAATCGGCTGATACCTTGATCATAGACTTTCAGCCTCCACAGCTCTGAGAAAATACAGTTCTAATGTTGAAGCCACCCAGTCTGGAATTTTATTATGGCAGCCCAAGCTGACTAACACAGGTGGTAAACTCTGTCTAAAGCTAAGTATCTGCAGGAGACCAATAGTCAACAAGTTCCATGAGGGAAAGTCAAAAACAACTTCAGATGTTTTTGACAAAACAAAGAGGGTTCCATGTGATTAATAGTTGAACATGCTAGGTTTCTTCTGCGAGATGGGTGAATGCCATTTAAAAGAGATGGACAGTGGCTTTCATTGCCTTTGGCTGATCCAAAAGGAGTCAGATTCAGACCTTGGGATCTGGAGTGGCAGAAGAGTGCCACAGGAATTCAGTATGGTACTGCAGCCAGTCCCAGAGAAGCTGCAGGAGTCCTGGAGAGAACTCTCTTTTCCTGTGATGTGAAAGCGTGCCCGGCCAGGTGCAGTGGCTCACTCCTGTAATCCCAGCACTTTGGGTGGCTGAGGTGGGTGGACCACCTGGGGTCAGGAGTTCAAGACCAGCCTGGCCAACATGGCGAAATTCCTGTCTCTACTAAAAATACAAAAATTCGCCAGGCATGGTGGTGGGTGCCTGTAATCCCAGCTACTCAGGAGGCTGAGGCAGGACAATCACTTGAACCCGGGCGGCAGAGGTTGAAGTGAGCTGAGATCTCACCATTCATTGCACTCCAGCCTGGGCAACAGAGTGAGACTCCGCCTCAGAACAACAACAAAAAAGAAAGCGTGCCCAAGGAGAGGACCTTGTACCAACACTGTGGCTCTGCCTGGTCTTGGCTGCGAATTGCCTGCAGGGATGTAGGTGTTGGTGCACTGTAGTGGTGGATCAGGGACAACAGCGGGGATAGGCAGCCCCTCAAAGTCTGACTGGCAAATTTTTTTTTTCTTTTTTTTTGAGACGGAGTCTTGCTCTGTCGCCCAGGCTGGATAGCAGTGGCATGATCTTGGCTCACTGCAACCTCTACCTCCCAGGCTCAAGCAGTTCTCCTGCCTCAGCCTCCCAAGTAGCTGGGATTATAGGCGCCCGTCACCATGCCCGGCTAATTTTTATATTTTTAGTAGAGATGGGGTTTCACCATGTTGGCCAGGCTGGTCTCGAACTCCTGACCTCAGGTGATCCACCTGGCTCGGCCTCCCAAAGTGCTAGGATTACAGGTGTGAGCCACCGTGCCTGGCCTGAGTGGCAAATTTTTATTGTTGCCACACAGCCTCTACTGTATTCCTTCCTAAAGGTGGTTGGGAACCTGGGAGGATTTAAGCTGTATTCTCTGCCATCAAGATGCTTACATTCTATTTGGGGAAATAGGAGCATTGGTGAAGAGGCTTTGCATTTTATTTAAGCCGCAATTACTGTGCACATACTCTGTGGAGTTGTAGTAATACTGGTGTGGTCTTCTCTAGACTAGGGTGGGGGCTGTGGGAATAGAGAGGAAAGGCAGAATGCAAGATTTTAAGCAGCGTTTTATAACTTAATGGATATGCATCAGAATTACCCAGGCAAGAGGAAGATTTTGTTCTCAGAAAGCAGAGGCCAATGGAAAAAGCTCAGTTTAGGCACATCTGACCACTTTAGGATTGCAAGTTGGGTTTCCCTAAAGTAAAATGAACTTTTCACTTGGTTGGTAGGTGTAAGATGTGACCAGTAATGAATGTGTTCTGAGTTAGCTGCACATTTACCTGTTGGATGTTATCTGTATTTGCAGTTGTGTACTGTCAGCTATGGAAAAGTCAAGCTGGTCTTGAAGCACAACAGGTAAGAGATTCCATGACAGGCCTGTCCCAAGGCACTGTCACTTTCTGCGCACCAGCAGGAATAAAGGGATATGGGAAGGACCTGATGTTTATGCTGTCTTTTCTGTGAAGCACAGATAAGAGAAGAGAAACAAGAGATGTGGCCCAGACTGGAAACTCATCCACTGGCCACTGTATTTCCTCTAGCAGTGGAGCTGGGCTCAGGCCCCTGCCTACTTGACCTCAAAGTCACAACCCTCATATGTTAAATCATGGCCGGCAGCTCATGGTACAGATTTGGCGAAGGGTTGTGGGGAGAGTCATGAGGCTTGTATTTCCAGACCATCTAATTGAATGAGCAGTGGAATCTCCAGGAGGTACCTGCTGGTCAGTAGACCCCTTCTTCCTCCCCTGCTTGCAGATACTTCGTTGAAAGTTGCCACCCTGATGTAATCCAGCATCTTCTCCAGGACCCCGTGATCCGAGAATGCCGCTTAAGAAACTCTGAAGGGGAGGCCACTGAGCTCATCACAGAGACTTTCACAAGCAAATCTGCCGTATGTGGACTCCTGGGCCACCCTTGGGTGGGGGCAGGCATTTAGGATTTCAGTTCTCTCAGGTGTCTTTAACCCAGCACTTACAACCTAGCAGCCCTGCTGGTTCTACCCTTTACAACTTCACCCATTGCTTGATAACAGCAGAATTAAATGTTGTGTGCACGTTCAGCACCTACCTCTCTCACAGATTTCTAAGACTGCTGAAAGCAGTGGTGGGCCCTCCACTTCCCGAGTGACAGATCCACAGGGTAAATCTGACATCCCCATGGACCTGTTTGACTTCTATGAGCAAATGGACAAGGATGAAGAAGAAGAAGAAGAGACACAGACAGTGTCTTTTG
The DNA here is from genome assembly GCF_000001405.40 of Homo sapiens. Taxonomy (NCBI): domain Eukaryota; kingdom Metazoa; phylum Chordata; class Mammalia; order Primates; family Hominidae; genus Homo; species Homo sapiens. The sequence goes on along the minus strand of NC_000002.12, from coordinate 127,289,347 downwards.
AAGTCAAGCAGGTTAGTGAATGTACCTTCCTCCTGGTTCCTTCACTGAGCTGCTGTTAGAAGCTAGTCCAGCCATGTGTCGACTCTGCCTGTAGTCTGTGTGAAAGGAAGGAGTCCCTGTTGGTCCCTGAATTGCTTTCTCCTTTTTATTATCTGTGAGCCATGGCATCATTTCTCCTGATGGAGTTAAAGTCCCAGTGTCCTCTTTTTCAGGCTGGTAGGCTGGTCTTCACAGGTTCCTGAGGAGATGTGAGAAATGGTGCCTGAAGGTCAATTTTGCCTGCTGATTAGATTTCATTTTCAAAGTGTTGTTAGTCTGGGTTGCTTTTCTGTGCTTTATCCCGGTTGTTGACTGAGCAAGATCTAAAATCTTGTAGAAGTTTAGATAGAATGCCACTTTTTTGACCATTGGACCTCTTAGAAGATGTAATGTTTTTGAGCACAGTAACAAGATTTTAAAACCCCTTTTGTGCCCTCTTTCCAGGAAATGATTGAGGAACTCCAGAAACGTTGCATCCACCTGGAGTACCCTCTGTTGGCAGAATATGACTTCCGGAATGATTCTGTCAACCCTGATATCAACATTGACCTAAAGCCCACAGCTGTCCTCAGACCCTATCAGGAGAAGAGCTTGCGAAAGATGTTTGGAAACGGGCGTGCACGTTCGGGGGTCATTGTTCTTCCCTGCGGTAAGTGGTACCAGAGTTAAGAAGGTGGTCAGGCTGTTGTGTCTGGATCTGCCAGCTGCCTCCCGCTTTCTCTCTGCACATTTCCCTAAATCACACCTTGCTGAAAAGCCAAGATCAGGTGACTCCCTGATTCATGACTTGACAAATATTTGAGTGCTTGCTGTGTATGGGCCCTGGCCTGGACACTGGGGGTATTATGGTGGCTAGAACAACACTTCTGACCTCATGGAGCTCACTCTTCTGGGGAAGAGACAGATGGTAAGCAGATGTGTACAACCTTGGGTGGTGCTAGAGTCAGCGAAGAAAAATTAGAGCACATGAGGGGTGAGATTGTAATGATGGCAAGGGGCTGTTGCACTTAGTGGGGTTAGGTTCTTGTTCTTGAATCAGCCTTAGGGGTTGTGTATTTGGAGACTCCCTAGCGCAGAAACTTTGGTGTTCCTGGATGACTAGGATGGTGTGCAGGTCCAGGGAAAGGCAGGAGTGGCCCCCTGGGCACCTGTTTGACCACTTATCCCAGTAGTGTCAGGTCCTAGCCTAGCTTCTTGGCCAGAGACCACAGCAGACTCACCTTGGGACCCCACTGAGGACTTACAGAGGCAAGGTCTTCAGGGAAGGGGAGGTTCTTTTTTTCCAAAACTCCAAGGGTTATTTTGATGTTGTTTTCCTTTTTTATTTCACTTTACAAATTTTTTTTATTTACGTTTATTCCTGGTAACTCACAGTGTATTTTTATAATAAAGGAAGGATCTCTGTTTAATGGAAAAGCTTGATTTTTCTCTTGATCTTCAAATGGTGGATGGTAGTAAACTCAGAAGCTCCTGGAATTTCATTTTCTCTGTACACACATAGCGCATCCCTGAATTCTCAGCCCCGTTTGCTGTGTAATAATAATAGTGGTCTTTTGCCGAGTGCCTCCTTCTGTGGGCCAGGCATGCTGGGACCCAGTAGCTTCACTGTCCCGTGGCTGTGGGCAAGGTAAAGTACTCCTCAGCTTTAGTTTTTCAATCTTTCTTTTTTCTTTTTGAGACAGAGTCTTGCTCCGTTGCCCATGCTGGAGTGTAGTGGCGCCATCTTGGCTCACCACAACCTCCGCCTACTGGGTTCAAGATATTCTCCTGCCTCAGCCTCCCAAGTGACCGGGATTATAGGCGCCCGCCACCATGCCCGGCTAATTTTTTGTATTTTTAGTAAAGATAGGGTTTCACCATGTTGGCCAGGCTGGTCTTGAACTCCTGACCTCATGTGATCTACCCACCTCGGCCTCCCAAAGTGCTGGGATTACAGGTATGAGCCACCGTGGCATGGTGGCTCAGCCAGGTTTTTCTATCTTTAAAATAACAATAACAGGCATTTCTCTTCTCACTGGTTTGTTTTGAGATTTTGACATTTAAATGAGATGTGTGTAAAGTGCTACAGTAGGCCCCAGCGCCTGCCATTTCTCACATATGTATGTGAAGTGGGCATGTCTCCTCATTATAAAGAAGAAAACAGGCTGGAGCAGTGTGTGTCGCTCAGATGTCAGCTATGTGGACTGTTACAAGACATTTTCCTAGATTGCTGTACTTGTGAGTCATTCTGCCTGTCCCTGTCCTTCATTTCAACCTGTCCTTGGGTGGGATTGCACTCTTGTTTCTTGTAGGTGCTGGAAAGTCCCTGGTTGGTGTGACTGCTGCATGCACTGTCAGAAAACGCTGTCTGGTGCTGGGCAACTCAGCTGTTTCTGTGGAGCAGTGGAAAGCCCAGTTCAAGATGTGGTCCACCATTGACGACAGCCAGATCTGCCGGTTCACCTCCGATGCCAAGGACAAGCCCATCGGCTGCTCCGTTGCCATTAGCACCTACTCCATGCTGGGCCACACCACCAAAAGGTCCTGGGAGGCCGAGCGAGTCATGGAGTGGCTCAAGACCCAGGAGTGGGGCCTCATGATCCTGGATGAAGTGCACACCATACCAGGTAAGCAGGCTGGAGCTGAGCTGTCCACTTGCTGAACAGACAAACCAATTTCCAGTTGTTAGGTTGGGAAAGGGACTGCTGTGTAGCCCACCCAACTGGCTAGAAAGACTTGCTGGCTTGCTGGGTAAAGCTTTTAATAGTTCTTTTTTTTTTTTTTGAGAGGGAGTCTCACTCTGTCACCCAAGCTGGAGTGCAGTGGCACGATCTCAGCTCACCACAACTTCCACCTCCCAGGTTCAAGCAGTTCTCTGCCTCAGCCTCTGAGTAGCTGGGATTACAGGCACCTGCCACCATGCTAGGCTAATTTTTGTATTTTTGTAGAGACAGGGTTTCCCCATCTTGGCCAGGCTGGTCTTGAACTCCTGACCTCGTGATCCACCCACCTCATCCTCCCAAAGTGCTGGGATTACAGGCGTGAGCCACCGTGCCCGGCCAGTAATTCTTAAGTGGGATGCAGGCAGGAGTGTTCACATTCACAGTTTGCTTAATCACTGGCTCAGTAGTGATTTAGAAAATGATATTTTCTTTCCTCCATCTTCCTTTTGCTGCTCAGCTTCATCCGTTTTTTAATGGCCCTCTAAAAACTGGGTTAGGAGCACTGAAAAGCCCTTCCCAAAATGGTGGTGATGTGTTTTATTTGAAGCCCGGAATATTGATCCTTAGTCAATATGTAATAGAAGCCCTACTTCTCCAAGTATCATGGGCAAACCTTTTTTTTTTAAGCTGCTCTATTGATTTAATTTATATACCATAAAATCACCCCTTGTAAATATATAATCCAATGAGTTTTAGTAAATTTGTGGACCAGTGCAACCATGACCATGATCCAAGTTTTCTTTTCTTTTTTTTTTTGAGATGGCATCTTGCTTTGTTGCCCAGGCTGGAGTGCAGTCGTGTGATCTTGGCCCACTGCAACCTCCGCCTCTAGGGTTCAACTGATTCCCCTGCCTCAGCCTCCCAAGTAGCTGGGACTACAGGTGTGTACTACCACACCCGGCTAATTTTTTTTTATTTGAGACAGTTTCGCTCTTGTTGCCCAGGCTGGAGTGCAGTGGTGCAATCTCAGCTCACTGGAAGCTCTGCCTCCCGGGTTCAAGTGATTCTCCTGCCTCAGCCTCCCGAGTAGCTAGGATTACAGGTGTGCGCCACCATGCCCAGCTAATTTTATATTTTTAGTAGAGACAGGGTTTCTCCGTGTTGGTCAGGCTGGTCTCAAACTCCTGACTTCAGGTGATCCGCCCACCTCAGCCTCACCCTGGGATTACAGGCGTAAAGTACCACACCTGGCCAAATTTTTGTATTTTTAGTAGAGAAAGGGTTTCGCCATGTTAGCCAGGCTGGTCTTGAAGTCCAGACTTTAAGTGATCTGCCTGCTTGGGCCTCCCAAAGTACTGGGATTATAGACGTGAGCCACTGCATTCGGCCACCATGATCCAGTTTTAGATTTCCTTTGTACTCATTTGCAGTCAATCTTTGTTTCTCTATCTAGCTTCAGATGACTACTGAACTGCTGTCACTATAGATTTGCTTTTTATGGAAAATTTATATAAACACAATCATACAATATATATTATGTCTGGCTTCTTTCACTTCCCATAATGATTCATCTGTGCCTTAGCATTTATCAGTAGTTTGTTCCTTTTATTGCTGTATAGTTTTTTGGGCGAATCTTTTTTGATAAAAACAGATTAAGGGATTAAGATTAACAAATTAGGAGTGGGCATGGTGGCTGACACCTGTAGTCTCCTAGCACTTTGGGAGGCCAGGGCAGGAGGATTGCTTGAGCCCAGGAGCTTAAGATTAGCCTGGGTAACATAGTGAGACATGTCTCTACAAAAAAAAATTTTTTTAATTAGCCAAGTGTGGTGGTGTGCACCTGTGGTCTCAGCTGCTGAGGAGGCTGAGGTGGGAGGATCACTTGAACCTGGGAGGTTGAGGCTGCAGTGAACCATGATTGTGCAACTGTACTCCAGCATGGGTGACAGAGTGTGAGACTCTGTCTCAAAAAAAAAAAATAAAGATGAACAGATTAGGGTAAATTAAGGAGTCTAATAGAGGTTACTATGAACAAAATGAAATCTGAGGCATTTTCACAGGTAGTGTTCAAAATGTCAAAATGGCCCCAGCATCTGGTTCTTTCTGTGCATGAGAGCTCTTCAGCCCTGATGGGTTTCTGGAGATACCTAGAGATGTTCACAGCTGGCCAGGGAGGGATTGGAGGTCTTTCTGATGGAAGCCCAGGGTGTGGGCCCTGCTGTGGGAAAGTACTTGGCATAGTGAGACAGCACAAGGTGGCCATGCGGCCAGAGGAGAGCATAGGAACAGTAGTCAAGGCTGAGGAAGATTAGCGGTATTGGGGCAGGTCTTGTAGGACCTTGTAGGCCACGACAAGAACTTTGGCTTGTACTCTTAGTGTGAAGCCATCTGAGGGATTTGAGCAGAGCATGACATGAGTTGACTTTACACTGTAAAAATACTGCCCTGGCTGCTGTGCTGGAAATAGACTGAAGGAAGCAAGACAGAAGCGGTGAGGTGAGTTTGTGGAATCCCAGTAAGGATGAAGGCGTGATCCGACTCTGGATATGTTGTGAAGCTTTAATTGACAGGTCAGGTGTGGAATCAGAGAGAAATCAAGAATGACACTAAGGTTTTTGGCTTGAACAAAGGGAGGATACAGTGGGCATTAATTGAGATGGGGAACACTCTCAAAGGAGCTGGTCTGGAAGGTGACTATCAGGAGTTGGGCTTTAGATGTGTGAATTTGAGTTTCCTGTTAGGCATTCAGGCCATGGCAAAAAGGTTAAGAAATAGGCCAAAGAAATTGATAGACATTTCACCAAAAAAGGATATACATATGTCAAAAAAGCACTTGAAAAAGGGTTCAACCTCATTAGTCATCAGGGAACTGCAGATTTAAACCCACCACAGGATGCTCCCATATGCCAGTTAGAAGGGCCAAAATAAAAAATACTGATGTGCGGGTGCTGATGAGGTCACAGCAACTGAACTGTCACACATTCCTGGAGGGATGGATTGCAAAGTGTATGGTCACTGTGGAAAACAGTTTGTCCATTTATTATGAAATTACCACATGACCCATCAGTCCCATTCCTGTGTATCCTGGATACATGAAAAGAGGTTTACACAAAATCCTGTACACGAATGTTTATGGCAGCTCTGTTCATAATATCCAAAACCCAGGTGCTCATCAGTGGGTGTCTGGATAAACAAGCTGTGGTACATCCATACACTGGAACACTACTCAGTAGTGAAAAAGAACAAACTTGCTGCATGTTGCAACCTGGATGAATCTCAAAAGCATGGTGCTGAGTGAAAGAAGTCAGCCTCAAAAGCTTCCATAGTATGTGATTTCATTTATACAACGACAGTATAGTGCTGGCCAGCAGATCAGTGGTTGCCAGAAGTGGGGGGTCAGAGATGGATGACTCTAAAGGAGAGCACAGGGGAATTTTGGGGGATGCTGTCTTTATCTGTACCCTGATTGTGGTGCTGGTTACAAAAATGTAAATATGTTAAAATGCATAGAAGTGCCCCCCCCACCCCCCGCCCCAAGTCAGTTTTACTGTGAGAATTTAAAAACTCAAAAGAAAAAAGGTGGAAGGGTGGGTATTGGGTCTGCTAGGATTGAAAATTGATGGTACAGAGAATCACTACCCACAAAGGAGTCTGGAATTGTTCTGTAGCAGTTTGGTTGGAAGCTGTGTTCAGGGCTTGAGGCATTCTGTCTGACTATATGTTTGGTACACGTTCATGTTTTTCTTTAACCCAAGCCCCAGGTCCCAGGTTCCAGGGGACAACAGCACAGATTTGGGATTGGTTATCTGATGAACAAGTACAAAAAGGTGCATCTCACACTCACATATGTCTGTGAGTTTGTCTGTCTCTCGTCTAGTTCACTGGATGAGTTAGTCTTTGGTTGAGTTGCGGAGTGAAACCAACAAACTCTAAGGGATTTTTGAGTACAGGCCCCATAAGCCCAGTGGCCTGGCCATGCTCATTGTCCCAGAGAGCAAATGTTAAATAAGGGAATGCTAGGAAGTCACAGTAAGTCTCCTGACTGTCTTAACGTCTGCTGTGTTGGGTTAGGTGGAGTGATCAATCTTTGAGATTTATCTCAAAGGATAAAGATTGCTGTGCTGTTTTACAGATTTTTCAAAAGGAGCTCTGTTATGCCTTTTTATTAATGATTCATATTATGGTACTTGTGTATATTAAGTGCTTCCTGTGTGCTAGGTACTGTGCCAGTTTCATTATTTCTACAGGTATTTATTGAGAACCTACTAAGTTTAGGCACTGTACTTGGCACTGGAGACAAAGTGGAAGGGACAGCCAAGTAACCACACAAATAAATGCCAAATGACAACCATGACATAATGTTGAGTGATACAAGCCACACACAAAAGTGCATACTATGATTTCATTCATGCAAAGTTCAGAAAGGAGGCAGACCCCTCTCAGAAGTCAGAGGAGTGTTTCCCTCAAGGAAGAGTGCTAGTTATTGACAGAAGGGGTCAGGGGAGAGACCTCTGGGTGCCTGGTTCTCTATATCCTGATCTAGGTGGTTCCACAGCTGCATGTCTGTAAAAATATATTGAGTAGTATGCTGTGAGTTATTCACCTGTGACAGCTGTCAGGGCTGTAGGAGAGTGTAATAGAGGGGTGTGATGGGGTCACGGGTGTCCAGGCAGAGTCCTACCTGCCTTATCCTTGTCTTGGGTCAGTATGTCCCCCAGTGTTGCCTCTCTGGGGCCCACACTGGGTTGGTGTAGCCATTGCCTTGACTACCATTTCCCTCTAACATGGGGAGCTTGGTCTGAGGTTCTTGGCTACTGTATTTTGGAGCCAGCACAGTCTTTCCTTAGACATAACCCTGAGCTGATTTTGTTTTCTGTGTTGTGTGTGTGTGTGTGTGTTTGTGTGTGTGTGTTTGCATGTGGTGTTGTGTGCAAACCATGTAGATGTAAAAACTAAACATTTACTTAGAGTTAGGCAACCCTATGTTATTTCACTGTGAACGTCTTTGTGTTTTGGTGCATTCAGGCCTCTTTTTCCTTAGATTTTTGTGTCTATTTATTTCTGAAATATCATTAGCCCTACTTTCAATTATATTGTAAGATAAGCATGACTCAAACATTTTAACCTTGCTTCAGAGTATTAGAATTTTTAAAAGGTGAGCCCGTGGAAATCCATAAATTAGGTTTTTTAAAAATGAATAACTCATACCCTTTATGTGTTTATTTTATTTGATAAACCAGAGAGAATTATAATGTTCAAAAGAAAGGAAGAAAAAGAGGTTGCTGGTTGACCAAAGTGATTGAATTGGTAAAGTTTGGAGAGGGGAGTTTCCTAAGGCGGGCCGGAGGGCTTGGGCGAACAGTTCCTGGAGTTTCATCACTCCCGTGGGCTTGGCTTTCTTCTCGGTTTCTGGGAAAATGATGGGAAGCTGAGAAGAGCTGGCTTCTTTCATTTCTTCCTCTCCCTAGATTGTCAACTTTCTTTTCAGTAACCTGGGTACAAGTGTTAGGGGAAAATTCTTTGCGTAATTTAGAGCTTAATGGTATTAATAGTAAGTATTGCAGGTTGTATTTCAAATTGCCATCTGTACTTCTACTGATAACTGTTGTGAGGGGAATGCTGGGATTCATTAACTTGGAGATTCCTTAAGCTCATTTCACCCTCTTGTTCTCCTTTTCATTTTCTTTTGGACAGGTCTAAAAGTGATGGTGAAGCATTTGCCTAGTCATTCTTGTCTAGAGCCAGCTTCTGTGGTCCTGAAACCCAAGGGTTAGTTCAGGTGGTGTCATAAGCCAGTGTTAAGTTGCACAGCTATGAGCATTTGAAAAAGTGACAGTGTAGGCTGGGTGCAGTGGGTCACGTCTGTAATCCCAGCACTTTGGGAGGCGAAGGCAGGGGGATTGCTTGAGGCCAGGAGTTCAAGACCAGCCTGGGCAATATAATGAGACCCCATCTCTACAAAAAATATTTTAAAATAAATAAATAAAAAATAAGAAAGAAAAGTGACAGTGTGAATGCTCCCATTGTTTCCTCAGCCAAGATGTTCCGAAGGGTGCTCACCATCGTGCAGGCCCACTGTAAGCTGGGTTTGACTGCGACCCTCGTCCGCGAAGATGACAAAATTGTGGATTTAAATTTTCTGATTGGGCCTAAGCTCTACGAAGCCAACTGGATGGAGCTGCAGAATAATGGCTACATCGCCAAAGTCCAGTGTGCTGAGGTAGCTGGGCCTGGGCTGGGGGCGTCTGGGAAAGGGCCTCCTCCTATGGGCAGGGGAGTGATCAGATCGATTCCTCATGGGCAGACACAGGTCAGGACTTAGGCTCACCTGCTACCACTTCATACAGGATCCTCAGTCACCCTGTGGTTGGGTGGTACTAGACCCACTTGCTGCATATCTTCTGTCTTGTCACATATCTCACATACCCCTGAATTTGTGATGATTCTTTTTCCTAGCCATGGGGTTTACCAGTCATGGATTTCTGTGGGTGAGGATTAGCATTCAGGGCACAGGGATGAATGAAGGCCCCTGATACCACAGTGCTGCCTGGGAGCCTGGCAGCAAAGGGCTTTGCTCTGATAGCCCCAAGCGCCTAACTGATATGCTCCCAGCCCTGCTGGGAAGTGTGTGAAGAGGTGGCGGTACTCAGTAGCAGTGCTGACTCGTGTGTGGAAGTGTGGCTTAAATGGAAGAATTGCTGACACTACCAATTGAGAATCTGGTTTCGCACACTTGCAGCTGGTGTGAAAATAACTCCCTGGATGTGATTGCATTTAAAAATCTTTTAAGTGGTTAACATGTGAAAACGTCCAGTTCAATAGGAGGTATTAGGTTGGGTTTAGTTTTGTGCATGCATTTATTTTCAGTTGTACTGATTTCTAATTCACATAGCATTTTTTTTTTTTTAAAACAGGGTCTCACTCTGTCACCCAGGCTGGAGTGCAGTGGCGTGATCTTGGCTCACTGCAACCTCCGCCTCCTGGGCAAGTGATTCTCCTGCCTTAGCCTCCTGCGTAGCTGGAATTACAGACATGCACTACCACACCCAGCTAATTTTTGTATTTTTAGTAGAGACTGGGTTTCACTGTGTTGGCCAGGCTGGTCTTGAACTCCTGGCCTCAAGTGATCTGCCTGCCTCAGCCTCCCAAACTGCTGGCATTACAGGCATGAGCCACTGCACCTGACTGGTTTTGTTTTAAAGCTAATTCTGCTAGAGAAAGGTCTTCAAAAGTTTTAAATTGTGTGGTGTTTAAACTTGTAAAATGACCCCTGGTTCTTACTGTATTACAGGTCTGGTGCCCTATGTCTCCTGAATTTTACCGGGAATATGTGGCAATCAAAACCAAGAAACGAATCTTGCTGTACACCATGAACCCCAACAAATTTAGAGCTTGCCAGTTTCTGATCAAGTTTCATGAAAGGAGGAATGACAAGATTATTGTCTTTGCTGACAATGTGTTTGCCCTAAAGGAATATGCCATTCGACTGAACAAGTAAGAATTGAAAACTTGGAGCTTCCTCCAGGCCAGTTTCTCTTCCCCATTGAGAGTGCAGAAGGTGGCTGTTGTTTTGTTTTTTTGTTTTTCTCTCAGGAACTTCTTGGGCTCCAAAGATCTTGTTCTGTGGCCCTGGTCTCAGAAACCAGGGAAGACCTGAAGTAGGTGGTTGGAGTCAGAGGTTAGAGCATAGAGAAAAGGGGGGCTAGTCACCTTGAGCCCAAAGAACAGGGAGCAGAGACTTGGACTGAGCTGGGTGGGGCCCCATGGAAGATCTGGGCTCCAAAGGTGGGTGGGAGTTGGCATTTGGAGCTTTGGGCTGTGTGAGCTCTGTGGGTGGAGAGGAGGCCAGACTGGATGGCCTAGGGGCTGGGAAGGCAAGATGGGCTGGGCTGGCATCCCAAGTACGGACTGGCATCTGGAAGGAGCTTAGAAATGCCCACGCAGTATCCTCATCAACCCATGGCTCCACCCAAATATTTGTGCTTAAAACCTGGCTTTTGTAAAGCTCTGCCAAGTAAGGAGGAAGAGGTCTGCGCTTGCTCCTACAGTGACACAGGACTTCAGGTGCTGTAAGTGTTGCAGAAGGCCAGGCCCTCTATGGAGACAGGTCAAGCTATGTGCTATGGGTACTATACATAGGTTTTACTTAATCCTCACTTCAGCCATATAAAATGTTGTTCCCATTTTATAGAAGGGAAGACAAACTCATAGAAAGATTAAATTTCTTAAGTTTCTAAAATTATACCTTTATTTAATTTAGAAAGACTTTTTAATCCAAGTCAACATTTAGATTATTGTGAAAAACAGCAATTCCCTGCTTCTATTTTCCCACCCACAATTCTATTCCTTGAAGACAGCCGCTTTTGACTCTTTTTTGTTGTTTACCTTCATATTTCTTTCTTTCTTCCTTTTTTCTTTTTTTTTTTTTGGAGTTAGGGTGTCACTGTGTCACCCAGTCTGTAGTGCAGTGGTGTAATCACGGCTCACGGCAGCCTTGACCCCCTGGGCTCAATCAATCCTTCCACCTCAGCCTCCCGAGTAGCTGGGTCTACAGGCACGCACCACCACACCCAGCTAATTTTTGTTTTTTGTAGAGATGGGGTTTTGCTATGTTGCCCAGGCTGGTCTCAAACTCCTGAGCTCAAGCAGTTCCTCCTGCCTTGGCCTCCCAAAGTGCTGGGATTAGAGTCATGAGCCACCACACCTGGCCAGCCTTCATCTTTCTAAGCAATAGCTTATGTAGTAATTTCTTGATGATCAGTTATAGAAATTGCCTATTAACTTCCTACTGTAGGAGTTGAGGGTTTAGCTTTCTTACATACACCACTCTCCCCACTCCTGTTTTCTCTCCTACCATTCTCCCAATATGGGAATAGCACAAGTTGGGGGTTACTTTAATATTCAGTTACATTATTTTGACTGTGTAAGTATGTTCAGGCAGAGCTGTAGAGTACTATTACATTTTCCTTTTTTTTTTGAGACGGAGTCTTGCTCTGTTGCCAGGCTGGAGTGCAGTGGCGCTATCTCAGCTCACTGCAACCTCTGCCTTGTGGGTTCAAGTGATTCTCCTGCCTCAGCCTCCTGAGTAGCTGGGACTACAGGCACCCGCCACCACAGCCTGGATAATTTTTGTATTTTTGGTAGAGATAGGGTTTCACCATATTGGCCAGGATGGTCTCGATCTCTTGACCTCGTGATCTGCCTGCCTCGGCCTTCCAAAGTGCTGGGATTACAGGTGTGAGCCACCATGCCCGGCCTTACATTTTCTTTTTTGTAAATGTTTTTTTGCCTTGGAGTTAATAATTGCCTTGTCATTGTTTTTGCTTGGTTTTCTGTGCATTGAATAATTATTCCCCTCCAAAGTCTTCACATAACCATAAACTCAGTAGGGTCAGGTAATTTCTCAGTTCTGTTTTTCTGTTTCCCCAGTGGGATCCCCACCAGCACTCCATTCGCTTACTCTGTTCTGGCCTGCTTGCTGTCTAGGACTAGAGACACCACCAGCTGTTACCATGGGGTTTCCCTTGGACACTACCCCATGACTTCCCTGGGCCTCTTTGTTGTGTTTCCCACCCTGAAATCTCCACCCTCTTGGTTACTCATTTTGATGGAGCACATGTTCCAGTAGGTTCCTGAGAGAAGGGATGTAGGAGGAGAAGCTTTGGAGACTTCACATGTTTACAGATGTCTTTACTCGACTTTATACTTGATCAGTAGTTTGGCCAGGTCCTAGAACTAACATTGGAGCTTCCAGTGCAGCAGTTTGGCAGTCTGATGCCCTTTGCTTCCTCTCAGTGTGTTGTCTGCTGTGGTGGCTGTGCGTTTTCCTTCCCTTGAAAACTGGTAGGATCTTCTCTCTTTTTGGAAATTTGAAAGTGATATTCTTAATGTTTTTCTTTCATCGTGATGGGCACTCAGTATATCCTTTCCATCTGGAAACTCGTGTCCTTCAGTTCTGAGAATTTCTGTTTTTTTGTTGTTAATCACTTTCTCTATGTAGTCCCTTCTTGGAATTTTGATTCATCAGATGTTAGATCCTCTGAACAGCTTCTCCAGTTTGCTTATCTTTTTTCTACTTTTTTATCTCTTTGTCTTCTAACCCTTGTATTGAGACTTGTTAATTTCTGAGAGTTCTTTCCTGGTAACTGTTCTTGTTTTGTTTGTGAATAGAGTGTCTTCTCGGAGGCTTTGAAAACTTTTGAAGCTTCCGTCTGTTTCCTGCCATGTCTCTTTTCTTCATTTTTTTGTCTTAATTGTTTTTACCTGTCTTTTGAGTCTTTCTGAGTTTTGGTAATCCTTGACTGTATTTTATTGGTTTAAAGTCACTGAAAACCTGGCAGGCCTTTCTGTGTGGCTTAGTGGGTTTGCCAGCTTGTGGACCTCACCAGAGTGGCTGGGCAGGGCCTGGCTATTTCTTCAGGAGGTTGCCAAATGCCAGTATCTCTAGGACTTTTCTCTTGGGCTGGACGGTTTCTTCAGTGAGGAATTTTTCAGTCCCCTGGGCACCACCGTGTGTTAGGGGAAGAGGAGGGCTTGTGGAATCTTTGCATTCAGTCTTGCCTTTTCCCTCATCTCTGCCGGGCATCCCTGGAGAATAAGCCTCCAGTGCCCCACCAGTGGAGGTGGCCTGCCTGCTGCCGGCCGGACCCAACTGCTCCTCACACTCACACACTGCCAGTCCTCCTGTGCACCTCCCCACCTTCTCAGGCAACTGGTGACTAGTTCCTGAGCCCTCCTGCGTGCTGCAGAGGACACAGAGGCGGCGGGTTTTGTATCGGTCTTCCCTCCTGCCGGCTCCAGCTTCTGCTTTCTCTAGTCTGTTAGCTCAGGTACTGTGCCTGCATCTGTCTGCTTTTCAGCTTCTGAAATGTTACCCACTTCTCTCATCTGCTGTTATTTCTTCTCCTGTTTTCTTGGTGGGTTTGTGTTCTGTCACATTAGTGCCAATTTGAGCAGGGCAATGAGACAGTTCCTATATTTACTTTGCCTTATTTAAGAACTATTCTCTCCCCATCCTTCCTCCCACAGCAATGCTCCTCCAGTCTTCTGGAGCCTCACTCCAGGGGCCTCCCCCACCTACATTTGCAGCACTCCTGAGGCTTGTGCCTTAGCCGCAGCCTCCCGAGCATCTGCTTGGGCAGGGACGTTAATTTGCCTGGCACTGTCAATTCCAAGCCAGTCTGTCACAGTGAAGGGCAGCAGATTGTGGCTGTCTCCTGTGTACTAGAATGATCATTACAATGTGTACTTTTTACCTTTTTTTTGTGTCTCTGGCCTTTAAATGTATGAAGTAGTGTTTTTTCTTCTTGGTTTTCTCGCTTCTAAAATGATCCTGCGGGCCAGGCGCAGTGGCTCATGCCTATAATCCCAGCACTTTGGGGGGCCAAGGCAGAAAGATCACTTGAGCCCAGGAGTTCAAGTCCAGCTTGGGCAATATAGTGAGACCCCATCCTTTAAAAAAAAAGTGATCCTGTGGCTCTCGGGCATTGCTCCATTCTTTGCTCGTGTGTGGTGGGGATTCTCCAAGCTTTTGGCTCCTCCCAGCCTTCATAAGAAAGGCATTGGTATCACCAAAGCACTTTGCAAGAGAGGCTTAGGGTTATATGGCAGTGTGGGGCTGTGGGCAGAGCATCGTTTTTGGGATCAGACAGACTGGATGTGGGAAAGTTGTTTACCTCTGAACTCCTTTTGTACTTCGGTCACATGGAGCTACTGCCACCCAATGTGTACTGGGTCCTGGTGTCCCTTGATGGTGGGGGGTGGATTCTTGTGCCTGGCAGCTTGTAAGTATTTAGTAAATGTGACATTCTCCACTTGGAGGGTGCTTTTCCTTCTATTTCATCTGTGTGGGGGAACCTTTAGAAACTGAGGGCTCCCCACTGTGCAAGTAGTTTTTCCTGGTGATGGGGGAGGAGAAAACCACCTAAAAACCTGGGTCTCAAGAGTCAGGCTGTTCTGACGAGTGGGGCTTCTAACCTTTTTCACTGCATGACATGCATAGAAAATGATAAAATTATGTGGTGGCCGGGACATTCTGGATCACGGCAAGGCAGCTTGTGACTGGGCTAATCAGAGGCCATCAGCCTGGGTGTGCAGCTGCCCAGGCCCTATCCAGCTTCCCCACAGGCAAGGGGTTTGCTCTTTGAGGTACATCCATTAATGGGCACTGCTCTGGGTGCTAACGGGCCTCGGCAGTGGAGCAGCCACTCCCAGGTTCCACCTGCTCAGGCTTCTGACCCTTGGTTTCCCACATGTAAATTGGGGAACATGAAACCTGTCTTTTACAATGCTGAGGAATCTTGGCAGGGCTGGCTGGATTTTTTTCTTTTCTTTTTCTTTTTTTTTTTTTTCTGAGACGGAGTCTCACTCTGTTGCCCAGGCTGGAGTGAAGTGGTGTGATCTTGGCTCACTGCAACCTCTGCCTCCCAGGTTCAAGTGATTCTCCTGCTTCAGCCTCCTGAGTAGCTGGGATTATAGGTGCCCACCACCATACCCAGCTAATTTTTTTTATTTTTAGTAGAGATGGGGTCTCACCATGTTGGCCAGGCTGGTCTCGAACTCCTGGCCTCAGGTGATCCACCCACCTCCGCCTCCCAAAGTGCTGGGATTACAGGTGTGAGCCACCGCGCCTGGCTGGATTTTTTTTTTTTTAATGTAATACTCAGCTCAATGCCTGGTGTTGGTAGGTCCTGCGTACCTGTAGTTTGTCTTCATTGTCTTTGCTGTTGTCATCATCATCATCACTGTTGTTATGATTCTTGGGAAGCTACAAAAACTGTCCACCGTCACATTCCAAGACAGAGGGAAGGAGTGTGACATTCCCAATGCTATGGGATGATAACCATTGAGTTCATTGATAGGGTTGTACCCTTTGGCAGGGAGCTGGAAAATTTTTTTTTTTTTTTTTTTTTTTTTTTGAGACAGAGTTTCACTCTTGTTTCCCAGGGTGGAGTGCAATGGCGCGATCTCGGCTCACCACAACCTCTGCCTCCCCGGTTCAAGTGATTCTCCTGCCTCAGCCTCCCGAGTAGCTGGGATTACACACATGCGCCACCACACTCGGCTAATTTTGTATTTTTGGTAGAGACGGGGTTTCTTCATGTTGGTCAGGCTGGTCGTGAATTCCCAACCTCAGGTGATCCACCCGCCTCGGCATCCCAAAGTGCTGGGATTACAGGCGTGAACCACCGCGCCTGGCAGGGAGCTAGAAATTAAAGAGAAGTTTTTAAAACTTAGTGTTATGGGAAATCAGCACAATAATGGCTGAAGGGCACTTTTCTCCTTTCTGCTCATCTCTTGGAGCATGCCTGTGTCTTGGCAAACAGTTGCTTCCAGCCTTTTTTTGGAAATAGCAGTGGTTTCTTTGCACCTCTCTTTGGGCTTCATGAAATGTGGAGATGCTCCTTGTATAGACTCTGTGCTGAGAGTAAGAGATGTTGAAGCAGGAAAAAGCATAGTCCAAAAAGAAAACGAAAAATGGAAAGGAGGGAATCCCGAAGAGAATGGTGGGCCTAAACCTAGAATCAGTGGGGAAGGCTGGGAGGTGCATCTGTAGCCAGTCATTTTTTTGGGTGTAACGATATTCCTACATGACGAGGGCTTTCTACTTGAGAAGAGCTAGCCTGAGCTCCTTTTTCCCTCTGATGTGTTTTCAAGATAACTGAGGCATTATTCTGTGGTCTAACACAGCTTCATTCTTCTCTAGACCCTATATCTACGGACCTACGTCTCAGGGGGAAAGGATGCAAATTCTCCAGAATTTCAAGCACAACCCCAAAATTAACACCATCTTCATATCCAAGGTTTGTGTGGCATATGGGGTGGAGGTGAGGCCCCTAGCACTCTGGGGACCTGGGGGGTACACTATGATTCCTGGACAGTGAATTCATGTCTGCTGAAGGAACTTCTCCTGCATGTTTTCATTTCCGACATGTCCAGGGATAGGGGGCACTGCCTGGGGTTAGTGGAAGGAGCAGACTGAGGATTTGCATGCATCATGGATAATCTATAAAGGCTATTTGAGGTTTTTCCAGTTCTTTTGGGGATGTAGAAGTTTTAAGTTGTATTTCCTTATTTATAAAAGGAAAAAAAGTTCATTTCCTACTCTGGCAAAAGTAGGCATTTAGATGAAGTTCTCTTTACAAGTTGGAGATCCTGTGTGTCGCGGCAGCCTTTGTCCTGGTTCCTGGTGTCCCTTGATGATGGGTGGTGGATGTCAGCACAGACTTCCGCAGGCCCAGCTCAGGGATGGTTTACTCTGCAATCAGAAGCTGTAGCCCCACAGTTTAGAATAGTCATTCAGATTAAGACAGACCCAAAGCCCAAAAGAAATGAGATTTTACAACCGGGCGCGGTGGCTCACATCTGTAATCCCAGCACTTTGGGAGGCTGAGGCGGGTGGATCACCGGAGGTCAGGAGTTCGAGACCAGCCTGGCCAACATGGAGAAACCCTGTCTCTACTAAAAATACAAAAATTAGCTGGGTGTGGTGGCAGACGCCTGTAATCCCAACTACTCAGGAGGCTGAGGCAGCAGGGTTCAGTCACTTGAACCCGGGAGGTGGAGGTTGCAGTGGAGCTGAGATTGTGCCGTTGCACTCCAGCCTAGGCAACAAGAGCGAGACTCCGTCTCAAAAAAAAAAAAAAAAAAAAAAAAAAAAGAAATGAGATTTTATGTGATTGTGGCTGGGCGCTTATAAGCACCAAACCTTCATGTCTGTGGCTGGGAACCTCGATGTTTGGAGCCCCAGAGCTGAGGAATCCACCTACAGTCAGAATTCCATATGGGGCAGTTGTTCCTCCCAGGTCACATCCCACGTGTGCTGCTGGTGTCAGTGGCCAACAGGTAAGAGTATGGATGGTTTTGTGGAGACATATTTCTGTAGCCAAAAAAATGAATGACTCAAAGTCAGTCTCTGTTCAAGGGCCCTCTCATCTCTGGGCTCCTGGCACCCAGCACTGAATGTCACTGATGCCTGGTATTAATTCTTCAGGATGACTCTTAGCAGAACTCACACAAGGTCCTGGAGACCCAGAGATGCCTTTCTGAGGTTTATTGCTTCACCTCTCTCTGCCTGCATCAGATAGACCCTGGTATAAAGAGGAGAAAAGAGTGATTATGTTTCAAAATTATCTACAGAACTTATTTAAATTCTGGATCAGTTGACTTTTTTTTTTTCCTCATATATAAAAACCTTCCAACTTGTTTCTGTAGGTAGGTGACACTTCGTTTGATCTGCCGGAAGCAAATGTCCTCATTCAGATCTCATCCCATGGTGGCTCCAGGCGTCAGGAAGCCCAAAGGCTAGGGCGGGTGCTTCGAGCTAAAAAAGGTAAAGTGGCCTTTCATCTTCTGTTGCAGGAGGTCACTCCTCTTAAACCACTTTAGTTAGGAAGACGATAGGGGTGAGAGCTGCCATGTGCCCTGGGGCTAAATAGACTCTGGAGGGAGAGAATCCCAAAGCAAAGACCTAGATCCTTATGGCCCATCATTATTTCTCATACCTTGGGGGTGAATATGCAGGTGTTTTCCATGACAGTGTCACGGAATCCACACAGATGTGCTCTGTACACTGTGCAGCTGTGTTGGTAGATGGTGAGAGGGAGCCAGGGCAAGGCAGTGCTTATGGGGTAGACATGGAAGGGAGAAAACAGAGCTGGGCCACCAGTGTAAGTGGAGGAGCTGGAAGCTGCTTCTGGAACTTGATCAGGAGGCAGGGAAAGGTTTGGTAGGAGCAGCTTGGGCAGACACACAATGGGCACGTCATTCATAACCTGTGCAGAGTGCCGCCCTGGTGGCAGCTTGCAGCAGGGGCAGGGCAAGCTCAGTGAGTGAGGAGGTGAGAATCCTCATTGCAAAGGCTTTTTCTGAGGAGGCGTGGCACCCCTGTGCTTGCTTACTGCGGTAAAAGGGCCCAGACTGCCATTGTGGACATGGCAGGGACTGACACTCTTGCTAAGAGATGGCCGTGTCTGTCTTACTGGGACCAGGGCACATCCTGAGACAAGGACACAAGCCCTATCCTCAAGGAGTCTGCTTATTCAAGGAGGCATCTGGACTGCTAGAATGTTTGAAAATGACAAGATTAGTGGGCATCTGTTGGAACTGTACTGCGTTCAGATGTGTTTAAGAAGCGTCTAGTAGCTTGTATTTAAAATGGAGATGAGGCAGATAGCATGGACTAGAAATAGCATGGACTCAGGCACCAAGCCAGCTGTGTCACCTTTGGCAAATTATTTTCTCCTCTGAGACTTGGTTTTCCCATCCAAAGTGGGGGTGACAATCCTGTCTTGCCAAGACTGCTGTGAGGATTCAGCTTATAAGTCATAAAATGTAGTCGGCTGGCTGGGCACAGTGGCTTACACCTATAATCCCAGCACTTTGGGAGGCCAAGGCAGGAGGATAGCTTGAGCCCAGGAGTTTGAGACCATCTTGGGCAATGTAGTGAGACCCCATCTCTACAAAAAATAAAACTAGCTGGGCGTGGTGGTGTGTACCTGTGGTTCCAGCTACTTGGGAGGCTGAGACAGTAGCTTTTATAAACTGACAGGACTATGATCTGCTAGCAAATGTGAATATAATTCATTACTTATTCCTTACTCTAATTTGAAAACTCCTTTATTGATTGATTGATTGATTGATTGATTGAGATAGAGTCTTATTCTGTCACCCAGGCTGGAGTGCAGTGGCACAATCTCGGCTCACTGCAACCTCCATCTACTGGGGTCAAGTGTGATTCACCTGCCTCAGCCTCCCGAGTACCCGGACTACAGGCGTGCACCACCACGTCCAGCTAATTTTTTTTGTATTTTTAGTAAAGACGGGGTTTCACCATTTTGGCCAGGCTCGTCTCTAGTGATCCACCCACCTTGGCCTCCCAAAGTGCTGGGATTACAGGTGTGAGCCACTGTGCCTAGCCTTAAAAACTCCCTTAAATGTGAATAGAAGGCCAGGCGCGGTGGCTCACGCCTGTAATCCCAGCACTTTGGGAGGCCCAGGCAGGCAGATCATGAGGTCAGGAGATTGAGACCATCCTGGCTAACATGGTGAAACCCCGTCTCTACTAAAAATACAAAAAATTAGCTGGGCGTGGTGGCGGGTGCCTGTAGTCCCAGCTACTCGGGAGGCTGAGGCAGGAGAATGGCGTGAACCCGGGAGGCAGAGCTTACAGTGAGCCGAGATTGCGCCACTGCATTCCAGCCTGGGCAACAGAGCAAGACTCCATCTCAAAAAAAAAAAAAAAAAAAAAAGTGAATAGAATTGTTTTCTTACTCAAAACACTGTTTAACATGACACTTGGCTCCTTTCTTTGCATCTCTGAGCTCTTGTAAGATTTGAGAAACAATTACATTCAAGGGCAGTATGCTTAACCTACTGACATTTGAACTACAAAGCAAAGATGTTCAGATTTTCCTGAAGGATCAAGTCTTTCAGGCCACAGAATTTTCTGTCCTAGTTTTTTAATACAGTAGTCCCCCCATATCTGCAATTTTCCTTTCCACATTCAATTACGCATGGTCAGCTGTAGTCTAAAAATATTAAATGGAAAATTCCAGAAATAAACAATTCATAAGTTTTAAATTACACACTATTCTGAGTAGCATCCATGATGTGAATTCTTGCTTTGTGCGGCATATTCATGCTTAAATTCTCCCCACCCATTAGTCACTTAGTAGCCATCTCAGTTGTCACGGACTGTCACTGTATCTCAGTGCTTGTTTTCAAGTAACCTTTATCTTACTAATGGCCCCAAAGCACAAGTGTAATGATGCTAGCAATTCAGATATGCCAGAGAAGCTGTAAAGTGCTTTCTTAAAGCGAAAAGGTAAAAGTTATTAATTTAAGCAAGGGAATAAAAATCATATGCTAAGGTTGCTAAGATCGAGGGTGAGAATGACTCTTCCTGCTGTACAAGATGATCATCCCCAGAGCACATAGCCGTCAGACTTTCCAAGGTCAATACAAAAGAAAGAATCTTAAAGACAGCTAGAGAAAGGGTCATATAACTCATCATGCTAACAGCAGACTTCTCAGCAGAAACTTTACAAGTCAGAAGAGATTGGGGGACTGTTTTTAGCATTCTTAAAGAAAAGAAAAGAAATCCTGGCTGGGCACGGCGGCTCACACCTGTAATCCCAGCACTTTGGGAGGCCAAGGTAGGCAGATTGCTTGAACTCAGGAGTTTGAGACCAGTCTGGGCAACATGATGAAACCCTGTTCCTACAAAAAATACAACAATTAGCTAGCTGGGTGTGGTGGTGTGCGCCTGTAGTCCCAGCCACTCCGGAGGCTGAGGCAAGAGAATCGCTTTAGTCTGGGAGGCAGAGGTTGCAGTGATCTGACATCTCACCACGGTATTCCACCTTGGGCAACAGAACAAGATCCTGTTTAAAACAAAAACAAACAAAAAAACAGGCCAGGCGCGGTGGCTCACACCTGTAATCCTAGCACTTTGGGAGGCTGAGGTGAGTGGATCACCTGAGGTCAGGAGTTCCAGACCAGCCTGGCCAACATGGTGAAACCCCATCTCCACTAAAAATACAAAAATTAGCCGGGCGTGGTGGCAGGTGCCTATAATCTCAGCTACTCAGGAGGCTGAGGCAGGAGTATTGCTGGAACCCAGGAGGCAGAGGTTTCAGTGAGCCGAGATTGCACCATTGCACTCCAGCCTGGGCAACAACAGCAAGACTCTGTCTCAAAACAAAAAAACAAAAACCAAAAAACCATAGTGAGACCCAGTCTCTTTAAGAAAAAAAATAAAAAAGAAAAATCCTAACCAAGAATTCCATATCCTGCCAAACTAAGCTACATGAGCAAAGAAGAAATAAAATCTTTCCCAGACAAGCAACTGCTAAAAGAATTTGTTATCACCAGACTGGCCCTACAAGAGAGTCTTGAGAGTTCTAAACATGGAAATGAAAGAATGGTGACACCTGCTACCACAAAAATACACATAAGCACATAGCCCACAGACCCTGTAAAGCAACTACACAATCCAAACTACAGAGCAACCAGCTAATGACACCATGTTAGGAATAAAGCCTCATGTCTCAATATTAACCTTGAATGTAAACAACCTAAACACCCCACCTAAAAGACTTGGAGTGGCAAATTGGATTAAAAACAAGACCCAGCCTTCTGCTGTCTTCAAGAGACCTCTCTCACATGTAACAGGACTCATAGGTTCAAAGTAAAGGGATAGGGAAAAAAATCTATCACACAAATAAAAAAAAAAAAAGAGTGGGGCAGGGGGTCACTATTCTTGCATCAGATAAAAGAGACTTTAAACCAGCCACAGTAAAAAAGGACAAAAAGGTCATTACACGATGATAAATGGTTCAATTCAACAAGAAGACTTAACTATCCTAAATATATATGCGCCCAACATTGGAGCACCTAGATTCATAAACCAAGTACTTTTAGAGCTAGGAAAAGGCTTAGACAGCCACACAACAATGGTAGGAGATTTTGACACCCCACTGACAGCATGAGACAGATTATAGAGGCAGAAAACTAACAAAGAAATTCTGTACTTAAAATTCAACACTTGACCAATTGGACCTAATAGGCATCTACATAATTCTCTACGCAACAACCACAGAATATATATTCTCATCTGCCCCCAGAATATACTCTTAAGATTGATCACATGGGCCTGGTGCCGTGGCTCACACCTGTAATCCCAGCACTTTGGGAGGCTGAGGCCGGCAGATTGCCTGAGCTCGGGAGTTTGCAACCAGCCTGGGCAACACGGTGAAACCCCGTCTCTACTAAAATACAAAAATTAGCTGAGTGTGGCGGCATGCGCCTGTAGTCCCAGCTACTCGGGAGCCTGAGGCAGGAGAACTGACTTGAAGCCGGGAGGCAGAGGTTGCAGTGAGCCAAGATCATGCCACTGCACTCCAGCCTGGGGAACAGAGCAGGACTCTGTCACAAAAAAAAAAAAAAAAAAAAAAAATAATTGATCATGTGTTTGGCCATAAAGCAATGTGAGACTTTATGCTCGACTTTATTAAAGTCTCAATAAATTCGGCAGGGTGTGGTGGCTTACGCCGATAATCCCAGCACTTTGGGAAGCCAAGGCGGGTGGATCACGAGGTCAGGAGATCGAGACCATCCTGGCTAACACAGTGAAACCCCGTCTCTACTAAAAATACAAAAAATTAGCCGGGTGTGTGGTGGCAGTTGCCTGTAGTCTCAGCTACTCGGGAGGCTGAGGCAGGAGAATGGCGTGAACCTGGGAGGCGGAGCTTGCAGTGAGCCGAGATCGCGCCACTGCACTCCAGCCTGGGCAACAGAGCGAGACTCTCTCAAAAAAAAAAAAAAAAAAAAAAGACTCAATAAATTCAAAAAAGTCGAAATCATACCAAGCATTTTCTTGGGTCACAGTGGAATAAAAGTAGAAATCAGTACCAGGAAGAACTCTCAAAACCACACAATTGGCCAGGCACAGTGGCTCATGCCTGTAACCGCAGCACTTTGGGAGGCCAAAGTGGGAGGATCATTTGAACTCAGGAGTTCAAGACCATTCTGGGCAACATAGCGAGACCTCATCGCTAAATAAAAGAAAAAAGAAAAAAAAAAACCCACACAATTACATAGAAACTAAACAACTTGCTCCTGAATGACTTTTGGATAAACAAATTAAGGCAGGAATCAAAAATTATTTGAAACAAATGAAAACAGATACAACATACTAAATCTCTGGGGTACAGCAAAGGTATTGTTAGGAAAGTTTATAGCACTGAACACCTACATCGAGAAGACAGATTTCAAATTAACAATTTGAGATTTCACCTGAAGGAACTAGAAAAATAAGAACAAGCTAATCCCAAAACTAGCTGAAGAAAAGAAATAACTAAAATCAGAGCAGAACTAAATGAAATTCAGACTCAAAAACAATACAAAGGATCAATGAAATAAAAAGCTGGTTCTTTGAAAAGATAGATAAGGCCAGTCGCAGTGGCTCATGCCTGTAATCCTGGAACTTTGGGAGGCCGAGGTGGGCGGATTACAAGGTCAAGAGTTCAAGACCAGCCTGACCAACATGGAGAAACCCCGTCTCTACTAAAAATACAAAAATTAGTCGAATGTGGTGGCGCATGCTTGTAATCCCAGCTACTCAGGAGGCTGAGGCAGGAGAATTGCGTGAACCCAGGAGGCAGAGGCTGCAGTGAGCCGAGATCGCACCTCTGCACTCCAGCCTGGGTGACAGAGCGAGACTCCGTCTCAAAAAAAAAGATAAATAAGATTGATGGACTGCTAGTTAGATTAACAGAAAAGAGAAGATCCAAATAAGCAGAATCAGAAATGACAAAGGTGACATCACAGCTGATCCCCAGAAATACAAAAGATTCTCAGAGACTTAAAAATACCTCTGTGCACACAAACTAGTAAATCTAGAGGAAATAGATAAATTCCTGGAAACATACAACTTCCCAAGATTGAATCAGAAATTAATTGAAACCCTGAACAGATCAATAAGGAGAAATTGAATCAGTAATTTAAAAAAAAAATATGGCCCCAGGCATGGTGGCTCACACCTCTAATCCCAGCACTTTGGAAGGCTGAGGCAGGTGGATCACCTGAGGTCAGGAGTTCCAGACCAGCCTGACCAACATGGTGAAACCTCGTCTCTACTAAAAATACAAAACTAGGTGGGCTTGGTGGCGTGTGCCTGTAATTCCATCCACGTGGAAGGCTGAGGCAGGAGAATTGCTTAAACCCTGGAGGTGGAGGTTGCAGTGAGCTGAGATCGTGCCACTGCACTCCAGCCTGGGTGACAGAGTGAGACTCCGCCTCCAAAAAAAAAAAAAAAAATCTACCAACTAAAAAAGTCCTGGACCAGATGTATTCAGTTCTACTGAAACTATTCAAAAAAATTGAGGAGGAGAGACTTCTTCCTAACTCATACTACGAAACCACTATCATCCTGATACCAAAATCTGGCAAAGACACGATGAAAAAACTACAGGCTAGTATTCCTGATGAACACAGACGCAAAAATCTGTAACAAAATGAGGACAAAGCAAATCCAGCAGCATATCAAAAAGTTAATTCACCACAATCAAATAGGCTTTACTTCTGGGATGCAAAGTTGGTTCAACATGTGGAAATCAATAAATATGATTCACCACATAATTAAAAATGAAAAGCATATAATTATCCTAATAGACACAGAAAAAGGTTTTTTGTTTTTTTGAGGCAGAGTCTTGCTCTTGTTGCCCAGGCTGGAGTGCAATGGTGCAATCTTGGCTCACTGCAACCTCTGCTTCCCAGATTCAAACTATTCTCCTGCCTCAGCCTCCCAAGTAGCTGGGACTACAGGCACGCACCACCATGCCCAGCTAATTTTTTTGTATTTTTAGTAGAGACAGGGTTTCGCCATGTTGGCAGTGCTGGTCTTGAAGGCCTGACCTCAGGTGATCCACCCACCTTGGCCTCCCAAAGTGCTGGGATTATAGGTGTGAGCCACTGCGCCCAGCCCAGAAAGAGCTTTTGATAAAATTCAACATTCCTTCATGATAAAAACCCTCAACAAATGGCATCGAAGGAACATATCTCACAATAATAAAAGCCATCTATGACAAACTCACAGCCAACATCATACTAAGTAAGCAAAAGCTGGAAGCATTCCCTTTAAGAACTGGAACAAGACAGCCGGGCACGGTGGCTCTTGCCTGTAATCCGAGCACTTTGGGAGGCCGAGGTGGGCGGATCACAACAAGGTCAGGAGATCTAGGTCATTCTGGCTAACATGGTGAAACCCCATCCCTACTAAAAGTACAAAAAATTAGCCGGGCGTGGTGGCAGGCACCTGTAGTCCCAGCTACTTGGGAGGCTGAAGCAGGAGAATGGCATGAACCTGGGAGGCGGAGCTTGCAGTGAGC
The DNA here is from genome assembly GCF_000001405.40 of Homo sapiens. Lineage (NCBI taxonomy): Eukaryota > Metazoa > Chordata > Mammalia > Primates > Hominidae > Homo > Homo sapiens. The sequence continues at coordinate 127,263,777 of NC_000002.12, read as the reverse complement.
CGAGATCACGCCACTGCACTCCAGCCTGGGCGACAGAGCGAGACTCCGTCCCCCAGAAAAAAAAAAAAAAAAGAACTGGAACAAGACAAAGAGCCCACCCTCACCACACCTATTCCACATAGTACTGAAAGTTCTACTCAGACCAGTCTAGCAAGATAAAGAAATAAAAGGCATCCAGATAGGAAAAAAGGAAGTTAAATTATCTGTCTTCCCTAATGATGTGATTCTATACCTAGAAAACCCTAAAGACTCCACCAAAAGGCTCCTAGACCTGATAGGCAACTTGAGTAAAGTTTCGGAATTCAAAATCAATGTACAAAAATCAGTAGCATTTCTATACACCAGTAACATTCAAGCTGAGAGCCAAATCAAGAACACAATCCAATTTATAATAGCTGTAAAAACAAAAGACAAAACCTAGGAATAACTACAGAACACTCCTGAAATAAATCATAGGTGACAGAAACAAATGGAAAAACATTCTGTGCTTGAGGATTGGAAGAAGCAATATCATTAAAATTGCCAAACTGCCCAAAACAATCTACAGATTCAACACTATTCTATCAAATTGCCAACATCATTTTTCACAGAATTAGAAAAAAAACTTATAAAATTCATCTGGAACCACAAAAGCACCTGAATAGCCAAAGCAATCCTAAGCAAAAGGAACAAAGCCAAAGGCCTCACAGTATCCAACTTCAAACTATGCTACAGGGCTTACAGTAACCAAAACAGCATGGTACTGGTACAGAACAGGCACATAGACCAATGGAGCAGAATAGAGAGCTCAGAAATAATGCCATGTACCTGCAGCCAACTGATGTTCAACAAAATTGGCAAAAATATGCAGTGGGGAAAGTACTCCCTATTCAATAAATGGTGCTGGGGAAACTGGCTAACTGTATGCAGAAGGATGAAACCAGACCCCTGCCTATCACCACATACAAAAATCAACTCATAATGGATTAAAGATGTAAATGTAAGACCTCAAACTATAAGGATCCTCGAAGAAAACCTAGGAAATACAATATTCACAAAGTTGTGCAACTATCAACACAATTCATGTTTAGAATATTCTCATCAGCTCCCAAAAGAAACCCTCATCCATGCACAGCCACTCCTAATTTCCTCTTGTTCCCAACCCCCAGCTCTAGGCAGCCCCTAATCTACTTTGATGTCTGTAGGCCTTTTCTGGACATTTCATGTAAATGCAGTCAGACCACTTGGGGCCTTCTGTGACTGGTTTCTTTTCACTTAGCATAATGTTTTGTTTGTTTGTTTTTTGGAGATGGAATCTCGCTCTATCGCCCAGGCTGGAGTACAGTGGGGCGATCTTGGCTCACTGCAACCACTGCCTCGCAGGTTCAAGGGATTCTCCTGCCTCAGCCTCCCGCGTAGCTGGAATTACAGGCATGAGCCACCACGCCTGGCTAATTTTTCTATTTTTAGTAGAGATGGAGTTTCACCATGTTGGCCAGGCTGGTCTCAAACTCCTGACCTTGAGTGATCCACGCCCACCTCAGCCTCCCAAAGGGCTGGGATTACAGGACTGGGTCACCACACCCGGCAGCATAATGTTTTCAAAAAGATTATCTATATTGTAGCATCTGTCAGTACTTCATTCTTTTTTATTGCTAAATAATATTCGATTCCATGGACATACCACATTTTATTTATCCACACATCTGTTGATGGACATTTGGGCTGTTTCCACTTTTTGGCTCTTAGAAGAATTCTGCTATGAAATTCATGTACAAATTTTTGTGTGGATATAGTTTCATTTCTCTTGGATTTATGCCTGGAAGTGGAATTGCCAGGTCATGTGGTTATAACAGTGTGTTTAACATTTTGATGAACTGCCAGACTGTTTTCCAAAGCAGCCGCATCATTTACATTCTCAACAGCAATGCATGCGGGTTCTAGTTTTTCCACATCCTTGACAACAGTGGCAGTTATCTGCTTTTTTGATTGTAGCCATCCTCGGAGAGGGGCGTGAGGTGATAATCTCATTGTGCTTTTGAGTTGCATTTCCCTGGTGATTAATGGTGTGGAGCATCATTTCATGTGCTTACTGGCTATTTTTATATTGTTTTTGGAGAAGTAATCTGTTCATATTCTTCTCTCATTTATAATTAATTTGTCTTGTTGTTGAGTTTCAACAGTTCTTTGTATAACCTAGATACAAATCCCTTATCAGATATATGCTTTCCACATTTTTTTATTCTGAGGATTGTTTTTTCACTTGATGGTGTCCTTGGAAGCACAAAAGACTTCCAAATTTTGATGCAATCCCATGCCAAGTTCAGGTGGTAACCCCGAGTGCAGGGCTTTTCCACTCCAGTGCTTGCTTTTGAGCCTGGGACCCTTAGCTCTTGGCATTCTAATGGCTAATGTTGTCTTCTTTATTGCCGTTTCTCATTTTTTCCTGCAGGGATGGTTGCAGAAGAGTACAATGCCTTTTTCTACTCACTGGTATCCCAGGACACACAGGAAATGGCTTACTCAACCAAGCGGCAGAGATTCTTGGTAGATCAAGGTTATAGCTTCAAGGTACATATCCATTTGGCTTCTGGTTAGACTAGGACCAAGGCCTTCTTGATACCCTGGCCTCCAGGAGAAGCGAGGGCCACTGTCAGCAGGCAGGCACCAAGCATTAGGAGATTAGAGGCCTTGCCTCAAACTCCCTTTATCTCTGCATGAATCTCTGAGGGCAGCTGTTGGTGGAAAGTGTGCCGTCCTGGCAGGACTGAGGTGCCATGGCACTATGACCAGCACTGTGTGAATCTGAGCCCCGCAGGGCTGCTTTCTCAGGGATGCCTCTCTAGGTAGCTAGGAGAGCTCTTCCTTTCATCAGCTGGTAAGCTCCAGGCCTTAGTTTGCCTCAGTTTGCCTCCCAGACATCAGAGCTATCCTGTACTACAAATCAGGTATTTTAATAATTGGGAAATTCTAAAGCTTTGGCTAACTTTCACTGGCTGAGGCATTTGCTTTCTTTCCTGTTACACAAATATTACGTTTATGTCAGTATTTGGTGTCCAGAGGGCTTTATATTTTGGGGATAGATGGAGGGTTCTAGAAGTAGGGGAATTAAATTCCCCCTATGGTCCACTAAAAGGACATCCCTAGAACATTAGACTCCCAGGTTCTTGATTGCAAAAGACTGCAATCCAGGCTGCCTTTTGAGATACGTTTTTAATGTGTCTCTTTATGCATTGGTGAGAGTTCCCATTATTGGCCTTAGGAGGACAGGGTTGTCTGACCTTCCCTCTTTTAGCTAGAGGCAGTGACACTTCAGACCTCTCATGCTGGCCTAGAGGACAAGATGCTTGGGTTTTGAGCCCAGTTTTTTGGAGGATTTGCATCATGACCTTTTTATCCATCCATGAAAATCCCTGTTGGTAATAGCATTCCTACCTCCTGATTCCTGCCGAGCTGTGAGGGTAAGAGGAGCACCAGGTCAGAAAGAGCAATTCTTTGAAAGGTGACCTCGACAAAAAGGCACAATGCCATGCCGTAGTAGTTTGTGTTGGTTGGAGCTGTGTCTTCGGTGCTGCCTGTTGAGGAGCAGTGGTTGGAGTTCCCAGAGTCATGACGTGGAGTGGCTGGGCCTGGGCAGATGTGCACATCGTCTGTACTCTGGATCCCTGGCCCAGAAGGACTCAGATCCTTACTTCTAGGAATTTTCATTTAATGAACATTATGAGAATTGGAGGGAAGGAGAATTCCCTTTACAGAATCAACCCAAGTTTTCTGCAGGGATAGGGAGCCCTTGTAGTAAGTTATCCCCATAGAAATGAAAACCCAGTCTCCACCATGCTGTTCTTACTCTCTCAGAGAAGCTCTATAAATAATCTTCCTGATATCCTATCATTTTCATTTTCACGTGCTCATTCCTGCTGGAAGCCCCAGTTGCGGAGCACAGCAGATGCCAGGGACCTTCACAAAGGGCCACAGCCTGTGCCTTCCAGTCACTTGTCCCTTCCTTTGTCTGCTCCAAGATGTGAAGGCTACCCGAAGGAGCCTTTTAAAATCACTAAGATTCTTCCTGTTGATCTTCCATACATGATCATTTAGATGCTGTGTGCTGGGGGCAGATTTCTCTGAAATTCCTGCATCCCTCTGGTCTTGAGATCATTAGTCAAGCTCCCTGTTAAAGGCGGCTCCTGATGCTGGTCTCTGGAATGCTAGGGAGGAGCTCTCCATTGTTGGCCACCAGGGTGGCTGGGCCTGGGGAGGGAAGTGACCAAAGCAGGTGGACCCAGGAGAAGGCAGAGGAGGGCTGGGGAGAGAGAGCAGAAAGGGGCATGTCTGCTGGCTTGGGCTTTGCAGGTGATCACGAAACTCGCTGGCATGGAGGAGGAAGACTTGGCGTTTTCGACAAAAGAAGAGCAACAGCAGCTCTTACAGAAAGTCCTGGCAGCCACTGACCTGGATGCCGAGGAGGAGGTGGTGGCTGGGGAATTTGGCTCCAGATCCAGCCAGGTGAGTAAATGGGTGAGGAGGTTCCAGGTGTCAGTGCTCTCACAGGGCAGCGTTTGTAGACACAGACACAGACATGTAGTCCTGCCTGGATGGGCCCATGGGATTTTTTTGGAAATGTTGGAAAACACGGAAGAGATGAACAGAAACAATCCTTGTTGCCCTTTTGGTGTGTGCCCCTTGTACTGTTGCACACAGCTGAGCTCACAGTGGCTGTGACTGGTCTCCTGCTTTGCTCACACGAGTATTTGTTAAATCTTGATGTTGAAGCCCAGGATGGCAAGCAGGTGACCCCAGCTCACCTTGGTGGTGACTGGAGGGAGCATGATGGGCTGGGGGTACGTAGTTCCCACACACAGGGCTGCCATCCCTGGCTGTGGCCACACAGTTCTCCTCTGGTTCCTCCTCAGTGATAAAGCTGAGCCCTCTAGCCCCTAAGACTGCTCTGAGGATCAACTCTTGTGGTAGCTTCGATACTTAACTTTGAAAAATGTAGAGTTCTGTGAAAATACTCAACCTTTCATTTATTCTACAAATATGCCTGCTCTAGGCCAAGTAAATATATGGTCTAATTAGTGAGAGCATCATTATGGAGAATTAGCAGGCCTGTCCAAGGGGAGAAGTGCACTTCAGTCAGGTGCGTTTGAAATTCAGTTGCCATTAGAGCCGGAAGGTGAGCAACTGCTGGACCAAGGCAAGAAGGAAACAGCTGTCCCTGGGAAGGGGCTGCCCTCCCTCCAGCCTAAGGCTTTCCTCCCCCGACCCAGGGGGCACTCTCCATGGGAACCCAGGAGAGTGCTCTCATTGCTCTCACTGGTTTTAAGGAGGTGCCTGGTTCATTCTCCTCACAGGATAGCAATGTCAGCACTGATGTGGTTATCCCCATTTTACAGATGAGGTCATTGAGGTGCAGACATTAATTACTTGCCTCAGGGTTACTCAGGGACAGGAGGAGCCAAGAGTCAAGCCCAGGGCTTTCTGTCCTTCCACTTGATTCAAAGCCTTATGGTGGTGTCTCAGGAGATTTTAAGGAACTTTTGCCCTAACTGTTAAAAAATTCTGTTCAGGCCAGGCATGGTGGCTCATGTCTGTAATCCCAGCACTTTGGGAGGCCTAGGCGGGAGGATCAGTTGAGTCCAGGAGTTTGAGACCAGCATGGTCAACATATCGAGACCCTGTTTCTCTCTTAAAAAAAAAAAGTTTGTTCAGAAGTTGTTATTAAGTGAGGTAGTGTGGCATTATGGTTAAGAACAGTCTGAAGCCAGGCTACCTGGGTGTTCAAATCCCATCTCCTTAAGAGCTATGTGATCTTGGATAGGTTAGTTAATCTCTCTGTGTCTCAGTTTCCTCTTCTTTCAGGTGTGGATTATAGTAGTTTTGAGGATTAGAGGAGATAATGCATGTAAAATGCTTAGAACAATGCCTGAGACAGTAAGCGATCTGTAAACATTATTAAAAATGATGTATTAAATTTATGTAAGTCTTATAAAATTTGCTGTGATTATAAGTATTATAAAAGGAGTATCTTTTCTTCTGGAGACTAACATGGGCTGGTTCCCCCTTCCCGGCAGGCATCTCGGCGCTTTGGCACCATGAGTTCTATGTCTGGGGCCGACGACACTGTGTACATGGAGTACCACTCATCGCGGAGCAAGGCGCCCAGCAAACATGTACACCCGCTCTTCAAGCGCTTTAGGAAATGATGCTTAGGCAGGGTACTTCGTTCAAGACCGGCGCTTGGCACCCTTGTTGGAAAGGGATTTTCAGCATAACATTTTCCTTCCACCTCTTTGACCTTCCCTCCAGCGTTGGCCAAATTGTGCTGAGGAAGATGCATCAAGGGCTTGGCTGTGCCTTCATAGGTCATCTAGGGTTTTATAAAGGAGGAGGAGACAATATTTTTTCAAACTTTTTGGGGAGTGGGGTCATTTCTGTATATAAAAAATGTTAATATTTAAGGTGTATTTATGTTACCGTTCTGAATAAACAGAATGGACCATTGAACCAGTCTTCATTGTACAAGTGTTTTTATGCTTCGTCCTGGGCATGGGTTATGTCTGGATGACCAACCTCCATCAAGGCCCTACTTTGTAGCAAGCACAGATGAGTAAGATGGAGCCCATCCCCAGGGAGCTACCAGAGAGATGTACCCTGAGATAGAAGAAACGTTGGCAGGAAAGGCCTGGGGAACGGGGAGGGTGATCCAGCCAGAGGGAAGAGCCTGGGTAGTTGACTGTGGTCCCTGCTCACAGCTTAGCCTGGTGGATTCAGACTGGGGCTTCAACCGCACAGCTTCCTGCTGTTCTGGTGGTCACAGCTGTTCCTACAGCCTCGTCCGAGGTAGACACCCACGTCATGAAGGCCTTCCAGGTTGGCTCCTGGTGCCTCATCTTCTCTGAGAGAGTGACCTCTTGTTTCTCCCTCAAAGTACGTTTTTAGAAATTGCTGAGAGGCTAGATTCCTCTTCTAATAGCAGTTTAGTGCCCTTGGGTGTTTTAATTGCTACTTCCTTTATTTTTAATGGCTTTGGGCTTTTCTTTTATGTTCCTGGTATGAAAGCAAAGGTGTTGAGGAATAGACAGGCCAGGTAGGATTGCTTCTTGAAAGGTAGGCACACATAAGGCATATTCGCCTTGCAGAAAGACTTGTGATTCTGAGGAGGAAGCCCACTCTGCCTGTAACAGGAAACAGCGCTCACACTTGGGGAGTGTTGAAACCCTGGCTACATAAGGCTTCCAAGTGGAGTCCCTCCCCATCCCCACAGCTCGGCAGCAGCTTCCTGTCCTCAGCTCTAGCACAGGTGGGCTACTCTCTGTGATGCAGCCACAGACTGAGGAGAAGAAAGTATTAGGTTGGTGCAAAAGTAACTGCAGCTTTTGCCATTACTTTTTTTTTTTTTTTGAGACAGTTTCACTCTTTGTCCAGGCTGGAGTGCAGTGGTGCGAACTTGGCTCACTGCAACCTCCACCTCCCGGGTTCAAGCGATTCTCCTGCTTCAGCTTCCCAAGCAGCTGGGACCGCAGGCGCCCGCCACCACGCCCAGCTAACTTTTTGTATTTTTAGTAGAGATGGGGTTTCACCATATTGGCCAGGCTGGTCTCAAACTCCTGACCTTGTGATCCGCCCGCCTCGGCCTCCCAAAATGCTGGGATTACAGGCTTGAGCCACCACACCTGGCCACCATTACTTTTACTGGCAAAAACCACAATTACCTTTGCACCAACCTAATACCTCTCTTATCAGGGGGCTTTGAAGCAAGAGCCACCTGCCCCACATACCGCCTCTCTGAGCTGACCTTTTGGTGACAAACACACTCTCATAGTCTGGTCAGTAGCTGGTGCTGCCAGGCATCTAGCCACTATCAGTGCAAGCCCCAGGAACCAGCAACAGGGCCCTCGCTAGGAGTAGGGGGCCCGAGCAGCCCTGTCTGAGGTGCGGGCTTGAGCCCACAGACTCGCCTGTCATGTAACCCTGATGGGTCGGCACTCAAATGTTCAAACTTGACTGTAACTCTTTTCAGTCTACCTCCTGTCTTGCCTTTACACTTGAGATCCTCAAACAATACTGAGCATTTCCTGTATTTTCACATTTCTGGCCCCTGTTTTCTTGTCTACTGACAATGTTGAATTTTACCTGAGCACTGTGATCCTAGGAAATAGATACATTTAAAGGAATCCCTTGTCCTTGGTGTTCTGGAAAATGGCTTACTGCAGAGAACCATCCTTCCTGGTATGACTCATGAATGCTCCCCTTGAAGACCCCAGTCGAGGCCAGACACAGGCCTTCCAAATTCCCATTCTTTGCCTCATAAATTAGCTAAACTGCTTGTCCCCAGTGATCAATGGGAACAAAATGCTTGTGAACCAGACTTTGCTTTACAAACTTTGGCTCACCCTCCCCTCCACCCCTCGAGAGAATAGACTGGACTCAGGGTAAGTCACTGATTGGATCTACTGTCCCACCATGCTACTCCCCTTCATCCCACTTCCTGTCTTTTACTTGCTTCCCCTCCCTATAAAAGAAAACCCCTTTTGTCTAACCCTGAGACAAACAGATCTTATGTTCAGTGCATTCTCCCTGCTGCAATAGTACACCCCTCCCCACCACTTTGCAACAATCCTTTCAAATAAAGTCTCCCTTTACTAAGTCCAGATTTTTTCTTCTTATTTTTCTTAACATTGTCTATTCTGTGAACTTGAGTTCCAGATTTTTTATTTGACATCATGTAACAAGTTTTTATCTAAATTTCCAAATGTCTGTTGGTAGTATATAAAAATATAATTCATTTTTATATATCAGTTTTTATATATCATTCCTCAGTCATGCTAAACTCAGTTCTAGGAAATTTTTCTGTAGATTTCTAGAATAAGTAGACTAAAATCAATGAAGATATAGAAGACTTGAACAATGCTATTAACCAACTTGACCTAATTGACGTTTACAGAATTCTCTACTGAGTAACAGCAGTATAAGCATTATTTTCAAATACACAGATCACTTGCCAAGACGGAATCAATTTCAGGCCCTACAAGTCCATTGGAAAGTACATTGGTAAGTATTTAAGCCATACAAGCTGTAATCTGTGCCCACAGTGTGATTAAGTTAAAAATCAATAGAAAAAGAGTCTGGAAAACCCTCAAATATTTGGAAAACGTGGTGGTTAATTTTAGGTGTCAGCTGAGTTAAGGGATGACAGGTCACTGGTTAAGCATTTTTGGGTGTGTCTGTGGGCATGTTTCCAGGAACGAGGAGCATTTGAAGCTGTAGACTCAGATCCACCCCCACCAACGTGGGTGGGCCTCATATACCCATCAAGGGACCAGACAGAACAAAAGGATGGAGGAAGGGTGAATACAAATTGCAGAATACAATATTGATACATTAAAAAAAAAATCAATTGGCCGGGCGCAGTGGCTCACACCTGTAATCCCAGCACTTTGGGAGGCCGAGGCAGGTGGATCACCTAAGGTCAGGAGTTTGAGACTAGCCCGGCCAACATGGTGAAACCTCATCTCTACTAAAAATACAAAAAAAATTAGCCAGGTGTGATGGTAGGCGCCTGTAATCCCAGCTACTCAGGAGGCTAATGTGGAAGAATCTCTTGAACCCAGGAGGCGGAGGTTGCAGTGAGTTGAGATCACACCACTACACTCCAGCCTGGGCTACAAGAGCAAAATTCTGTCTCAAAAAAAAAAAAAAAAATCAATGATCTTTTTATATACTTAGAGACAAACATTTGGAAGTTGAAACAAGAATACTATTTACAATAGCATAAAAATATGCAATGCTTAGGGATTATCTTATGAAATATGTAAATTCTGCCTGTATTAGCCTATTAATTTAATCTTTTTTTTTTTTTTTTAAACAGGATCTCACTCTGTCACCCAGGTGAGTTCAGTGGCACAATCAAAGCTCACTTCAGCCTTGGCCTCCTGGGCCCAAGCGATCCTCCTGCCTCAGCACCCCAGTCCGACCCAGTAGCTGGGACTACAGGCACCTGCCATCATGCCCGGCTAATATTTTTTTTTTAAATTTTTTGTAGAGACAGGGTCTCACTATGTTGCGCAGCCTGGTCTTGAACTCCTGGGCTCAAGTGATCCTCCTGCCTTGGTTTCCCAAAGTGCTGGGATTACAAACGTGAGCCACGGCACCTGGCCGGTTTAACCTATTTTAAATCAAATTCTTAACCAGATTTTTCATGGAAACGTACAAACTAATGGTAAAATAAATGTCAAAGAATAAAGAAACAAAAATATCAAAGAGAATTTATAAGAACAGTGCAGTAGGCACAGGAACAGAAAAATATACCAGTGGAATGGAATACAGAGCCTAGAAAAATATTACTGAGAACTTGATCTGTGATAGAAGTAGCATTATATAAGTGTGTATACACACACCTACATATCCTCCTACATCTATATCCATTCCAACAGTATCTTTCTATCTATCTATCCCCATGAGTTCACACTGAAATCTCTACACAGGGTTTATTTGTTTATTTATTTTCAGATGGAGTTTCGCTCTTGTTGCCCAGGCTGGAGTGCAATGGCACAATCTCGGCTCACTGTAACTTCCGCCTCCCAGGTTCAAGTGATTCTCCTGCCTCAGCCTCCTGAGTAGCTGGGATTACAGGTACCCACCACCATGACCAGCTAATTTTTTGTATTTTTAGTAGAGATGGGGTTTCACCATGTTGGCCAGGCTGGTCTCGAACTCCCGACTTTAAGTGATCCGCCCGCCTTGTCCTCCTAAAGTGCTGGGATTACAGGCGTGAGCCACTGCATGCAGCCCACAAGGTTTATTTTATCATCTATTTTATGTTCACAACTTCATTCTTTGACAATGAGAAAACTGGCTCCCATTTTACACAATATATTAATATTTTCTTATTTGCTCCCTTATAGGATGTACGAAAGTCATTTCAGACCTGTTAGTTTATGCCTCTGTGAAAATTAGATTTTAATTTTAATTCGAGTTCTAATTAGATGACTCTAATTTTCATTTAACTCTAATTTTAATTAGAGTTAACTTTGTGTTAGGGATGTTTGGGTTTGGAACCTGACGGCATAGAGACTTAATCTTGTGTTGCTTGTGTTTTTTCCCCAACCATCCTTCAATGTGGTTATGTTGTTCATTTGATGAGCAGTTTCATTCATTTGGGGCTTTTTGTATCAAACTTTAGTTTGTATAAGATTGTCCTTATCGTTGTTGATTTCTTATTTATTTATTTATTTGAGACGGAGTCTCTATCTCTCGCCAGGCTGGAATGCAGCGGCGTGATCTTGGCTCACTGCAACCTCTGACTCCCAGGTTCAAGCGATTCTCCTGCCTCAGCCTCCCGAGTAGCTGGGATTACAGGCACGCGCCACCATTCAAAAATGCCCTAGCATTCTGTGATGCAATATTGTGTGACTGAAAGAAACAGTATAGAAATTGGAAGACTGGATCTTAGTTTGTGGCGGGCTGTACCTTACTATATGACCTTGGGGAATTCACCCAAACTGCTTTTGCCTCCATTTCCTGTTTGATTTCTCCATATATTAGGTCAGAGCACAAGGAAGATCTGAAGAACATATTTAAATTCCAAAATGAAATCCGAACATCTCTCTGAGAAAACCTTTTTTTTTTTTTTTTTTTTTGGAGACGGAGTCTCGCTCTGCCACCCAGGCTGGAGTGCAGTGGCACAAGCTCAGCTCACTGCAACCTCTGCCTCCTGGGTTCAAGTGATTCTCCTGCCTCAGCCTCCCGAGTATCTGGGACTACAGGTGTGTGCCACCACACCCAGCTAATTTTTGTATTTTTAGTAGAGATGGGGTTTCACCATGTTGGCCAGGCTTGCCTCTAACTCCTGACCTCAAGTGATCCTCCCGCCTCGGCCTCCCAAAGTGCTGGGATTACAGGTGCGAGCCACCATACCTGGCCGATTTTATTTATTTTTCTCTTTTAAGCATGTAAAACACTAACATGATTCCAAAGTCTAGACTGCACAAAAAGTTATATTTAGGAAAGTGCCTTTCTCTTATCCCTGTTTCCTTTGTGTTTTTCATCCCTTTCTTGACATTCCTTGTAGGTATCTAATTTCAGTTTCTGGTTTATCTTGCCTGTGTTTCTTTTTTGCTGAAATGAACAGACACATATGTATTTTCTTATTTTTCCTTCTTATTTTTTCTTCTTTCTTACACAGTAGATATTATACTGTAGATAATCCTTTGCACTTTGTCTTTCTTTAATAAATTCTGGAAATTTTATCAATTCATTGAGGTCTTCCTCATTCTTTACAACCTCATGGTAGCCCATTCTGCAAATGTACCATAGTTCATTTAAGCACTGTTAGATGTGTGGCATTTAAGTTGTTTAAATTATTTTCCAATTGCAAACAATGCTTCAATAATAAACCTGTGCAAATGGGTTTTCTTATAGTTGGAAGTATATCTTTAGGGTGAATTCCTGGAAGTGGGATTGCTGATTCAAAGGTAAATGCAGGGACAAGCACAGTAGCTCATGCCTATAATCCCAGCATTTTTGGGAGGCTGAGGCAGGAGGATCACTTGAGGTCAGGAGTTCGAAACGAGTCTGGCCAACATGGTGAAACCCCGTCTCTACTAATAATACAAAACTTAGCCAGGCACATGCCTGTAGTCCCAGCTACTTGGGAGGCTGAGGCAGGAGAATCCCTTGAGCCCAGGAGGCAGAGGTTGCAGCGAGCCAAGATCTTGCCCCTGCACTCCATCCTGGACAACAGAGTGAGACTCCATCTTAAAACAAAACAAAACAAACAAACAAAAACAGCAGGCCAGATGCGGTGGCTCATGCTTGTAATCCCAGCACTTGGGAGGCCCAGGCGGGTGGATTATCTGAGGTCAGGAGTTTGAGACCAGCCTGGCTGACGTGGTGAAACCCTGTCTCTACTAAAAATACAAAAAATTAGCCAGGCGTGGTGGTGGGCGCCTGTAATCCCAGCTACTTGGGAGGCTGAGGCAGGCAAATCACTTGAACCTGGGAGGCAGAGGTTGCAGTGAGCCAAGATCATGCCACTGCACTCCAGCCTGGGCAACAAGAACAAAACTCCGTCTCAAAACCAAAAACAAAACAAAACAAAAATGGTAAATGCGTATGTAGTTTTTTTTTCTTGGTGTAGAACATTTATTTATTTTTCCCATGAATCAAAGTTTAGTTCAGTGGGAAATAATTTTAATCAAAGAATTGTACATTTTCTTCCCACATATCCTGCTTTGTATTAGGAAACTATATTGTGATCCATTTCACTATAAGTAAAATATTGCAAAATATTTACAGGAAAGTATTAAAAATAACTGAAACACAAAAGGCAAGATGAGATAAACTGGTTTTTCAGAAATCTCTACTCCAGTGCCCATAGCACACAAGAAGAGAGTCAAAACAAATAAGTAACTAAGATTCCCTGATCACAAATTTCCAAAGAACTGGAGAAGGGAAAGAAACAGGGTGAAAATGGTGGTGTGAAAGGGAATGGACGTTGGCAGCACTGCTTCAATAACTGATCTATTCTGAATGAAATACCCTCTTTTCTGTGCAGTAAATTCTGAACAAGGCTATATTTTAGGATATTCCTTGAACTGAAATTAGAAAACACCCTGACAACGGAAGCGGTTCTTTCTTCTAAGTTTAATAAGAGCCTCTTTCTCCATGGGCCACTGTTGTGAACAAAATCCTGTTCGGGCATCAAAAGCTGTCACAGCAGCCCTTCCATCTCTTTCATGAAAGCCTCATAGACATCATCCTTACTTTGTACTGAGACAGGAACAGAAGGACCAGATTTGGGTGCTGCTTTGGCAAGAGGCACAGCAGAATCATCCTCTGACTTTCTTTTCTTTTTTTTGAGACAAAGTCTCGCTCTGTCACCCAGGCTGGAGTGCAGTGGTGCGATCTCAGCTCACTGCAACCTCCACCTTCTGGGTTCAAGCCATTCTCCTCCCTCAGCCTACTGAGTAGCTGGGACTATAGGTGTACATGCCTGGCTAATTTTTGTATTTTTAGTAGAGATGGGGGGTTTCGCCATGTTGGCTAGGCTGGTCTCAAAGTCCTGACCTCAGGTGATCTCCCCACCTTGGCCTCCTAAAGTGCTGGGATTACAGGTGTGAGCCACAGTGCCCAGCCCCTCTGACTTTCTTTGGAGAGCAGCAGTAGCCCCTTTATTCTCCTGATGTACTGTGAGTGCAGTGGGCAAAAATCAAGTAATCTCTGCCTTGGGATTAGTGATCTGTGGCTTGGCACTGATGGTTGCTGTGGCTTTCTTCTCAATGGTGGCTGCAATCATATCATCTGCCTTGGGCCACTGAATCAAGTTGGGCGGTGCATTGAAAACCCCAGGGTTCGGCCAGGGAGCTGGTAGGAAAAGCCCAGCGGGGGCAGGTCCAAGTGGAGGTACCAATGGTGGGCGCATCATGCCAGGATGAGGTGGAGGAACACCCAGAGGTGCAGGGGGAGGTACTTTTGGTGGGGGTCCCCTAGGAGGGGGACCAGGAGGCAGACCTGGAGGTGGACCTGGGGGAGGGCCAGGTCAGGCTGGTGTTGGTCCTGGAGGTAAAAAGTCGGGGTAAAGGCCCTCAGAATCCTGGCATTCCAGGTGATCTCAGGAATGGAGGAGCTCCTGGAGGTGGGCCAAGAGGAAGGCCCATAGCTGGCCCAAGAGGCCATAATGGTGGAGCAGGTGGTGGTCCAAGAGATGGTGGTCCTGGGATGGGACGTGCTTGTATCTGAGAAAGAGGAACACGTGTGTGGCATTTAAGATGTATAAATTATTCTGCAATTGCAAACAATGCTTCAATAATAAACCTTGTGCAAATGGATTTTCTTACTGTTGGAAGTGTATCTTCAGGGTGAATTCCTAGAAGAGGGATTGCTGATTCAAAGGTAAATGCAGGAACAGGCGCAGTGGCTCATGCCTATAATCCCAGCACTTTGGGAGGCCGAGGCAGGAGGATCACTTGAGGTCAAGAGTTCGAAACCAGCCTGGCCAACATGGTGAAACCCTGTCTCTACTAAAAATACAAAAATTAGCTGGGTGGCAGACGCCTGTCTGTGAAGAAGCAGTGGATGTGTCATCAGAATGAGACTCTTCTTTATGCTGTTTTTGTGATTGTTTTTCTGCTTCAGAGTCATCAGAATCATCTTCATCATCGTCCTCTGAAAATTCCTCTACTTCTGTTCCCTCCTCAGGGACTTCTTGACCTGCCATGGAAGCATCATGGCTTGAAGAGGACTTAACTCCTTCATGTTCTTTTTCTTCCTTGATTTTCCAGGCATCTCTGCAAACCGTACACTCAGACCTGAGTTGTTTTCTTCATTGCTGTCTCTCTCACCATCATCACGGTACACAATTCATCCTCCCACTTTCTCCATCTGATCTGTTGGTGTCACCATCATCAGTATTGTTACCATGCTTATGTTGGTCCTTGTCCTCAGAAGGGCCATCATCTTCACTGGCGCTAGAAACATCATCACCGTGACCTTGCCGGGCAAGTTCAGGATTATATAACATGTCTTCTTCATCTCGCCCACGAAGGGGAAGATCTAGGGCAAAACCCACTTTACGGCCATACATGTGCAAGACTTGAGGAGGAGGTGGGCCGGGGAAGAGCCAGGAGATTTTCTGCCAGGGGGCAAACGTGGAACATTATGCCCAAGAAGAGGAAGGATAGAAACTGCCCGAGTTGGAGGTCCATAGGCTGAGGTTTTCCTAAGGATGGAGAGTGGCTGGGACCAGGAAGTGGAATGTCCTGGATCAAAATGTTGGAAGGAGCACGCGGCACATCTGGCAAAAGAATGCTCTCCACTTCCGCTTGCTGAGCATTCTCGACAGCATCAAAATATTGCCTAAGTTGAGCCCTCTTCTGTTCATACTCTACTTCTAGTTTTTCAAGTCCTTGTAAATATCTGGATTTTCTTTTTCATAGTCATAGAATATGTTCAAAGGTTTCACGCAGTTTTTTACGCCTGTTTTTCAGTACTTTCTCATTTAATTGTGGCTGTTGCAGTGGGTTAAACTCCATTTCATCCAGTTTCTCCATGTCCCGGGTAATCTGTTTGGGATCCTTCATTTTTAAAAACGCAGCTCTGGCCGGGCGCAGTGGCTCACGCCTGTAATCCCAGCACTTTGGGAGGCCGAGGCAGGTAGATCACCTGAGGTCAGGAGTTCGAGACCAGTCTGGCCAACATGGTGAAACCTCATCTCTACTAAAAATACAAAAATTAGCCAGGTGTGGTGGCACGCGCCTGTAATCCCAGCTACTTGGGAGGCTGAGGCAGGAGAATTGCTGGAGATGGGGGTTGCAGTGAGCCGAGATCGCGCCACTGCGCTCCAGCCTGGGCGACAAGAGCGAAACTCCACCTCAAAAATACCAAAACCAAACCAAAACAACAACAACAACAAACACTGCAGCTCGAACCGTCATGCGCTGTTTTTTGTTCTTTAATTCTCTCTTCTGGGATTCCTTTCGGACTTGGTCTGTGGGGTTCATAAATTTTCCACTGTTGGTGGATGATGTAGATCTCCGTCCCATGTTGAAAATTTGTGTGGTTTACTTGTTCATTTAAAAAAAAAAAGAAAGAAAAAAGAAAAGGGGGAAAGAAAAACACTTCTGCTGTGCTCCCCAGGACTGTGAGAAGTGGGGAGGCGGCGATTCCCGGCCTCTTTCACTTTGTAAGGGCCTCTGGGTCAACCCCTCAGCCACCGCCATCGTGAAACCTTGCGCCCCTCCCGCATATGTAGTTTTGTGAAATGCTGCCACATTACCCTTTACAGGGTTGTACTTATTCACATGTCCCCTAGCCATGCATGAGAGGCTTGTCTATCCACTGCGTTACCATCAGAGCGTATTGTTATATTTTTTAAATGTTGAAGATATAGGCTTGGTGCAGTGGCTCACACCTACAGTCCTAGCACTGTACAGCTAAGGCGAGTGGGTCACTTGAGCCCAGGAATTCCAGACCAGCCTGGGCAACATAGTTAAACCTCATCTCTACAAAAACACAAAAAGTTAGCAGGGCGTTGTGGCACGAACCATGACCGCACTGCTGCACTCTGGCCTGGGTGACAAAGTGAGCCTCTGTCTTAAAAAACAAAATAAAAGAAAATATTATAGGTGAGAAATGGTATTTTAGTGTAGTTTTAATTGACATTTCTCTTATGAATTAGGTTGAAAAATCTTTCATATATGTGTGTGTATGTGTGTGTGTGTATGTGTGTATGTATGTGTGTGTGTGTGTTTCTGTGTATAAATTCCCCATTCTTATCTTTTGCCATTTTTTTCTATCGGGTTAAAAAAAATCTAAGCTGAGTGCAGTGGCAGATGCCTATAGTCTCAGCTACTTGGGAGATGGGAGGATTGCTTGGGCCAGGAATTTGAGGCTGCAATGCTCAAAGATGGTGAGATGGCACCTATGCATAGCCATTGCACTCCAGCCTGGGCAACATAGCGAGACCCTCATCTCTAAAAATGAAAAACAAAATATAAGTAAATAAACATTTTTAAAAATAAACCTTTATTCATTTATTTATTTATTTTGAGACGGGGTCTCACTCTGTCACCAAGGCTGGAGTGCAGTGTCACTATCACAACTCACTGCGGCCTCCACCTCCTGGGCTCAGACGATCCTCCCACCTCAGCCTTCCATGTAGCTTGAACCGCAGATGTGCGCCACCATGCCTGGCTAATTATTTTTATTGTTTTGTAGAGACAAGTTCTCATCTTGTTTCCCAGGCTGATCTCAAACTCCTGGGCTCAAGAGATCCACCTGCCTCAGCCTCCCAGAGTGCTGAGTACTACAGGTGTGAGCCACAGCACCCAGCCTCTCCACTGGCTTTTGGGGTAATATATGTTGTAAATATTTTCTCCCAGTGTGTTGGCTGTCTTTTTACTTTGCTTATGGTGATATTTGCCATGCCAAAAACCCTCATTTTTTGTTTTAATTTAATCAGTTTTATCAATGTTTTTAGTGCATTTAGTGAATCTGGATTTTGAGTCATAATTAGAATGTCTTTCCCTACATGCAAGTTAAAGAGAAATTCACCTCGTTTTCTCCTAATACTTGTAGGGATGTATTTTCCATTTAGATTCCTGATCATTTGGAGTTTATTTTTCAGTAGGTGTGATGAGGTGTAGCTCAGTTTCATCTTTTCCCCCAAATGGCAAACCAATTGTCCCAGCATCATTTATTTAAAAGTGCATTTTTGCCCTAGTGATTTCAGTTGCTACTCTTATCATACACTAAAGTTCCATATGTATTTAAAATTATTTCTGTTTTTTCTGTGACAGACTTGACAAACTATAATAGACTTGCTTACCTATTCAAGTGCTAGTACTACATTGTTGTAATTATAGAGGTTTTATAGTATGTTTCAATGTCTGATTGGGCTAGTCACCTTCATAGCTTTTCCTTTTTAGTGATTTCCTGGCTATTCCTAAATTACATGTTTATTTTTCCATATGAAGTTTAACATCAACTTATCTAGTTCCATTTTTTCAAAAAGCTTGCTGGCATTTTTTATTGGGATTACATTAAATTTATAAGTTAACTTAGGGAGACCTGACATTTTTATTATGTGTAGTCATTCAAAGAACAATAAATGTCTTTCAATTTGTTCAAGTACACTTTTATGTTTTTAAAATTTTCCTCGTGGATTTTGTACATTTCCTATTAGTACTTATTCCTAAATACTTTATCTTCTTTTTTGCCATATAAATGGCATTTTCCATGCCATTATATACTCTAACTGGTTATCATTGTGTATATGAAGGCTATCAAGTTCTATAAGATAATTCTACAGCTTGCTACCTTATCGAATTGTTAGTTTTATTGATTTTCTAGGGTTTTGTATGTACACTCGTATCATCTGCTAGATATAGTTTTACTTTTTCAAATCTCATGCATCTTATTGATTCTTCTTGTCTAATTGCATTGGGCTTATATCTCTAGTATAATGTTGATTAGTAGTGGAGATGGTGGGCAAATTCATCTTGTTCTCGATCTTAGTGGAAAGTTTCTGGGGCTTCCCCATTAAAGAGTTGGTGGCTTTTTCACTAAAAGTGTATGTGTTGGGGTGGGAGTGTGTGTGTATGAAAGTGCACATATGTGTATTTACATGTTAATAAAGGATAGGTCAAGGGTGGTGGCTCATGCCTGTAATACCAGCACTTTGGGAGGTCATGGTGGGAAGATCACTTGACGCCAGAAGTTTAAGAGTAGCCTGGGCAACATAGCGAGACCCTGTCTCTACAAAAACATTAAAAAATTAGCTGACTGTGGTGGCCTGTGCCTGTAGTCCCATCTACTCGAGAGGTCTAAGTGGGAGGATTGCTTAAAACCCAGGATTTGGAGATTTCAATGAGCTATGCTGACACCACTGCACTCCAGCCTGGGCAACAGAGTGAGACCCTATCTCTAAAAATACTCTGAATAATATAACTTATTTTCTTGAGGGTTTTTTTTTTCTTGAGACAGTATCACTCTGTCACCCAGGCTGGAGTGCAGTGGTACCATCTTGGCTCACTGCAACCTCTGCCTCCCAGGTTCAAGCTATTCTCCTGCCTCAGCCTCCAGAGTAGCTGGGACCACAGGTGCACTCCACCACACCTGACTGATTTTTATATTTTTAGTAGAGATGGGGTTTCGCCATGTTGGCCAGGCTGGTTTTGAACTCCTGACCTCAAGCCATCCACCGCCTTGGCCTCCCAAAGTGCTGGGATTACAGGCACGAGCCACCACTTCTGGCCATTTCTTGAGTTTTAAAATTTTCTTTTTTATTTTCTTGAGACAAGTTCTCACTCTGTCACCCATGCTAGAGTGAGTGGCACAGTCATGGCTCACTGCAGCCTCCACCTCCTGAGTAGCTGGGACTATAGGTTCACACCTTCTGTAGTCCTGGCTAATTTTTTTTTTTTTTTTTTTTAGTAGAGAGGGGGTGTGGCTCACACCTGTAACACCAGCATTTTGGGAGGCTGAGGCAGGCAGATCACTTGAGTACAGGAGGTCCAGATCAGCCTGGGCAGCACGGTGAAATCCTCTCTCTACTAAAAAAACAAAAATTACACACTCTTGAGTTTCTTTAAACAGGAGTAGGTAAGGAATTTGAAAAGGCTTTTTAAAAGCATCTATGGAAATAAACATATGATTTTTCTCCTTAGATCTGTAAATACAGTGTGTTAGTTCACTTATTAATATTTAGCCAGTGTGCATTCCAGGAACAAATCCCACTTGGTTATGTTGTATCATTTTCATAGTGTGGTGTTGTATTCTGTTAAATAGGGTTTTATTTAGAACTTTTTCATGAATATTCGTAAGTGATATTTGTAATTTTCTTTTTTTGCTGTTTTTATCAAGTTTAGTTGTTAATGCTATACTTATTTTCTAAAAACAGTTCAGGAATGTTCCTTCATTCCCAATGATCTGGAAAAACTTGTGAAGTACTGTGACTGCCTGGTCTTTGAAGATTTGGTAGAAAACCTTGTGAGACCATGAGGTTTTTTTGTTTGTTTGTTTTTGTTTTTGTTTTTTAATGTGAAAGTTCCTTGATAATTATCTCTGTTTCTTCGAAGTAAATTAGTCTGTTTAAACTGTTTGTCTCTAAATGGGGTCAATTTCAATACATTCTATCTCTCTTAAAGTTATCCACTTCATATAGATTGTCAGTATTTTCACAGAGGTCTGAAAAGTAGCCCCGTTATGTTTTTAAAAATACCTTCTGTTTCAATGGTTATTTCCCCATTTGATATTTCTTATTTTGTGCATTTGTACTTTTTCTCTTTTTCTTGAGTAAATATAGGTCGTAATTTGTCTATTTTATTTTCCCCCAAAATTACAGATTTTAATTGCATCTATTGTAATTGGATCTATTGTTTTAAAATTCTTTATCTCATTAATTTCTGCTTTCATTTTTTATTATTTTCTATCTCTAGCTTTTATAACTATTTTCCTTACTACTTTAGATTTAATTTGCTCTTCTTTTTTAGTTTCCTAAGGTGGAAACTTAGATTATTGATTTTAGGTCTTCATTCTGTTCTGATATGTACACTCAATGCTATAAATTTCCTCTTAAGCACTGCTTTTGCTGCATCCCACAAATTTTGATAACCTTTATTTTCATTTTTGTTTAATTTGAAATATTTTAAAATTTATCTTGAGAATTCTTTGATCCATGAGTTATTTAGAAGTATGTTGTGGTAATCTTCAAATATTTAGGAGTTTTCTAGCTATTTTTCTGTTATTGATTCCTAGTTTCATTCTGTTGTCATCAGATAGCATACTGCTCATAGTTTGAATGTGTCCCCCAAATTTTATGTGTTGGAGACTTCATCCCTAGTGTAGCACTATTGAAAGGTGGGGCCTTTAAGAGGTCATTGGATCATGAGGGCTCTGCCCTCACACATGGATTAATCATGGGTTAATGGATTAATGGGTTATCATTGGAGTGGAGCTGGTGGCTTTATCAGATGGGAGAGACCTGATTTAGTATGTTAGCATGCTTAGCCCCCTTGCTATATGATACCCTGCACTGTCTTGGGACTCTGCAGAGTCCCCACTAGTGAGAAGACTCTCACCAGATGCATTCCCTTGATCTTGGCCTTCTCAGCTTCCATAACTGTAAGAAATAACTGTCCAGTCAGAAGTTTGCTGCAGGGGTGGAGCCCTCATGGAGAACCCCTGCTAGGGCAGTGTGGAAGGGAAACGTGGGGTCAGAGCCCCACAGAGTCCCCATTGGGGCACTGCCTAGTGGAACTGTGAGAAGAGGGCCACCATAGTCCAGACCCCAGAATGGTAGATCCACTGACAGCTTGCACTCTGTGTTTCGAAAAGCTGCAGACACTCAACACCAGCCCTTGAAGGCAGCTGGGAGGGAGGCTGTACCCTGCAAAATCATGGGGACAGAGTTGCCCAAGAAGATGGGAGCCCCCCACTTGCATCAGCATGACCTGGATGTGAAACTTGGAGTCAAAGAAGATCATTTTGCAACTTTAAGGTTTAATGACAGCCCTGTTGGATTTCAGACTTGCATGGGGCCAGTGGCTCCTATGTATTGGCCAATTTCTCCCATTCAGAAGAGTTGTATTTACCCATTTCCTGTATCCCCATTGTATCTAGGAAGCAACTAACTTGCTTTCCATTTAGGCTCAGAAGCGGAAGGGACTTGTCTTGTCTCAGATGAGACTTTGGACTTGGACTTTTGGGTTAATGCTGGAATGAGCTAAGACTTTAGGGGACAGTTGGACAAGCATGATTGTGTTTTGAAATGTGAGGACATGAGATTTGGCAAGAGCCAGGGACAGACTGATATGGTTTGGCTGTGTCCCCACCCAAATCTCATCTTGAACTCTAGTTCCCATAACCCCATGTGTCATGGGAGGGACCCAGTGGGAGGTAACTGAATCATGGGGAAGTTACCTCCATGCTATTCCTGTGATAGTGAGTGAGTTCTCATGAGAGCTGATGATTTTATAAGGGACTTCCCCCACTTTGCTCTGCACTTCTCCTTCCTGCTGCCACGTGAAGAAGGATGTGTTTGCTTTCCCTTCTGCCATGATTGTAAGTTTCCCGAGGCCTCCCCAGCCCTGCAGAACTATGAGTCAATTAAGCCTCTTTCCTTCATAAATAAACCAGTTCTGGGTATGTCCTATAGCAGCAGGAGAACAGACTAATATAATTTGTTACTATTTTCTATTTGTTGGTCTTATTCTTTGTTTCTTTTTGTTGTTGTTGTTCCACTCTTTTTCTGACTTTTCTCTCTCTCTGTGTTGTTTGTGTGTGTGTGCATGTGTGGCTTTTAAATTTTTTGTAGAGATGGGGTCTCACTTTGTTGAGTGAGCCCAGGCTGGTATCAAGCTCTTGACCTCAAGTGATCCTCCTGCCTTGTTCTCCCAAAGTGCTGGGATTACAGGTGTGTGCTACCACCTCCAGCTCCTTCTCTGGTTTTAATTGAGCACTTATATAATTCCATTTTCTCTCCTCTCTTAGCATATAAATTATCCTTTCCTTTTTGAGACAGAGTCTCACTCTATCATCTAGGCTGGAGTGGCACAATCTTGGTTCACTACAACCTCTCCTTCCTGGGCTCAAGCAATTCTCCTGCCTCAGCCTCCTGAGTAGCTGCGATTACAGGCGCTGCACCACGCCTGGCTAATTTTTGCATTTTTAGTAGAGACAGGTTTCACCATGTTGGTCAGGCTGGTCTCGAACTCCTGACCTCAAGTGATCTGCCTACCTTGGCCTCCCAAAGTGCTGGGATTGCAAGCTTAAGCCACCACCCCTGGCCAAATTATGTTTTTTTGTTTGCCTTTTTAGTGGCTGCCCTTGAGATTGCAATAAACATTTACAACGAATCCAAGTCTTCTTTCAAATAATACTCTACCCCTTCACAGGTAGTGCAAGTACCTAACCACTGAGTATTCATAATTCTTCTCTTTCATATCTTAATAACATTGCTGTCATTTTCACTTATCCATAAGCTACAATCATTGGATACTTTGTAGCTTTTTGTTTTGAACAAACTGTTATGTTATATCAATTGAGAATAAGAAAAATAAGAGATTTTACTTTATCTTCATGAGTTCCTTCTGTAATACTCATTATTTATGTAGATCTGAGTTTCTGATTGTATTAGTCCATTTTCATACTGCTATAAAGAAGTGCCCAACACTGGGTAATTTATAAAGGAAAGAGGTTTAATTGACTCACAATTCAGCATGGCTGGGGAGGCATCAGGAAACTGATAATCATGGCAGAAGGCAAAGGGGGAAGCAAGGCACCTTCTTCACAAGGCGTCCGGAAGTAGAAGTGCCAAGCAAAGGGGGAAGAACTCTATAAAACCATCAGATCTCGTGAGAACTCACTCACTGTCATGAGAACAACATGGGGGAAACAGCCCCTATGATTCAATTATCTCCATCCGGTCTTTCCCTTGACATGTAGGGATTATGGGGATTACAATTCACGATGAGATTTGAGTAGGGGGACACAAAGCCTAATCATATCATTTTGCCCCTGGCCCCTCCCAAATCTCATGTCCCTTTCATATTTCAAAACCAATCATGCCTTCCAAACAGTCCTCCAAAGTCTTTGTTCATTCTAGGATTAACCCAAAAGTCCAAGTTCAAAGTCTCATCTAAGACAAGGGAAGTCCCTTCCGCTTATGAGCCTGTAAAGTCAAAAGCAAATTAGGTACTTCCTAGACACAATGGGGGTACAGGCATTGGGTAAATACACCCATTTCAAATAGGAGACATTGGCCAAAACAAAAGGATGACAGGCCCCATGCAGGCCTGAAATCCAGCAGGACAGTCAAACCTTAAAGCTCTGAAATGACCTCCTTTGACTCCATGTTTCACATCCAGATCATGCTGATGAAACAGGCCTCCTCTCAGCTGCTTTCATGGGCTGGCATGGAGTGTCTGTGGCTTTTCTGGGTACATGGTGCAAGCAGTCAGTGGACCTACCATCCTGGGGTCTGGAGGGCAGTGGCCCTGTTCTCACAGCTCCACTAGGCAGTGCCCCAGTGGGGACTCTGTCAGGGCTCTGACCCTATATTTCCCTTTTGCACTGCCCTAGCAGAGGTTCTCTATGAAGGCCTTGCCCCTGCAGCAAACTTCTGCCTGGTCATCCAGGCATTTCCATACATCCTCTAAAATCTAGGTGGAGGCTCCCAAACCTCAATTTTGTTTTTGTTTTTGAGACAGAGTCTCACTCTGTTGCCCAGGCTGGAGTGCAGTGGTGCAATCTTGGCTCACTGCAACCTCCACTTCCCAGGTTCAAGTGATTCTCCCATCTCAGCCTCCCAAGTAGCTGGGACTACAGGCACACACCATCATACCCAGCTAATTTTTGTATTTTTAGTAGAGACGGAGTTTCACTATGTTTGCCAGGCTGGTCTCGAACTTTTGACCTTATGTGATCCATCCCCCTTGGCCTCCCAAAGTGCTGGGATTACAGGCATGAGCCACTGTGCCTGGCCCCAAACCTCAATTCTTGACTTCTGTGCACCTGCAGGCCCGACAACACATGTAAGCCATCAAGGCCTGGGGCTTGCATCCTGTGAAGCCATGGCCCGAGCTGTGCCTTGGCCCTTTTTAGCCACAGCTGGGATGCAGGGCACCAACTCCCAGGACTGCATAAAGCAACAAGACCCTGGGCCCAGCCCATGAAGCCATTTTTTCCTTCTAGGCCTCTAGGCCTGTGATGGGAGGAGCTGCTGTGAACACCTCTGACATGTCCTGGAGACATTTTCCCCATTGTCTTGGTTATTAACATTTGGCTCCTTGTCACTTATGCATACTTCTGAAGCCGGTTTGAATTTCTCCTCAGAAAATGGGTTTTTCTTTTCTATTGCATCATCAGGCTGCAAATTATCCAAACGTGTATGCTCTGCTTCTCTTTCAAACATGAAGTTCCAATTCCAAACCATCTCTTTGGGAATGCATAAAATCAAACACTTTTAACAGCACCCAGGTCACCTCTTGAATACTTTGCTGCTTAGAAATTTCTTCCATTGGATACCTTAAATCATCTCTCTCAAGTTCAAAATTCCACAGATCTCCAGGCCAGGGGCAAAATGCCACCAGTCTCTTTGCTAAAGCATAGCAAGAGTCACCTTTATTCTAGTTCCCAACAAGTTCCTCATCTCCATCTGAGACCACCTCAGGCTGGACTTCATTGTCCATATCACTATCAGCATTTTGGTCAAAGCTATTTAATAAATCTCTAGGAAGTTTTAAAGTTTCCCACATCCTTCTGTCATCTTCTGAGCCCTCTTAACTGTTCCAACCTCTGCCTGTTACCCAGTTCCAAAGTTGCTTCCACATTTTCAGTATCTTTATAGCAGCACCCCACTTCTGGTAACAATTTACTGTATTAGTCCGTTTTTATACTGCTATAAAGAACTGCCTAAGACTGGGTAATTTATAAAGGAAAGAGGTTTAATTGACTCACAGTTCAGCACGATTGGGGAGGCTTCAGGAAACTTACAATCATGGCAGAAGGCAAAGGGGAAGCAAGGTGCCTTCTTCACAAGGAGGCAGAAAGGAGAAGTGCTGAGCAAAGGGGGAAGAGCCCCTTATAAAATTATCAGCTCATGAGAATTCACTATCATGAGAATAGCATGGGGGAAACTGCCCCCATGATTCATTTATTTCCATCTGGTCTCTCCCTTGACATGAGGAGATAATGGGGCTTACAATTCGAGATGAGATTTGGGCGGGGATACAAAGTCTAACCATATCACTGATGTATACTATTTTCTTTCTTTCTGAGGAATTTCAACATTTCTTGCAAGGTATGTCAATTGTGACAAGTTTTCTCAATTTTGTTTGTCTGTGAAAGTCTTTATTTCTCCTTTACTTTTCAAGGATAATATTTCTGGGTATAGGATTCTGGTGGTGGTGTTTGTTGTTGTTTCTGTCAACACTTAAAATATTTTGCTCCAAGCTCTTCTTACTTGCGTGGCCTATGAAGAGAACTCTGATTAATTATTATACTTGCTCCTCATAGGTACAGTGTTTTCTTCCCTTTGACTTAATTCAAAATTGTCTCTTTGTCTTTGATTATCTGTGGTTTGAATATGCTATATCTAGGTGTAAATTTTTTTGGTATTTATCCTCTTTGATTTCCTGAGCTTCTGAATCTGGGGTTTGGTGTCTGTCATTCATTTTGGAAAATTCTCAGTCATTATTACTTCAAATATTTTTTCTGTTTCTTTTTTTTCTTGTTTTGATATTCATTATGCATATGTCACACCATTTAAAATTGTCCCACAGTTATTGGATGTTCTGTTCTGCTTTTTAAAATTATTTTTTCTCTTACCATTTAGTTTTTGAAGTTTCTATTGACATGTCTTCAAGCTCAGTGATTCTTTCTTTGGCTGTGTCCAGTCTATTTTTTTTTTTTTTAACTTTTTTTGAGATGGAATCCTGCTCTGTCACCCAGGCTAGAGTGCAATAGCATGATCACAGCTCACTGCAACATCTGCCTCCCAGGTTCAAGTGATTCTCCTGCCTCAGCCTCCTGAGTAGCTGGGATTACAGGCATGTGCCACCATGTCCAGCTTACGTTTGTATTTTTAGTAGAGGCAGGGTTTCACTATGTTGGCCAGGCTGGTCTCAAACTCCTGACCTCAGGTGATCTGGCCACCACAGCCTCCCAAGGTGCTGGGATTACAGACATGAGCCACTGCGCCCGGCCATGTGTCCAGTCTATTTAAAAGCCCATCAAATGCATTATTTCCATGACAGTGTTCTTTATTTCTAGCGTTTCTTTCCTTTTGATTCTTCCTTATTGTTTCCATCACTATGCTTGCAGTATCCATCTCTCATTGCATATGGTTCATTTTTTCTATTAGAGCTCTTAGCATATTAATTATAGTGTTTTTAAATTCACAGTCTGATAATCCCAACATCTTTGCCACATCTGAATCTTGTTTTGATGGTTACCTTGTTTCTTTAAAACATTTTTTGTCTTATAGGATGCCTTGTAATTTTTTGTTGGAAGCCAGACATTAGGTACTGAGAAAAAGAACCTAGGCAAATAGGCCTTTGGTATGATGCTTTATGTGTATTTGACAAAGAGTTAAGCTGTTTTGATTATTTGATGTACCTGTATGTTTCAGAGATATTAAAAGTTCCTCTAATGTTAGTTTTGTCTCCTCTGTTGCACAGAAGCCCTGTTGATGTGCTGGTAAGATGTGGGGGCAGAACAAACCTTCTCTAGTTCTTTGATTAAATCTCAGTCTTTTAATGAGCCTGTGTTCCTGTGCTGTGACCTTCACAAGTACTTCTCAGTGTCTCCCCCTTTGTTGGGACAGGATAGCTAGAAGGGACTAGACTAGGATATTTCCCTTTCCCCAGGACAATTAGCGTTAGTAAAACCTCAGTTAAGCTCTGGTAAACTCATTTCTCTTGAGGGCAGGCTTTATTAACAATAGAATGCCCTGGCTTATTTCACCCTCCCCACTGACAGAAATACCAAGGGATTTTTCTCTTCACCTTGATGACCTGGTAAGCCTTCTGGAAGTAAAACTCAGACAAGTGTTGGGGCCCCCCTAAGACTGGGCTCCCTGGAGTTTTTAACTCTCAAGCAGTCCAAACAGAGCCTCTAGCAATTCAGCAATTGCAGTTTAAGTTTTCCTACCCTGGTACTGGTTCCCATAAAGGTTTCTGCTCTTGAGCTTCCACTCAAGTAGTGAATCAAGTCATGATTCTTTGTATCTGCCATCTGTCTCTCCAATTTGTAAGACAGTAATTTACCCTATGACCTCAATTATCTGCAGGATCTAAGAAGAGCAGTTGATTTTCAGCTTGTCAAACTTCTTTCTTGTTGTTAGGGTGGGAATGACGACTCCCAAACTTTTTACACGCCAGACTGAAAACTGGAAGTCTGGTTGTCTTTCTTTCTTTCTTTCTTCTCCTTCCTTCCTTCCTTCCTTTCTTCCTTCCTTCCTTCCTTCCTCTCTTTCTCCTTCCTTTCTTCCTTCCTTCCTCCCGCCCTCCTTTCTTTCTTTGTTCCTTCCTTCCTTCCTTCCTTCCTTCCTTCCTTCCTTCTTTCTTTCTTTCTTTCTTTTTTTCTTTCTTTCTTTCTTTTTCTTTCTTTCTTTTTTCTCTCTCTCTCTCGGAGTCTTGCATTGTCGCCCCAGCTGGAGTGTCATGGCACAATCTCAGCTCACTGCAACCTCTGCCTCCCGGGTTCAAGTGATTCTCCTGCCTCAGCCTCCTGAGTAGTTGGGATTACAGGCACGCACCACCATGCCCTGCTAATTTTCTTTTCTTTTTTTTTTTTTTTAGTGGAGACAAGGTTTCACTATGTTGGCTAGTTTGGTCTCGAACTCCTGACCTCGTGATCCGCCAGCCTCGGCCTCCCAAAGTGCTGGGATTGCAGGCATGAAGCACTGTACCTGGCCCAGAAGCACAAAAGTTTTAAATTGTAGTGAGCTCCAACTTACCTACTTTTTCTTTTCTTTCTTTCCTTTTTTTTTTTTTTTTTGAGACAGAGTCTTGCTCTGTCGTCCAGGCTGGAGTGCAGTGGTGCGATCTCAGCTCACTGCAACATCTGCCTCCTGGGTTCAAGCAATTCTTGTGCCTCAGCCTCTCAAGTAGCTGGGATTGCAGGCACCCGCCACCACGCCCGGCTAATTTTTGTATTTTTAGTAGAGATGGTGTTTCGCCATGTTGGCCAGACTGGTCTTGAACTCCTGACCTCAAGTGATCCACTCGCCTTGGCCTCCCAAATTGTTGGGATGACAGGCGTGAGCCACTGCGCCTACCTAGCCTTTCTTTTCTTGTACTTGCATTAAGTGTCTTACCTAAGAAACCATTGTGTAATCCAAGGTCACAAACATTTACTCTTACATTTTCTTCTAAGGATTTTATAGTTTTGTCTCTTATATTTAGGCCTTTGGTCTATTTTGAGTTAATTTTTATATATGGTATGAGGTAGAAGCCCAGCTTCATTCTTTTGCATGTGGATATCCAGTCGTCCCAGTACCATTTGTTGAAAAGACTATTCTTTCTCCATTTAACTGTGTTGGCATCTTTGTCAAAAATGAAATTGGGCCAGGTGTGGTGGCTTACACCTGTAATCTTAGCACTTTGGGAGGCCAAGACGGGAGGATCGCTTGAGGCTAGGAGTTTGAGACCAGCCTGGTCAACATAGCAAGACCTCATCTCTAAAAAGTAAGTAAGTAAATAAGTAAATAAATAAATAAAAGAAATTGACCATAAAAGAAATTGATCATAGATCTATGGGGTTATTTCTGGACTCTCAATTCTATTCCTCTGATGTAGATGTCTATCTGCATGCCAGTACCATGTCATCTGGAGTATTGTAGCTATGACGCAAGTTTTAGTAAGTTTTGAAATGAGGATGTATGAGTCCTTCAACTTTGTTCTTCCTTTTTTTTTGTTTTGTGACGGAGTCTCACACTGTTGCCCAGGCTAGAGTGCAGTGGCGCGATCTCGGCTCAAGGGCTCACTGCAATTCTGCCTCCTGGGTTCACGCCATTTTCCTGCCCCAGCCTCCCAAGTAGCTGGGACTACAGGCGCCCACCAACACACCCGGCTAATTTTTTGTATTTTCTTTTTTAGTAGAGACGGAGTCTCACTGTGTTAGCCAGGATGGTCTCAATCTCCTGACCTCGTGATCCGCCTGCCTCGGCCTCCCAAAGTGTTGGGATTACAGGCGTGAGCCACCACGCCCGGCCTTGTTCTTCCTTTTCAAGAATGTTTTTGGCTATTCTGGGTCCCTCGCATTGCCATACATATTTTATAATCAAATTGCCAATTACTGCAAAAAGGGCAGCTGGAATTTTGATAGGGATTACATTGTAAGAGTATATCAATTTGAGGAGCATTAGTAAGATTAGTAAGATTAGGTCTCCCAATTCATGTACTAAATGAGATGTCTTTCCATTAATGTAGGTCTTAAATATTTCTTTCAGCAATGTTTCATGGCTTTCAAAGTCTAAGTCTTGTACTTCTTTTGTTAAATTTATTCTTAAGTAAGTGTGTTATTTTTTTGATGCTATTGTAAGTGAAGTTATTTTCTTCATTTCATTTCCAGATTGTTCGTTGCTAGTAGGTAGAGATACAACCAGCATTGTTTATTGACCATGTGTCCTGCAGCTTTGCTGAACTTGTTTATTAGCTCTAATAGCATTTTATGTGTGTTTGTGGGTGGTTCTTACAATTTTATACATACAAGATTATGTTGTTTGCAAAACTGAAGTTTTACTTCTTCCTTTTCAACACTAATTTCTTTTATTTCTTTTGCTCATGTAATTGCCCTGACTAGGATCCCAGTACAATGTTGCATAGAAATGGCAACAGCAGAGGTGCCTGTCTTGCACCTGGCCTTGGGGGAAGACTTCAGTCCTTCATCATGAACTATGACTTTATGGGTTTATGAGTGCCCTCTACCAGCATTCAATTGTTACCATCTCCATGGTCCACGCAAGGAGACGGTGGCTCAGAGAGGCTGACTAAGATGTCCAGCCAAATAGCTGGTAATTGAGAAACTCAGGGTTTGAATCTATTCTGTGATTTTCAAAGGCTCTTGGTGCTTTCCCCCTCTGCCTGGAAGTGGCCAACAAGAAGAGAGCCCAGGAAGAAATGGGGAACAGTGAGGGCTCAGTGCTGAAATAGCAGAGCTTCTCCATACTACAGGTGACGTTGGAAGTCATCCATCACAATAACATGCCCACCTCCCACCAGGACTCCTGCTCCAAGACAGTGGTTGGCCTACCTGTAGCCCAACTCTCTGCTCTTTTGTCAGCAGCATTTGCTGGATGCTGGCAGCATTTGGAGCCATTTGAGGCACATTCTTGTCTGTGTTTCTGCCTCTTCCATGGAGTGTGGGGTTGTCCCAGGTAGGAGTACTTGCTAGGAAAGTTATGTGTTGGATGTAAACAAATGATCTTTTACTCCTTCCAGTTTCTTATCTGGATTTTTTTTTTTAAAGATCTCCACAGTCAATCTTTATTAATGATGAGACGTTCTACTGCCTCACAAGTTTCTCATCTTAAAGAAGGTTTTTGGCCAGGCACGGTGGCTCATGCCTGTAATCCCACCACTTTGGGAGGCCGAGGCAGGCGGATCACGAGGTCAAGAGTTTGAGACCAGCCTGGCCAACATGGTGAAACCCCGTCTCTACTAAAAATACAAAAATTAGCCAGGTGTGGTGGCACACACCTGTAGTCCCAGCTACTCGGGAGGCTGAGGCAGGAGAATTGCTTGAACCTGGGAGGCGGAGGTTGCAATGAGCTGAGCTTGTGCCACTGCACTCCAGCCTGGGTGGCAGAGAAAGACTCCTTCTCAAAAAAAAAAAAAGAGAAGGTTTTCTCAGGAGAGATGTTTGGATTTAATTTTGGAATTTAGATATATTCTTCAGATCTTCCTCATGCTCTGAATAATGGAGAAATCAAATAGGAAATGGAGGCAAAAGCAGTTTGGGTGAATTCCCCAAGGTCATATAGTAAGGTACAATCCTGCCACAAACTAAGATCCAGTCTTCCAATTCCTACACTACTGTTTCTTTCAGTCACACAATATTGCATCACAGAATGCTAGGGCATCTTCGAAGAGAGCATTTATTCCCCATACATTGTCCCCAGTGCTCTGTTATGAAAGCTTAGCTGTGAGCACACAGTGTTTGCTAAATGTCTGGGCTTGGAGCCCGAGACGTGGGTTTGAACTTTAACTGTACTGCTTATTGACTGAGGGCCATGGTCAGGCTAGAGAGCCTGTGTGTCATTTTCTCCAGCTATAAAATATAAAATAAAAATAGGAACATTTGCCTCATAGGACTTTTATGAGAATTAATTGACAAACTGTAGTGTTTTGTATAATGCCTGGTATATCGTAGATGCACAATAAATGATAGTTATTATTATAACACTTTTCCTTTCACAGTTCAAAGGAGGCCAGTTGAGTTGTTAGTGGATCTGGCTCACCCTGTTGGTGGCTTACCTTCAGCTGTGCACATTTCAGCACCTAACTCCCTGACTTCAGGGCCTAGCCTAAGGCTGAGAAGACTCTCATGGATGGTGGAAACCTATGTAGCTTTTCCCACTGGTCTAACAAAGATGTCGGGCTGCCATAGAGTTAGGGTGATTTTATGGAGAGATATTGATTCTCACGTCTAGGTGGGGGACTGTGGATCTTTACAAAGATTATAGGTAAAAGAAAAACAATGCAATGGTAGACATCAAAAGCCTGAGCTGCAGAAGGTGACTGAATAGAGAGTAAACCAGAATATTTTCTCCTCCTCCAATTTCCTGCAGGCACAGCTGTTCTGGGAGCTCCCCACACTGCAAACCCAGGGGCTCCCAGTTAGCTGCTGGGCTCCTCTGGAAGCCTGTCCCTGGGCACATGGGAAGGGAAAGGGTACTATCTTAGTCTGTTTGTGCTGCTATAACAGGACACCACAGACTGAGTCATTTTTTAAGGAACAGAAATTTGTATTCTCACAGTTCTGGAGGTTGGGAAGTCCAAGATTAAGGCACCAGCATCAGATGAGGGCCTTCTTTCTGTGTCCTCACAGGGCGGAAGGCAGAAAGGGTGAATCCACTTCCACAAATTCTTTTTCAAACTTTATTTTTATTTTTAGAGATGGGGTCTTGCTCTGTTGCCCAGGCTGAAGTGCAATGGCACAATCATGGTTCACTGTAGCCTCAAACTCCTGGGCTGAAGCAATCCTCCTGCCACAGCCTCCCGAGTAGCTGGGACTACAGGCACGTGCCACCATGCTGGGCTAATGTTTTTTTTATGAGGTCTCACTGTGTTGCCCAGGATGGTCTAGAGTTCCTGGGCAACACAGTGAATACCCTAGAATACCCTTCTGCTCTGGCCTGCCAAAATGTTGGAATTACTGGCGTGAGCCACTTCACCTGGCCTACAAACCCATTTTTATAGCAGCATTCATTCATTCATGAGGCTGAAGCCTCATTATCTAAACACCTCCCATTAAGCCCCACCTCCCAATACTGCTGCACTGGGGATTAAGTTTCCAATGCATGAATTTGGAGGGAAATATTCAGACCATAGCAGTCAGGGCTGAACTCTGGCTCCCATACCCAGCACAATGGTCATCCCTGGGTACCCCACATTCTTGCCTAGAACATCAGTCAGCCTGGTTCACTCTCTGCCCAGGAAGGTGGGGAGGGCTCAGGTCAGGAGTTAGCCTAAAAACCAAAAGGTGGTGCAGCCTGGAGCGTGTGGGAAGACAGGCCCCTGTCCATTCTAAAGCCGAGTGCACTACAGCCTCATGCTACAGGGTGCTCAAAGCCCAGATATGCCACAGACAGATCTAAGTTTGAAGCCAAATGAAACCAGCTTTCAGTGCCCAGCTGTGTGACTTGGGCAAATAACTGCACCTCTCTGAGTATCAGTGTTCTCATCTAAAGAAGAGCGGACTGTGTACTGTTAATGGGAGGCCTGATGGCATATGATAGTGGGTGATCAGCAAATGCTACCTTCTCTTAGTCACTTAGCCTCTCTGGCCTCAATTTCCACATCTGTGCAATGGGGATCCCAGTCCTGTACCTACAAAGCCCTCAAGGTTTAATGCAGAAAAACACAGACACCAATCTCAAAGATGTCACAAAGCAGGATGGCGTGGCAGAAGACAGATGCAAAGTGATTTGGAAAGAGACGGCATGTTCTGTGCTGTGAGGTGGCCAGAAGGAGCTTCCCTGAAGGAGTGGAACTTGACCTGTCCCGGTAATGGGAGTAATTAAACAGGCAGAGAAGACACCAGACATTAATTGAGTAATGAGGAACGGTGCAGCAGGGCTTGGCAGCAGGAATGCACATACCCTGTTCTAGAATCAGTCTTCCAGGGGTCTCTCGCTTTACCAGGAAGCCATGAAGCCTCTTGTGGGCTCAATGCTGACCCATCAGTTGACTAAGATGAGATCAAAGCATGATGAAATCAGCCCTAAACGGGGCAGGAAAGCATTGAGGGAATAAAAATGTACTGTGAGTCCAGCTTTCTCACTCCTAGGTATTTTATTCATGCAAAAACCTGTACGTGAATGCTTAGAGTGACTTTATTCATCATTGCCAAGACTGGAAATAATCCACATGTGCTGAGTTGATCAGAATGATCCACAAACGAGAGTACATTCCTATAATGAAATACTACTCAGCAATGAAAAGGGACAAAAACCTGATAAATGAAATAACATGGTAAATCCCAAATGCATTATGCTAAGAGACAGAAGCCTGATTCAGGAGGTTATCTCCTGGATGATTCCATGCATAAGATACTTTGGGAAAGGCAAAACTATAGGGGCCTAGCTAGGGTTGACTACAAAAGAGTATGATGTTTTCTTTTTGAGATGGACTCTCGCTCTGTCGCCCAGGTTGGAGTGCAGTGGCGCGATCTTGGCTCACCGCAACCTCTGCCTCCCAGGGTCAAGCGGTTCTCTTGCCTCAGCCTCCCAAGTAGCTGGGACCACAGGCACCTGCCACCACGCCTGGCTAATTTTTTTGTATTTTTAGTAGAGACATGGTTTCACAGCGTTAGCCAGGATGGTCTCGATCTCCTGACCTCGTGATCCGCCCGCTTTGGCCTCCTAAAGTGCTGGGATTACAGGCGTGAGCCACTGCGCCCGGCCTGAAAAAAATTTTTGAGGTAATGGAACTGTTCTATATCTTGACTGTAGTGGTGGATACACAACTGTATATGTTTTTCACAACTCAACTCATAAAACTGTACACCAAAAAGAGTGAACTTCAAATTATACCACCGGACAAAGGACATGGGAACTGGTGTCTGGGTAGGCAAGCTCACATTCTAGTCAACTTACCTTGGTATCCACCACATACGAGGAATTCAGCAATCACAGATCACAACAAATCGATTCCAGTCTCATCAAATTCTGGGGTGTTGAAATACATCAATAAGATATTTTCAAACCTAAGTTTGATTTATATCAGAACATGTAAGGGGAGAGGAAAGAGTGTGGGACTAGGAGTTGGAAAAACTAGAGTCATCTTGGCTGCCTGCCTACTGTATGACTTGGAGCAAGTCGCTTGAATAATCTCTAGTAATTAGTCTCTGACTTGCCTTGTCAAAGGGTTGTTGAGAGGGTCGCATGAAAAGAATGTATGTTAAAATAATGTACGTTGTAAATTATAAGTATTGCACACAAATCAGGTATTGGTATTGTCATTGATCA
Source organism: Homo sapiens (assembly GCF_000001405.40). Taxonomy (NCBI): domain Eukaryota; kingdom Metazoa; phylum Chordata; class Mammalia; order Primates; family Hominidae; genus Homo; species Homo sapiens. The sequence goes on along the minus strand of NC_000002.12, from coordinate 127,228,106 downwards.
TGTGTTTTCAAATAGGGAATATAAGTATCAGAATTTAAATGACATATCCAAGAAAAGAATCCCAAGATGAAACCCCATCCTACAGCATCTCAAGTTAAAGAGTTGACACTCTCAAGACAAAACTAAAATCAAGCCTTGAATGAATTATTTTAGGTAATTTAGAAGCCATAATTATAAGAAGACTACAAATTACTTAATCTATAAAAGCCTCCGTGCTCTATTTGTTACAAGGGAATTCATTTTTTTTACAAAAGTATGTTGCTCCATGAAGTGCCTGTGTCCTCTGCGCACACCTTGTGTGAAGCATCAAGGTCCAGCTGGAGTAGGCGGGGCTGACCAGTGGGAGCTCCTCAGGACAGGGGCCAGGGCACAGCTCCTGCTGCTCTGGGCTGCACCTGCAAGATGACAGAAGGAGGCACTAGACCTTGGCAAAGTCTGCACCACAGCTGCTGTGGTCTGAATGTTTGTGTCCCCCAAATTTAATTGGTTAAAATCCTAACTCCCAAGATGATGGTATGAGGAGGTGGGTCCTTTAGGAGGTGATTAGGTCATGAGGGTGGTGCCCTTATGAGTGGGATTAGTGCCCTTATTAAAAAGGCCCCAGAAAGCTCGCTTGCCCTCCCACCACGTGAGGACACAGCGAGAAGACAGCCCCAAATTTAATTGGTTAAAATCCTAACTCCCAAGATGATGGTATGAGGAGGTGGGTCCTTTAGGAGGTGATTAGGTCATGAGGATGGTGCCCTTATGAGTGGGATTAGTGCCTTTATTAAAAAGGCCCCAGAAAGCTCGCTTGCCCTCCCACCACATGAGGACACAGCGAGAAGACAGCTGTCTGCAGCCTGGAAGGGAGCACTCACCAGAACCTAACCATGCTGGTCCCGATCTCAGATGCCCAGCCTCCAGACCTGGGAGAAATAGATGTCTGCTGTGTACAAGTTACCCAGTCTATATTACAATGGCTCAAACAGACTAAGAACAGTTTTTTTCAGTGGACAGTGAGATCATGAGTTAGTTTAACTCCTGGGAAGTAATTTGGCTAAAGTTAAAGTCATGCTTTACCATTGCAGAACAAGTTTCCATTCGGCAAAGTGTTTTGTGGTTTATTTCAATTGGTACTGGGGACTGGATTTCTTTACTTTGGTGACTCAAACAGAAATTTACTCTTAAACGTGTTTGAGTGTCGCTAGGTTCCCGCTCTGCATTGGCTTGGGGGAATCCAGCCATGAGTCAGACACCGCCCCAGCCCTCAAGATGTTTACGGCTCTCCGCTCTGGCTGGAAACATGTTAATGTAAACAAGGAAGCCTGGGAAAGAGTTAAAAGGTGACAGATCTGTCACAGACAAGAGCCTGGGCTGGGCTTGCCAGGCACCCTGCCAATGTCTACAGGGAGGAAACAGGCTGGAAAAGGGCAATTTAGTGAGGCTGTCCCAGAACTGAATCCGAATCTGCAAGATTGAGGACCACACTCTGAGCCATCTAGACAAATGCCACTTTGGAGAGAGAGAGAGAGATCGAGAGAGAGAGAGAATGAATGTGCTGATTCACAAAACTGAAAGTTACAGAGGGGGTGGTAGATCTCCTCTAGGTACAGCTGGATGGCAGGCGTCTCCTATGAGGGTGTCAGGGGTTTCTTGATTAGGTGGTCTCTGGACAGATGGCTGCCTGCAGTCGCAAGCTTCTGGGGGCCTTCAGATCGCAATCCCCAAACAAGAGCACGTCTGCACTGATTGCTCTAGCAGAAGTCCCATGGAGGACTCTGCTCCCAACAATGCCCCCAACCCCTGGATCAGGGGCCACGGGCAGCCAGCCCCATCCAAACCCCTGGGACTGACTAGCATTGCTAGGGAATGTGGGAGGAAGGCTTTCCAAATAAAGGTGAGCGAGCGAACCTCCTGTCTTCCCCTGCGGCCTTTGCTGAGGCACACCTTCCTTTCAGAATTCACCAGTGTCTCCTTCTCGGTTATCTGTCCCATCACCAGTATCTCAGAAACAGTGAGTGCCGTGCAGCACCGCCCCTACTCAGCGTCTACTAGAAATTCTCATCACTTTCCTGCAAAGCAGGTGTAGTGAAAGGCATAAAAACCCTGGAAACAGATTTGGGTTCAAGTATTAACTTTGCTCCTAACTTAACTCTTTTGGGAACATCTCTTTAACTTGTTTCTTCATCTGTGAAGGAGGATAATGTGCCCATGTCATAGAATAGCTGCGAGGACCAAATGGATTCACAGGTGCCCAGGATAGTGCCTGATGCTCAACAGATGATTAAAACGTAAGCCAATATTTCGTAAAGCCGGTCAATGACAACAATAGTTTTTCATCATGGAAAGTTAGAGATTTTTGGCAGTGAAGAAACTGCTGCTAAGTCTTTGCTGGCTCACAAATCCCACTGGAAAATGCCCACATTCTTTGTAGGAAGAAATGTTTATTTTCTGCCTCAGGTGACCAGGATTATCACGGCTTCAGTAGCAACACCCGATTCACAGAGAAGACGATCTGAGATCTCCCAGTTCTGTCTCCTGGTATAACTTTGTTTTGTTTTGTTTTCTCTCTGTTCTGCCTTTTTATTGATGACTCTGGGGAAGCAACAAGATCATACTACTAATTCTTTTTCCTTTTTACCCATTAATTCTTAAGTGGAAACCAGTCAGAGGCATGGAATTGGAGCACAGGAAGCTGGTGTGGGTGAGAGAATTTCATGCAGACCGCAGGGAAGCTTGGAAGATCATCCCTGCCCCACCGTGACCAGCAGGTCTGGGTTTCAGAATTCAGAGGCTTGCTTCCTAGAATGTCTTGTACAGCAGCTCCCTTTTCTGAGATCCAGTTTGACTAACCCTGTTCTCTTCCAGGAATATATACCCTGCATTACTCTCTGCTTACCTAACAGCCGTGACATCTCTATTCCGCGTGCTAGAGATTTATCCGTGGTCATCTGGATTGGAGTTCTGGGAGGTGGTAAAGCCTGTCTCTCGGTTTTACTTCCACAGATGGTCATTTATTGTGTATAGAGTTTATTTACCTTTCAGAGGGCAACCCTTTTTCCTATTTTGCTGTTGTCATTGGCTGTTGTTGGCTGTTGTTGGGAGAAGCTCATTTCTTCTCTATTACTGCCAACAAGCTGGTTTTCTTGAAGGAATACATCTGTACAAAATCTCCTGGTTTAAGGTCAGACAGGGACAGTGGTGCCCTCCTGTTGGAATCTCACTTCCGTTTTTCTTGCACGCTGGAAGGGAAAGGAACAAATAAATGGACAGTGTTTTCCTATTTTGGAAAAGTAGTTTTTCAGTTATTTTTTACTTATATTTAAGATTTCTTATAACATTTGATCCTTTATTCCCTCCACATTGAATCCCTCACAACTATGACAATCATTTACTTGTATTTTTTATTATTTTTATTTTTTTATTATTTTATTATAAAGGCAATATTTTTATAGAAAACTCAGAAACCAAAGTAACATTACATATGTATATTAGAGTAAAAGAAATTCTTCCAATCAGGATGACTTTTTCTATTTCTGGGTTCATATATGTTTTCCACTAATAATAATTACCTACAAAACAGTAGTAAGAAAGCAGCATACTGCTCTATTGCAGAGTTTCAGACCGATCACTTATACCAATGTACTAACACTCTAAAATAGCCTTTGGCTTAAAGGATTATAAATCCTTCTGCTATAAAGACACATGCACACATATATTTATTGCAGTACTATCTACAATAGCAAAGACTTGGAACCAATCCAAATGCCCATCAATAATAGACGTGTTGGATAAAGAAAATGTGACACTTACACATGATGCAATACTATGCAGCCATAAAAAAGAATGAGTTCATGTCCTTTGCAGGGACATGGATGACGCTGGAAACCATCATTCTCAGCAAACTAACATAGGAACAGAAAACCAAACACTACATATTCTCACTCATAAGTGGGAGTCGAACAATGAGAACACTTGGACACGGGGAGGGGAACATCACACACTGGGGCCTGTTGGGGGTTGTGGGGCAAGCAGATGGAGAGCATTACGACAAATACCTAATGCATGTGGGGCATAAAACCTAGATGATGGGTTGATGGGTGCAGCAAACCACCATGGCACAAGTATACCTATGTAACAAACCTGCACGATCTGCACATATATCCCACAACTTAAAGTATAATTAAAAAAAAAAAAAGCCTTAGGCTTAATATCATTAGAGCTTGAGGCAAATTTCAAGAACTACTATCTTTGTTTATTTATTTAATTATGGAAACTAGCTTCAGACATCAGCAGAGATGATATCCTAAGACACAGGAGAGCGGGGGAGCTGCAGGGAGCTCCAGAGAAGCCTGTCTCCATGTGTGTTTAAATCTTTCTTCCCCCTGTCTTTCTCTGTATTCTTCCTTCTCCTCTTCCTTCCTTTCTTTACTGCAGTCTTTTCCTTAATTAGCCTTCATAGAGAACCAGCTGCCTTTAAAATCATTGTTTACCTATATTGAACAGTTTAATATATGATTATTTAACAACCATCAATCATTGTTTATCTATATTGAATAGTTTCACGTCCAGAATGGAATGAATTGACTTCTACATATGCGGTCCTTTAATGATTTCTTAAGGACCAGTAGCCCTCTGCAAAACTTTAAAAGCCTCTCCTAGAGCAAGGCGATTGTGCCATTCTTCATCCTCTGCTGGCTAGCCGTGTTGCCACCCACTTCTGCCTGCTAAACGGCTCCTTTCCTCAATCCCTGCCTGAGTGCTACTTCCTTCAGGAGGACTTTCTTTTGCACTGCTCCATCCTACCCTATAACTAGATGTGATCGCTTCTTGCCACAAATTCCAATCATATTCAGTCCAGTTTTGTGACACTTATAGTAATCTGGCTTGTATTTGTGTACCTGTTTTATTCTTCAAATAGGTTATGGCCTCCTAAAGGCAGGATCAAAGTCTTACTGAGTACTTTGCAGCTATCATGCCTTATAATTAAGAGTTGCAAGGGCCGAGTGCAGTGGCTCAAGCCTGTAATCCCAGCACTTTGGGAGGCTGAGGCAGGCGGATCACGAGGTCAGGAGATCGAGACCATCCTGGCTAACACAGTGAAACCCTGTCTCTACTAAAAATACAAAAGATTAGCCGGGCGTGGTGGCGGGTGCCTGTAGTCACAGCTACTCCAGAGGCTGAGGCAGGAGAATGGCGTGAACCTGGGAGGCGGAGCTTGCAGTGAGCCAAGATTGCTCCACTGCACTCCTGCCTGGGCGACAGAGCCAGACTCCGTCTCAATAAATAAATAAATAAGAGTTGCTGAGTACTTATTAATCAAATTCTTTTCTTTTTTTACAGACAGGGTCTTGCTCTGTTGCCCAGGCTGGAGCACAGTGGCATGATAATGGCTCACTGAAGTCTTGACTTTCTGGGCTCAAGCAATCCTCCTGCCTCAGCCTCCTGAGTAGCTGGGACTATAGGCACACACCACCACACCCAGCTAATTTTTTTATTTTTATTTTTTGTAGTATCCAGGTCTTGCTATGTTGCCCAGGCTGGTCTTGAACTCCTGGGCTGAAGCAATCCTCCTGCTGTGGCCTCCAAAATTGTTGGGATTACAGGCGTGAGCCACCGCACCTGGTGTTATTAATCAAATTCTGTAAGTTGAGTAACTATAGCCTTCTTTGCGTCACTTACGTGATACTTCAATTATTCAAATGCAGTGTAGATTTTACAGAGTTGTAAAGGTATAAACTACTCATTAAAAATAAAATATTTAGCTGAGCCGGTGGCCTGCACCTGTAATGCCAGTTACTCAGGGGGAGGATCGCTTGAGCCCAGGAGTTCAAGGGCAGCCTGGGCAACATAGTGAGACCCAGTGTCTAAAAAATAAAATAAAATATTTTTATCTGGGCATGGTGGCATGTGCCCGTACTCCCAGCTCCTTGGGAGGCTGAGGTTGGAGATGGCTTGAGCCCAGAAGTTGGAAGGTGTAGTGCCCAGAAGTTGGAAGGTGTAGTGCCCAGTGATAGTGCCTGTGTATAGCCACTGCACTCCAGCCTGGGCAACACTGCCAGACCCCTCTCTGCTCTTTTTTTTTTTTTTTTTGACGGAGTCTCGCTCTGTCGCCCAGGCTGCAGTGCAGTGGCAAGATCTCGGCTCACTGCAAGCTCCACCTCCCGGGTTCACGCCATTCTCCTGCCTCAGCCTCCCGAGTAGCTGGGACTACAGGCGCCCACCACCACGCCAGGCTAATTTTTTTGTACTTTTAGTAGAGACGGGGTTTCACCGTGTTAGCCAGGATGGTCTCGATCTCCTGACCTCGTGATCCGCCTGCCTCGGCCTCCCAAAGTGCTGGGATTACAGGCGTGAGCCACCGCGCCCGGCCTGCTCTTTTTTGTTGTTGTTGTTGAGATGGAGTCTTGCTGTCACCCAGGCTGGAGTGCAATGGCGAGATCAGCTCACTGCAACCTCCACTTCCTGGGTTCAAACGATTCTCCTGCCTTAGCCTCCCGAGTAGCTGGGATTACAGGCGCGTGCCACCACGCCTGGCTAATTTTTTATATTTTTAGTAGAGATGGGGTTTCACCATGTTGGCCAGGCTGGTCTCGAACTCCTGAACTCAAGTAATCCGTCCACCTCGGCCTCTCAAAGTTCTGGGACTACAGGCCTGAACCTCCCTCTCTGCTCTTAAAAAATAAATGTTGGCCGGGCGCGGCAGCATTTTTTTTTTTTCAAGATTACAGCGTCAGTAATCCCAGCTACTCGGGAGGCTGAGGTAAGAGGATCGCTAGGACCCTGGGGGCGGAGGTTGCTGAGCCGAAATCGCGCCATTACACTCCAGCTTTGGTGACAGAGCGAGACTGTCTCAAAAAAAAAAAAAAAAAAAAAAAAAATGCTTAGTAACAATACGTTGTAAACGGAAAAAAATCTTATTTTTTACGTTTAGATGCATGAGTACCAACGGTATGAAATCTTCAAATAATGTAACTCAGCGAGCAGTTTAACTACTGACTAGGAAAAAGTTCCCTTCCTTGAAACCACATGGCACACCTCTGGCCTTTCCCGTGCTCCATCCCTCCCTGTGCGGCCACTTCTTTGTGCAGCCAGGCACTGGGCTCTGAGTCTAGGTTGGCGGACTCCTCTCCTCGCCTCGGCATGGAGGTGGCTTCTCTTCCCCAAGCCTTGTGCAACAGGACCCGTCCTTGTGAGGGACCAGATAAACGCCCCATGCTCAAAGTCGCTCACCCTCACCTAGTCCTCACTGCTTCCAATGGTGTGCGGAATAAAAGCGATGAGCCCGAGGAAAGCCATCGTAAACGACTGTGATTGTCTTTAAGAAAGCTTGTGGCAAGATAATAATGTGGTCATTTTACAACAGTAGGAACTACATGCAAAATCGTCTCACTTTTTTCCCCCCCTTTGAAAGTTGAGTTACAATAATTTAAGTTGAAACCATAAAGAACTGCTTCTAAAATGCAAAAAAGACCAAAGATTTCTTCAGTATACCTTCAGTAGTCATTTCGAAGGACGGTAATAATTTACAAGATCCCCGTAGACTTTTCTTTTTTTGGCCATGGTTGGAAGTGGGGTTGACCTTAAAACTTGGTGGTTTCAAGGAACGCTTAAGTGTGAATTAATATGATGTGAAGAAATAATAATAGCCTCATTCTCTTGCAGTCTAATCACAGCCTTTTCCCCAGCCCCAGGGGAGGGAGCCTTTAATAAGGGTCTGTGTAAACTGACGCCCCGGCGGCAGGAGTACGGAGAAGCACTGCTCTGACAAGTTAAGACGCAGGAAACAGCAACCCAAAGAGCAGCCCCCGAAACAAAGTTGCTCAGACAAACAAGCCGATGCAGACGAGCGCCATGGCCCTGCTGGCGCGGATCCTGAGAGCCGGGCTGCGGCCGGCGCCCGAGCGGGGTGGGCTCCTGGGCGGCGGGGCCCCGCGGCGGCCTCAACCCGCGGGCGCACGGCTCCCGGCGGGGGCGCGGGCCGAGGACAAAGGCGCCGGGCGGCCGGGGTCGCCGCCGGGAGGGGGCCGAGCCGAGGGTCCCCGGAGCCTCGCCGCCATGCCGGGGCCGAGGACCCTCGCCAACCTGGCGGAGTTCTTCTGCAGGGACGGCTTCAGCCGCATCCACGAGATCCAGGTAGCGCGCGCCGCCCCGGGAGGGAGCCAGCCCGGGCTGCTGCCCAGAAGGCTGACGGCGCGGGCGGGAGGGCGCCAGGGAGGGGCGCGGGGTTGGGGAGTCCCAGGGAGGGGCGGCGGGCAGGGATCCCCGGGCACTGGGCGCCGCGGTGGGTTGGGGGAGCTGGACTGGGGTTGTCCGGTTAAGGTTCGCAGGAAGGGGCGCTGGGGAGAGGACGCCGGAAAGGCGATCCGGGGTGGAGGAGGCAGGAACCGGGAGCGGGGCGGGGGCGTTGGGGAGGGGTCTTCGGGAAGCGGACCCCGGAGAGGGGCAGCAGGCAGAGGGAGCTGAGGAACGGGGCCAGAAAGGAACGGCTGGGAAGAGGCGGGGGAAATGGGTGTCTCGGGAGGTGGCGGCAGGGAGGGGTCCCCTGGAGGGGCCCCAGCCGGGACCCCTGGGGAGGAGGTAGCGGGGAGGGGAGTCAGGGATGGAGTTTCGGAGAGTGGTAGCCCGAGAGAGGCGGCGGGCAGGGTCTCCAGGGACTGGTCCCGGGGAGGGACCCAGGCAGGGATTGCCTGGTTGGGGAACCTGGGGAGGGGGCGCCGCGAAGGGAAACCAGGAATGGGACTGCGGGGAGGGCACCAGGGCTGAGGTCCCGGAGGAGGAGACTTGGGGAGGGGCAGCGGGCGCCTGGTGGACGCCGCCGGGGCCTGGGAGTGGAGAGCTGGCGGGACCCGCGGAGTTGGGGCTGAGGGGGGCTGCTGCCTGGGGCCGGCCCGAGGGGAGCGCTAGGTTCCCTAGCTCCTCTAGGCTCTGCGGAGCTCGGTGTCCTTAGGTGGCCGAGACCGTGTGTATTCATTTCTAGTCCTTTTTGTATTTTGTAATGGCGGGGGAAGAGGGGACGGAGGCTCGGAGGCTCGGGGTGCCGTAGGCTCTAAGCCGGAGTTGGGGGCGACACCTGGAGTTCGCGCCGGGACTGGAGGCAGGGACGTGGGAGGAACCCAGGGGTCCCAGCCACCCGCTAGGGCGTTGGGGCCGGCGAATTCCGCACGCTTCCCACTTGGAGCCTGAGTGCTGTCCTTCCCACGCCCACCTCCGTTGCGCCCTTCGTGGCAGGGGCACTGCACCCGAGCCGCGGCGGCGCCCTCCGATGCCTTCGCCCATCGTCCGCCTCCCCGGGTGCCCGGCCCAGCACGCACTGTTATTTCTGGTATGGGGGCTTTTGGTGTCTTCCGAGAACGCCCCCTTCTCCTCCCACCCAGGCCTGTCCTTCTGCCCAGAGTTCCGGTCTTTCGAGACCCTTCTCCATCGAAGCCTCTTCTAACTACCCACCTGGGCTTCAGTCATTCATTCGTTCCATCAGCCATTCAGTCAATGAACGTGAGGGAGAAGCCCCAACCCTCATTAATGGAAAAACGGGCGTGCGAGGAGCAATTTTAATTCGGCCGGGAATTAAAATTTAATTTAATTTTAATGCCAGGAAGTCCCAACCGTCCCTCCTCAAGTCCGCCACGCCAACCCTATACAGTTCCAAACCGCCACCCCCACCCCAATGCTTAGAGGGCTCAAAAATGATTTTCTTTGTAGGATCTGATAAGATATCAGGATGGCAACTTTCAAATACAGTAAAAAGTGTTTTGTTATTTGCTGTTGATGGGTTCAATACAGCCTGCTTTCTGAAGTGTAATTTAATTTTTCTTTTATCCGCCCCTACTGCCATCTGCTTTTATCCTCATACCTCACCCAGAGTTTGTTCCATGGGCACAGGTTTCTTTGAGACGGACCGTGTTAAAGCCTGTATCCAGTCAGGATGTGTGGCAGTTCAGATGGGTATTTTCCATTCACCCGCCCCTGCCGCCAGCCCTCACCCTGAGCTCAGCCCCTCCTGCCCACTGCTCAGACAGCTTCCTTCACCACACCCAGGGCCCTGGGGCACGGAGCAGAGAGTCACAACTGACTCACTTGCTGCCTTCTCACCAAGCGCACACAGGACCTGGAGAGTAAAAGAAATAAAGGAAAAAGTTCTTTCCCTTTACTCTCCAGGTGGCACTACCCCAACCCTCAAATATGGTACTTGTGGGGACTCTCACCTTCCTGCAGCCCCTCTGAGGACTCCCAATTTCGAACACATGGTTCTAGAAAAACCCTCTCTTCCCGCTCTCCAGGTTGCTCATTGTTCTGTGGCCCATCACATCCAGTTCACTTGCGCTCCCCTTGCAATCACAGAATGTTAGCTAAACAAGGGCTCTTAGTGTTCACCTACATAGCTCACCTCTCATTTTACAGATGGAAAGAGTTGGGTGGTTACCTAAGCGACTTGCCTAAGGTCAGGCAGCTGGTGATTGGCAGAGTAGAAATCATAATTTGGGTCACTAGATGCTATTTAGGGTGTGGTAGAGCAGCAGGATGGCCGAAACAGGAGTCATGTCCTCCAATGCTGGCCCTCTGCAGCCACCTGTGGAGCCTTGGGCTAGTCACTCATTCTCTCTGCACCTCAGTTTTCTCATCCGTAAAGGAGATTAGCAATCGCCATTCCTCTCATGGGTTATGATAAGGTCAAATGAGCTTAGTGTTATGAAACTGTAATAATAACAAATAATAACGATCAGTATTTCTAGAACTCTTTTCATGTGCCAGGCACAGTTTCAAGTCTTACGTGAAACTTATTTCTCCATTTTTTGGGTGAGGAAACTGAGGCATAGTGGGACCTAACTTCCAAAGGTTATTCAGCTAGTAAACTGTGAGCCCAGATTCAAACTCCAGAGTCTGTGCTCTTAACATCCAAGCAAACTCTAAGTACTGTGCCTGACTGTATAGTTCCATGGCCCACCACCAGAAAGTGATGAAAACTATCTGTATCATTTCTACCTCCAGTTCCCTTGTGCTGATTGTACCCAATTCAGTAGCTGGATTTGCTTGAGGAGTGGCCCATTTCCCAGTAGTTCTTGTTACCAGTCATTCCTTCAGTGGGCCCCTTTAGAGACCTGAACTCTTTGGGGGCCACTTATTTGTTAGGCAGAAGTGACCCCTTGGAGATGGACTCATTCCAGTTTAGTCTGAATGTCTTCATTTTCAGGTCTCCAGAAGGAGTGAGTATAAGAGTAGAGAAATGACAGTGCTCCTGGCCCACTGTTTCTGAGATTGAGAGCTGGAGTGGTGAGAAAGCTGGGCAGATACCAAAGAGAGTCTTAGTAACTTTCCCCAGCCCAGCCCTGTCTGTGTCATGCTGAGCCATGTTAGAGGCTCATCACTTTTGTGTTTTAACTGAATAATTTAGTCTATTTACATTTATTGTGATTTCTTTTTATGCAGGGAGTAACAGCTTTCTTAAGATATAATTAACATATCATATAATTCATCCATTTGAAGTATACAACCATCACCGCAGTCAACTTGTAGAACATTTTCATGACCTCAAAAAGAAATCCCATATCCATCAGCTATCACCCCCAACTCTCCTATTCCCCCTGCTTTAAGCAACCACCAAGCTACTTTCTGTATCTATAGATTGGCCTATTCTGGACATGTCATAAGTGGAATCATGTAATATGTGGTCTTTTATGGGTGGTTTCTTTCACTTTAAACATTTCAGTATAATGTTTTTAAGGTTCACTCATGTTGTAGCATGTATCAGTACCTCATTCTTTTTATGGACAAATAATATTGCAGCGTATGACTATACCACATTTTGCTTATCCATTCATCAGTTCATAGACATTTGGATTGTTTCCACCTTTTAGCCGTAATGAATAATGCTGCTGTGAATTTTTGTGTGTAAGGTTTTGTGTAGACATGTGTTTTCATTTCTCTTGGATATGTATCTAGGAGTGGAACTGTTGGGTCAAATAGTAATTCTATATTTAACCTTTTGAAGAACTGCCAGACTGTTTTCCAGAGTATCTGCACCATTTTACATCCCCACCATTATCATAAGAGGGTTCTGATTTTTCTACATCCCTGTCAACATTTGTTATTACTTGTCCTTTTGATTATGGCCATTCTAGTGGGTGCGAAGTGCTATCTCTCCCTGATGACTGATGATGTTGAGCATATTTTCATGTGCTTATTTACCATTTGTATATCTTCTTTGGAGAAATATCCATTGAAATCCTTTGTCCAGTTTTTAATTGGGTTCTTTTCTCTCTTCTTCCTTCCTCCCTCCCTCCCTCTCTCTCTCCCTCCCTCCCTTCCTCTACTGATTTGTAAGTTTCTATATATTCTGGGTACAAGTCCCTTATCAGATATGTGCTTTGCAAATATTTTCTCCATCCGAAGGTTGTTTTTGCTTTTTATTTTTACATTTTATTTTTATTTTTTAATGAGACAGGGTCTTGCTATGTTGCCTAGGCTGGGCTCAAGCAATCCACCTGCCTTGGCCTCCCAGAGTGCTAGGATTACATGCCTGAGCCATTATGGCCGGCCTTGTTTTCACTTTCTTAATAGTGTTCTTTAAAGCATAAAAGTTTTAAATTTTGATGAAGTCCTATTATCGATTTTTTTCTTTTGTTACTTGCACTTTAGGGATCATATCTTAAGACATTATGCCAAACCCAGGGTCATGAAGATTTACCCTTATGTTTTCTTCTAAGAGTTTATAGTTTTAGCATTTACATTTAGAGCTTTGATCCATTTTGAGATAATTTTTTTATATAGTGTGAGAAAAAGGTAAAAATTGATTCTTTGCTTGTGGCTATCCAGTTGTCCCTGTGCCATTTGTTTAAGAGACTATTAAATCCTTTTCCTATTGAAAGATCTTGGAACTCTTGATGAAAATCAGTTGACCATAGATGTTTGAGTCTTAAATCTAAGCCAATGATTATGCCATTACTGCACTGTCTTGGTTACTGTAGCTTTGTACTAAGTCTTTTTTTTTTTTTTTTTGAGATGGAGTCTCACTCTGTCGCCCAGGCATGAGTGCGGTGGTGCGATCTCAGCTCACTGCAAGCTCCGCCTCCCGGGTTCACGCCGTTCTCCTGCCTCAGCCTCCCGAGTAGCTGGGACTACAGGCGCCCGCCACCATGCCTGGCTAATTTTTTTGTATTTTTAGTAGAGACGGGGTTTCCTCGTGTTAGCCAGGATGGTCTAGATCTCCTGACCTCGTGATCTGCCCACCTCGGCCTCCCAGAGTGCTGGGATTACAGGCGTGAGCCACTGCGCCCGGCCTGTACTAAGTCTTTTTTTTTTTAATTTCCTCTAAAAAAAAAAAAACCAAAAAAAAAAAAAAAAACAAAAAACGGATACATGTGCAGAACATGCAGGTTTGTTACATAGGTGTACGTGCACCATGGTGGTTTGCTGCACCTATTGACCCATCTAAGTTTCCTCCCCTCAACCCCCACCCCAGCAGGCCCTGGTGTATGTTATTCCCCTATCTGTGTTCATGTGTTCTCAATATTCAACTCCCACTTATGAATAAGAACATGCAGTATTTGGTTTTCTGTTCCTGTGTTAGTTTGCTGAGGATGATTGCTTCCAGCTTCATCCATGTCCCTGCAAAGGACATGATCTCATTCCTTTTTATGACTGCATAGCATTCCATGGTGTATATGTGCCACATTTTCTTTAACCAGTCTATCGTTAATGGGCATTTGGGTTGGTTCCATGTCCTTGCTACTGTAAATAGCGCTGCTGTAAAAATATGTGTGCATGTGTTTTTATAGTAGAATGACTTATATTCCTTTGGGTATATACCCAGGAATGGGATTGCTGGGTCAAATGGTATTTCTGGTTCTAGATCCTTGAGGAATCACCATACTGTCTTCCACAATGGTTTAACTAATTTACATTCCCACCAACAGTGTAAAAGTGTTTCAGTTTCTCCACAGCCTTGCCAGCATCTATTCCTGACTTTTTAGTAATCACCATTCTGACTGGTGTGAGATGGTATCTCATTGTGGTTTTGATTTGCATTTCTCTGATGATCAGTGATGTATACATTATACATTGAGCTTTTTTTCATGTTTGTTGTCTACATAAATGTCTTCTTTTGAGAGGTGTCTGTTTATATTCTTTGCCCAATTTTTGATGGGGCCATTTGTTTTTTTCTTGTAAATTTGTTCAATTTCCTTGTAAATTCCAGCTATTAGACCTTTGTCAGATGGGTAGATTGCAAAAACTTTCTCCCATTCTGTAGGTTGCCTGTTCACTCCAATGATAGTTTCTTTTGCTGTGCAGGAACTCTTTAATTTGATTCTAGTTGTCAATTTTGGCTTTTGTTGCAATTGCTTTTGGTGTCTTCATCAGGAAATCTTTGCAGATGCCTGTGTTCTGAATGGTATTGCCTAGGTTTTCTTCTAGGGTTTTTATGGCTCTGGGTTTTACATTTAAGTCTTTAATTCATCTTGCGTTAATTTTTGTATAAGGTGTAAGGAAGGGGTCCAGTTTCAGTTTTATGCATATGGCTAGCCAGTTTTCCCAGCACCATATACTGAATAGGAGTTCCTTTCCCCATTGCTTGTTTTTGTCAGGTTTGTCAAAGAGCAGATGGTTGTAGATGTGTGGTGCTATTTCTGAGGTCTTTGTTTTGCTCCATTGGTCTATATGTCTGTTTTGGTACCAGTACCATGCTGTTTTGGTTACCGTAGCCTTGTAGTATAGTTTGAAGTCAGGTATCGTGATGCTTCCAGCTTTGTTCTTTTTGCTTAGGATTGTTTTGGCTATATGGGGTCTTCAATTCCATATGAAATTTAAGTTTTTTTTTTTCTAATTCTGTGAAGAATGTCAATGGTGGTTTGATGGGAATAGCATTGAATCTATAAATTACTTTGGGCAGTATGGCCATTTTCACGATATTGATTCTTCCTATCCATAAGGATGGAATGTTTTTCCATTTGTTTGTGTCCTCTCTTATTTTCTTGAGCAGTGGTTTGTAGTTCTCCCTGAAGAGGTCCTTCACATTCCTTGGTAGCTGTATTCCTAGATATTTTATTCTCTTTGTAGTGATTATGAATGGGAGTTCATTCATGATTTGGCTCTCTGCTTGCCTATTGTTGGTGTAAAGGAATGCTTGCGATTTTTGCACATTGATTTTATATCCTGAGACTTTGCTGAAGTTGCTTATCAGTTCAAGAAGTTTTTGGGCTGAGATGATGGGGTTTTCTAAATATAAAATCATCTCAACTGCAAACAGAGATAACTTGACTTCCTCTCTTCCTATTTGAATATGCTTTATTTCTTTCTCTTGTTTGATTGCCCTGGCCAAAACTTCCAATACTATGTTGAATAGGAGTGGTAAGAAAGGACATCCTTGTCTTGTACCAGTTTTCAAAGGGAATGCTTCCAGTTTTTGTCCATTCAATATGATATTGGCTGTGGGTTTATCATAAATAGCTCTTATTATTTTGAGATATGTTCCATCAGTACCTAGTTTATTGAGAGTTTTTAATGTGAAGGGATGTTGAATTTTATCAAAGGCGTTTTCTGCATCTATTGAGATAATTATGTAGTTTTTGTCCTTGGTTCTGTTTATGTGATGGATTACGTTTATTGATTTGTGTATGTTAAAACAGCCTTGCATCCCAGGGATGAAGCTGATTGATCGTGGTGGATAAGTTTTTTGATGGGTTGCTGGATTCGGTTTGCCAGTATTTTATTAAGGACTTTTGCATCAATGTTCATCAGGGATATTGGCCTGAAGTTTTCTTTTTTATTCTGTCTCTTCCTGGTTTTGGTATCAGGATGATTCTGGCTTCATAAAATGAGTTAGGGGGGAGTCCCTTCTTCTCAATTGTTTGGAATAGTTTCAGAAGGAATGGTACCAGCTCCTCTTTGTATTTCTGGTAGAATTCAGCTGTGAATCCATCTAGTCCTGGGCTTTTTTTGGTTGGTAGACTATTAATTACTGCCTCAATTTCAGAGCTTGTTATTGGTCTATTCAGGGGTTAAATTTCTTCCTGGTTTAGTCTTGGTAGGGTGTATGCGTCCAGGAATTTATCCATTTCTTCTAGATTTTCTAGTTTATTTGCATAGAGGTGTTTATAGTATTCTCTGATGGTAGTTTGTGTTTCTGTGGGGTCAGTGGTGATATCCCCTTTATCATTTTTTATTGTGTCTATTTGATTCTTCTCTCTCTCCTTCTTTATTAGTTAATTTTTTCCAAAAACCAGTTCCTGGATTCATTGATTTTTTTGGAGGGTTTTTCATGTCTCTATCTCCTTCAATTTTTCTCTGATCTTAGTTATTTCTTGTCTTCTGCTAGCTTTTGGATTAGTTTGCTCTCGCCTCTTTAGCTCTTTTAATTGTGATGTTAGGCTGTCAATTTGAGGTCTTTCTAGCTTTTTGATTTGGGCATTTAGTGCTATAAATTTCCCTCTTAACACTGCTTTAGGCCGGGCGCAGTGGCTCACGCCTGTAATCCCAGCACTTTGGGAGGCCGAGGTGGGTGGATCACGAGGTCAGGAGGTCGAGACCATCCTGGCTAATACGGTGAAACCCCGTCTCTACTAAAAATACAAAAAAAAATTAGCTGGGCGTGGTAGCGGGCGCCTGTAGTCCCAGCTACTCGGGAGGTTGAGGCAGGAGAATGGCATGAACCCGGGAGGCGGAGCTTGCAGTGAGCCAAGATAGCGCCACTGCAGTCCAGCCTGGGTGAAAGAGCGAGACTCCATCTCAAAAAAAAAAAAAAAAAAAAAAAAAAAAAAACAAAAAAACACTGCTTTAGCTGTATCCCAGAGATTCTGGTACGTTGTCTCTTTGTTCTCATTGGTTTCAAAGAACTTCTTGATTTCTGCTTTAATTTCATTATTTACCCAGGAGTCGTTCAGGAGCAGGTTGTTCAATTTCCATGATATTGTGTGCTTTTGAGTGAGTTTCTTAATCCTAAGATCTAATTTCATTGCACTGTGGTCAGAGAGACTGTTTGTTATGATTTCAGTTCTTTTGCACTTGCTGAGGAGTATATGTGGTCAATTTTAATTGACAAATAAGTGCCATGTACACTGAGAAGAATGTATATTCTGTTGATTTGGGGTAGAGAGTTCTGTAGACATCTACTAGGTCCACTTGATCCAGAGCTGAGTTCAAGTACTGAGTATCCTTGTTAATTTTCTGTCTCGCTGATCTGTCTAATATTGACAGTGGGGTGTTAAAGTCTCCCATTATTATTGTGTGGGAGTCTAAGTCTCTTTGTAGGTCTCTAAGAACTTGTTTTATGAATCTGGGTGCTTCTGTATTGGGTGCATATATATTCAGAATAGTTAGCTCTTCTTGTTGAATTGTTCCTTTTACTATTATGTAATGCCCTTCTTTGTCTTTTTTGATCTTTGTTGGTTTAAAGTCTGTTTTGTCTGAGACTAGGATTGCAACCCCTGCTTTTTTTTTTTTCACTTTTCACTTGCTTTGTAAATTTTCCTCCATCCCTTTATTTTGAGCCTCTGTGTGTCTTTGCCTTTAAGATAGGCCTCCTGAATACAGCACGCTGATGGGTCTTGACTCCTTATCCAATTTGCCAGTCTGTGTCTTTTAACTGGGGGATTTGCCCATTTACATTTAGGGTTAGTATTGTTATGTGCGAATTTGATCCTGTCATCATGATGCTATTTGCTTATTTTGCACACTAGTTGATGCAGTTTCTTCGTAGTGTCATTGGTCTTTATATTTTGGTGTGTTTTTGCAGTGGCTGGTACTGGTTTTTCCTTTACTTATTTGGTGCTTCTTTTAGGAGCTCTTGCATGGCAGACCCAGTGGTAACAAAATCCCTCAGCATTTGCTTTTCTGGAAAGGATTTTATTTCTCCTTTGCTTATGAAGCTTAGTTTGGCTGGATATGAAAGTCTGGGTTGAAAATTCTTTAACTATGTTGAATATTGGCCCCCAATCTCTTCTGGCGTATAGAGTTTCTGCTGAGAGATCCACTGTTAGTCTGATGGGCTTCCCTTTGTAGGTGACCTGGCCTTCCTCTGTGGCTGCTCTTAACAGTTTTTCCTTCATTTCAACCTTGAAGAATCTGATGACTATGTGTCTTGGGGTTGATCTTAATGTGGAGTATTTTAATGGTGTTCTCTGTATTTTCTGAATTTGCATGTTGGCCTGTCTTGCTAGGTTGAGGAAGTTCTCCTTGATAATATCATGAAGTGTGTTTTCCAGCTTGTTTCCATTCTCCCCGTCTCCTTCTGGTGCTCCAGTCGATTGTAGGTTTGCTGTTTTTATGAAGTCCCATATTTCTTTGAGGCTTTGTTTATTCCTTTTCATTCTTTTTTCTCTATTCTTGTCTGCATGTCTTATTTCAGTAAGGTGGTCTTCAAATTCTGATATCCTTTCTTCCACTTGGTCGATTTGGCTGTTGATACCTGTGTATGCTTCACGAAGTTCTCACACTGTGTTTTTCAGCTCCATCTGGTCATTTATGTTCCTCTCTAAACTGGTTATTCTAGTTAGCAGTTCCTCTAACCTTTTATCAAGGTTCTTAGCTTCTTTGCATTGTGTTAGAACATGCTCCTTTAGGTCATCGCAGTTTTTTATTACCCATCTTCTGAAGTGTACTTCTGTCAATTCGTCCATCTGATCCTCCATCCAGTTCTGTGCTCTTGATGGAGAGACATTGTGATTATTTGGAGGAGAAGAGGCACTCAGGCCTTTTGGTTTTCAGCATTTTTTTGTTGATTATTTCTCATCTCTGTGAGTTTGTCTAGTTTCAGTCTTGAGGCTGCTGACCCTTGGATGGGGTTTTTGTGGGGGCCTTTTTTTGTTGTTGTTATCAATGCTGTTGTTGTCGCTTTCTGTTTGTTTTTCTTTCAATAGTCAATCCCTCTTCTGTAGGGCTGCTGCAGTTTGCTGGGGGTTCACTTCAGGCCCTATTCTTCTGATTTGCTCCTGTGCCTGGAGATGTCACTCAAGGAGGCTGAAGTGCAGCAATGATGGGTGCCTGCTCCTTCTTCTGGGACCTCTGACCTCAAGGGGCATCAACCTGATGCCAGTAGGATTGCTTCTGTATAGGGTATCTGACAACCCCTATTGGAGGGTCTCACCCAGTTGGGTGGCATGGGGAGCAAGAACCTTTTAATAAAGCACTTTGTCCCTTGGTGGGGAGGGTGTGTTTTGCTTGGGGGAAACCCACTAGTCTGGATTGCCTGGATTCCTCAGAACTACCAGGAGAAGAGGCTAAATCTGCTGGTCCGCAGAGACTGTGGCCACCCCTTCCCCAAGGGCTCAGGCCCAGGGAGATCAGAGTTCTGTCCCCGAGCCTCTGACTGGAATTGTTGGAGATCCTGCTGGGAATCCCCAGCCACTGAGGAAGGATGGATCAGGGTTAGACCTGAAGAGGCACTCTGGCTGCCAACTGCCACAGCTGGTGTGTTGAGCTGTGGGGATAACTCTTGGGACCAAGCCATCCAGCCTCCCTGGCTCCAGCAGGGGAAAAGTGCAGCCTGGAGCTATAGAAATGGGTGCCACCCTTCCCCAACCCAGGGAGCTTAGCCTGTTGGCAGTTGTGAGTCCCAGTGCTGGCTGCTGCCCCTCCCCCAAGGAGCTCAAATTACTTAGACAGCAGGCAGCCGCAGCTGGTGCTGGTCGCCCATCCCCTCAGGAGTTCAGTAGGCTTAAACAGATTCCAGCTGAGAGGCTGTAGGAATCTGTGCATACCAGGGTTGGGATGCTTGGCTCTGGTGGCATGGGTTCGAGAGTGGGATCTTCTGACCTGTAGGTTGCACAGTTCTGTGGAAAAAGCACAGTTTCCCCAGCTGGGTAGCCCGCTCACTCACCACCTCCCTTGGCTGGGGGGAGTGGGTTCCCTTCCCCGTGTGGCTTCCAGGTGGGCCACTGCACTACACTGTTCTTCCTTCTCTCCGTGGGTTATGCCAGCCTTCTAGTCAATTTTGATGAGAGAACCTGGATACCCTGGCTGCCAGGGAAGGTTTCACATGCTTATTATGTTTTTTTTGATGGGAGCCTCTGAGCACCACTGCTTCTAGTTGGCCATCTTGGCCCCTCTCCCATACTAAGTCTTGAAACAGGAAAATGGGGGTCCACCAGCTTTGTTCTTTTTTCGAGATTGTTTAGGCTATTCTGGGTCTCTTGCATTTTCATATGAATTTTAGGATCAGCTTATCAGTTTCTACAAAGAAGCCCACTGGAATTATGATAGGGATTGTGCTGAATCTATTTATACACTTTGAGGTGTATTTCTTTCTCAACAATATTAAGTCTTCCAGTCCATGAACATGGGATATCTTGCCATTTATTTCATGTCTTGCCATTTATTTCAGGCTTCTTTAAACAATGTTTTGTAGATTTCTTTAAACAATGTTTTGTAGATTTCTTTAGACAATGTTTTATAGTTTTCAGAGTATAGGTTTTACACTTCTCCTGTTAAATTTATTTCTAAGAATATTATTATTTTTTTTTTTGTGACAGAGTCTTGCTCTGTCACCCAGGCCTGAGTGTGGTGGTACAATCTTCACTCACTGCAACCTCCACCTCCTGAGCTCACGTGATCCTCCCACCTCAGCCTCCTGAGTAGCTGGGACTACAGGCTCACACTGCCATGCCTCGCTAATTTTTGTATATATATGTATTTTTTGAGATAGAATTTCACTCTTGTTGCCCAGGGTGGAGTGCAATGGCGCAGTCTTGCGGCTCACTGCAACCTCTGCCTCCTGGGTTCAAGCGATTCTACTGCCTCAGCCTCCGAGTAGCTGGGATTACAGGTGCACACCACCATGCCTGGATAATTTTTGTGTTTTTAGTAGAAATGGGGTTTCACCATGTTGGCTAGGCTGGTCTCAAACTCTTGAACCCAGGTGATCCCCTCGCCTTGGCCTCCCAAAGTGCAGAGAGTACAGGCATGAGCCTTTGCACCCAGCCATGTATTTTTTTTAGAGACAGAATTTTGCCATGTTGCCCAACCTTATCTTGAACTCCTGTGCTCTAGCGATCCACCCACCTAAGCCTCCCAAAAGTGCTGGGATTACAGACAGGCATGAGCCACTGCAGCTGGTCAAGTATTGTATTCTTTTTGATGTATTGTAAATTGAATTGTTTTTTAAATTTCATTTTGGATTGTTCACTGCTAGTGTATAGAAATACAATTGATTTTTGTATACTGATTTTGTGTCCTATTGAACTTGTTTATTAGTTCTAATAGTTTTTTAGTAGGTTCCGTAGGATTTTCTGTATGTGAGATCACGTCATCTGCCAATAGAGATAGCCTGACTTCTTCATTTCCAATCCAGATGTCTTTTCCTTCATTTTCTTGCTGGGAGTCAGTTTTAGAGGCTCGTTACAGACTGTCCACAGAGGGCTTGCTCTGCAGAGTTGGCTTGGTACTGCTTGGGTAGAGCTGTTGGGCCCATGGAAAGGGGCTGGCAGACAGGGCTCTGTTTGCTCTGGACATTTGTCTCTTATAATGACATTTCTCTCTTGTTGCTTCACACAGCTAAGGTAGTTTTAAAAACATATCCCTAAAGAATAAGAAAACTTCCATGATCATGCCTGTAATCCCAGCACTTTGGGAGGCTGAGGCAGGAGGATCACTTGAGGCCAAGAGTTCGAGACCAGCCTGGCAACATTGAGAGACCCCTGTTTCTACAAAAAATAAAAAATTAGCTGGGAGTGGAGGTGTGCACCTGCAGTCCTAGCTACTTGGGAGGCTGAGGTGGGAGGATTGCCTGGGCCCAGGAGTTGGAGGCTGCGGTGAGCTATGTTTATGCCACTGCACTCCAGCCTGGGCAACAGAGCAAGACCCTGTCTCTAAAAAACAAACAAACAAACAAACAAACAAACAAACGGAAACAACAAAAAAGAGATGGTTATGTGAAAACATGTTTATCTCAGCAATATGTAAATTACTGCTCTGATTCAGTGCTGTGTTAGATAGCACTTCCCTCTGCCCCAATTTTCTGCTCCTCTAGCACACAGGATGTTTATGTTAAAGGTATATCATATCTATGTATTTTTTCCTTTTTTGATTTCTCCATGGTATTGCAGCAGAAGCACACACGGGAATATGGAAAAATCTTCAAGTCTCACTTTGGTCCTCAGTTTGTAGTATCTATTGCAGACCGCGATATGGTGGCTCAGGTGCTCCGGGCGGAGGGCGCTGCGCCCCAGAGAGCCAACATGGAGTCCTGGCGGGAGTACCGAGACTTGCGGGGGAGAGCCACCGGGCTCATCTCGGCGTGAGTATGTGGGCCCGGGCTGAGCCACGGGCTGGAGGGGGAGCTCAGGGGGAGGCCCCCTCCTCCAAAGCTGAGTTCCTAAAAGCCAGCTCTTAAAAAAGCACAGAACCCCCCCATGGAATGATATCAGACAGTCTCCTTGTGCGATCTCCCAGACATGAGAGCCCTGCTGGGCTTTCTGGCTCCTCCTCCGTGCAGAGTTGTCCCGTCAGGAGCCAGGAGGGGCGACGCTGGCTCCGTGGTGGGCAGAGCGCTTCGGAAGCAGGGCTTTGTGGCTTTGGGAGTCCATTCAGTGATAACCGAGGCAGACAAAACTCACAGCGCCCTTGTCTGTGCACAGGGAAAGGAGGTGGTCACTATTTCAGGAAAATCCCTTTGACGAGGGGCTAAGAACCTCCAGCCTTGGTCGCCACGTGGTGATTTTCCTGTCTCATAGCAGACTGTGATTATTCATTTTGAACCAGCGTCACCAACACCTCTGTGCCTTCCAAGAGATCGTGGCCCGCGGCCAGGCAGGGAGGCCCAGGGCGCCTGCAGATGCCCCGGTCCAAATCCCCATGGGGTGGGACTTCTGTTTGCAGCTCTTTTGATATCTATGTCCTTATACATAAATTGGGGAGAAATACAGCCACCAATTTCTCAAGTAAGATAAATAAGAATCGTGACCAGATGTCACCAGGGTCCCTCAATTTCCGTCCTGGGGGAAATAATTAAACAGCTCCTCCTGGATGTTCAGGCCTAGAGGGGCCCGAATGCTGAGGCAGAATCTCTCTGCTGTCTGCCCCGTTAGCTGCAGGCTCAGGAGCCTGTGTGGGTGCCTGGACCCCTCTTCGGCTGAGATGGAGAGAGGCGGTGCTGGTGACTTCAGCACAGTGGACAGCAAAGGGAAGGGCAGTGCCTAGGCCCAGGCGCCGGGCTGGCTTAGCTTGGGTCCTCCAAAGTCCATCTGGAGGCAAGGCTTTGAGTGCAGGTGGTCTCCTTGAGAACGCGAAAGTGGAGCAGGGTTGGGAGGCAAGCCATGCGGAGGTGTGGAGGTGTGGGTGACGCTCGTGGGCACTTGAGGCTCAGTCCTGCCACGACCCTCTGAGAAACTGCAGAACACTCCTCAGACCTCCAAGGGGTTCCCTCAGCGTCCTGCCTTCACTGGGAGCGGTGTGCTGGGCCTGCTACCTGGGTGCTCTCCGAGTGCAGCCAGGAGCCCCAAGGCCCCACACCCTGGTAACAAGCTGCAGTCCCTCTTTCTTTCCCACACCCTGGTAACAAGCTGCAGTCTTCTTTCTTTCTTTCTTTCTTTCTTTCTTTCTTTCTTTCTTTCTTTCTTTCTTTCTTTCTTTCTTTCTTTCTCTCTCTCTCTCTCTCTCTCTTTCTTTCTTTCTTTCTTTCCTTCTTTCTTTCCTTCCTTCCTTCCTTCCTTTCTTTCTTTCTTTCTTTCTTTCTTTCTTTCTTTCTTTCTTTCTTTTTCTTTCTTTCCTTTCTCTCTTTCTTTTCTTTCTTTCTCTCTCTCTTTCTTTTCTTTCTTTCTCTCTCTCTTTCCTTCCTCCCTCCCCCCTCCCTCCTCCCTCCCTCCCTCCCTCCCTCCTTCCTTCCTTCCTTCCTTTTCTCTCTCTCTCTCTCTCTTTCTTTCTTTTTTTTTTGAGATGGAGTTTCGCTCTGTCGCCTAGGCTGGAGTGCAATGGCGTGATCTTGGCTCACCATGACCTCTGCCTCCCGGGTTCAAGTGATTCTCCTGCCTCAGCCTCCCGAGTAGCTGGAATTACAGGTGCCCACCACCACACCCGGCTAAATTTTTCTATTTTTGGTAGAGATGGGGTTTCACCATGTTGGCCAGGCTGGTCTTGAATTCCTGACTTCAGGTGATCCACCCATCTTGGCCTCCTAAAGTGCTGGGATTACAGGCATGAGCCACCATGCCTGGCCCTCTTTTTCTTTTTTAATATCAGTACTTACTTCATTTATATATACATATGTATGCATATATATATATATTTTTCTTTTGCTAATTAGCAATCTCATTTCTTTATTACAATATTATTTCAAGATTTTTTAAAGGAAGTCGTATTACTTTTACTAAAGATTATTACTTACCACTGGTAGTTTTTTCCTTAAAGTTTGCTTCAAAGGCAAGAGTGTAAGAAGCTCTAACAGGCTCCAGGGCTGCAGTTATTAACTTCTCTCTCCCCAGCAAAAAGTCTTTCCTGTCTTAATTCTACTTTGTTGGGCAGCTCTTGTTGATTCTTTATGGCTGAAATTTTTTCTAGAGGTTCCTTGAATTCTTTCCCAGAATGTCAGTGTAAGTAAGATGATTTGAAACTCACTTGATTCTTCTAGGGAGGGTGAACAGTGGCTCAAGATGAGAAGCGTATTGAGACAAAGAATTCTGAAACCGAAAGATGTGGCCATTTATTCTGGAGAAGTCAACCAAGTTATTGCTGACTTAATTAAAAGAATCTACCTCCTCAGGAGCCAGGCAGAAGATGGAGAAACCGTGACCAATGTCAATGATCTTTTCTTCAAATATTCAATGGAAGGTGAGGTGGAATCAGCAGGTGGGAAGGAGGGAAGAATGGATACTTGCCCCAAACCTGCAGATGTCATCTTGGATCATTCCCTGGGTCCCAGGCAGTGTGCTAAGTCTGGGACATACATGCATGTCACCTCCACGGTGCTAACGTGAACCTGGTGTGAACCACCGTTGACCAATGAGGAAACTGAGACTTTTTTTTTTTTTTTCTGAGATGAAGTCTTGCTCTGTCACCCAGGCTGGAGTGCTATGATGTGGTCTTGGCTCGCTGCAACCTCTGCCTCCCAGGTTCAAGCGATTCTCCTGCCTCAGCCTCCCGAGTAGCTGGGATTACAGGCACCTGCCACCACTCCCGGCTAATTTTTTGTATTTTTAGTAGAGACAGTGTTTCACCATGTTGGCAAGGCTGGTCTCGAACTCCTGACCTCGTGATTCGCCCGCCTTGGCCTCCCAAAGTGCTGGGATTACAGGCATGAGCCACTGCACCTGGCTGAAACTGGACTTAAAAAAGAACTTGCCCAATGCCACACCCCCATCCCTCTTTTTAGAGGCAGAAAGTTAGTTTCAAATTCAGGTCTTTTAAACTCAAGAAGCCATGTTCCTAATTACTAATTTACATGTTCAAAAAAAAAAAACATTTTGTTTGAGCATAATTTTTAAAAAGGAGTGAAGTTGAGAGGGCATCTACTTCAAACTCATTCTAGCTTTTAGTCATATTGAATGAGTGGTACATTCCTGTTCAAATAGCAATACCAAAAAGGCTTCAGTGAAGGTCTCCCTCTTTCCTGAATGCAGCAAAGGTCACTAGTCTCTCATGTATATGTCAAGAGATGTTTTATGCACATACAGAAAAACGCATGTGAATATTCTTTTTATTTTTAAACAATAAAGGGTAGTACACCAAACATACTGTTCTGCACCGTGCTTTCTCTTTACTTAAGAATGCATCTTGGGGCTGGGTGCGGTGGCTCACGCCTGTAATCCCAGCACTTTGGGAGGCCGAGGCGGGTGGATCACCTGAGGTCAGGAGTTTGAGACCAGTCTGGCCAACATGGTGAAACCCTGTCTCTACTAAAAATACAACAATTAACTGGGCCATGGTGGCGGGCACCTGTAATCCCAGAGACTTGGGAGGCTGAGGCAGGAGAATCGCTTGAACTAGAGAGGCGGAGGTTGCAGTGAGCCAAGACCACACAATTGTACTCCAGCATGGGTGACAAGAGTGAAACTCCATCTCAAAAAAAAAAAAAGCATGTTGGTCTAACATGGTGATGTTTGTGTAAAAAAAAAAAAATAGAATGCATCTTGGAGGACTTTCTATCAGCTTTCTCATCTTTTTTAAAAAAAGCTTACCTTCAACTTTCACTCAAGTTAGCTTTGCAGAGTTCTGATGTTAATTTTCTCTAAAATTAGTAACAAAATCATCCCAGAAGTGATTGGTAAATACAGTTCACAGCTCTGCCCGACACGGATTCATCCAGGCCACTTCTGCTGCGCCTTTAGCTCTCCAGGCCTGGGCTCTGCGTTTTGGCCAGGAGGAGTCACTTTTCAATTCCTCAAGTTGGGCAAGTGGCTGGAAGGCGATCCCCAGTGGCCAGGTGGGGCAGGGAGAGGCCATGTGAGGTTTGCCGACTCCTTCCTGAGAGGAGGGTGTTGGGGGAGAGCAGTGACACGCTCGGTGATTGTCCCCTCCCCAGGGCTCATCATTTCAGACCTGTGCTCCAGATCTGTCCCAGGGTCCTCCTCTGCAGCCTTAGCCAAGCTACTTAAACTCTCAGAGTCTTCGAATTTCCTCCAGAGAGTGGGCTTCTTCATCTGTGCCTCCCAGGGCTGTGGGGCTCCTTAGGTGAAGCAGCAACAGCACCACCTGTCAGCCCTAAATGCCAGCACCCTGCAGTTCAGGATGCAGAGAAATCCTCAGAGGGACGATGCCTCATTCATGAAAGGCACCTGGACCACGTTTGAAAGTTGCATTTATGGCCCAACATTGCCTGTTGGTATGGTAAATAATCTAGAAGAGGGTTTTCAAATTCTCTTTCCTGTCTAGGAGTGGCCACCATCCTTTATGAGAGTCGTTTGGGCTGCCTGGAAAACAGCATCCCACAGCTGACTGTGGAATACATCGAGGCCCTGGAGCTCATGTTTAGCATGTTCAAGACCTCCATGTATGCAGGCGCCATCCCCAGATGGCTTCGCCCCTTCATCCCAAAGCCCTGGCGGGAATTCTGCAGGTCCTGGGATGGACTCTTCAAATTCAGTAAGAGAAGAATTGAGAGCACCTTTTGCAGAAGCAGGTTGACCTGCCGTGTTGTGTGTCTAACTCTCATCCAGACAATGGGTGACCATAGCAGAGGATGCCTAGATGTAGTCACGTGTTAGTTTTTGGACCCATAACTTTTGGATTTTTTTTTTTTTTGAGACGGAGTCTGGCTCTGTCGCCCATGCTGGAGTGCAGTGGTGTGATCTCAGCTCACTGCAACCTCTGCCTCCTAGGTTCAAGTGATTATCATGCCTCAGCCTCCTGAGTAGCTGCGATTACAGGCACCTGCCACCATGCCTGGCTAATTATTTTGTATTTTTAGTAGAGATGGGGTTTCACCATGTTGGCCAGGCTGGTCTTGAATTCCTGACCTCAGGTGATCACCCACCTTGACCTCCTAAAGTGCTGGGATTACAAGTGTGAGCCACCACGCCTGGCCATGGATTTGTTTTTCAAAGAAGCAAAAAGCATGTGGGTTGTGACTACAGGTAACATGATCAGTTTTTTCATTTTAAAATAATTTTTATTTTCACTAGCATGCTAGCAGGGACAGGTACAAGTAAATGTCCATGCAAGATGATGTCTTTACTCCAAATAAATTGGTCAGTGCTTAAAATGTAGAGTTTCAGGTCCACGCACATTCATTTGAATGTGACAATTTTTGTTCAAATCCAAGGTGAGATTACAAAGAGATTTGTTTTCTTATGTGACTAAAATTTTTACTATAAAAGCATTGCCAAAAATAAAGAAATTATTTTCAAAATGCTTAGAACAATGTTCTAGAGCAATGCTAACACTGAATAAAGTGTTTCATGGTGTCTTTTCAAGATCAATATTTAGGCTGGGTGCAGTGGCTCACGCCTGTAATCCCAGCACTTTGGGAGGCCGAGGTGGGAGGATCACCTGAGGTCAGTAGTTAAAGACCAGCCTGGCCAACATGGCGAAACTGCGTCTCTACTAAAAATACAAAAATTAGCTGGGCGTGGTGGCGCGTGCCTGTAATTCCAGCTACTTGGGAGGCTGAGGCAGGAGAATGGCTTGAACCCGGGAGGCGGAGGTTGCAGTGAGCCGAGATCCTGCCACTGCACTCCAGCCTGGGCCACAGAGCGAGCCTCTGTCTTAAGGAAACAACAACAACCACAACATTTATTTGAATATAGAAGTCCTGAAGTCTGTGCTGTATGGTAACATCCCAGATAATAATGTGTGGCCTTTTCCCCTCCACTCATTTTCTCTTCTGAAAGTGTGGTAGAAAAAAATAAAAGAGTTTGCATTTTGTTACTCATATTATATAAATAATTTATTTGGCTATTGGATTAGTAAAGCAAACATCTGCAAATATCCTACAGCTTATTTTTAAAAAGGAAGATACGTTTAGCTTGTCTTTTAACTTTTCATTCATTTACATAAGCAAGTGTATGAGTGAAACTCCCAGGTTGACGTTAGATAAATTGGGTTTCCTTACCCTCTGTCACCTGCCACTGGTTTAGTTAAGCTACTGGGAGGACAGAGGGCTTTGAGACTGAAAAGATGATTCTCAACCCAAACTCCTTTCAAAAGAAATACTGTTTTCAAACAGGCCAAATTCATGTTGACAACAAGTTGAGGGACATACAGTACCAAATGGACCGAGGCCGGAGGGTGAGCGGGGGACTTCTCACATACCTCTTCCTTAGCCAGGCTCTGACGCTGCAGGAGATCTACGCCAACGTGACTGAGATGCTGCTGGCCGGCGTCGACACGGTGAGTCTGGGGGTCCTGTTCTCAGCAAGCAACACACGATAACCCCTTCCTCATCACCTCATGGACGTTGTCTACTTTTTTGGAGCGGGAGGATGGAGTTTTACTCTATTGCCCAGGCTGGAGTGCAATGGCATGGTCTCGGCTCACTGCAACCTCTGCCTCTCAGGTTCAAGTGATTCTCTTGCCTCAGCCTCCAGAGTAGCTGGGATTACAGGCGCCCGCCACCACTTCCAGCTAATGTTTTGTACTTTTAGTAGCAACGGGGGTTTCACCATGTTGGCCAGGCTGGTCTCGAACTCCCGGCCTCAGGTGATCCACCCGCCTTGGCCTCCCAAAGTGCTGGGATTACAGGCATGAGCCACTGCGACTGGCCGTTGTCTACTTTTAAGGCAGATTTGTTTAGCACACTGTTCATGTTTGTACTAGGCCTGCTGCACTGCTGGGGGGCTCCAGGAGGAGAAAACTCTGTGTATGCAGTCACGCCTCACTTAATGATGCAGATTTGTTCTGAGAAATGCGTTGTTGGGTGGTCCTGTCATTGCGTGAACATCTTAGAGTGTATTTACACAAACCTAGATGGTAGCCTACCACATACCTAGGCTGCACGGTAGAGCCTATTACTCCTAGGCTACACAACTGTACGGAATGTTACTGTACTGAATACTGTGGGCAGCTGGAACACAGTGGTAAGTATGTGTGTATCTAACATACTTAAACATTGGCAAGCTACAGTACAAATGTGGCTTTATAATCTTATGGGATCACCATTGTATATTGGGTCCATCATTGACCAAAACATCACTATACGATGCATGATTGTATATTAAATGTAAGGTGCATAATGATTTCTGTGAAAAGCATAACCAAAATTCCATTAGCACACACACAAAATGATAATAAATGTTTAAAGTTTACAAATCATTCCTGATTTGTAAACATTTTGTCATTGTTTCATAATTTCATACATGAAGAGGGTACAGACATTAAAAACCTTATTAGTTATCATTTAAAATATTCCAGGCCATGGAATTTATTTATAAAGCCAAGAATTCATTTCATTCACTCCCCAATTTGTTCTATAAAGCCAACATAACTTCAAAACCAAAACCTGCTAAAGAGAGTGTAAAGAAAGTAAACTAAAGCAGTTTGGTTGATGAGTGCGTGTGTGTGTGTGTGTGTGTGTGTGTGTATCAACAAATTCCCTGTGAATGGAGCCCAGTAGCATGGCAGATCAATGATACACTGGGACCAGGGAGGGTTCATATCAGAATGAGACAGAGCACTGCCCATTAACCTGGGGGGAACCCACAGGCTATCCGATGGGAAAGGAAGAGGCAGACCAGCATGTATACTGTGTCCTGTGAGTAAGATGCAGCGGCACCGCCCCCTCCCGGCTGTGTGCATCTGCACATCTGTCCGTGACTGTGCGAACACAGAGCAGCGCGTGGAGGGAACACACTAGATAGTTAACATGGGTTTTTGGCTGGCTGGGGGTGGCATGGTCCGGGGGGAATAAGGAGCCAAGTTCCTTTCAAAAGCACATGTGTAATATGATACAATTAATAGGATACGTGTGAAAATGATCGCCGTGTAGGTACAGGTGAAAGCAGTTGTAAAATTTGCTAAAAGGAAATGGCAAAACAGGGAGGAGCTAGGCTGATGCTTTCAGTGGGTGGAAGATAATGAAATTTCTGGCTGGAAACTGGGGAAGCTGCGGGCTGGGGTGCTGCTGGTGGTCGGGTGGAAAGAGAGAATTAAGATTGCGTGACGCTTCGCTGTTTCCAAAGCATTGCACGCACACCCTGCCTGTCTCACAGCTTCCTCTAAGGTAGGAGTCATTGACTTCATTAACAGGTGGGGAAACTAAACAACCAAGCCCATCATCTCAAAGCTTTTCCTTTGCACGGGTGCTTCCCGGCCTTGAATAAGGCACGCCCCGCACAGACCTACATCTTAAAGGGGCAAAAAAGCCTCAAGGCTTTATTTTTATTGTAATATCACTTAAGCATGTAAAAGCGAAAAACAAAACAAAACAAAACAAAAACAAACCCACACAGCATAAACTCCTTATTCTTTTGGATTTTGTGCAACAATAAAACAAAAAGTATATGAACTAAATGCAAACTAAATGATGCAATCAATGAGAATTCTAATTAACTACCTGAATGTGATGGTGTGGATTCGCTCAAATTAAGACACCACTTGAAAGGTGAAGAAATCAATGAATGGCTTCGTCGCTGAGCTTGTGCCTCCTGTCCCCTGGTGGTAACTAAGAACATCACAATGAGGTGGCATTCAGAAGGAAGCTGTTCCTTTTAGCATCCTACAATAGAAGCCAGGGAACAAATTCTTACAACTTCATACTGATTTTTAAAAATTAGTATGATTTTATTGCGGTATAACTTATGCATAGTCAACTCCATTTAAACTGCATAATGCGATACAGATTTTTGACAGATGGAATCATTTATGAAACCACTGCCACATTTTTCTAAACATTGATGAGAATGGAATCATATAGCATGCTGTCTTTTCCATCTGGCTTCCTGCACTCAGAAGAATGACTCAGGTTCATTCATGTGGTGGCATAGAACAGTAATTGATTCTTTTTTATTACTAAGTAGTATTCCATTGTATGGATATACCACATTTTTTCCATAAAAATGTGATCTAAATAGAAATTTTCTATTCTCTTGATAGGAAGCATCTAAGTAATCTTTTATAATTTATAAGACCTTGCACATTATATTATATATACAAGAGGGCTGCCCTCTAAAACACGTGATATCTTCTACAAGAAAATGATATCAATATTGCCTGCTTAAATTAGTTTTTTTTTTTTGGTGAAAGAGAAAGGCCTTTATACTGTGGCATTTCCTTGTTTACTAGAGAGTGAAATGTAGTCCCATAGATGATACTATTGATTTTAGCGAAAATCTTGGGACCTACGAGAATAAAACAATTATTTTCAATAAGTAGAAAGGTTTGAGAAGAGGTATAAAAAATGACATGGCTGACCGGGCGTGGTGGCTCACGCCTGTAATCCCAGCACTTTGGGAGACCCGAGGTGGGCAGATCACAAGGTCAGGAGTTCCAGACCATCCTGGCTAACAGTGAAATCCTGTCTCTCCTAAAAATACAAAAAATTAGCCGGGCGTGGTGGTGAGCGCCTGTAGTCCCAGCTACTCGGGAGGCTGAGGCAGGAGAATGGCATGAACCCGGGAGGCAGAGCTTGCAGTGAGCCGAGATCGCGTCACTGCATTCCAGCCTGGGCGACAGAGCGAGACTCCGTCTCAAAAAAAAAAAAAAAGACACTGCTTTGCATAGACGAGTTATTGACTTGCTCTGTGTGGACCTTACTTGATGAAGGCAGGACACGATGGCTAACTAGTGATCTCCTGTGCACTCCAATCTCTAGATTAGGGCAGCCAGAGTGGGCCGGGCCCAGCATCCTGGGGATGCCGGGGGGCAGCCTGAGGCCCTTTCTGGCACACACCGAGCAAGCCCTGCAAAGAAGGTCACACAAAGTCCCAGCAGATCCTCCAGGCTCCACGGCATCCCTGACATATTGCTCTTCAGTGATTAAAAAAAGCTCCAGGATCATTTTTCCTGTGGCTCTTCATGACAGGAGCACATGAATCATAGAGTCAATGTCACTTGCCAAATACGTTCAGTTATTTATTTATTTATTTATTTGCCATGAATTAAGGAAACAGTCTTTCGTTTTTAGTAAGACATTAGGTGCTATATGGAATTGGATGAGTTTGACTTTGTGCTGTGTGTATTCCCAGGGGACTTCCTACCTGCCACCGCCTCTGTTTCAGTCCCTGGTGTTACTCACTGCCTGCCTGTGTCTGCCACTTTCTCTCCTTAGACGTCCTTCACCTTGTCTTGGACTGTGTACCTCCTGGCAAGGCACCCAGAAGTGCAGCAGACGGTGTACCGGGAGATTGTGAAGAATTTAGGGGAAAGGCATGTTCCAACTGCAGCTGATGTCCCCAAGGTCCCGCTGGTCAGAGCTCTCCTTAAGGAAACCCTGAGGTAAAAGGCTCGCCAGAATCCGTCAACAAACTGTGTCCCTTAGGTCCCTGGTTCTCTATCACAACAAGTCCTCCAAATGCCCCCCCGGCTGACCTGTTCAGGATGAGGATGTTCGTGACTGTTATTTTTTCTCTGCTCTTGTCAGAATAGCAGAAAGACCATTCTGTTTTATGGGTCGACATAATCCTTGTTCTCTGTAAAGATCTTTGGGCCAGGCACAGTGGCTCACGCCTGTAATCCCAGCACTTTGGGAGGCCAAGGCAGATTACCTGAGGTCAGGAGTTCAAGAGCAGCCTGGCCAACATGGTGAAACTGCGTCTCTACTAAAAATACAAAAATTAGCAGGGCGTGGTGGTAGGCACCTGTAGTCCCAGCTACTTGGGAGGCTGGGGCAAGAGAATCGCTTGAAGTTAGGTGATGGAGCCAAGATTGCACCAGTGCACTCCAGCCTGGGCAACAGAGCGAGGCTCTGTCTCAAAAAAAAAAAAAAAAGAAAAAAGATCTTTGGAGCAGTCATTGAATATTGTCCCTGCTTTAGCCAATTGGCTTACTGGGGGTTTCCCAAAATGTTCCTGGGTCAATGGCCTTTGACTTTGTTCCTCTGAAGATAACACGAAACAAGATCGATTTGTTAGGAAAATAGTTTGACCTGTTCAGCTGATTTGCAGACCTGGATACAAACCTCATGGTTCTTGAGTGAATGTTCTCATCTGGGTTTAGACGCCACCCAGTGAGGCTCAATTACTCCCAGACAGGGCTTTCCTGACAAACAGAAAAGCCGGAGGGATGTGGGTTGTCCTGGGTTGAGGGGATGGTTTGGGTAGGAGGTGGGATTAGGGACGGATTACATCCCTTCCCCCAAACACGGCATCCTCTGTGAGGAAATGCTGCGACAAAAAGCAAAGCTTGTTTTCTGCAGTATATACTAAAGAATTCTTTCAAAGCTGACTTGATAATGACCGTCAACCTATATAGCATGCTGTTGAACCTCAAAATTAAAAAAAAAGAAGCAGCTGGCTGTGGGGTTTATTGGTATTTGTCAATTAAAGTTTTATTCAGGGTTTTCTGAGATAATCCGATCGCCGAAGTATCTTTTCTCCAAATGCATTTCATGGGGCCTTAAGTCCTATGAACTATTCCTTGATAAAGTGGTCCCGTGGTCACATAAAATATTAGAAACTTGGAATTTCCCTCCTGGGAACACAATGGCATGTGAAAGGCTTGGCTTTGTGTTTTGCAAATGTTTTGCTTTGGGAGTCTTTTCCACATTCCTCAGAATACTCGCTGGTAAAGCAAGCCAACAAAGAAGCAGCAAAGGTCCTTGCAAAATGTTTCAGTTGAAAATGTACCATGTGTTACTTTTTAAGAATTTTTAATGGAAATGGGAATATATCCAGGGTTCTGAACGTTCAATAAAATACTGTGAAAGTCACCACGCCATTCCCGTCCCCGCTGGCTCTTTTCCAGGCTGTTTCCAGTGCTGCCAGGGAACGGCCGGGTCACCCAGGAAGACCTGGTTATTGGCGGGTATCTGATTCCGAAAGGCGTGAGTTTGGGGCCATGGGGGTGGCCAGGCCTTGCGGGTCGGGGTTGAATTGGAATCTGCTTCTACCTTCAGGAAGTCTTTGTCCCTAAGCAGAGATCAATAGGTTTCCTTTTCTTTTGCATGTATTTTAAGATGAAGATGGGGTGTTGGGAGAAAGGAAGGGAATGGTGTGATCTCACTGCTCTGGAAACTTACTGCTCACCAGCAAGGCAGCCCATGCTCCTTGGCCTGCTCCCCAGGCCGTGTGGAAGTGGCCAGTCACCGCTGGGAGTCTCTGAAGGGCTCGACGGTCTTCTCAGTGGCTGCAGTGACATTTGGGGTGCAGTGTGGAGTGGGAAGGGGGGAGCGGCTGCCATCCTGGGTGTGAGTGGACCCGGGCGGCCCCCAGGCGGGAGCACCCCGGGAGACTGTCCGGCTAGGGCTCTGGGCCCTGCCCTGCTCTTGAGTGATTCTGCCCCTTTTCCCTTTTCTGTCATCCCTGATTTCCTCAGACCCAGCTGGCCCTTTGCCACTATGCCACATCGTACCAGGATGAGAACTTCCCTCGGGCCAAGGAGTTCCGGCCTGAGCGCTGGCTGCGGAAAGGAGACTTAGATAGAGTTGACAATTTTGGATCCATCCCCTTTGGTCATGGGGTTCGCAGCTGCATAGGGCGGAGAATTGCAGAACTGGAGATTCACCTCGTCGTGATCCAGGTAGGGCGTGGAGGCCAAACGTTGGCCTTTGGGTTCGGCCTCTTTCTACTGGGCACAACAGGATAAAGACTTCCAGGTTGAAAAGCAAAGACGGTTTTGGAAACTTAAGATCAAGAGCCGTCAGGCACTGTGGCTCACACCTGTGGTCCCAGCTACTCAGGAGGCTGAGGCGGGAGGCTCACTTGAACCCAGGAGTTCAAGGCTGCAGTGAGCCGTGATCACACCACGGCACTCCAGCCTGGGCGACAGAGTGAGACCCTATCCAAAAATAAGAGCTCTGCATGATATCCTTTGAAAATGCCTCCCCATCTCCCGTGCCCACCCTGTCCTCCAACCGCGTGGCTACACTCTGAGAAACCCTGGAGGTCTAAGCGAGGCCCTGTGGGGATTGGGGACCCCGCCTCCACCTCTAGTGGCCGTGTCTGCAGTTAGGAGCTGGCCTCTCAGGCACCGTCAGCAGCAGCCCCCCCCCCCGGGAAAGGCACAGTGGTGCTCTTGCTGGTCTCCTTTGTTTAACTGACCCAACCATTTACACAGAGCAGTGGTTCTCAAGCTTCTTAGGTTGTGAAACATCAGGAAGCCCTGGGTGTTGTTACAGAACACCTTACATGTGAAGATACATAATTCTGGGTTTGCACCGTATCTGGATTCAGGCTATAGCAGGAACTAAATAACACCTGAAGGAAATTTTATAAAAGTAAAGTCAATGGCGGAGAAAATTCCACCCATTAGCCTCTCCTGCAAGTTGGAGAAGACTGTTTCAGCGACGGGAAACCTTGGCCCGAAGTTTGGGAGCTCCATCGTTGCCTGAACATTTGGAGAATGTGGGGAGTGCCTGGTGACCTCATCTCCCCATTTTACTGATGAGGAAACCGAGGCTCAGAAAGCAACAGCCACTTACCAAGTCCCACAGTGGCAGGTGCAGGGCAGGATCCAGGTGTCTTGACTTTTCCCCTACAAGTCATGCAGGTGCCCCCTCCAGGCTCACTGGGAGACCGGAGCTGGGCAGAAGGGAGAGTAAGGGACCAGGGAAGCCTGGTTGGCTGGGAGGAGGGGTAGAGGGATTCTGGATGGTCAGGCTCAGGGTGGGCACCAGAGCTGGAGAAGGTAAGGGTCTACTGCCCAGGGAGGAGGCACAGAACGAGGTGTGGGGAGAACCCCCACTGGCTCAGGGCTGGCTCTGGAGGCACAGGTGGCCCATGAGACTCTGCTGGGGTGGGGCTGGTGGGACCAAGTGGCCATCCCACCTTTGTGTGGATGTGGCCGCTGCCCCTGTCCCTGGGAGTATGTGAGTGGCAGCTCGATGTGTAGGGGGAGCTCAGGGCAAGCTGGCTTCACCCTCAGTTCTGCCACTTGCTGGCTCCGGGACCTTGGCAGGTTTCTCAGCCACCTGAGCTGAGCCTGTCACGTCATTTACAAAAGGGGCCAAATCCCTGCCTGATAGGTGTGTGAGGAGTAAAAACAGTCCACGTACAGAGTCTGTGCCCAAGAAGTGGAAGCTGTTCTCATCTTCTGAGCCCTGCACTAAGTCTGCTGTGGGGAGTGTTTTCAGGAAGGTCTCAGCTCCCTAAAATGCTGCTGTGCCTCCCGCAGCCACTGCACCCTCCCGAAGGGCATCGGTGAGTTGGGAGGGATGCTTGTTGCCCCCAGGCTCTGGCTGCCTGAAGAACCGGGGTAGACACCTGAGCAAGAGGCCAGCGGTGAAATGGTATTTGGAGCTCGTGATGGGGTCTTGTTTGCTGCTGTCAACATATGAATATAACTGCTAAAGTTTTTGCTTAAAAAGTCCTCATTTCTACCTGGGCAAGTGTAGAAAGGGAGCATCACGGTTTTTATTTTATTTTATTATTTTTTTTGAGTCTTGCTCTGTCGCCAGGCTAGAGTGCAGTGGTGCAATCGGCTCACTGCAACCTCCGCCTCCTGGGGTCATGCAATTCTCCTGCCTCAGCCTCTGGAGTAGCTGAGATTACAGGTGCCCATCACCACGCCCAGCTAATTTTTGTATTTTTAAGTAGAGATGGGGATTCATCATGTTGGCCAGGCTGGTCCCGAACTATTGACCTCAAGTGATCCACCTGCCTTGGCCTCCCAAAGTGCTGGGATTACAGGTGTGAGCCACTGTGCCTGGCCCATGATTTTTTTTTTTTTTTTTCAGAGTCTCACCCTGTCACCCAGGCTGGAGTGCAGTGGCGCAATCTCGGGTCGCTGCAACTCTGTCTCCCGGGTTCAAGCGATTCTCCTGCCTCAGCCTCTGGAGTAGCTGGGATTACAGGCACCTGCCACCATGCCCAGCTAATTTTTTGTATCTTTAGTAGAGACGGGGTTTCACCATGCTGGCCAGGGTGGTCTCGAACTTCTGACCTCAAGTGATCCATCGCCTCGGCCTCCCAAAGTGCTGGGATTACAGGTGTGAGCCAGCACGCTTGGCCCATGATTTTTAATTGTTAAGAAAAAAGCCAGGCACTGTGGCTCACACCTGTAATCCCAGCACTTTGGGAGGCCAAGGCAGGCAGATCATGAGGTCAGGAGTTCGAGACCAGCCTGACCAACATGTGAAATCCCATCTCTACCAAAAATACAAAAATTAGCCAGGCCTGGTGGCGGGTGCCTATAATCACAGCTACTTGGGAGGCTGAGGCAGGAGAATTGCTTGAACCCAGGAGGCAGAGGTTGCAGTGAGCTGAGATCGTGCCACTGCACTCCAGCCTGGGTGACAGAGTAAGACTCTGTCTCAAAAAAAAAAAAAAAAAAGAAAAAAAAAAGAGAAGCCACAAATAGTACCAGGAATGAGCAGGAAGGCACAACTGTATAGACAGGAGTTTATTTTTTTTTAATCAAGAAAATACCTAAAACAGTTTTTTTGCCAATGAATTTGAAGACTTAGATAAAGCATACTGTTTACTAGAAAAAATATAAGTGATCCAAATTGACTCAAATGAAAGAGAACAGACCTAAGATATCGAATCAGTGAGAGCAGATCAAAGAAATGAGTCAGTGGTAAAAAGATTTACCCCTAAATTATCCTGAACCTAGACAGGGTTATTGGCAAGTTTTATCAAACCTTCAGGGAACAGGTAATCATCATCTTATATAAATAGAGAATAGAAAAAGGAAGTCTCATTTTGTGAGACTTGCATAACCTTGATATTCAAACCTGGAAAGGATGATATGGAAAATAAAAACTACAGGCTGGCCTGACTGATTAATAATTGAAGATAGAAAATGTGCAAAATCAACAGTTGGCAGGCTGAATGTATAAAACGGAAAGGCATCTTCACATATCATCAGGTGTATTCAGGAATGCAAGGATGGTCTGCCTAGAGAAAATCTGTCAGTAGAATTCACCAAGATAAAAAGGAGGAAAATTACATGAGCATCCCAAAAGATAATTGATAAAATTCAACCCCAATTAATGAAGAAAGTCTCTTGGCACAGAAGCAACAGTGGAGCCTTTCTTTTTTTTTTTTTTTTTAATTTTACTTTAAGTTCTGGGATACATGTGCAGAACACGTAGGTTTGTTACATAGGTATACATGTGCCATGGTGGTTTGCTGCACCCATCAACCCGTCCACTAGGTTTTAAGCCCCACATGCATTAGGTATTTGTCCTAATGCTTTCCCTCCTCTTCCCCCTATCCCCCTGACAGGCCCCTGTGTGTGATGTTCCCCTCCCTGTGTCCATGTGTTCTCATTGTTCAACTCCCAACAGTGGGGCCTTTCTTAACCAAATAAATGGCGTCTGCCCCAACAGTACAGGAACATGCCTGAAGGCTACTGGGAAGGAAAGGGACAGCTTTCATGGTGTGATATTAATGTGTTCCCTTAAAATCAGGAAAAAGATATTTGATTGAACAGGAATGTTTGGAAGATCCACCCCAGCTCCCTGGGAGCTGGAAACTGGATGTAGGGGGGCGGAGGGGGGGGGCAGTGTTTTTTGTCTTTTGTCTCCTGCATAGTTTTAATTTTTTCAACAAACAAACCACTCAGAAAAGAAAAAATACCGTGTGGCACGATGGCCTTGAAGTTAGGAGACCCACATGTCCACATGTGAGTCTTCCCTCTACCGCATGGGAATGAGCAGGCGTTTCTGAGAGGTCAGCACGAGGGGTCAGAGGTTAGGTGTTTAGGCTGAGCCACCCAGATGCCAGCACATGATGTAGCTGCCTGAAAACATGCTGTTCAGCTCATTTCTTTAATAGTGACAAAGGCATGAGTTCCGCCTGCGTCCCCATTGCAAGACTTGACCCTTGAGCCTTGGTGCCCTGTCTGACTCTTAATTATTTAAAAGAGATACCTTAAAGAGATAATCGCTTTAGGGTGATGGATACTTTGGTGTTCTTTCAAACTCACTGTGTAGGTACATTCCAGTTTTACCCTGGGAGGCAGGGCTGGTTCTGCTTTTGAACTATAGAAATGAGAGATGGAATCAAAGGTACGAACCAAGATCAACAATCTCATCATTCATTCCTTTTTCATTACTATTCACTATTACCAGCACAAGTGATTGTAAATTAGGCTCTGAGGAGAGCTCTACCTCTCCTTTCAATAGTGTTAGAGGCCGAGAGTGGTGGCTCATACCTATAATCCCAGCACTTGGGGAGGCGGAGGTGGGAGGATCGTTGGAGGTTAGGAGTTCAGGAGCAGCCTGGGCAACAAAACGAGTCTTTGTTTCTATGAAAAAATTAAAAAGTTAGCCAGATGTGATGCATGCCTGTAGTCCCAGCTACTGAGGAGGCTGAGGTTGGAGGATCACTTGAGCCCAGGAGGTTGAGGCTGCAGAGAGCTGTGATCACGCCATGGGGTCCCAGCCTGGAGCCCCAGCCCATTCTGGGTGCAGCTTCTTTGCCTGGGAGACAAAGCTGGACAGAGAGGAAGGGCAGGGCGGGGACAGCCTGGGCGCTAAGTAGGAGACTATGGTATTGCCAGCTCATCTGCCCCCTGCCCTTTCCAAATGGGCTGAAAGCAAGGTCCCTCCTCCCCCCAGGAGCCTGTCCGTGGACAGAAGTCTTTAGAGCAGGTTACCTGTATTCCTAAGCCCAGGGCTGACTTTGAACTCCAAACCCTAGCCGGCCGCCGGGGGAGATAATTGCTTTAGGTGTTCTTTCAAACTCACCGTGTAGGTACATTCCAGTTTTACCCTGGGAGGCAGGGCTGGTTCTGCTTTTGAACTGTAGAAATGAGAAATGGAATCAAAGTTACGAACCAAGAATATTTAAATTCAGGATAGTAGCACGATGAAGTCTTTCGGAGGATTCAGCTCTCTCCGCCTCTGTTTCTGGCCGGGTCTGAAGTGTCTGCAGTTTCAGAACCAGCAGGAAACCCGGAATTTCACTTTGTTCCGCATTTCCCCCTGCTCCTTTGATGCCTTCTTCATCTAGACCTGCAATGGAAGCAAAAGAGTTAGAATTTGAAATGGCAAGTGAAACTTAAGTCATCTGAGCATCTGCCTGCATCTCTGTCCCACCGGCTGCCCAGCTGCTTAGTGGACATGCCTAGGCTCTGGTACGGGATCTAAAGTTCTGTTTCCAAACAGCGGGCTTCCCACTGACCTGGAGGTTCTGTAGCCTCCAAAAGCTGGATGTGGGTGCTCATTGCCTGCGCTCTCTGCAGCCCAGTGCCGCCACAGGAAGAGTAAAAGCATTCAGGGAGCACTGAGAATTTTCTGCTGTTCCAATTCTGACCCCTTCTCTCTCTTTCTCTTCTTAGTTGCTTCAACATTTTGAGATCAAAACATCTTCTCAGACCAATGCTGTTCATGCAAAAACCCACGGGCTCCTGACGCCAGGGGGGCCCATCCACGTGCGATTTGTTAACAGAAAGTAAGCCTAGATTTTAAACCTGGGCTGATGTAGCAGACCAGCTCGCCGACACACAGTGGGTATTTGTGTTCGCTGATCACCGTGGAGAAGGAAAGCGATGTCGCTAAAGGCTGTCTTGTTATAGACTGGCCTCCCAGGTCCTGGGACACTTGTAAATCTTTATGCAAAGTAATGTAAAAAGGTTGCTATTTTACTGGTGCATACCAGAAGTTGCCCTTTCTTTGGGGGAAACAGCTGTTTAAAAACCAGTGGCAGTGAATTTTTATGCTTCATACATTGTGCTAGACTCAATATTTAATGACTGGCAGTATCCTGTGCATTTACTTGTACAGGGAAATGGTGGTTTACTTACAAATTCAGTTCTTCAATATATGTTCTCTAATACTGGCATCTGGGCTCAAATTGCCATCAACAGTAAGTTGAAGGCAATTTCAACTTACTGTTTCTAATTTGAAGAGGGAACATTAAGAATGCCTCTGTAATACTGTAATTATGGGAAGAAAGCACCAGAGGCAACATTTTATCCTGAGCACCAGATTTAGATCCTGTTAAAGGGCTCAAACTTAAAAGGGCTGGCCGGGTGCGGTGGCTCACGCCTGTAATCCCAGCACTTTGGGAGGTCAAGGTGGGAGGATTGCTTGAGCCAGAAGTTCGAGACCAGCCTGAGCAACATGGTGAAACCCTGTCTCTACCAAAAATACAAAAATTAGCCGGGCGTGGTGGTGCACACCTATGGTCCTAGTTACTCGGAAGACTGAGGCAGGAGGATCGTTTGAGCTCAGGAGGTTGGGTCTGCAGTGAGCTATCTATGATGGCACCACTGCACTTCAGCCTGGGTGACAGAGTGAGACCCTTTCTCAAAAATAAAATAAAATAAAATAAAATAAAATAAAATAAAATAAAATGGCTGTATAAGAATACTTTTCTCTCCACAACGAGTGCTTAATTTTCTAGTCATAATGCCTAATGAAGTTGACTATTAGTTTTTATTTGGAAGAAATAAATAATAAATAAATAATAAATAAATAAAAAAGAAAGCTCCTGGTGAAATCAAGAATAATCAGATTTTCTAACCAAATCTAAATACAGAGTAGAGCAGACGTATAAGAACTGGAAATATGATGACGTAAAATTTTGTTGCCTAAGTTGTGAGAAGTAATAAAACAGGCAGCATGGAAAACAATGTAACTTTAGAACATTTTTATTTCAAGGGAAAATAAATACATAAATAGAGATGCTACAGATACAACAATATTTTTATCTTGATGGTGTTGTTTTAAATATCCACACAAGAACCCTCACCCAGTTGTGTGCCTGTGCCAGGCTCTCTGGGAAGCCGTGGCTCCG
Source organism: Homo sapiens (assembly GCF_000001405.40). Classification (NCBI taxonomy): domain Eukaryota; kingdom Metazoa; phylum Chordata; class Mammalia; order Primates; family Hominidae; genus Homo; species Homo sapiens. Next base: position 127,185,927 of record NC_000002.12, on the reverse strand, counting down.
GGAGTGCTGGGTCCTGAGGAGTTCTGTTGCCTTTCCTGCTGCTCACCGGTTGCTAAGAGGAAACACCGTGATTTCCTGATGCTCTTGCCTTGTCATCATGCCTGAAACAGCTTATTCCCAATTCTGTAATTCCTTTTACATAATCCTTCTCCAAAAATTACTTTCTTACTAATATAGACCATACAGTTTTTTTTCCATTTAGTAAGTCACTCTGCAAAATAACCCTTAAGTAAATAGACATAATATCCATTTCACATACCATTTTTGTTAAAGTATATAATAAAGTTGAAATCTCTGTGTGGTAGCAGAATAACTCTAGTATGAATGCTGTAAATGTACAGGTAAATGTGAAATTAGGTCATATTAACTGGCCAAGTGTTGGATTGATTACTTTGAGGTAGCAGTATACGTATATTAAGTTTTATAAACTAGATGAAATTGCATTCTGTTTGAGACTGAAATTTAAAAATATTGAGAATAACTAAGCGACTTGAAGTGACCTCTTATTCCCTGGGTATACATACAGTGTGACCCTCTCGTGAAGTGTGGCTCTGCCTGGGGATCAGCACAGGGTGAATAGCAAAGTGCGGGCTGGGGGTAGCACCTGTGCCCGCTGCTGAGTCTCACTGAACAGGAAGGGAAGCAGCCAGACACGGGGGCCTCCTGGTGTGATGTAGCAGGAAGTGCAGGGCGCCACCCAGGAAGCATCCACGCCAAAGAAATGGAGATTCAGCTGGACAAGTTTCTAGGTTCGCTACTGGTTTATAGGAAATATGTGGTATACAGGGAGATGTCAAAACTCCATGGGGGCTGGGCGTGGTGGCTCACACCTGTAATTTCAGCACTCTGGGGAGGTTGAGGCAGGAGGATTGCTTGAGGCCAGGAGTTTGAGACAAGCTTGGGCAACACAGTGAGATCCTGTCTACTAAAAATCAAAAAACTTAGCTGAGTGTGGTGGTGCATGCCTGTAGTCCTAGCTATTTGGGAGGCTGAGGCTGGAGGATTGCTTAAGTCTGGGAGGTTGAGGCTGCAGTGAGCTGTGATCCGCCATTACACTCCAGCCTGGGTGACAGAGCAAGACTTCATAACAAACAAACACACAAACAAACTCCATGGGGATGCAGTCAGCAAAATCCAGAATAGAGTGAGGTCTATAGGACCAATGTCTCGGGTTTCCAACAAAACAAATACGTGACAGGCAAAAAACAAGAGGAGGGGCCAGGCGAGGTGGCTCATGCCTGTAATCCCAGCACTTTGGGAGGCCAAGGCGGGCGGATAACCTGAGGTCAGGGGTTCCAGACCAGCCTGGCCAACATGGTGAAACCCCATCTCTACTAAAAATACAGAAATTATCCAGGCATGGTGGCGGGCTTCTGTAATTCCAGCTACTTGGGAGGCTGAGGCAGGAGAATTGCTTGAACCTGGGAGGCAGTTTGCAGTGAGCTGAGATCACGCCACTGCACTCCACCTGGGCAACAAGAACGAAACTCCGTATCTAAAAAAAACAAAAACCAAAAAGCAAAAAAAAAACCAAGGGGAGAGGAGAACTGTTACAGATGAAGCAATATAGGAGACATATTAACCAAGTACAATGCTGGACTTCGTTTGAATCAGATTCAAATAAACCACTTGTAAAAAGACATTTAAGAGATAATTTTTAAAAATAAAATAAAAGCCAAAAATATTAATTCTTCCAATGCATGAAAAAAAGAGAGCAACTCGGGGAAATTTGAATGCTGACTGTGTGTATTTGATGATATTTGGGAATTACTGTTAATTTTTTTGTTGTGATAATGGTAGTTATGTTTTAAAAAAAGAGACTTTATCTCTTGGAGATAGCTCTTAAAGATATAAATGTTTATGGCTGAAATGTTATGGCATCTTGGATTTGCTTTAAAATAACCCAGCTTGCTGCAGGAGGTGGGTATTGTGTGTGTGGGAAGGTGGGGAGGCTGCGGGAGGAAGAGATGACCCAAGATTAGGCAGATGTTGTTAACTGTGGAAGCAGGGTGGTGAGTGGGGGCTCATGACATTATGCTCTCTACTTTGTGTACGTGTGAACATTTCCGTAATAAAAGATGCCTTCAGAAACAAAAGACTGATCAATAATCTCATCATTCATTCATTTTCCATTACTATTTGCTTTTACCAGCACAACTGATTGTAAATTAGGCTCTGCGGAGAGCTCTACCTTCCCTTTCAATAGTGTTAGAGGCCGGGCGTGGTGGCTCATACCTGTAATCCCAGCACTTGGGGAGGTGGAAGTGGGAGGATCATTGGAGGTTAGGAGTTTGAGAGCAGCCTGGGCAAACAAGGTGAGTCTCTTTCTACAAAAAAATTTTAAAAATTAGCCAGGTGTGATGCATGCCTGTAGTGCTAGCTACTGAGAAGGCTGAAGTGGGAGGGTCTCTTGAGCCCAGGAGGTTGAGGCTGCAGAGAGCCGTGATCACACCATAGTACTCCAGCCTGGGTGACAAAGTGAGACCCCCATCTCTTAAAAAAAAGGGGGGTTGGTTAGAAATGATTGACTTAACACACTGCAATAGTACAATGGTTGTGCTAGGGTTTAGGGGACCTGTTGGGGCCCAGGTAGCCTTTGCAGCTGAGAAGGAAAGACAGACAAGTCAGATAGCAGGAAGAAAAGGAGAAGTGGTCCCAGCAGGGGCTTAAATGGGTCAGACCACAGGGTATGACAGCAGGGGGTGGTGGGGCCCATGGGGGCACTCCCTGCCTGAAGGTTTTCAACCTCCAATTTTAAGAATGTGCTGGGCAAATGAAAGGGCTCACCTGCTGGTCAGGTCTGGGAAGCTGGCCGGGGTTCATGAGCGAGCCAAGGGCCCAGCACAAGCAAATGCCAGCGTGAGGCGGCTCCACAGCCCCTTCCCGGCAGAGGCAAGCACACCCATCAGGAAGGTGGGGGACCAGCACAGAGACAGCAGAGCCATTTAGGTGAAAGTAAAAAGGAACTTATCAGAGGGACACTGGGCATTTGTCAAATGGAAGGACCAGCAGACCAGCCAAGCATCAGCCAGGGCCATCCAGGAATCTTAGCTCAGGATCTGGGGCCTCCCCAGCTCCTGGCTCATGTTTCTGTGGCTCTCCTGAGGGGCTTGGCCTGTGATGGACAGGTGCTCTGACAAAAGCAGGAGGGCTGCTGAGCTGGCAGCCACAGGAGTCCACTGGCCAGCATCGCCAGTTGCTGGGCCGCACGTCCTCTCTCCCGTGTGTCCTCTTTCCCTTGGGGTCCCTGCACACCTGTGTGTCATTTCTAGCCCCTCCCTCCTCCACCTCCGATGAAGACTTGGGCTATTCAGAATACTTTTTTTTTTTTTTTTTTTTTTTGAGACAGAGTCTCGTTCTGTGGCCCGGGATGGAGCACAGTGGCACCATCTTGGCTCACTGCAGCCTCTGCCTCCCAGGTTCCAGTGATTCTCCTGCCTTAGCCTCCCCGCATAGCTGGAATTAAAGGTGTGTGCCACCAAGCCCAGCTAATTTTTGTATTTTTAGTAGAGACAGGGTTTTACCACATTGGCCAGGCTGGTCTCAAACTCCTGATTTCATGTGGTCCGCCCACCTCTGCCTCCCAAAGTGCTGGGATTACATGTGCGAGCCACTGCACCCAGGCTCAATACATCTTAGGTCACTTCCTGGAAAGAAAAAGTTCTCCAGTGACTTTTAGCCACTGCCACACTCTCATTTAATAATGAAAACATGCAGTCCTGTGTAAAGAAAACTTTGCTTAAAGCTGAGCATCTCTCCTCCCTCAGCTCAGGGCGGTGGAGGCTGGATGCCAGCAGGGCTGGGTGCCGTTGACCTCTCTGTTTCCTGCCTTGCCCTACCCCACTCCCACCCTAGGCTCTCAGGCTCCTCTGGTTTGGAGCTGGGGGAGGAAGAGGAGTTGGGGTGGGACAGGAGCCACTTGACTGATGCCTCGGAGACTTGGCCTGAGCCTCTTCAGCCTGGGCAGACACAGATGCAAAATGGACCCTCCCTCCTGGGGGTTCTTTCTCAGGGCTTTTCCCAAACAGGGAGTCTCCAACCAAACTTACCAAGAAACGGGCAGTGCCTCTCCACCAGGCAGCTTCTTATGACTGCCGGTCAGCCTTGGGCATCCAGGGTCCACTTCTGCTTGGGAGCTAGGCCCCTCCAAGTGCTCCTCCAGGGCAGAACCTAAAACCCTCCCGCTGACTCCCTTGTGTCCCACACTCTCCCCACCAAAGATTGGTGATTGGAAATGGGAGGTCTGGTCACCAGTCTTTCCTAGTCATTTACAGAACAAGAACAATGAAGAGAGAGTGGTACTATAATCTAAGCATCAGAATTGCAAACAGGCAGTGTGACTCAGTCTCGGGGCTCAACTTCTCCCTTGGCATAATACATTTAGAGGGTCCTAAAATTTTATTTTCTTTTGCAATATAAATAGTGTCATACTGTATCATTCCACAACTTGCTCCCTCAATCATTTTAAGTGATTTATTCATGTTGCTACAAGTGAATCTGCTTCTTTAATTTTAACTCTTCACAATATTTCTTGATATTAATATAGCACTATTTACTTACCCATATTCTTGGAAGAAGCCTTTTTAACTAACACTTCCTTTTATTATAACTACTATTATTTTTATTATACTTGTATAGAGGAAAACTTCAAACAACCACAAAAATAGAATAATGAACCACAATGTATCCAACCTCAAAATTTTTAACACCTCATTTCCAGTCCAGTTTCATTTCATCACATCAGTATATATCTCTAAAACATATGGATTCTTTTTTTAAAAAAAAACACGTAATACCATAAAAATAGCTAAAAATTTATCAATGATGCATTATAATTTTCAAATATCCAATCAGCATTCAAATTTTCAATTGTCTCATAAATATAAATTTTGAAGTAGTGTGAATCTATTCAAATAATGTTTATTCCTTGAGATGGACTGATTTGTCTCTTAAGTATCTTTTAAGGTTCTCCCTCTCTCCCTCTCTTCCTGTGTCTTTCTTAAATTTTTTTCTTGCAGTTTATTTCTTGAAGAAACTGAATTGTTTTTCCTGCAGAATTTCCCACAATCTGAATGTTGCTGATCTCGTTCCTGTGGTATCATTTAGCATGTTCTTCTATCCCCTGTTTTTCCTGCATATTTGTAGTTAGATCTAGAGGTTACCCTCATTCTAAAATAATTTAGTTGAGTATAGAACTCCATATTAGTGGTTATTTTCTCCCGGCACTTTGAAGATATTATTCTGTTGTCTTTAGACTTTGGTTATTGCTATTGAGAAGTCTGAGGTCATTCTATTCTCACTCTGTAGGCAATTTATCATTTCTGTCTGGCTGTCCTTGCTCTTGGTCTTGAAGTTCTCCTATTTCATAAATTTTAATTATTTTACTTACAGCTCATAGAAAAACCTCCCTGAATTAGAAGATGCATATCCTTCATCAATTCTGGAAAATTCTCAGCCATTTTTTTCTTGAGTATTGCTTTTCTCTGTTGTCTTCATTTACTCATTTAGGAGTTTCTAGTAAACTGGAACTGGATCTTCTGTCTTCATTCTCTGATTTTTATCTTTTCTTTCAAACTTTTCACCTATTTATGTCTCTTGAGTGGCATTCTGGGAAATTTCTTCAATCTAGTTTCCAGTTCACTATTGCTCTTTTCAGCTATATTTAATCTGCTACTAAACATGTCCATCATTTCAATAATTGTTGTTTTCAATTCTATAAACACTATTTGGTTCATTTTCAAACAAGCCTGGTCTTTATCTTAACAATGTCTTGCTCCTGTATCATCCCTTGACTCCTTTTATCGAACGACTGTAAGCATACTTATTTTATAATCCACCTCTGTGTGTTTTGTTGTTTGGAGTTCCCAGGAGTTGAGTTCTTTGGTGCACTGTTGCTTGGACTGTTGCTCACCATGGCTTGTTTCCTCATTTGCTTTGTGGTTTTGGGGCATGCGTCTCTGTTGGTGGAGCTTTACTTGTAGAACATGTGCAGCCCAGACTGAGGGTATGTTCCTCAAAGGAGCTTTGGATTTGCTCTTGCCAGACACCCCAGGGGTGTTAACAGCTTGAAATTGCTATTTTCTTATTATTTCTCAACAGTGGGATTCCTTGACAATGCTTTCAGGCAGGCCTGAGGCTGTGCATTCTCATGGAAACATTTTGAGACAATCTGAGACAGACATAGTCTTTTGTGGCCACTTTTGGTCAATGAACAGATTTTTATTTATTCTCCGAAAGTATAGCCCTTTGATGATCCTCTTTGTGGGGTGGCCTTGTTTCTAACTCCCCTCCTCTGGGCCTGGGCCACATTGCTTGCCTTCATGGTTAGTGAAAACAAGCCCTTTGGAAACTGCTAGCCTCCCCATCCAAGGCAGCCAAAGTGTCAGCCACACTTATACGTTTTTGATTTTCAGTTTTTTCTCGGTGGTAGGTAGAGTAATGCCCCCTGCCCCAAAGATGCCCACATCCTAGTCTCCAGAACCTGAGAATACGCTAGATGGCATGCAAATTGCAGATAAAATTACCATTGCTAATCATTTGATTTAAGATGGAATGATTGCCCTGGATTATCAGAGTGGGCCCAGTGTCATCACAAAGTTTCGTACAAGTGAAAGAGAGAGGCACAAGAGAGTCAGAGGAGATCTGATGACAGAAGAATGGCCAGAGATGCACCGCTGCAGACTCTGGAGATGGAGGAAGGGGCCACAAGCCAAGGAATGTCAGTGGCCCCTAGAAGTGGAAAAAGCTATGGAAATGGATTTTCCCTTAGGGAATGCAGCCCAGTGAGACCTGCGTCAGATGTCTGACCTCCAGAGCTGTAAGATAGTAAATTTGCGTTATCTCAAGCCACTAAGATTATGGTGATTTTTAAATGGCAGGATAGAAAAATAACACACTCTCTAACATATTTGGCCTTCAGTCTTTTTACTTTTCTGTGGACTCGTGCATGCATTTAGAGGGACACATACTTTATCCAGCATGTCTAGGTGTTTTGTAGTGGGAGATTTTAATACCTCAGTCTACCGTATTGCTGCAAACAGAAGCTGTGCCTTAATTTTAGAAAGATGCCTAATATCTTTCATTCTCAGGCTTTTTGTTTGTTTGGGTCCTTCTGTTGTGTTCCTCTTTCTCAATCCACTAATAGTTTTCATCATGAAGTATAAAGAATGAGGGGAAGAAGGACCCCAATGTCTCACACGAGACACCTTTTGGGACAAACGTAGATTTAGGCAATGAAGCTTGGATAGGAATGATCTTGATGGGCCAGGTGTGGTGGCTCACGCCTGTAATCCCAGCACTTTGGGAGGCCGAGGCAGGTGGATCATCTGAGGTCAGGAGTTCAAGACCATCTTGCCCAACATGGCAAAACCCCATCTCTACTGAAAATATAAAAATTAGCCCGGTGTGGTGGCATGTACCTGTAGTCCCAGCTACTCAGGAGGCTGAAGCAGGAGAATCACTTGAACCCAAGAGGTGGAGGTTGCAGTGAGCAGAGATCGCGCCATTGCACTCCAGCCTGAGTGACAGAGTGAGAATCTGTCTCAAAAAAAATAAAAAAATAAAAAAATTAATAAAGGAATGATCTTGATGGGTCCCGGGATCTGTGCAGCCCACAAGGACCCTGCCCCAAAGCACCACACTGTGTGTCTCTTGGGATGAAACACAGCAGAGGAGGAGATATTTTAGTCACTGCCAAATGCTTTGTTTTATATACAGGCTCTGATTTATAATTTAGCTCTTATATAATAAACACTTTCCAATAGAACTATACTTAGAACCGCACTGGCTTGTTTCATCTCGGTCTCTCTGCCGAGGGCCCAGATCTGCTGTGGCCAATGCGTGGATGTGGACAGTGGATCAGGAGGCTCCGCAGAGAGGGCTGCACCATCAAGAGAGCCCTGTCAGCCTCAGGACGGTGTGGCACCACCACCGCGATACGCCAGGGACGTGGCGTGGGTTTTAAATGTCAGCTATGTGGTAGGCAATTGTGTTGATAGCACCACATGTGGATTTCTAAATTACAGACTTAGTGAAAACCTAGGATCACCATGTCACTTCCAGAGTGTCTCCTGGTCCCCTCAAGTCTGAGTCATGAATGTCGTACGTGGGATTGGAGCAGCCACGGCAAGTGGGCACCCTCCAGGGACCCCCAAAGACTTCTGAAATTGCCTTCTGTGTGGGGGGGAAATGTGGCCAGAATGTATTTCGCTTATAGCCAAGCTTTTAAAAAGAAAGCAACAGCAACAAAGTGTGTGGGCTTTTAGTAGACATAGAGAGAAGGAGAAGTAACACCCTGTCAGGATGTGGAAGCCATTTCCATCAATAGATGATTCCAGAGGCGCACGGCGGGGGGTGGGGGGGTTCCCTGAGGAGACAACACCCAGCAGCTCTGCCTCTGGAGGCCGTGTGGAGAGCACGGGGAGCACCATCCCAGCATCTGCACTGTGGGCACAGGAGGCTGCTGGAACCAGAGACCCGGATCTGCCCTTGTTATTGTCCCGAACGTCGCTGCTGGACTGTGCATCCCCAGATGCTTCATTCCCTCACCCTGCCTGAAGCTCCCAAAATGAGTAGCAGGACACGTGGAGTCCTCTGGGCTTCTGATGCAGACAGACAGGGCCGGCGTCCGTCCAGTCCTCCATGCTGTCTAGCGCTTGGCTTTGGCAAGCACTCCAGGGCCCTGAGGTCTTTCCTTAAAGACCAGGGATAGCCACAGCCATTCTGCTTGATAAGGATTGGATGTGCTCATGGACACACGGCCTCTGGCACATAGCTGGGCCTCCGTAAAGGGTGCCTCTCTGCGTATCTGCCTCACACTGTTGATGAAGCAGCCTGCCGCAAAGTGACCGCCCAGCCCTATTGCAGTGCATTTAATCCGAGGGTGGGGAAATGGTTTCAGTTCTGAGCCCCAGTTTAGTGGGGTTCCAGGAAGTCATCAGGGAAGCGAGGACTGGAATCATGTGCCCATGAAGGATTGCACCATTACAGAAGGGAGTGCAGATTGGGGAAAATGCAACAGAAGCGGAAATGAAGTCCAGGTCACAGTGGGGACACATGTGGCATGGTGTGCAGGCTTGGGTGTAAATCCTGGCTTCCTCGCTGACAAGCGGCAGGACTTTCTCAAGCGGCTGGACCTCGGTGCCCCAGGCTCTCCAGCTGATGACTACACCGACCTTACACCGACCTCTTGGAGTTGTCCTGGGGTGGTGCCTGGCCCATGGGAAGAACGTTGGGCCTGTTTGCACCACCACTCTCTCTGAGCTGGCTTCCCTCCCTCCTCCCCATCTACACATCTTTTCTCTATCTCAGAGCCTCTGCCGACTGAGCCTCCTCCGACACAGCTCCTTTCTTTCCGTGCTTCTTCCCTTATGCTCCTGACTGCTCCCCGGGGCTTCTGTCTCCGCCTCCTCTCAGCTGTGTTGGAGCCGCTCAGCTCTGCCCCTACCCGGCCGTGTGCTGGCACTGGTTCATGCCACGCTGGCTTGAGGGAGCTGATGGTTCTGTTTTAAGCGAGCATTGAAACAGTCGTGGCAGGACTGTTTACACGATGGAAATCAGTAAGCACTGTTTCGGTGACGTCTGGGCCACACTTCACAGGTTAAGGACACAGTCCCCGTAAGACTGTCTTCCTACAGACTCCAGCCACAAGTTTGGTGGCAGGTCACCCTTGGGTGGCTACAAATTCAGGAATCGGGGTTTGGTAATTTACTGGATAATTTACTGGAATGACTCAGGGAACTCAAGAAAGCACGATGCTTAGGATTACAGTTTTATTATAAACACAAAGATACAAGTCAGAACCAGCCGAAGGGAAAGATGCATGAGTGAGGCCTGGGAGTGTCCCAAACACGAAGCTTCCGTCATTCCCAGACACGACTGTCTTCCCGCACATTGTGTGTGACGGTGCACAGAGTGCTGTCGCCCAGGGAAACTCACCGGAGCTGTGACGTCTGGAGTTCTTACTGGGTTTCATTATGTAGGCGTGGTTGATCGGATCACAGCTCACGGGACTTCATTTCGAGCCCCTCTCCCTTAGCCCGGGTCAGGCTGACATCTCAAAGCCCCAACCCTCTCCTTACACGGTTGGTCTTTCTGGCCTGGTGGCCCCCCATCCTGAGTTACCTTGCTAGCATAAACCATGGGCTGTAGCTCAAGGATCCACCATGAATAATAAGGGTTTAGAGGCAACCTCCCAGGACCTAGGGACAAGGACCAGCCAAACTGTCAATTACACAGCTACGAATCAGCGTCCACTGCCCCTCCCCTGTGTTTCCATTCCTGTCTCCGAGAGCAGGCCCCGGACAGGCCAGACTCATCTTTTCCTAGCATGCAGCATCACGAACTCTAACAAGCCTCTGGCCAGGTGCCACCCCGCCCAAGCTGCTGGAGAAAAATTCACCCTTTGCCTCTCCTCCCATGGGACCTGCCCTTCTCTTCTGCTCCCCTACCCCGCATTTAGTGACCTGAATCTCTGGCTTTCTATTTGTCCTTGCCAAATGTTATCTTTGCTGGTTTTAGCCTGTTCTTCCTCCTGTTGGATCATTTTTATATCCTGGATTTGTTAACTCAGACATGGAATGACTGCATCGTGCTGTTCACAGTTTTGGCAACTGCAGTTCCCATGTTTATGTAAGTCATTTGCAAGACCCTCCGTAATCAGTTGCTACAGCCCTCCCAGCCTCTGGACAGGGGTTTGAGCCTGTTGTTAATACATTGTCCCTACACTTCACTGCTCTCAGCCCTCCTCCTTGCCGAGTCTCCCAGGCCTCACACGTGCCTAGAGGATGTCTCCAGGGTTACTGCTCCCAGACCACGTGTGCAGGCCCCACCCACTGGCAGCTCCCACAGCCCAGGGCATCCCTGCCTTGCACAGTGAGACCTGTCGTCTCTGCCTTAGACGGAGCTCGGTGGAGCTCTCCTGGGTTTGGTGCAGAAGCAAAAAGGAGGCTCCTCTTTCCCACCCTGAGTCTATCTTGTCTCCTCACCCCCTGTCCTTGAAAGGAAGGCGTAGACACCTTTCCTCCTCTCCACCTCTGCCCTAGGGACTTGCACACACTTTTCCTCAAGAGCCTTCTCTGGGGACTTCTCTGGCTGCACTTGCCCACCGCCTTTAGTTTCGGACAACCACAGCTGAGGAGTGCCGCCTTTTGCTGGGGCTTGCTGTGTCCCAGGGACATTTTCCTCCTTTCTGTCTCTCAGTCTTCACCACAGCTCCCTGAAATACTGTTTTTACCCCCTGTTTTTAGATAAGAAAACAGAGGCTTGGAGATAGTAAAAGCTCACTCAAAACCGTCATGAGCATACATCACAGGTCTAGGTTTGCATCCAAGCGGTCCACACATTCAACAGGTGTTTAGTGAACACCTATTGTATGCTGTCTGCCTCTGGAGCCCTCGTGCCTTCTACACCACCTGCCGCCTCTCATGCTGCTGAGGACCCAGGACTGGTGGGAGTGCCAGGTGGGAATGGGAGGGGGTGGGTGGGTGCCAGGGCTCTAGTAGGGGCACAGGGTGGGGGGGCGCTCACTCCTCCTGTCCCCCACTAGATGGGGCTGCTTGGTTGGACATCTCAGGCAGTGCTGGGTCAAACTGTCCGTCCACACCTTGTGGGCTTTAGGGCCCTTCTCTAAGCCCAGGGATGTCCAGCCTGCCCGGAGAGCACTCAAGAATGACCAGGAAGCTACCCAGAGGGGTTCCCACATCATGCTGGGATGTGGAGGGGACTGGAGCCCGAGGGGACTTGGAGGCCCCCTGACTCATGACCTACATTTTCATTTCTCAGAAGTTGCAGCTATGGAAGGTTCTGGAAGGTTGATGGCCCACGAAGACACAGGAGGATGGACCCCAGAGGCAGTTTCTATGAACAGAGACATGCCTGGAACTGTGGGGTTCATATTTAGTTAACATTTTTTTAAGTTTAAAATTTTTAAATTTTGTGGATTCATAATAGCTGTACATACTAGTTTTCTCCCTGCAAACTTAATTTTGAAAAATTGCTAGCCTACAGAAAAGTTGAAAGCATAGTACAATGAACACCTGTTTATCTCTCACCTGGAGCCACTACTTGTTAATATTTGGTCAATTCGGCCGGGCGCAGTGGCTCACGCCTGTAATCTCAGCACTATGGGAGGCTGAGGAGGGTGGATCACCTGAGGTCGGGAGTTCAAGACCAGCCTGACCAACGTGGAGAAACCCTGTCTCTACTAAAAATACAAAATTAGCCGGGCGTGGTGGTGCATGCCTGTAATCTCAGTTACGGGGAGGCTGAGGCAGGAGAATCACTTGAACCCGGGAAGCGGAGGTTGCGGTGAGCTGAGATGATGCCATTGCACTCCAGCCTGGGCAAAGAGAGTGAAACTCCGTCTCAAAAAAAAAAATATTTGGTCAATTCTTCTTGGTCTCTTTCTCACACTGTGTGCGTGTGTGCATGTGTGAGTCGTTGGAAAATCAGTGGCAGACAGCATGTCACTTCCCCCGAACACTCCAGCAGCATCTCCTAAACACAGGCACATTCTCTGATATAACCTCGGTGCTGTTCTTGGTGCTATTATTCTTTTAAGAAAAGAATGGAAGGGAAAATATACTTGGCTTAGGAACGTGACAAATCCCCAGTGAGGCCTGGTTGCCAAGAGTGAGAACATGAGGAAGCCAGCTGGGAGAGTCTCCTTCCCTTGCTTTGAGGGAAATCCGAGGCCTAGCTTGTATTCACGTCATGACTTGAGCTTTACTTTGCTGTGCTTTGCAGGTGATTCATATGGGCAGGCATGATTTCATCTGAATGTGGAGGACCGTCTCTCAGGAACTCTAATTCTTCCCAGTGGAACTGTGAGAAACTCAGTCATTTGTCTTTTGCTTTTTTTTCCTCTTTTTACTTCACTGTCAATTTTCGAACCAGTATAGACGTTGAGGAAGTCTCATTCTTCTCAGACTGGCAGTCACTGCATACTGTGTAGTTACATCTTGCTGGTCATCAAAAAAATGCAAATTCATACGGGTGAAGAGATAGCTTAGGACCACATTAGTAAGTGTCCACAAGTTAGTAAATGCATGTTTGGCGGATGGTGAGGCCTGGTCCTTTGAAAGGAATGGCAAGCTGCGTGGGCACCCTTCGTGTGCAGGAGTGCACGTTTAGGTCATACTAGTTTTCAAGAACAATTCCAAAGTGTGGCCTGGGACCCCCAACACTACATTGCAACCAGTGAGCTACAACTCTCCCATCATCCCTCCAAACAACAAAGAGTTGATGAAGCAGTGTATACTAAAGATGGAAAACTGCAATATGTTCCTTTTTTAAAGCTATTTTCCTTCTGAATAATTTTTTTTTCTTTGAGACAGAGTCTGGCTCTGTCGTCCAGGCTGGAGTGCAGTGGCGTGATCATGGTTCACTGCAGCCTCAACTTCCCGGGCTCAAGCCATCCTCTCACCTCAGACTCCCGAGTAGTTCGGACTCCAGGTGTGCGCCACCATGCCTGGCTCACTTTTTCTATTGTTTGTAGAGATGAGTCTCACTGTATTGCCCAGGCTAGCCTTGAACTCCTAGACTCAAGCTATCTTCCCCCTTTGGCCTCCCAAAGTGCTGGGATTACAGACATGAACCACTATGCTGGGCTGTAATTTTTTTTTTTAAGCAATTGGTTCTTCACTTTTACTTTTGTATACATATTTTTTTTGTTATGTCTTTCTACTGCTGGATACGCAGGTGTCTCTGAAAATGGAACATTCCAGCTTTTAAAAACTTCATCATATGCTTTTTCATATGGCAGAAACCGACCTGTATTTTGAAAAGATAAAAAGTTTTGAGGCTGGGCACAGTGGCTCACGCCTGTAATCCCAGCACTTTGGGAGGCCGAGGCGGGTGGATCACCTGAGGTCAGGAGTTCAAGGCCAGCCTCACCAATATGGAGAAACCCCATCTCTACTAAAAATACAAAAATTAGCCAGGCATGGTGGCTCATGCATGTAATCCCAGCTACTCGGGAGGCTGAGGCAGGAGAATTGCTTGAACCCAAGAGGCGGAGGTTGCAGTGAGCTGAGGTAGTGCCATTGCACTCTAGCCTGGGCAACAAGAGCGAAACTCCATTTCCAAAAAAAAAAAAAAAAAAAAAAAAAAAGGTTTCAACCAAATGGTAGGGGAGGGATTTTAACGTTCACTTTAGAATCTCCTGGTGCCATTTCCCACAGCATAATCAAGATGCCACAGTTGATCTCATGTCAGAGTGATAGTGTAGCAGGACGAGCTGCAGACAAAACCCCTCAGACACCGAATTAAAGAAGGAAGGGCTTTATTCGGCCGGGAGCATAGGCAAGACTCACGTCTCAAAAACTGAGCTCCCCAAGTGAGCAATTCCTGTCCCTCTTAAGGGCTTACAACTCTAAGGGGGTCCACGTGAGAGGGTCGTGATTGATTGAACAAGCAGGGGGTACGTGACTGAGGGCTGCATACACAGGTAAGAATGGAACAGAACAGGACAGGGATTTTCACAGTGCCTTTCCATACAACGTCTGTAATCTATAGATAACATAACTGATTAGGTCAGGGGTCGATCTTTAACTACCAGGCCCAGGGTGTGGCGCAGGGCTGTCTGCCTGTGGATTTCATTTCTGCCTTTTAGTTTTTACTTCTTCTTTCTTTGGAGGCAGAAATTGGGCATAAGACAATATGAGGGGTGGTCTCCTCCCTTATTCGATGAGCCAGTTCTGCCCTAGTGGAGTTCGTCAGTGCTGTTAGACAGGAGCAACAATCCCCAACTCTACATTCAGAGCCCTTTCAGCTATTTTTCTCAAGTCCAACACAGCACAGCACCGACCTGGTACGTGCGGTCGACAATTTTCAGGGCACCTACCCAGCTCATTTCCTCTTGGCAAGAGCCATGCTTTTAATGTGAGAATGAACCCATGACCTCAGCTAGGCAGTCAGCTTCTCTCACAGCTATGGGAAGTGGACAGAGAGATGCCACCTGGGCAGCCTCGCCAGCTGTTTGGGCAGATGCCTGTGAACTTGGGTACCTAAGATGGCCACAGGCCGCCATGGGCACAGGGAGGCCAGAAACTTCGCTTTGCCTCCCAAGGGCAGCAGGATCTGGACAGGGATGCTGTCTGCACCTTATGGACTGCAGGGTAGGGGGCTGCACTGGCTCCTTTCTGCAGGATGAACTACTCATCTGGTGCTGTCACTCCTCCACTCCCCCTGGCTTATCTCACGTGGAAGAGCTGCAGCCATTGCCATTTAGATGGATTTTGCAATGCGATTCCTGACCTTTGATTCTATCCCCAGTGCCCTCAGGATAAATTCTGAACTCGCTGACTTAGAAGGCCTTCAGTAACCTGACCTGAAGCCTCTTCCTGCTCCCTCATCTCTTGGTACTTTTCCTCACATTACCTCACAGCCAAATGGTTAGGCACCTCTGGTTAGGCATTCACTGTCCCTCAGCCAGGAATGGTCTGTCTTCACTCCTGTCCCCTTCACCTGGCTCACTCCTGTTTAGTCTCCAGGTTTTAATGTCAATGCTACTTCCTCAGAGAAGCCTTTCACAGCCCATAAGGATGGGTTAGCTGCTCCTCCCATGGGACCCCAAGGTAACTTGTCCAGCTCCATTTAGGGTAAAAACAGCTCTCAGGCTGGGAGATTTTAAAATTCCAATTAGAATCTGCCTGCAGCATACACTGAAATCCTTGCACCATTCTGTAAGAGTCATCCCAGAGATGAAGTGGCATGTCCAAGCAGCTAGGCAAGCCGCCCTTCCCACCACAGTCACCCACCAGCAGCAGGCACCCAGGCAACCCCGCAGTAAGACAGGAGCACTTACACTCCAAGAGTCTCTCACCACAAAGGCGGTTGTTCATTGTTTCAGCAACTATGCTGCAAACACCCTCAGACTCAAACTCCACAAATGCATAGCCTATGTGAGTTGCAGTCCGCAACAGAAAATCCACAAGAAATAGACCAATCATCAGACTCCTAAATGCCGTTCATTTAAATTGTGTACATTTTTAAGCAGGTAGTATCATTAGCCTAATTATCAAATGACACTATGTCATCTTGTAATTCCAGTTCCAAAATCATATAGCTCAGAGCCTGCTATGGGAAAAGAAAATATCTTAATTTGAACATGCAGCTGAAGTTCACATATTCCTGGAATTTTGGTTAAATGTAATCAATACGTGATGACTATGGCTGGGATTGATTCAACAGCAACACCCCATTGTGGAGAGGAAATATGATAGTGCCCGGTTCTTTACCCCTTATCCACTTATTTGATTTCACTGACAGCTGTATTATTCATAATACTCCGGAGATAGTATAATGCTCTGTGAAGGACGAAGATAATATTCTCATATTGTTTATATGTGAGAGTTGAGATGAAACAAAAACAAATCCTCAGTATCTCCCGGCAAATCCATGAAACACTGCTCATTCTCATGCTCCAGCATGACCGGACACCTTCCCAGCGGGAGGCACGGGGACTGGGCCAGCACTCTTTGAAATGCACATCTCGAATTCGCCACTCGGCACCCTAGCACGAAGTGGGTTCTGTCACCTATCTTTGTAACAAGTATGTGGGTTTTGGAGTTCAAAGGCTCAGGTTTGGATTCTCGACTCTGATAAGTAAGGGTAAGTAACACTTAAGCATCATGAGCCTCAGTTTTCCATTCTGTAAAATGGGGATGCTAACCACTCTCAGGGTTGCTGTGAAGATATGAGATTGTGCACAAGAGCTCAACACAATGTGTGTCATGGACTCCATAAATGTTACCAGTGATTGGTGGTAATAACCAGAAAGGTTTTCTTTTTTTTTTTTCTTTTTTTTTGAGACTGATTCTCTCTCTGTCGCCCAGGCTGGAGCGCAGTGGCGCGATCTTGGCTCACTGCAAGCTCTGCCTCCCAGGTTCACGCCATTCTCCTGCCTCAACCTCCCCAGTAGCTGGGACTACAGGCGCCCGCCACCACACTTGGCTAATTTTTCATATTTTTAGTAGAGATGGGGTTTCACTGTGTTAGCCAGGATGGTCTCCATCTCCTGACCTCGTGATCTGCCCGCCTCGGCCTCCCAAAGTGCTGGGATTACAGGCATGAGCCACCGTGCCTGGCCCAGAAAGGTTTTCTAACCTTGCATTAGACAACATAGCTTTGGCTATGGATCAAAATTGGTGATGTGACTGGAGATAAGGAACCACCTGAAAGCCGCGTGGCTTAACAGGGTGGGAGTCAGGAGGCTCACTGCTAGCGCCAGCTGTGTCACTCATCAGCAGGTTGGCCACGCCCACCACTGGGTCTCAGGTTGGTTGTCCACAACAGAAGCATTCTAGTAAAAATTATTTTTTAATTATTTATTTATTTATTTGTTTTGAGACGGCATCTTGCTCTGTTGCCCAGGCTGGAGTGCAGTGGCCCGGTCTCGGCTCACTGCAGCCTCCACCTCCCGGGTTCAAGCAATTCTCCTGCCTCAGCCTCCCGAGTAGCTGTGATTACAGACACCCGCCACCATGCCTGGCTAATTTTTTGTATTGCTAGTAGAAATGGGGTTTCACCATGTTGGCCAGGCTGGTCTTGAACTCCTGACTTTGTGATCCACCTGCCTCAGCCTCCCACAGTGTTGGGATTACAGGCGTGACCCACCATGCCTAGCCACTCATTCTGGTAAAAATTAAACTGCCTGTAGCTGGGTGTGGTGGTGAGTGACTGGGGTCCTAGCTACTGAGGAGGCTGAGGTGGGAGGATTGCTGAATCCAGGAGTTTGAGACTGCAGTGAGCTAGGATCGCACCATTGCACTGCAGCCTGGGCAACAGAGGGAGACCCTGTCTTTTAAAGACATATTAGGCCAGGTGCAGTGGCTCATGCCTGTAATCCCAGCACTTTGGGAGGCCGAGGTGGGTGGATCATGAGGTCAGGAGTTCAAGACCAGCCTGGCCAATATGGTGAAACCCCGTCTCTACTAAAAATACAAAAATTAGCCGGGCTTGGTGGCACACACCTGTAGTCCGAGCTACTCGGTAGACTGAGGTAGGAGAATCGCTTGAACCCGGGAAGCGGAGGTTGCAGTGAACCAAGATTGTGCCATTGCATTCCAGCCTGGTGACAAAGCGAGACTCTGTCAAAAAAAAAAAAAAAATCAATGTCATGAAAAACAAAAAGCAAACACTGTTGTAGATTAAATAAGTAGCTTTCTACCTCCCACCCTGCCTGTAAAACCAAAGGGTGAAAGCATTTTGAGGATATCAGATTAAGCTCTATGTATTGACATAGTCTCCTAATTAACCTTCCTGTCCACTTACGTCTCCTAGAGTAGCTCCCTTGAACCTCAGTTAGTGTGACATGTCACTCTTGCTCAAAACTATGTTATATAATGGCCCATTAGACATCAGCCACATAACTGAGTCCTTCCTTTTTCCTCCACCTTATCTGTAGGAGAAAACACCTGTAAGACATTTTTTTTGGGGGGGGAAACTAGAACATTTTAAAGATGGGTGGTATACCATATACTGTGGAATTACTGTTATTTTTCTAGGTGTGATAGCAGTATTATGATTAGGTTGGAAAACACCCTTATTTTTAGGAGATGCACCCTGAAATATTTAAGGGCAAAGCACTATGGTGACACACTCAAATGGTTCAGAAAACAATGTGTCTGTCCATGGGCCGAGGTGAAGCTCATGTGTCTGGATGTTAACAGTGGGTGATGCCAGGTGACAGGTGCGTGGACGTTCATCACGCTGTCACTTCACCTTCTCTGTAGACTTGAACATTTTCAAAACCCAAAGTTGGGAAAAACAATGATGACTAGATAGCAGCATGAATTTTTTTTGCAAAATAATGTTGCGCAGAAGGTAGAGGAGATAGAATAATTTTTAGGATGAACAGGCAATTTGTAGTGGCTGCTAAACGTAAAGTAGTCAGCCTCACTAAGAATAAGGCAGATACGAAAACCCCGACCATTCTACACACAGAGTGACTGGCTAAGTGAATACTGCACAACCCGCCAATCCCATTTCTGACTGTATATTGTAAAGCAGTGGTTTTGAAATTCAGGATTTGTCCTGAGGGAGGAGAGGGGTGGGGCAAGGATGGGGCAGGGCCTCATGGTCCCGATTTCTCATTCCTTCTTTCACTGTCTCTCGAGGCAGTCCACGGGGGTCTGGGTCTTGCCCAGGGTCCCCAGAAAAGCTGCTTCTGCCTGATACAGCCTCTCCAGGACCAGTACCTTGAGAGCCTCTTGCTGTCAGTGGCCCCTCCATGGCCCAGAGTCCATGGCTATAACCCTCAGGCAGCCAGGACCCTTCTGTCCACAGACTGCAGAGAACATGGGAACATTCCGCTTGGAACCAAGCCAGACCTCATCGAGGTGGGAGGGGAACGAGCGCGTGAAAGGTGCTTCCCAACCTTACTCTCAATCCGACACCACAGACTCTGATAATAAATAAATCCCTCCTCCTGCACCCCCAGGGACACAGGCAGGCTGCTGCAGGCTGAGATGATGGCCTAGCGCTCTGGCCACCGGGGCCCTGGCCAGTTGCCATGAGAAATAAGGGAATCAATGCATTTTCACAGCCCCAGTCCATTGAAGGGTCAAAGGTTAGGAAGCTCCTCTGAGGAGAATTGGTAGGCTGTCAACACTGGTGATGGTCTTTCTTCTCTGGCCTCAGCTCTCCTTCTGTGGCCCTGGAGGCCTCCTCCTGCCCACAAAGGCCGCAGGACACTCCTGATTCAGCCCCTCCATGGTGTGCATGGGAAGGGTGTGAGACCATCCTGGAGGGCTCCACTAGGGGTTTCAACTTCTTGAATTTCACCTCCAAAAACTAGGGAAGAAGTAAATGGGATTTCCAGCTTTCACATTTGAAGATCGTGCCATCCCACAATGAGCATGGAAATCAGGATTTTCAAATTCCTCCTGCATGGAGTGAAGTGTGTGATGACACGGAAGTCCTTCAGGATAATGCTGTCCAGAGAGATGCTCTTAGGGCTATAAGATGCTGTATGGGGCGTGCTACGAGGGCCACCAGAGCTCCTCTGCAATGTGGGGGCTGGTCATTGTGCCGTGGGGTCCCAGGCCTCATCCACTCACTGAGCAGCTCAGTCTTGTTGGCAGCAAGTCTGTAGGTTGCCTGGGGCTTGGCTGATTTTGCCTGGTTGGCTTCAGCTGGTGGCTCTGTTGATTTTAGCTGGATTCCCTGTGGTGTCAGCTGAATGTCAGCTGGGCTTTGTGGCAGCTCTTATAGGGCAGCTCTGCTGGTCTCTGCCTGGCTTGCTCATGCATCTTGGGGTCAGGTGAGGGTCAGCCGATCCCGAGGTGGCTGGGTTGTGCTGGGTGGCTCTGCTGGTCTTCACTGGGCTTGCTGGTGCAGCTCAGGGTCAGTTGGAGTTTGGCTGGTCTAGGCTGGGTGCAGCTGGTGCTCAGTTCGCTGCACCTGTCTTCTCCTCTTCCTGGAATAGCAGGAAAGCCCAGTCACGGCTTCCTGTGGCCACAGAAGAGGCACAAAGGAGCCACCTGAGAACAATTTACCAAGCTGCATTTTCAAAAGCTCCCCCAGACTGCTGCAAAGAGACTCAGCTGGAGGGGTAGGGGTGGGCCAGGCGGGCTCTGTTAGTGAGTTATAATGGTTTCAAGGAGAAATGGTGATGGCTTTGACCAGGGTCTTGACTGTGGACTAGGCTTCTGAGGACAGGCCTGTGTCTGACCTACCCTTCAAATGGTATCTGGTGTGAAATTACAAAAGATACAGCCCCTGGGGCATTTTCTGGGCTGTGGAGCTGAGTGTGGGCTGCCCTGGCCTCCTGGGCGGGAGCCGTGTGCAGGACAGTGGGCACAGGCAGGAGCCCTGCCTCGGCTCAGCACCAGGCCAGTGACCCCGAGCCCAGCACTCAGGAGCCGTCTGAAGGCTGGGGCAAAACCCACACAGGCTCCCAGTGCAGGAGACACTCTGCTGCCCAGGATGTCCAGAAAAGGGCTTAAGGAGGGGGACTCTCAGGGCCAGTGGTGGCTGGGGTGGCGTGAGGGTGGTGTTAGCGGCGGTACTTCCCAGACCCAGACCCCCATGGGCTGCCATGTGAGATTTGCAAGAAGGAACTAGTAATTGGGGCCAGGAGGCCCTGTCCCATCCCTGCCCCACTCCTCTCCTCCCTCAGGTCAAATCCTGAATTTCAAAACCACTGCCTTACAGTATAGAGTCAGAAATGAGATTGCCAGGTTGTGCAGCATTCACTTACCCAGTCACTTTGTGTATAGAATGGTCAGTGTTTTTGAACCTGCCTTATTCTTAGTGAGGCTGAGTATCTTATGTTTAGCAGTCACTACAAATTGCTTTTTCACATCCTAAAAATTCTTCTACCTCCTCTACCTTCTGTGCAATATTATCTTGCAAAAAATTTTTATACTGCTATCTAGTCATCATTGTTTTTCCCAACTTTGGGTTTTGAAAATGTTCAAGTCTACAGAGAAGGTGAAGTGACAGTGTGATGAATGTCCACGCACCTGTCACCTGGCGTCACCCACTGTTAACATCCAGATACATGAGCTTCACCTCCTCCCATATCTACACACACAGACACAGACACTGTTTTCTGAGCCATTTGAGTGTGTCACCATAGTGCTTTGCCCTTAAATACTTCAGGATGCAGCTCCTAAAAATAAAGATGTTTTCCAACCTATTCACAACACTGCTATCACACCTAGAAAAATAACAGCAATTCCATAATATATAATCTCAAAGAACCAGAGTAAGAGGTTAGCGGTCAACACAGCGAGGCTGAGCACTGCTCCTGCTTGAGAGGAGCTGGAGTGGGGCTCTGGAGAGGAAGTTTGGAGCAAGATTGTTGTGTTGACACAGCGTCAAACTCTGTAAAACATTTGGAGATTTATTTTGAGCCAAATGTGAGTGACCATGGCCTGTGACACAGTCCTGGGAGGTCCTGAGAATATGTGCCTGAGAGGGTTGGACTACAGCTTGGTTTTATACATTTTAGGGAGACATGAGACATTGATCCACACTTGTGAGATGCACATCCCTTCAGTCTAGAAAGGTGGGACAACTTGAAGGAGGACTTTCAGGTCATAGGTAGATTCAAAGATTTTCGGATGGGTTGAAAGAGTTTATCTAAAGCCCTGAGATCAACAGAAGGGAGTATCTGGGTTAAGATATGGGGTTGTGGAGACCAAGGTTCTCCAGGTAGCAGGCTCCAGAGAGAATAGATTGTAAACATTTCTTATCAGACTTAAAGAGACAGCTTTGCAGGGCCATTTCAAAATATGTCAAAGCAACTTATTCTGGGGTAAAATATTTGATTGCTTTCAGGACCTGCTATCTCTCATGTTGGTGTCTTATTGCTACAGAGAGTCTGTTTTGTCAGTGTTAAAGCCTCTGTTTAATGCTGGCCAGCTGTGCCTGAACTCCAAAGGGTAGAGGGTATAGTGAGGTGTGCCTGACCACCCATGCCCATCACACCCTGAACTAGTGTTTCAGGTCTACTTTATTTATTTGTTTAGTTTTTGAGCCAGAGCCTTGCTCTGTCGCCCAAGCTAGAGTGCAGTGGTGCGATCTCGGCTCACTGCAACCTCTCCTTCCTGGGTTCAAGTGATTCTTGTGTCTCAGCCTCTGGAGTAGCTGGGATTACAGGCATGCACCACCACGCCTGGCTAATTTTTTTTTATTTTTATTTTTAGTAGAGACGGGGTTTCGCCATGTTGGCCAGGCTGGTCTTGAACTCCTAACCTCAGGTGATTCACCCGCCTCAGCCTCCCAAAGTGCTGGGGTTACAGATGTGAGCCACTGCATCCAGCCTCAGGTTTACTTTAGAATGCTCTTGGCCAAAACGGGGATCCATTCTGTTGGTTGAGGGGCTTATAACTTTATTTTTGGTTTATAGTCCTTGTGGAGAAGATGAGGGAGAGAGGCAGGCGTGAGTCTGGGCTGAGGATCTCTGTTCCAGACCCTGGGCTCAAGCTGGGCTTGCACAAGGGCTAGGGAAGCATGCCTCCATGCAGCCCTTGTGGACCCCAGCTTCAGTGGAAGCTTCTGGAGCCTTGCCCTGGCCAAGAGGGCTGTCTGCTACAACAGTAGGGGTCTTGTTGGAGGACAGGTGGGCCCTTGGGAGGTCAGGGTCCCTCTCTAGGTTGCTGCCTGCAGGTTCAATGACTTCTGAAGCTGAGTTTCTGGCAGCTTCCTTGAACCTGTCCAGGTCAGTCCTCTCGATTGCAGGCCATGGCCCTCCATGAGGCCGAGCCTGGCTTCAGACCTCTTGAAATTTGAAGGCAGCTTGGGCTGAGCCTGGCCCTCCACCCTGGGGAGGGGACACATACCCTCAAACTGTTATAGAAATAAAGAATACCTAGGCACATGCGGTCAAGCAACCAGGTACCACAAAATGGCCAGGGATGTGTTCAAAGTCACTGGACACTGATCTTTGGCAAAGATGCTACATCCCAGAGGTGGGAGGGGGCCTTGATGGCATCTTGTCCAACCTCCTATCCATGGCCGGAGGGGCACTGGCTGCCCAGCTCCATGGATCCCTGGGCTCTCAGTGCTCCGGGGGCAACTGGCCCCACCTGCTTTATCCCACAGCCATCCAGATGCCCTCACCGTCCTTTGCTGGTCTCCTCTCCAGGGTGAGGGAAAGGGGCTGCCTTTGAAATCTCATGGGAGAAGGGCAGATGCTGTGGGTGCTGAGGGTGAGGTGGGACTGGAGCCTCTCTGTTAGGGCACAGGCCTGCGTTTCTTGGTGTGCTCTTTTTCAGCAAAGTCACCTGTGCTCTGGAGGTAGGGTTTTTTTCTCGGGTCCTTTTTCTAAGAACCAGCCTGGGGCTGCAGAGCAGCTAGGTGTGTTTCCTTCCTTTGCAGCCAAGCCCTAACTTCTTTGGCAACACGCTGGCATTCACTTTTGCCCTTCCCTTACGACCAGCAAGATCAGCAGGGAATTCCGTAACAAGCTTTCCTGCATCCATGTCTTGCTGGGCCCAGCCATGAGGGAATCTCAGGGGCAGATGGTCGACTCACCGCTCATGCCTGGGAACAGCTGAGCTCCCTGTACGTGCACCAGGTGAAGCTGCTGAGTAATCCCAGTGCCAGAAAGAGACCTAAGGGTGCTGGGAGCTCATTACACTGCTAAAAAGTATAAAAAACCCTAAAGAGCTTTAGCTTACAGGGGTTATATGTCTAGATAGTCAGCATGTTAAAAATTAAAATAGAGCATTTAAAAACATTAATTTGTTTCATTGAGTGCTTTTACTCTCTGGCCTTTGGTACCCTGAGCTGCGTCCAAGCTTGTCCTGTGCTGTGCCCATCACAGCTTCTCTCCTCTAAGAAGTCTCTGGCGTTAAGCCTTGCACTCTGCCCCTTCTGTGCACGTGTCCATGCAGTGAAAGACTTTCTCCTCCAGTGGAGCTTGTCTCAGCGAGAAAAAGCTATAAAGAGTTTACTTAAGCATGTCTCACTAGGGTAAAAATGACTGCTTGCCCCACAGCTTCCAGGAAAAAACCTGTTTGAAAGCAGAGGTAGATAATACAAAGAATTCTCTCCCTCTTTGGTTTTTCTAGCAACATGACAGTAACATGAACATTCCACCCACTTCTGCGGGGGTAAACGTGGAGTCCTTAGACTCCAATTTCCCAGCCTCTCTCTGCTCTTCAGAGTTGTTGCTACTCTTCCACCTTAAAACAATTCCCCCAAGTCCTCAGACTCAGTGGGATCTTCCCCAGTGAGGAGCCCCAAATAAGGGCAGACTTGAGGACTGTCTGTCTTCAGAGTCCCAAATGTAACATTACCATTTGCTCTCTGTGGGTCTGTGTCCCTGTGTAAGTCAGGTACTGCAAAGAAATAGACCAATAGGATAGACAGATAGATAAGCTCATACCTACCTATTTATATAAGTATCTCTGTCTATCTATCTATCATCTATAGAGAGATTGATTATGAAAATTGGCTCATGAAATCGTGGCGGATGAGAAGTCCCATGATCTACCATCTGAAATTTGGAGACCCAGGAAAGCTGGTGGTGTAGTTCTGTCCAAGTTCAAAGGCCTGAGAACCAGGGAACTGAGGGCATAAACCCAGTCTGAGGACAGGAGAGGAGGAGACGTCCCAGCTCAAGCAGTGAGGCAGAAAAAAAGGGGTGATTTTCTCCTTCCTCTGCCTTTTGTTCTGTTCAGGCCCTCAAGGACTTGGATGAAGCCCAGCCCCATTGGGGAGGGCTTTCTACTTTACCAAGTTCACCAATTTCAATGCTAATCTCATCCAGAAACACCCTGGCAGACACACCTGGAAACAATGGTTAATCTGAGTATCCTGTGGCCCAGTCAAGTTGACACCTAAAATTCACCATCACTGCGCTATCCTGGGCCTTGAGCCCCCACCATGTCTAGTGATGTTTGGATGTGTAACACTTGGCATCATGGTTGGCACAAGGTTGGCACCCAACACGCAGCTATGGAATGAATGAATGAATGTGCCCACAGTGCTTCAAGACATTTGCAAGGGCACGGTTTGGGGTCTAACTCCTAGCACAACAGATTCAGTTTTGCATGAAAGCTGCTGGTCCCAAACGTTTGGTCTTAGGAACCCATTCCAGCCTTCAGAATGACTGAAGACTCCAAGGAAGTTTTCTTTTAGTGGGTTACATATATCAGTACCTTTCCTGTTTGAAACTGAGATAGTTTTACATATATATTTACTAATTCATGTAAATAATAAAGTCATGGGATGTAAACATAATTAACATTTTTATAAATAATAACTATAGGTTTCAAAAATAAATTTAGTGAGCCAACTGACATTGTTTTACATTTCTTTAAGTCTCTTTAATATCTGGCTTCAAGCGGGCATGGTGGCCCACGCCTGTAGTCCCAGCACTTTGGGAGGCTGAGGCGAGTGGATCACCTGATGTCAGGAGTTTGAGACCAGCCTGGCCAACAAGGTGAAACCCCATCTCTACTAAAAATACAAAAATTAACTGGGCATGGTGGTGGGTGCCTGTAATCCCAGCTACTCGGGAGGCTGAGGCAGGAGATTCGCTTGAACCCAGGAGGTGGAGGTTGCAGTGAGCTGAGATTGTGCTATTACACTCCAGCCTGGGCAACAGCCTGAGACTCTGTTTCAAAAAAAAAAAAAAAATCTGGCTTCATGGAGGACAGCTGGAGTCTCATCTCTGCCCCCACACTCAACATGTTGTGATATATTGTTTTGACTGAGCATATGAAGAGAGTTGTAGCTGGGACAGAGATGTGCATTTTCTTTCCCAGGCTTTTCATGTAGTTGTAGACGTGTGTCTTTGTTCTGGCACCAAAACATGACAAGCAGTAGTTTCTTAAAGACTAATTTCAGTGTGGAATCTGAAACAGTTTATCTTCTGTTCTTAAACCACTGGTCTAATCTGCACTTTGTGCAGATCTTTTACCTATACTTGATTTTGTAATGTCATACACCTATC
The DNA here is from genome assembly GCF_000001405.40 of Homo sapiens. Taxonomy (NCBI): domain Eukaryota; kingdom Metazoa; phylum Chordata; class Mammalia; order Primates; family Hominidae; genus Homo; species Homo sapiens. The sequence continues at coordinate 127,159,514 of NC_000002.12, read as the reverse complement.
ACTGGGAAGACACTGGTTCACTGAATTGTGGAGTTTTTCCCACGGTCGACGCCCTCTATCCTACAACATCACAAAATCCAACTGCATAACGTTGCTGCCCGTCTTGCTGGAAAAGTCTTCAATGATTCAGGAGCTGTCAAGCTCGGGATGGTGGATACAAGTTTTGCAAAGTTCTAATTTTTGCTTGAATGCCCACATTTTATCATTGGCAGCAAAGACTGTCACTGTTTCCTTTGAAATGAGAGGCTTACTTTGTTCATTTTCAAAGAAATATGTCAGATACCCCAGTCTGAATAACCATCGCTTGTTTGTCAGTCATTCTTTCAGGTAGAATGGCATTTTAGTCTTTCAAGTAAAAAGAGTGTTTCATGAAAGAAGAAGTGTCCACATCACTCGACGCTTCAGCAGTTCTACAGGGGCTTTCCCCCAAACAACTGTCATACTCAGTGTGCAATGGAAGCTCTGAACGCCAACTTCCCATTTTCTCACTCAGGATATAAAGAAGGCCATAATCGAAGGGATGAGACCTATAACAATTAATACTTTATACTGCTTCCTCAAGGACAATCGTATGAGTAATTGACACTTAAAGAAAAATGTGAGTGTGCATGGTGAAGAATCACACCACAGCCGGGTGCCGCTGCCTTGGGTGGTGTGAAGGCATCTCAAAGCCAGTGACAGGTGCATTCTTTCAGCCTCTTCCTCCCATGGCCCCTAAGTCCCCATGGATTGAGCACCCAGCGGAAGTTCACTACCTACCTGCTGGCTGAAGGGTTGGCATCTCTGTGATGCAAATTTAGGCAATAGGGTCCGGATGGAGGTGCTTGTATTTGGGAAGTTAATGTTAAGAGCTCTTGGGGCCAGGTGCGGTGGCTCATGCCTATAATCCCAGCACTTTGGGAGGCCGAGGCAGGAGGATCACTTGATCTCAGGAGTTGGAGACCAGCCTGGCCAACACGGTGAAACCCCATCTCTACCAAAAATACAAAAAATTAGCTGGGCATGGTTGTGTGCGCCTGTAATCCTGGCTACTCGGGAGGCTGAGGCATGAGAATTGACTGAACTGGGGAGGTGGAGGTTGCAGTGAGAGAAGACTGTGCCATTGCACTCCAGCCTGGGTGACAGAGCAAGACTCTGTCTCAAAAAAAAAAAAAAGAAAAAAAGAGCTTGGGGCTGCGTGCTGGAGGTTGATTGCATTGGGGCAGTGGCCAGGCATTGGTATTTTAAAAATGTTTAAAATATTTTAAAATCTTGCTGCGAGGGAACTGTCTAGCATGAACTTAGCTGTCAGGCCAAGAGTAGAAAGGAGTCCTGAGTACAGGGCAGAAGTCCACAGACATCTCTTTCCCCTTCCGTGGTTTCTGCTTAAAACAATCGAGATGGGCAATCTTGACCTTGCACCGCAGACCCGGGCTATACTGCCTTCCCACAGAATGGAGTGGGAAGGGCTAGTCCCCCCTGGAAGGGACTAGGGGCTGGCACCTCTGGATGCTGTTGGAAGTGGGGGAGGGGAACAAGCTTCTGAACTGGGAAGGAACTGGGCCACTGGGGCACGTGCCCTTGCTCTGCTGCAGAGTTTTGGAGTCACGCTGGGCAAGGTTAAGAGGCCCAGGTCCCTGTTAATGCAGCCCCCTGGCCCTCCACTGGGGGTCTCCTTGCTCCTCTCACTCTGAGAAAGGCCGTCTTTGGCGTTGCAGGTCACTGCTGTGACTCAGAATGGGGCAAACGGATTCCAGCTGTTGTGCCCCTGGCTAATCTCACTGCCCTCCAGCCCCGGGCACTCTCTCTCTAGGGACAGTGCTAGAGGCTGGGGCCCGCAGGCCGTGGCCATCCATCTGTGAGCCTCTCTCCTGGCGTGTTTCTATGGCTGTGAATAGGTGGAAGGGCTGAGGAGGACAAAGCTGTCCTGGCTTCTGGTGGTACTTTTGATTTTGGAATTTGCAAGTATCCTCTGCCCTCCAGGGAGCACCCGTGGGCTGCTTGACTAAACCATCTCCCCAGGTGCTTCTAATGCATGGCTAAGCAGAGATCCTGGGTTTTTTTGGTCGATATTTATTTATCTATTTATTTGAGATAGGGTCTCACTCTGTCATTCAGGCTGGAGTGCAGTTGTGTGATCAGGGCTTACTGCAGTCTCGACCTCCCTGGGCTCACGTGACCCTCCCACCTCAGCCTCCTGAACAGCTGGGACCACAGGCACATGCCGCCATGCCCTGCTAATTTTTGTATTTTTTGTAGAGATGGGGTTTTACCATCTCTACAGGCTGGTTTCGAACTCCTGGGCTCAAGTGATCCTCCTGCCTCAGCCTCCCAACGTCCTGGGATTATAGGCATGGGCCACTGTGCCTGGCCAGTTTATTTATTCTTTAATATTGACTATTCAGTGGGAAAACCAGAGATGATGTTTTGAGAGCCAGGTGGAAGGCAGAGCCATATGCTGGTTGGAAATTTTTTGTTTTAAAGCAGTATTTCATTGTAGCCTGCATATAAAGATTATCAAGCCAGAAATGTATTTGAAATCTGAAAAGTACTTTCATTGATTATGTTCATTTTTCTGTGATCAATTCCAAAAAGGCATTTAAAATCTTGAAGACCAAGTTCCTAACAGCACTAGGGGTCTGTAAGAAAAAAAGCATTATTTTATAATGCTGTGGGGTATACACAATATTTTTGTGTTTCTGCCAAATCTCTGAACAAAATCCGCTTAAACTTGGAATCCTGGGCATTTTCATTCAGGCTGCCATAACACAGTACCATAGACTGGGTGGATTAAACAACAGGATTCCATTTCTCGCAGTTCTGGAGGCTGGGAAGTCCAAAATCAAGATGCTGGCAGCTTCAGGTGAGGGCTCTCCTGCTGGCTTGCAGACAGCTGCCTTCTCACTGTGTTTTTGCATGGTGAAGAGAAGGAGCAAGCAGGTTCTTTGGTGTCTCTTCTTATAAGGCCATTAATCCCATCATGAGGATTAATCCCACCCTCACGACCTTATCTAATCCCAATCACTTCCCACAGTCCTTGTCTCCTAGTACCATCACACTGGGGTTTAGGGCTTCAACATATGGATCTGGGGAGGACACAGATGTACAGTCCAGAACACTGGGTTATGATCAAGCCTTAAAAGTTAATTTACAATTATAAAGATAGTGAAGAACTCTAGAGAGGTTTACCTCACTCTGGAGTTATGTGTTTGCATATCAAGGGGAAAACTAGCTCTAGGTTATTTGGTCCCTAGAGAAATGTCTTTACATTCCAAAGAGCAGAGTGAGAATTCAGGATTCTAGCCATGCACTCTCCAAAAAGCAAGCATGTCTTCCCTTCTTTCAGGAGAGAGGGCCCCCAGTGTCTCTCCTGGGTGTAACTGGCCACAGCCCGTTGCTCTCAGTCCTCCCCTAAGGAGTGTCCAGTTGCTCGTGGAGAGTTTCCATTTGGCTCTCACTGCCTCTCCCACAAGCATGGACTGGAGCAAGGAGGGGCCCTAGGCTTATGATTTACTGTAAGGTCAATGGGGAGGAGTCTGTCTCAGATCCAGAGGACTTCATGTGCACATTCAGAATAAAATTAAGAAATATTAAAACCCAAAAACGTTAAGTAAAAACAAAACAGAAAAATGTTATGTATACAGAATGACTGACTACAACTATGGCAAAAACAAACAACAACAACAACAACAACAACAACAACAAACCCTCAATAGAGGAAAAAGTAAACAAGAAACAGATCAAATTATTAACACAATGACATTTGAATGGTGACAAAATTGGTGATTTTAGTTTTTCTTTCCTTTTAAAATGTTTTTAAAGCACATATATTAATTTGGCAATGGAAGAAATTAGAAAGAAAATAACTTTTGCATGAAGATCACAGCTGAGGATATCCTGTTAGTTATCTATTGTGGCATAACAAATTAACCCAAGACTCTGCAGCTTAAACCAAGACAGCTTTTTTATTGCACAGTTTCTATGGTCAGACGTTCACATGGTTGATCTCCCACTGAGGGCCTCCAGGGTCCCACCCCCTTAGCAGCACATTACAAATTGAACTGGTAGAATAACTTCATATGGAACTCATCAAATATATTTGAGTGTCTTGTTGCTCTTTCCATTTTTTTTTCTATGTTGGGGTTTCAGATAAGATTTCTACAGTTTTTCATGCAGAATGTTCAATCCCTGTCTTCTCAAGGCCTCTAAACCCTAACCCGTGAGTGTTGGAGGTATTCGGTGCAGTGCTTGGTCTTCCTGGCAGTGTTTCTCATTTGGAATCAATCACAGTAGTGACTGGACAAGGGGTTACAGAATTTCTTGGCATGGGGTGGGAGAACTGTTGCTTTACTTCCTATTAAAAGAACTGGAGTGAGGCTGGGTGCGATGGCTCATGCCTGTAATCCCAGCATTTTGGGAGGCCGGGTTGGGCAGATCACAAGGTCAGGAGATTGAGACCACCCTGGCCGACATCTGGAAATCCCGTCTCTACTAAAATACAAAAAAATCAGCTAGTCATGGTGGCGTGTGCTTGTAGTCCCAGCTACTCAGGAGGCTGAGGCAGGGGAGTTGCTCGAACCCTGGAGGTGGAGGTTTCAGTGAGCTGAGATTACGCCACTGCACTCCAGCCTGGCAACAGAATGAGACTTCATCTCAAAAAAAAAAAAAAAAAAAAGAGAGAAAAGCTGTTATTTGGGAATATGAAAATTAAACATGCAGAGGCATGTGCCCTTTACCTGGGACCTTGCTGACAGCTGTGTTCTCTAGACCTCTCTCTTTAGGAACGTCTCTCGTCCCACCTCCACCCACAGGAGAAACCACTGGAAGCTCCTCCAGGTTCCTAGTGAAGCCCCCAGGACTCAGCTCCTTGGCCTCACTGCCCACCTGCCATCAGCTTCTTTGGCCTCTGGAGAACCTCACGATCAGCCTGCAGAGCTGCACCCAGGCCTGCCCTATGCCGGGGTTCCCACTGAGACCCCAGGGTCACTCACTTAGCAGGACAGTGATCATCAAGTGGGTTAGGGTTTCCAGGATGCTTCAAGGCAAGGCTCTGAGATCTGAGCTGTGGAGGAGGATGTAAGGAATCAGTACAAACAGGGGCTGGCCACACAGCACTGGGGAACTATGAAAAAGCTTCTGGAATCCAGAGGCCCCACGTGTGCACTTGGTGGGTGTTACAGAAACTTACGGTGAGCCCACCATCTCCAAAAACTTGAAACTCCACTCTTGCTTAAACTCAGGATCACACATCCTATGCCAGCGGGCTCTTGGTCCTTAGACTGTTCATAAGAAAAATAGGAAATGGCCAGGGGCCTGAGGAAGGAATGCAGCCATACCTGACCCTGGCTGCCTGAAGAGAGCTGGGTTGGTTTGGAGAGTACTGGGGCGGGGAGTAGGGTGCAGGGATGGGCGGGGGAGCCAGTCAGTAAAGTGTGCAGGAACCCAGGGTGGCCCATGGGCCTGAGGACTACACAGGCCCTGTCCTAGAGGCCATCTGGAGGGGGCTGGTCGGCTGGCTCCATTTCCAATTAACACCCCCTGCACCCCCCTGGATCCTCAGAGCCTCTGCTGGGATAGATGATCTCACCAGCTCTGTGATTGTGGCAGAAACACCAGGCCAGCCAAGCTTGAGTCATGCGACCTCCTCTGGCTACCAGGGCATGAGGAGGAAGAGTGCCTGGTTTCCTCCAGCCACATAGTAGTAGGCAAAGCCTGGCTCTCACCAAGTAAAGCAAGACTCCCACCAGATAGACAGGAAGGGCGCTCCCTTGACTGGGTGGTCTCTAAATATCAAATGTCCATTACAGTGGCCAAGAAACTGCGGTATCTTAATCACAAATAATCATCACCCATGCATTTGAACTAACTGGCAAAAGAACTCTCTCTCTCTCTCTCTCTCTCTGTGTGTGTGTGTGTTCAACAACAGCATCAAGGCTGAACATAAAAGATCACCTCTTGCTGACTTTATAATCTTTTTTTTTTTTTGAGATGGCGTTTTGCCCTTGTCGCCCAGGCTGGAGTGCAATGGTGTGATCTCGGCTCACTGCAATCTCCGCCTCCTGGGTTCAAGAGATTCTGCAGCCTCAGCCTCCCATGTAGCTGGGATTACAGGCGCCTGCCACCACGTCTGACTAACTTTTGTATTTTTAGTAGAGACAGGGTTTCACCATGTTGGCCAAGCTAGTCTCAAACTCCTGACCTCAGGTGATCCACCCGCCTCAGCCTCCCAAAATGTTGGGATGTGTTTTTTTTTGAGATGTGGTTTTGCTCGTTGCCCAGGCTGGAGTGCAATGGCATGATCTCAGCTCACTGCAACCTTCGCCTCCTAGGTTCAAGTGATCCTCCTGCTTCAGCCTCCCACTTAGCTGGGATTACAAGCATGTGTCACCATGCCAAGCTAATTTTGTATTTTCAATAGAGACAAGATGGGGTTTCACCATGTTGGTCAGGAAACTGCTGACCTCAGGTGATCCACCTGCCTCGGCCTCCCAAAGTGCTGGGATTACAGGTGTGAGCCACCGTGCCCAGTCGACTTTAATCTTATACAGACATTTATATGTATTTATATGTGCCCTGGTGGGACTGTGGCATGCCATTGACAGTCACTGTTCAGATTACTCTTTTTAGCAACTGCTATTTGAGTTCAGAGAAAAAAACTGTAAAAATCTGTGAAGGAAACGTCCATGGAAACAGCCACTCTCTAGTCTACTTTCTATTCATTTGGAAAGCAATGTCTCTCTTAGCATCTGAGGCTTCTAACCCATATTTTCAAGATGGCGATTCCCATCAGGAAATCTCTTACAGCCTATGGCAGAAAATACGCGGTTTGGGAATGACTGAGGTTTACATCAGAGCTGAGAAATGAGTATTGAACTCAGTCTAGTGAAGTTATCTGGGCATTTTCCCCAGGTGTTATTGGCATGTCCTGCTCCATGTTGGGACATTTAGATAAATAAGAAGTTGGGCCACTCATTTTGGTTCCACATTTACACCCACCTGATTTCCTCAGTTCTGTGCCAGCCACAGTTGACAGAAATGAAGGATACTTACTTATTCCTGCACCCGGGAGGTACAGGATGTGGAGAAGACAACACATAATTAGAAAGTTATAATGAGCTGAACTACTTGGGAGTATGCTGGGAGTGTGAAGCCCCAGAATAGACTTAGCGTATCTTTCTAGAGAGTTGATTTCATTGCATGCTAAATAATGTAAACCGAATTAGGTTATGTGAATGTGCTCGGATATACTGTGGAGTAGAATGCAAAATACAAAGTGGATGTTGGTGAAAGTGGCAGAGTTAGGGCTGGGCACAGTGGTTCATGCCTGTAATCTCAGCATTTTGAGAGGCCGAGCCAGAAGAATCACTTCATCCCACAAGAGTTAGAGACCAGCCTGGGCAACATAGTGAGACCCTGTCTCTGGTAGGGGTTACCCCATCTCTGGTAAAAAAAAAAAAAAAAAAAAAAGTTGCCAGGGATAGTGGTATGTACCTGTAGTTTCAGGTACTCAGGGGGCTGAGGCGGGAGGATTGCTTGCATTTGGGAGGTCAAGGCTTCAGTGAGCCATAATTGCACCACTACACCCCAGCCTGACAAGACTGAGACTCTGTCTATTTAAAAAAAAAAGGAAGTGGCAGAGTTAGGACCTCTGAAAAGTCTCTCCATAAAAGCAATGAGAAAATTGACAAAAATTATCAGAGCCAATTTTTTTTTGAACTTTGGAAATTAAATTGCAACAATCCAAGTAGTGTTAATATTTAAGAAAAGTGGCAGAATCCTGGTAAGAAAAAAAGCTTTGTGACATTTTAATTTATCCTAGTCCCATCCCCATGGTAACCTTGAAAAATTAAAGCGTACACTAACAGTGAAAATTAGCATGGTGGCAGCCACCTAAGGGAACAGAATTGGCCTGGAGCTCGTTAAAGGCCCATTACCAGAGAGCTGTCATTATTTGACCTGTCTGGTGATTCTCTGGAAGATCCCCCTTTGTAAGGTTGTCTGTATTTGACCTGACTCTGAACTTACACAGTGTGAAAAGCTCTTTTCCAGGGCCATTTATCAGAAACAATTACAGCCAAATTGATTAACTTCATGGATGCCTGAGGGAGTAGAAAACAGCTGGGGCAAATAACAGACCAACCAAAAAGCTTAAAATGAAAAGTTGGGGAATAGGATATCTACAGGGGGCATTGAAAAGCTCTGAAATATTCCTGGGAATCAAGAAGGTCATGTTCTTGTGTAAGGCTGTGAGCATGCCCAGGATTGACCTGAAAAAAACCTGAGAAGGTCCTAAGCTCTCATCTCTGGCTCCCCTGAGACTCTGTGCAATCAGGAAGTGAAGGCTAAGGCAGAGTTGTAAACTGCCTGGCTGAGGGTTGCAGGCACGCCTAATGTACACAAAGAGCCCCCCAGCAAAGACTGGGAGACTTATTTGTTTCAGATGTTTTTAGGAAGTCTCTGTTCAATCATTAACTGATCACTAGGCTAAATGAGCAGAGACTTCATTGCTACATACAACAAAGAATACAGACTATGCAGAATTAGTTAAAAAAAATACACTAAATAGGCTGGGTGCAGTGGCTCATATCTATAATCCCAGCACTTTGGGAGGTTGAGGTGGGCAGATCACCTGTTGTTAGGAGTACAAGATCAGCCTTGCTAACATGGTGAAACCCTGTCTCTACTAAAAATACAAAAATTAGCCAGGTGTGGTGGCACATACCTGTAATCCTGGCTACTCGGGAGGCTGAGGCACAAGAATTGCTTGAACCTGGAGTTTTCAGTGAGCTGAGGTCATGCCACTGCACTCCAGCCTGGGCAGGAGTGAGACATCATTTCAAAAAAGAAACAAACGAACAAAAACCCCCAAAACACTAAACAAACAAAATGAAAACAACTACAAAAAACAACAAAAACCATAAACCTTGGAGAGATAATTTGATTTTCAGAGCTGCCATAATATATTATTTAAAATGTCTAGTTTTCAACAAAAAATAAGAGCATGGAAAGAAATAAGAAAGTATGGGCCATTCATGGGAAAAAAACAATCAATAGAAACTGTTCCTGAGAAAGCCCAGATGTTGGACTTACTAGACAAAGACTTTAAATCAGCTACTTTAAATATGTTCAAAGGATTATATATACAAAAATATGCATTTTATACATATTTGGTTATATATTATATATAATTATATTTTTTATACATATATATATTATTTACATATATATTATATATACTTGGTTCTATAGATATAAAACCAAATAGAAGTTATGGAGTCAAAAAGTACAATAACTAAGAAGAAAATTCCATCAGAAGGCCTCAACAGCAGATTTGAGCAGACAGAAAAAAAATCAATGCACTTGAATATATGTCAGTTGAGATTATCTAGTCTGAAACATAGAAAGAAAAAAGAATGAAGAAAAATAAACAGAGCCCCTGCCAGGTGCGGTGGCTCACTCCTATAATCCCAGCACTTTGGGAGGTTGAGGTGGGCGTATCACCTGAGGTCGGGAGTTCGAGACCGGCCTGACCAACATGGAGAAACCCTGTCTCTACTAAAAATACAAAAATTAGCCAGGTGTGGTGGCGCACGCCTGTAATCCCAGCTATTTGGGAGACTGAGGCAGGAGAATTGCTTGAACCCAGGAGGCAGAGGTTGTGGTGAGCCAAAATCAGGCCATTGCACTCCAGCCTGGGCAACAAGAGCGAAACTCCATCTCAAAAAAAAAAAAAAAAAAAAAAAAGAAAAGAAAAAGAAAAAGAAACAGAGCCCCAGAGACCGAGACCTATGGGCACCAATAAACACACCAATGTATGCGCAGTGGGATAGAGGGAAAAGGGCAGGAAAAATATATGAAGAAATATTGGGTGAAAAATTCCAACATTTGATGAATAATTGTCTATACATCCCAAATGCGCAACCAACTTTAGAAAAAATTCAGAGTGAACCACAGCTAAACAAATCATGATCAAGTTGTTAAAAAACAAAGGGAAAAATCTTGAAAATGGTGAGAGAGAAATGACTCATCATGTGCAAGGGATTCTCATAACATTAAAAGCTGATTTCTCATAAGAAACCATGGAAACCAGGAAGCAATGGGATGATATATGCAAAATGGTAAAACGAAAAAAAAAACCTGTTAAACAAGAACTATATATTCAGCAAAACTATTCCTTAAAAATGAGAGGAGATGAAGACATTCCCAGATAAACACAGGGAATTCATCACTGGGAGAGCTGCCCTGCAAAAGATATTAATGGGAGTCTCTCAGGCTAAAATAAAAGAAACACTAGACAGTAACTTGAATCTATATGAAGAAATAAGGAGCATTGGTAAAAGTAACTACATAGGTAAATATAAAAGACAGTATAAGTGTATATTGCTAGTAATTCTTTTTTCCCCATCTCATCTGAAAGACAATTGCATAAAGCAATAATTAGAAATCTATGTAGAAATACTTTTAAATAATACAAAGTATATTTTCTCCCCCAAACAAAATAAAATTAAAATCAATAACAAATGAATTTGAGAAATGCAGAAATATGTAGAAATTAACCATATATGCTCAAATAAGCAATAAGAAATAAGTGCAATCTATAGAGACATTGATTATTTAATCAATGGCTCAAAGAAGTAATTACAAGATAAATTAGAAATACCTTGAGATAAATGAAATAAAGATACAGTATACCAAAACTTATGGGAAACAGATAAAGCAGTGCTTAGGAAGAAATTTATAGCTGTAAGCACCTATGTTAAAAAACATGAAAGATCTCAAATCAACAACCTAATCTTCCATCATAAGACACTGGAAAAAGAAGAGCAAACCAAACAAAAAGCAAGGAGAAGGAAGAAAGAAATTATAACAAAAATCATAAATACATAATGTTTTCAAGGTTCATCCATGTTGTTGTATGAATCAGTGCATTTTTATGGCTAAATAATATTCCTTGTATGAATATACCACATTTTGTTTATCCATTCATCAGTTGATGGATATTGGGTTGTTATCAACTCTTGACTAATATAAATAATGGTACTATGAACATTCATGTAAAGGTTTTTGTCTGGGCATGCTTTCATTTCTCTTGGGGGCATGCCTAAGCGTGAAATTGCTGGGTAAAATAACTAATTTCTCGAGAAACTGCCAGACTCTTCTAAAGCGGCTGCACCATTTTATGTTTCCACCGACAGTGTAAGAGGGCTTCAATTTCTCCAAATCCTCATCAACACTTGTTATTATCTGCTTTTTAAAGTCTAGCTATCAGGACGGGTGTGGTGGCTCACGCCTGTAATCCCAGCACTTTGAGAAGCTGAGGCAGGCGGATCACCAGAGGTTGGGAGTTTGAGACCAGCCTGAACAACATGGAGAAACCCTGTCTCTACTAAAAATACAAAATTAGCCGGGCGTGGTGGTGCATGCCTGTAATCCCAGCTACTCGGGAGGCTGAGGCAGGAAAATTGCTTAAATCCGGGAGGCGGAGGTTGCAGTGAGCTGAGATCACGCCATTGCACTCCAGCCTGGGCAACAAGAGCAAAATTCCATCTAAAAAAAAAAAAGAAAGAAAAAAAAAATCTACCTATCCTATGTGGTTCAATTTATATGAAATATCCAGAATAGTGCCATCTATAGAGATACAAAACAGATCTGGAGCTACAGGGGATGGAGCGATTGGGAGGGGTATTGGGGATGGAGCAATTGGAGGTGGTTTCTTTTTGGAGTAATGAAAATGTTATAAAATTGATTGTGGTGGTGGTTGCACAATTGTGTGAATACACTAAAAGCCATTGAATTGTACACTTTAAATGGATGAATTGTATGGTATGAGAATGATGTCTTAAGCTGTTAAACAATACATGTGAATATCTTTAGGAGAAAACTTGAAACTCCAGGAAACTCTGACCCTGTGGATGGCCCTGTCAATCTGCATGTCCCATGCTGGGACAGAGGTGAGTCCAGAAGTCTAGGCAAAGTTATCAAGATGAGGGTAAACTTTCTACTGCTATGCAGCCCTTGGGGGCCGGGGTCCCCCGAGCTGTCAGGATGCCTCAGCCCAGACCCTTGGAATTAAAGAGGCCTGTTGGCTGGACGCACTTCCAACTCCGGCACTCTCAGAAGAGGCTTCCTGGAGCCCCTCGGCTTTAATCCCCGGCTGCAGTGTGAGCCGGGCTCACTTGCTAAGCTCAGGAACTAAGCAGGCTGAGGGGCCAGCTCATCTTTCCCCCAGGACGTGCAGCCACAGGGATCCTGGGCCCTCCCTGCATGACATGCTGCTAAGAATAGCGAGAGGACAGTATGTGTGTCTCTGAAGATCTTTCTGCGAGTCAGGAAGTATTTACAGCCTTTCCTGGAATAGAGCTCCTCCATCTGCAGTACTGCTTGGGAGTGCCTTGTGGTCTCTCCCTTCAAAATCCAGCCTTAAATTCCCCTCCTCCAGGAAGCATACCTTGACTTAACCAAACCTCCCTGGTTGAATTTTTTGAATGACTAAACCTGAATTAGGCTGATGAACTGGTCAGCACCCTTTGAGAAGCAGGTTTGTTGGGCTGTGAGGAAGGGCTCTGGCCCCAGCATTTCCTCTCCAGTCTACCCATCCTCTTTTTGGACAACCTGATGTACACGTAAGTATTAGTTACAAATCTTTGGTTGCAAGTGACAGAAACCCAAGCCAAACCTGGGTAGTAGCCAGGGTGATGGAACCAGGAACTCACTGCTACCAGCACACCATCTCCCCTGTGGCCTGGATGTTGCCTTCTCTTCCATGGCACACTGGGCTTTTCCATACAGCCAAGGAGATGGCTGTAGAAGCTGGTTTGCCTCCTCTTGTATTGGACGCCTAATGGGCTTCCTCCTGGCTCCCGAGTTGAAAAATCCCTGGGAAGGGCTCTAATTGGCCCTACCTGAGTCAGGTGCTCTCCTCTGAACCAATTGCTGAGCTCAGGAGGCGGGTCAGACTACCTGGTGGAGGGGAGGCGCAAACCCTCGCAAGAGGGATGCCTGGTAGAGGAGTGCGAGTGGGGCTGGGTGCACCGGCGACGGTATTGGTGCCTGGTACTTCCCTGATTCTGTGCCGTGGGAGCTGTTCGGGATGTTAAACTCCTGGGAGATCAGGCTGAGGACGACAGTCACTACTTGTGCCTGCGCAGCATCCTCTTTGCCATAACAACGACCCCAGTTTCCTCTGGAGACCACCCTGTTGGCAGCCATGTGTTCATGGGGCCTAGGAGTGGAACACGTGGCCGGGACCATCAGCCAGCACAGTCCCTTTCCTGTGACCACAGCCCCGGCTCTCAGCAGACTGCCAGCACCTTGAGGGCAGGGTCTGCATGCCACTCAGCTCTGGGTGCGGCACAATGGTGGCTCCCAGACCTGGCCTACCTGACAAACCCCCAGGGGCCCCTGCCCAGGGCTGGTCCCAGGCATTTATATTTTTAATAAGCTCTGTAGGGAATATGAATAATTAGTTTTGGGAATGGTTGCTGCATGGTGTTTGTATACAGTAAGTGCTTTATAGTTGCTGGTGTAATGGGAAAGACTGGAGTCAGCTTCCCAGGAGTGATCATCCTGGCTGTCTTTGAGTTGCCCATGGACACAGAGCTGCCAGGACCCTCTTTGCATGTTTTGAGGTGGTCCTGTCACTCTGGGTGGGCAGACCCTGGCCCTCCTTGTTGGTGAGATGGCACTTGCTGACAGGATCAAGACCTTCCAATTCCAGGAGCTGGAAGAACCCCAGAGGGTTGGGACACTTGAGAAGACAGCCAGCTTGAAATGGGCTCACCCAATTAGTTCCAATCGGGCCACCTCAGGATGACTCAGTTAGAATGTCAGGGCCTTCTAAAATTAATCACAGCTGCCTCTGAAATCAGCACCTTGCATGAAGTCCCCAGCCCCTCTTGGCCCCACAGAGGTCTTGGGAACTTGAGGGAGCTGGTTCTGGCCCAGCACCATCTCTCAGCCCCTCAGACATTCATCTGAATTTAGATTTGCTAACAGGCAGTTTTCCTTCTGCTTTTCCTTTTTTTTTTCCTTCTAATCCTCTCCCTTCTAACTGCAAGCAAAGGCTATTTTTATGACCAGGGGTTTCATTTCTCAAAAGGAGGATGACAGGAGGTGGATATTTTAGTACAGTGTCCTAAGCTCTCATTAATGGAAGTTGGGTACAAATTTAATCCAATATATTCAGTTTTTCTTCCTCTCAAGATGGGTTTTTATTTCTTCTGAATAAAAAGGTTGACTATGAACATTGTAAATTCAGGTAATACAGGAAGTTCTACAGAAAAAAGGAATAATTGCTGGAAATCCCTTATCCAGAGAGAAACAATTGTTGGCATGTTGATGCATACTTATAAAAAACCCTCCCAGTGCTTTTCAAAAAACCCCCTAAAAGTCCATAGACTTGAAAAATAAAAATGCATAATTTGCATATATGGAAATAAATGATAATTCCAAGAAAGTCTTTGGCTTCTTTGTGACAAGAAAGTCTGTTGGAGGAAAGAAATCAGCTATTTGGAGGCTCTACATCAATGTCACTTTTAACCTTTCTCTCTGTCTGATTGTTAGATTATAAATTTAAATTTAATTCTTCTAGAAGACAGTTGGATTCATGTATATATACAAAAAGACAAACCTGCCGCGGCTGCAGCAAATACAATGGTAGGAATTTATCTTAGAGCAGAGTTTCCCAAGCTTTCTTGGTTCTTGGTGCCTTTAGTGTTTCAGAAATGTTTTCATGGCTTTTCCTAGGCCAAAAGAAGCACCTAATAGTTCCATTTAAGTAGTTAGGTCCAAACAACAATTTAGTAGTTGTTTTAAAAAAGTAATACACAGAATTTGAAAGAATTTTTTTTTTATTTCATACTTAAGTAACATCAGATGGCAACAATGGCCAATAGGAGGCAATGGAACAATGTCTTCAGTATTCCGAGGGACAGAGATTTGCGGCTTGAAGGACTGTTCATCAGAGGGCAGTGCCTGCCTCATCTGCATGCTGCCAGCACTGCTCCAGGGCTTGGCTCAGCCAGAGTAAATGCTCAATGCATCTGTGCTGAATAAGTGAATAAATAAACAAATGGATGAATGAATGAATTTTTAGGGTTGTCACACTTTCCAGTTTTTCTTCAAAGTCCTTGAAGAAGAAGGCGTTGGTCCCTGAAGCCCCAGCCTTGAAAGTTTCCTCTGCATCAGGAGCCAGGAAGGCCCTGGGGCAGACGGCCCAGGAGAGAGCACCGGGTGGGCAGGCCCAGGAAATCAGTAGCCCTTTGCTTTCAAAGCCTGGTTTGGAAGAGAGTATGATTCAGTGGTTAAGAGGCCACAGACCTGACTCCAGAGTCTCCCTGTGTCTCAGTTAAATCATCTGCAAAACAGGAATAACACTAGTCTCTGTTCTCATAGCGAGAATGACCTGTGTGTGTCTAACAGCTTCCTGGTACACAGCGTTCCTTAAATACTAGCTTTAATATTAGTGGTTGATCTCTTAGAACAACTTTCTGCTCTCTAAAATGGAAATGACAACATTGAGCTCTCAGTAAGAATTAGAGGCAACACTTGTGGGTCGGCCTCGTCTCTCCTCCGCCCACTGTGAGATGTGAGAAGGCTGTGATGGGCCTGTCTGTGCTTTCCCTGCGGGTCCCTGTCTCTCTCTGAACTTTCTCTCCTGACCCTCCTGGTTTCCACACTAAAGAGGAACAGGAAGTGAAAGCAATAAAAGTGGGAAAAGGGCCTTTTTCTTTAAATTAGGGATGTGCTCTGATGTTCACCTCCTCTGTGAATTTTTTTTTCTTTTTGAGATGGAGTCTTACTCTGTGACCCAGGCTGGAATGATCATGGCTCACTGTAGCCTCAACCTCCTGGGCTCAAGTAATCCCACCCCAGCCTCCTGCGTAGGGCTACAGGCGGTGCCACTACACCTAGCTAATTTTATTTTTGTAGAGACAGGGTCTCACTATGTTCCCCAGGCTGATCTCAAACTCCTGGGCTCAAGCAATCCTCCCACCTCAGCCTCCCGGTGCTGGGATTACAGGCATGGGCCACCGTTTCCAGCCTGTGAATTGATCTTGATTTGGGTTCTTTGAGAGCAGCCAGCAGGCTGTGCTGTGTCTGACATGTAGAATTCCTGGATAGCAAGGCTTAGAAGCAGGAGAACTAGCTCTTGTAAGATCCTGGCTCTGGTCACTCCTGTTCATTCCAGAGCTGAGGGATCCAACTGACCCTCTGTCTCCACTACCCTTGACTGCTCACTCCTGGAAATTCACCAGTCTACATGTGCTCTGCAGAGGTGAGAGGACCTTTGGAGGAGCAGAAGGATGGTGGCTGTGGAAAGCTGGTGACCCTCAAGTCCACTTACAACGGAGATGGCTGTGTGTGTGACATCCCCTTAGTGCTAGACTCAAGCTAATCCTTTGGGGAATGTTTGAGGTGGACCAGGGGCCCTCATTTTTTTCTCTTTTATACAGGTTAGGACTCCTAGGACATCAAGTGGTAACTCATCATTATCACCATCACACAGCAGCTGGAACCAGCAGCCTCACCAGGCCTTTCTCCTTTAATAATGACAAACATGGTGTGCAGTCTGGGCCACTTAATCCTGTTCTGCAGATGGGGACTCTGAGACATAAAGAGGTAAAGATCATGCAGGTGACAAAGCTAGCTGAAGATTAGTATTATGAGATATGAGAATAGTAACTGAAGGGTTGATTTGTAAATGTGAAAAATTGGAAATCAGCCTTGATTTCCAACAATAGGGTATTGATGTGTAATACAACCACACAGTAGGGTATTGTATAGCGACTAAGAATGATACAGCAGTATTTGTTGACCTGGGAACATTTTTCACAATATGCTTTAAAAAAAGATAGATAAGTGCTTATTAATAATATAGGTACAGGGACTCAAGTCAAAGTGGGGATATATTCTAAACTCTGGCGACCAATTTCCTAAACCATGTAGTTTTTGCTATAGAAAACATCTAGCTGTGGGTCTACTTGTAATACTCAGTATATTACCTTATTTCATATGCCATTTATTTTTTCTTTATGAAAATGGTGTCATTCATCTTTATTAATGTAGTTGAAATTCATAAACTTTCTGTGTGAATCATTTAATCAAGAAAAATGTGTTACGGGGATAGATTTTATATAAATGAGAATGAAATGAAATGTTTCATTAAAATATGTAAAAGTTGCCCAGTATATCTTAAGGAGAAATCGTATGTGTATAATATTATTGTATTTTTGTAAGATAAAACAAATGTTGTAAGACCTTAAAAATATTGTTAGGAGAAAAAAATACACGTATGCATAGAAAAATGTCTAGAAGGATAAATGCTAAAATGTTCATCCTGGACCTCTGCAAGATGGGGCTATGGGTGATTTTTTACCCCTTCCTTTATTGTTCACCTGTATTTTCTAATTTTTCAATAACGTTCATGTGTTACTTATTTAGAAAAGACAGGAGATGAATGTTTAAAGTGATGGATATGGTAATTACCCTGACTTGATCATGATACAATGTATATATGCATTGAAACATCACACTGTACCCCATAAACATGTATGGCTATTATGTATTAGTTATAAATAAAATATTAATAAGAAATAAAAAGATAAGGGGGGTACTGGGCTGGGAGTAAGGAGACTGCATTCTGACAGCAACTCTGCCTCTAACTGACTGTGTGATCCTGGGCAAGTCCTTTCCTTTCTGGTTTTCGAGTCTTCATCTGTAACACGAGGGGTTGTTAGCAGACAGGAAGTTCCGCGAGAGCTGGGACCATGTCTGTTTTGTTCTGGCAGTGTCTGTAGCACAGGCTATGCTCTGTGTATACTACATTAACGAGTGTGTGCATGAGTGAATGGAATTAGCGGCTGTGATCATTGGGAGAGTTTTGGAGACATGGCCTGCTGCAGTGGTCCTCCAGTGTGTTCCAGAAGCAGAAGCCCGGGAGGTTGTAAGGCTTTTTCTGGATGCTTTGGAAAAATCACGGGGCAGAGCTTTGCATTCGACTTACCCGCATGGGACGGCAGTGGGCTTAGTGTTGAACAGAGTTGAGTTAGGGACGTAGTGCTGCTCTTTGCCGGCAGTGAAATCTTGAGAAAATTTTGTATTTTTTTCTCTAAGCTTGTCTCCTCATTTGTAAATTGAGAGTTATTACTAATACCTAGCTCATAGGGTTGCTCTGAGCACTTGAAAAATCTATTTAGAAATTAGCTAAAAATGGCAGACTGAACCCCAACCACTTTTTCCTGTCCCAAACCCTTAGAAATACCAGAAAAAATAAATACATGTCATCCAAAAATGTTCTAGGAGACGAGAAGGGGCCTCGGTGGATTTAAAGTTGCGAGGAATTATTGAAAGAAGGAAATTGGTGGGGTTGAAAGGAAGAAACCACTGCCCAAAATACGTATAGGGAGACCTGCTGTCATAGGCAGTTTTGAAGGGAATTTAAGCTTGAAGATGGTGAATGGGGTGGTGGTGACTGGTAGGTCGTGGGTTAGGATGTTGCAGTAGGAACCACAAAGCCAGCCAGCTATCTACTCCTCCCACCACACCTTTCCCACTTAGCCAAATAGCAGGCAGCAGGGATCTCTGTCTCCCTCCTGCCAGTGTGAACGCCCAGCCTAGGGAGGCAAGGTGACACTCTGGACAAACGGACCTCGGATGCAGGCACACCACGTCCACCAGCTTGTTTTCCACCCACGGTCATCTCTCCCACACCGTGGCTGGAGGCATCACCCATAGACTGGGTAACAAAGAACCTCAAACACAAGACGAGCACACACCAGAGCCGCTGAACACTGAGGAAAGCACTGCCATGACTGGGACGCAGAGCACAGGAAACAGACTGATACCCAGATAAACAGCAAGCAGAGCACACGGACGAAGCACAGTTAATCTCAGAAAGCTGTGAGAGGAAACGGTGTGAGGCCTTAGAAATAAAAAAGAAGACGCTCAAAGGTATATTCAAAAAGGGGCTTTTGGAGTATGATCAGACTGGATGTAGGTCAATAATAGCATATTAGTGAACTGGAAAATCAAATTGAGGACTTCATCTAGAATGCCCCGCAAAAAGAAGAGATAGAAAGCATAAAATAAAAGTGAGGATATATGAAGACTAGATTCAGAAATGTTAATACCTTTTAAATAGGAGCTCCAGAAAGAGGGACTAGAGAGGTTGGATGTGGGGAACGCTAAGATTAATAGAGAAGGAAATTTCTCAAGTCTACAAAAGACAAAAGTCCTCATCCTGAAGGGGCCCACTTCATGACAAGCAGAACAGAAAATGATAGACTGGCTGGGCTGAAACTTAGAACATGAAGGATGGAGAAAAGGAAAACAGATTACTCCTAAGAGAAAGCAGACTAATATTAGATTTAGCTACAACACTGCATGTTGGAAGATCTTCAGAGACCCAGGGGAAATATTTTTAGAGATCTAAGGGACACATGTTTGAATCGGCTAAAGCCATCATTCAAGTGTGAAGGTAAAATATGTAAAGACAATTTCAGACATCCACAGATGAGAAAATGAGTCACCTTCCATCCTACCTGTAGGAGGAGGTACTTCAACACAATGAAAATAAATCCAAGAGAAAGCTACAGATTCAAGAAGCAGTGGTGAGTAAAGGAATTAGAATTTGCTGCTAAGTCTAAATGGAACTGGAACTAAAAGCTCAAGTGGTATTAACATTGCAGGTGGGGAGGAGAAGGAGAGGAAGGAAGTCCAAGTGGGCTAAGGTTTGTGCTTTGCCGAGCATAATGACAAGGGGCACTACACTTACACAGGCTATAAGGGAAAATAAAATAATGGACAGATGTTGGAGTTAAAATTTAAAGGTAAGCACTTAATCAGAAATTAAATGAAGAAGAGCTGGTCAATTGATAAAAAAGGAAAACCGTGGGGAAAAGTAGAAAGCATGGTACATATATTAATAAATATAAAACAATATGGCAGAAACAAGCTTTGACATGTCAGTAATCACAATAAATGGGAATGGTTTGAATTGTCTCATGAAAAACAACAAATCAGGAGGAAAAGAAATCCCTAAAATGCAGCTACATGCTATTTCTGAGATACAAAGAAATAATGACAGAAAAATTGAAAACGAAAGGATGGAAAAAAGGTACATCAAATATATGCTAACAAAAAAGGTAACAAGTTTAATAATGTCATAAAAATGGAATTCAAGGCAAAACAAAAGGAAAAAAGAAAATATTTCATAATGATGTAACAATTATGAACTTTTATTCATCTAACAACCTAACATCAAAGTATTGGGAGAAAAGCACACCATGCTGTTTTGTTTACTATAGCCTTGTAGTATAGTTTGAAGTCAGGTAGCGTAATGCCTCCAGCTTTGTTCTTTTTCCTTAGGATTGTCTTAGCTATGTGGGCTCTTTTTTGGTTTCAGATGGGCTCACAGGAAACTGGTCACAGTGTCTACTCCCAGGGAAAGAATCTGGGTGATTGGGGGATGAGAAGAAGAGACTGTTCTTCTACTCTATGCCCATTGGTACCTCTTAAAATAGATATTTCTTTGACCCAAAATGGAGATAAAATGCATAGGTACTGGAAAGGAAGAAAATTGTTTTATTAGCAGATGGTACAACCTTCTACTTGGATACCCAAGAACATTATTTGGCAAATGATTAAAATTAATGAAGGAATTTAGCATGCTGGCTAGGTTACAATAGCAACAAGCTAATGTAGGCCTTTCCTATGTTCCAGCAATAATCAAATTGAAAATGCCACCACCACCACCACAGTCCACTATTAGGGATTTACTTTCTTGAGCAGGCTGCTCTTTCAAACTGAAACTCTCCAGAAAAGCCATCTTGAATCTCCTGATGCCTCAGCTTGAACGTCTGTCTCTGGGGTGGCCGGGGCAGATGGGAGAGCCTAGCCCTGGGTGGAACCAGGGAGGAGGGATGGGGTCCAGAGCGGATACAGCCAGGGGCTGTGAAGACCTTGTTTCTGCCTTGAGTCTCCCTCGCCCCGGAAGAGTTGCTGTTTTAGGCAGGACTAAGTGCTGGCACACAGAGTGGGGGTCTGGGAGGCCCCCGGAGGAAAGTGAAGAGGGCATGCAGCCGCAGTCGTGGGACCCTGCTGTTGGGCAGTGGGAAAGGTGGCTGTGGCCAGTCGACCCTCCAGGCCTCCACCTGCCCGAAGCGCATGGCTGAGCACAGGGCAGAGTCCGAGGAAGGGAGGGTACATCCCAGCAGAAGGGTTAATGCCTAAACCAGTGGCTCTCAATCTCTGGTGCCCCCAGGGCCACTGTGGGGTGGGGGGTGGAGGTGGGGGTGGGATGTCTGCCTGAAAGGCCAGCGGGCAGCCCCAGAAGCTGACAGTGAGAAAGGCAGAGCAAAAAGATGTGCAAACCCCCAGGGTTGTGCCCCCCACCCTGCTGCCCCTGCCCCCGCATCCACCCCTGGCATCCTGTTGCAGTGAGGCCAAATGCCCTGGGGCTGGAAGTCCGTTTGGGCGAGGGTTCATGACAGGATGTTCTCAAAGGTGTTCCTCCTCACTGGCTGGTGCTGCTGCATAACTAGGCTCAGCCTGTCTGCTGGGCGAGTGGTGGTGACCAGTGACCTGCGTCCCACCCTGAACTTGGAAGACAGCTGTCTGCGAGCGCGGCTGAGGAGATGTGCCCAGCACTCTGTCCTGTGGCCAGCAGGGTAGGCCGTGCCCACACCCCCACGCGTGCGGAGTGGCTCTATGGGAGGCGGCCTCAAGGAATGGGTCGCCCCCAAGAAAGCTGATGTGACAGACACACCATGAGTGACAGGCCTAGTCCGCAGACACTGTCCTTGTCACACCCTGCCATCTAGGTGGATGTGAGGAATGGAGCTGAAGGAAGCGTGTGAAGAAACCCTGAGAGGGAGCGTCAGCATCTGGACATAGCTCCAGGACAAGGGCCGTGGAGTTTGGCCAACCATTGCCCTTTGCACTGAGTTGGTGTCACCCAGAACTTCCGAGTGGTCCTCTGGCTTCCTGTGGCAATGCCCCTGCCGCGAGAGGACGCGGCAGCTGCAGAGAGAGGGACAGGCCCCCGGCAGCAACATTCTCTTTGTCAGTTCATGCGCTGGTGTCTGGCTGGTGCTTGCGTTGTGATGAGCCCCCGGGCCTGTCCCCTGGGACTGGTTGACATCAGGGGCCCTTTGAGCTTGCCAGGGTGAGCCCTCCACATGGCATGCTGCCCACTCCCAGGCCAGTCCATCTTCTTCTGCTCTCCCAGCACCCCTCTGTGGGCTCGGGCCACGGTGCTGCAGGGGCTCTGAAGCGGGAGGGTGCTTTGGCCCTTGACTGGAGGGGCAGGTTCCTCCTCAAACTGCCTCCTGTCTTTCTGCAAGAAAAGCAGCTGCAGCCCAGTTCTGCAGGAGATTATTAGTATGTCAGGGACTTCAAAGGCTGAAGGGAAAGTTGCCACAAGCCCCATGACCAGCCTCCACTGCAAATTAGGCCTCGCTGGTGACCTAGGCACCAGGGACAGGCAGGTCTGAGGCTCTCAGAGGCTGCCCATGATGCTGCCCTGGCTTTCAGACCAGGACTTCTCCAGTGTCTCCCAGGGTCATCCTGGGAGTTAGTCAGGTCAAAGGTGAGATCCCTCAGCTCCCACACCCCACCCACACTGACCTAGCAATGTCCTTCCTGCCCTGCTTCTCTTCCGTCCCCATGGGGGCTAACACCCCTCCTGCACCCCTGGAGCTCCTGTTCTGTGGCTAAGATGTGGTTCCAGCATTAATCTTTGGGCAGACTTCCAAATCTTCCTTCCCCTATGGGTGGAAATGGACACTAGACCTTCCTGTAAGTCCCTTGGTCACCCCAGCCCTGTCTGTTCCATCTTGGGCATGGAGATGGGGTCAGCAGACTCCAGCTTCCCGCATGGCCCCTTTCAGGCCTTGGCTCTTCCTTCCTCATTCCTCCCCACCCCGTCCTCCTGTACGCGCATCCCACCCCAGGATGCCTCCTCTCTCCGTCTTCCCCCGTCTCCCACCCCACACCCTTCTCTGCTCCTGGATGCCTGGGCCCCTCCCACCCCAGCATCAGGGGCCAGCATGGCAACTGCTCACGTGGCCTCTCTGATGCTCACGATTCCCTGACTTCCCACCTTGTACTGGGCACTGGCAGGCACTTGCCCGCCTCATCTCATTTCTTCTGCATCAAAGGTGGGCCTGCTCTGCCCTAGGTGGTGACCGATGGATCGCTGCACGAAGGGTGAGGCCTTCATGCTGCTGGGGACTCTCAGGGCCTGGGTTTCGGGGGAAGAGGATGAGCAGGCCAACTTGTCAGGACAGGCATCCTGCAGTCCTGCAGCACAGTTAGGGGTTGGTGAGCTGGCTGTAGGATGCTGGGCATTGTCCATAGGTACTTCCTGAGCAGGCAGCTGAAATCTCCCCAGCCCTTCCCATCCTTCTGTCTTTCCCTCCCCTCATCCATCCATCCATGAAGCCATATAGCTTAGTGGCAGAGTCACAAACCCCTGCTCACAGGGCTACGTGGATACCATGAGTGAATGGAGTGGACCAGGAAGGGGGTGAAAAGTGGCCTTTGATTCTTGTCTTTGGTGTTGGAGGTACAATAGGGAGTGGTGAGGGCTGGGGCAAACAAGGCAGAAGAGTCTGATGTAAAGGGGTCAGCTGCTACCCAGCTCAGCCAATTATTCCCAGGAGGAAACATAAGCCCAGTGGAGCCTGATGTCCTAATTTTTCTAGAGAATTCAGAAATGTGAGATTTAATGTTAACTCTTCTGATTGCTAAATGTTGACAACAAATAAAATTTAAAACTCTGAGGAGGCCCCATGTGTGTGAATCAAGTGAAACCTGTGTACAGCCTGGAACCAGCCTGGGGCTAGCTCGCAGTCTCTGGCATGGGATCCAAACACAGGCGTTGCTGTCAGATTTAGACTTGTCTGACAGCAAGTCACTCAACCACTCCAAACCCCTGTTTCCTCCTCTGTAAGATGGGGTGAGATTCACCTACCCCACAGGGCTGGTGTGAAGGTTAGGGTAGATTATGCTTGAAAAGCACTGTGTACAACAGTCACCTAGAGTGCCTGCTCAAACGCAGGCAGCTGTCATTCTTATCATCTGTCGTGAGTGTCTGCTCTGGGCCTGGCCCAGTGGCAGGTGTGGCCTGTGAGGACTCTCCCAAGGCAGGGGCAGTCCCTGCAAGCCGGAGGCCGGAGGATGAGGGGGCCTTGTAGTCAGCATCGAGACTTCCCCTTCGCCTCTCCCTCCACCTTCCCGTTCCATCCTGTTTCTAGTCTTCTCTGGTTCCTTCTTCTGAAAGTAAAAAGGGGAAAAGGGTGTTTTTAAGAAGCAGAACAGAGATTTCTTTCCTTTTTAAAAACTCCTATTTAAAGTCCCAGTTTCCAGAAAAGTCAGCGTAAGTCACTGGCTATGCATAGGGAATAAAAGAAGTCATCTTAGTGGGGCTCAGGGGCGGGGGGTGGGGGGTCCCTGCACTCAGAAGCCTCTGCCCCTCCAAGTGTGTCTGCTCGGAGGGTGCTCTAGGGGATGAGGCGCTGCAGTTGGGGGGCAATTAGGTGAGTGCAGGGCCAGGAGACCCCTCGATTCCATCTGCACCCGTGGCAGGCTGTTCCCTTGCTGCTGGAGTTGGCCTCAGTTTCTGTTGTTTGCAACCAGAGGGACTTGTTTTGTTTCAGGGAACAGTGAGTGGCCCACATCCTCACAGACTGAGGAGGAGGTCACTGTGGGTCCCCAGTGGCTCCACTCTGGGTCTGAGCACCTCTGGGTCTCTTCTTGCCTGTTATGGTTTCATGGGGGCTATCAGGCAGGAGTGGGGGCCCTTGGACCTGCTGTGCTCCTGCCTGTGTGTGCTGCTCACTCCCGCACTCTCTCCTTCTCTCTCTCTCTGTCTGTCTCTCTGTCTCCCACTCTCTCTCTCTGTCCATCTCTGTCCCCCAGCACTCTGTTCTCTCCCTCCAGGGGTGCCTCCGCTTCCCACCTTCCACTTCAGTGTCCCTTGCCAACCAACTGATTTTCTTTGAGCTTCTCATTTAAAGAAGAAAGGAGCCTGAGGGGAAGAGGTCTGTAGACACGTCTTATCATCTGGGCTCAGCGCTATCATAAATCATGTCTGGTGCTGGCCTGCTCATGCATCGATTGCCCCAGACAAGAATATTTATTTTACAGAATTGTCTGAAGAACACTCATTTACTCCTAGCCCCAATGCATTCATGTCTGTATCCTTAGAGTCAGGTTCACATCAGAGTTCAGTGATTATCTGTTAAGTGGATTTGTTTGTGAGTGGTGGGTGTAAGCATCAATTAGGAAGGTTTTTGCTACAAGAAACAGAAAATTCTTTTGCTAGAGGCCAAACCAGCGAACTGGCTATGTTGGTTCAGCAAGCCCTGATGTCCGTGGAGTCCTGTCTGCAGGCCTCTTGGGTTTTGCTCTTGCTTGTTGCCTCATGATTTCAAAAGACTTGCTGTAGCTCCAGACATTGCATTTGTGTTCAAGGCAGCAGGGAGGGGGAAGAGAAGGTGCCAGCTGCATATTTCCCTTTAATCAAGAAAAGCATGCCAGGTGTGGTGGTTCGTACTTGCAATCCTAGCACTTTGGGAGGCCAAGGTGGCAGAATCACCTGAGGCCAGGAGTTCAAGACCAGCCTGGACAGCTTAGTGAGACCCCCATCTCTACAAAAAATAATAAAAAAAATTAGCTGGGTTTGGTGGCATGCACCTGTGTTCTCAGCTACTCAGGAGGCTGAGGTAGGAGGATTGCTTGAGCCTGGGAGGTCGAGGCTGCAGTGAGCCAGGATTGTGCCACCGGATTCCAGCCTGGGTCACAGGGTAAGACCCTGCCTCTTAAAAAAAAAAAAAAAAAAAGGAAAGAAAAAACAAACCTTTCCCAATTCTGGAAGATTTTCACTCAAGTCTCATTTCCCAGAACTGTGTCAAATGTCCACTCTGTTGCAGGAGAAGCTAGTAAAGCAAGTCTCTACCTTTCCCAGGCTCTTTAGGGGAGGTGGCAAGGGACAGGGGATGAAATCCTCACTTTTCTCTCTGCAGTCTGCCTTAGGTTCTCCTGCCCTCCTCTTTCTGATGGGACTGTGGGGTAGAGGCATTTTGGGGGCTTATCAGGAATGTGCCTGGAATACAGTACACGAAAGAGGAAAGCCAAGTGCAGAATCTGGGCCTGGGGCAGGCTCTTTGTGTTATTAGAGGTGTGACCCTCAGCTAGTTCCCTCCCCGGACCTTGGCTTTTGTCTCCTTACCGAGCTGTTGGATGGGGTGGTGTCTGAGAGCCCCTGTAGATCTTACGGTCTGGCTTCGTGAGGTCCTGTGTGGAGGCCAGAGGGAAAGAACACAGCGAAGGCCAAAAAGAAAAAATACGCATGTATCTGAGGATATATGCGTTGATAGAGATATATTTGTAGGCAGCTGGAACTGAAAAATGTTAGATTGAAGCATCCCCCGTGCTGGGTCAACCAGATGGAAGTGAGCAGGCTGTGGTTACGTGTGTGGCCGGAGCAGCAGCGCTCAGCACGCTTGGTGTGGCTGTCAGGCTCAGGATGGCTGTAGCGGCCATGGCTGGGCCAGGGTGTTGGGGGGCACAGGGCAGCATGGGCAAGCCCTTCACTCTGTCATGGGAACGCGTCAGGGCATCGGGGCTCCTTCCTCTCTGCCTTTTCTATTTTTTTTTTTTTTTGAGATGGAGTCTCGCTCTGTCGCCCAGGCTGGAGTGCAGTGGCGCCATCTCAGCTCACTTGCAAGCTCCGCCTCGCGGGTTCACGCCATTTTCCTGCCTCAGCCTCCCGAGTAGCCGGGACTACAGGCGCCCGCCACAGTGCCCAGCTAAGTTTTTGTATTTTTAGTAGAGACGGGGTTTCACCGTGGTCTCGATCTCCTGACCTCGTGATCTGCCCGCCTCGGCCTCCCAAAGTGCTGGGATTACAGGCGTGAGCCACCACGCCCAGCCTCTGCCTTTTCTTTCTAGGGAGGTGCTGATTTATTATTAGCCCTGAATCAGAACATCTGTTCTTTACTGAGCTTGTCTGTGTTTTCTGCTCTTTCTAAAATTGGACATGTATTATCCAAAATTGCAAAAAAAAAAAAAAAAAAAAAAAAAAAAAAAAAAAAAGCACACACACACACAGATACCAGAAGATATATATGTAAAATAAATCAAATCTTACCCTCATCATACGTTTAAATACCACTCACCTTCGGATCACTAATTGACTCACAAAAGCCAAGTCTGGGCCTGTGTTAGTATTTGTTGTCTTTCAGAGGAAAAAATTATCACTTACCCCAAATGTGGAAGTGTGGGCTTAAATTATATTTTAAAAATAGCTTGCTAAAATATTATTATTTTTAATTTGTGAGAATGATACAAGCTTCTTATAAAGAACTCATTTATAGAAATATTAAGAAACTAAATTTGTAAATTTTTAAAAACTAACTTTGTACATTTTCTTGCTATTCAGGAAAGAAGACTCTACAACAAACTTCACTGCGACATGTTTACTTGAAACTATGGCCTAAATGGTTTTGATTATTATGTCTTTTGAATGTATACAAATATAAAATTAAGCATACACTTCTTATGCTGATAGCTCTTATAATACTATAAAACCAAAGCACATTTAGAAATCATATATCAACAATTATACAAAACCAATAAAATACAAAATAGCAACATTAATTTAACATGAGGGCTGATAATGTTTTAATGAAAATGAACAATTTATAGTATCACTAGCAGGCATAAGGCTTTCTTTTATTTTATTGTTTTTTTTTCGTCTTTGTTCAGCAGGTTTAGTATTCTGACATATTCTAAGGTCAAAAAAATGAAAAACAAGTCTTAAACTTCGCTTGATAGTTTTAGTCCTCCGAGTAATATCAGTATTGTAATTTTGGAACTATTTGATGCATGTTGTAGGTGAAGGTAAATAAGTAAAAATACTAACTGAAACTAAGATTTTTTCAGCTTAAAGGAAAAGATATATGAAGATAAAATTAAAAAAACGTTAAAGGGGAAGAAACCCTATAATATTAAAGCTGAATTGGAAATATTAACATGGTTTTTCAAATGTCAATTTTCTGCAAACTACCTGGACTGGGTGGTTCATAAACAACATATATTTATTTCTTACAGTTCTGGAGGCTGGGAAGTCCAAAATCGAGGCACCAGCAGGTTTGGTGTCTCGTGGGGACCCACTTTCTTGTTCCTAGATGGCCGTTTTCTCTCTGTGCCTTCACAGATGGCAGAAGGCAGAAGGGAGCTCTCTGGGGTCTCTTTTGTATAGGCACTAATCCCATGACCTAATCACCTCCTAAAGACTTCATCTACAAATCCTCTCCATGGGGTGATAGGATTCTAACATGTGAATTTTTTCAGGGGACACAAATATTTAACCTATATGAATGAACCTGAAGTATGTCAGGAAAAAAGGGACCATTCTGTGTTGGAAAATTTCGTGTGTCACCTTAAACTATGGTGCCCAGTAGTTTTGTCAAACAGGAGTCTAGATGTTGCCATGAAGGTGTTTTGTAGATGGATTAACAGCTACAATCTGTTGACTTCAAGTAAAGGAGTTTACCCTTGATAGTGTGAGGGGACCTCATCCTATCAGTTGAAGGCCTCAAGAGCCAAAACTGGAGTTTCCTGGAGCAGAAGCCATTCTGCCTGATTGTAGCATAGAAACCTTGCTTGCATGTCCAGCATGCTGGCCTGCCCTACAGATTTCAGACTCGCCTGCCTCCACAAATGTGTGAAGCAAGTCCTTAAAAAGAATGTGTATATATATGTGTGTATGTATATATATATATATATATATCTCACACACAAACACACACACTCACATGCCCCTCCTTTGGGTTGTGTTTCTCTAGGGAACCCTCACTAAATCACTTTCAAAGACTAATAGGGGCATACCAAAAGGACAAGGAGCCAGCTAGAAGGGACTCCTGCTGGCCAGATTTGAGATAATATAATATGAGCATCAAAAAGAATAAGGACTGAATTGATTGGAAACATCGAATAAATAGAAATCCATGAGTCCATAGCAAGTTTAAAAAGAAAGAGAGAGAAAGAAAGAGGGGAAATCCGTCTTGTTTGCCCACATCGATGACTATTCTATCAATTCCGTATTCTGGAAATAAAGAGAAGGAATTAAGCATTTATACTATTTTTTAGCAAGAATGCTTTTTAGAAAGATTGACAGAATTAGAAAATAACCACTTGGCAAACCCCAGTGAAATAACTGATTTGGAAATCGATCATCCAGGGATGGTTAAGCCACTAGTTGGAGCTTGCTGGGGGTCAGGATACTTGCGTGGTGCCAAATGACCATCCCGCAGCTCATCTGCTAATTGCGAGATGAAAATAAACCTTGACGACGGAAGGAGCAGGTTGTCACCAACTCTGCCAAGTGATCAACCCGAATCTCATGAACAACGGGACCAGCTGACGTTAGGCACCTCCTGTTGTAAAGCAGTGTGAAGAGTGTCTGCTGAAAAGGATCCAGAGCTGACTTCCAGTTTATGATAAGTCCAGGCGAACAAGTTAAACCAAAGGCCAAGGAAACAACATTCAGAATATGGAACGTTCTTTAAGAAAACTGACCTGGTTTCCTCAAACAGGTAATATCATATCGTCTCAAAAGCTGGTGGGGGCTGTTCAAAACAGCCTAAAATATCCTAGCAACAAATCCAATGTGTGAACCTTAACTGAATCCTGTTTTTAACACCGTTAAAAACACCAGTGTGACAACTGGTAAAGTTAAATTAAATTTAATGTGGATTAGATATTAGATAATAGATATATTATTGTTAAATTTCTAAGGCGTGATAATGGCAGTGTGTTTATGTAGAAATTCTTATTCTTAGGAGTTGCACACTGAAATATTTATTTATGTATTTATTTATTTATTTTGAGACGGAGTCTCCCTTTGTTGCCCTGGCTGGAGTGCAGTGGTGCAATCTTGGCTCACTACAACCTCCACCACCCAGCTTCAAGTGATTCTCCTGCCTCAGCCTCCTCTGTAGCTGAGATTACAGGCGCACACCACCATATCCAGCTAATTTTTGTATTTTTTAGCAGAGACGGGGTTTTGCCATGTTGGCCAGGCTGGATTTGATCTCCTGACCTCAGGTGATCCATCGGCCTTGGCCTCCCAAAGTGCTGGGATCACAGGCATGAGCAACTACACCCAGCCCACACTGAAATCTTTAGGAGTAAAGTGTCACCTGCAATGAACTTTCAAATGGTTCGTATATATATTTATAATAAATATATAATTTTTCACCACAGATATGTGTGACAAAGTGGTCACAACTGTTGCATGGAGATCATGGGTATATGAGGGTTTGTTGTGTTATTTTTTCCATTTATTTATGTTTGAAATTTTCCATTAGGAAAAGTTGGAAAACAATCGGTAAAACCCATAAAATAAAATTAACAACATAAATTGAATGTGATGAAGGATATTGCTTTATTATCCTCTTTGCAGGGGTACAGGCTGTTGCTCTGTTTTAATTTACAGGTTTAGCTGGCATGCCCATAGAACTTGGTGTCAGGAGAAGACTCAATTCTCCAACTACTTTACCCAAACTATTGTGAAGCTTTTTTTTTATGGGGCATTATGAAGTTGTTTGGCCTTCTCTTGACTTGACGCCAACTTTGACATTATGAAATCTGCCCTGTTCTCTTACATTTACCTGGAGACACAGAATTCTACTCGGTGCCAGTATGATCTTAAACAGAAACTGAAATTCCACACAGATGTGGCCAACAGGACCTCACTGTCACGTGGTCAGGCAGGTAATCCAGGGCGCCTGCACCGGTTGCCTGCTTTGCCTCCACACTGGCAGCAGGGTGGTCAGAGTGCTGTGTCTGCTTTAATACTCACTTCCCCAGATCTCCTTGTTGCTAAGCATGGTGCGTGACCCAGTTCTGGCCAACAGGATGAAGGCAAAAGTCACTCATTGGGCGGGGCTTCTGGATGTCTGTACAAGGGACACCCTTGGGGGGCTGTCGCTTCAGCTCTTTACTTTTTGCCCCTCCCCTCCTCCCTAATTAATGCAGGAGGCACAGCAGCTGTCCTGCAGCTGTGAGGACAAATCTCTCACAAACTATTCTCAGAGAGACTGAGTTGGAAAACGGAAGGAACCTCTGTCCTTGATGACACCCCTGCACAATTGCATCTGCCCAAGGCTACCTTTCTGCAGACTTATTATTATATGGGAAAAATAAACTCTTGAGTGTTTAATCCAGTGTTCATTGACTTAACCTACAAAAAAGATCTTCTCAAATGATTCATTCAGAAAATACTGATGTTAAATGTTTAGATGATTATATATGGCATGAATATGGATGCGAAAATTCTTAACAAAAATATTAGCAAATAGAATTCAGCAATATATACAAAGGTTATACATGATGACCAAGAGGGATTTATTCCAGCGAGGCTGGTTTAATATTCAATCATATGATCCTATCGACTGATCTAGAAAAAGCATTCGGCAAAATTCAACACTAGTTTATGATGAAAACTCTCAGAAAACTAGGAATTTAGGAGAACTTCCTCAACTTGATAAAGAACATCTACAAGGAACCTACAGCTAATATACTTGGTGTAAGACTGGTGCTTTCTCCTTAACATTGGGAACCAGGCAAGGATGCCCACTCTTACCAGTGCTATTCAACATAGTACTGGAAGCTCTAGCCAGGGCAGTAAGTCAAGAAAAGGAAATTAAAGGCATACAGATAAGAAAGGTAAAAATAAAACTATCCCTATCTGTAAATGACTTGATCATCTAATAACAAATTCTAATGAAAGTAGTCAAAAAAGATCTAAATAAATGGAAGATATATAGTATTCATAGGTTGGAAGATTCAACACTGAAAAGATGTCAGTTCTCCCCAGACTGATATACAATGCAATTCCTGTAAAAATCCCAGCCAGAAATTTTGTAAATATAGCCAAAAATTTTGTAAATATATACAAATTTTATATTTGTAAATATAAAATTTAGGATTATCCTAAAATTTATATGGAAAGGCATAGGGCCTGGAAAAGTTATTCCATTCAACCAACCCAAACTATTCTGACACCAGTGAGGTGTACTGCAGGACAATTCTGGCAGAAGCTATCCAGAGTTAGCACAGATCTCACAAATTAAAGGGCATGGACCTCAACAAGGACTGCTTTCTTCCAGACACCAGCCACAGTGGGGTTCCCAGGACACCTGCACTTCTGACCAACTGGCTACAAACCTGGGGGGTTCCCATGACCTCCTCAGGTTCAAGAATTCACTAAAATGACACTCAGAACTCAGGAAACCACTATATTTATGATTACTGTTTTTTAAATAAGGGATACAAATCAGGAAAAGCCACATGAAGAGACACATGCGGAGAAGCCTGGGAGGTCCTGGATGTGGATCTTCTGTGCTCTCTCCCTGTGGAATCAAGATGCATCACCATCCTGGTACGCCAGTGTGTTAACTAATCTGAAGGCTCCACTGAGCTTCAGTGTCCAGACTTTTTTTGGAAGTTTCATCACACAGGCATGACTGATTGAATATGGATCATCTGATTGAATGCACTCTCCAGCCCCCTCCTTTCTGTGGAGTTTGGGCTGGCTCAAAGTCTGGACCCTCTAACCACATGGTTGGCCTTTCTGGTGACCAGCCCCATCCTGAGTCATTTCATCTCTCGTCATAAACCCAGGTGGGATCCAAGGCGCTTGTAAATAACAGACATTCCCGTTCCTTGGAAAATTCTGAGTAGTTAGTCTCCTTCCCAGGAACCAGGGACAAAAGCCAATCAAATTCTTTATTATACAATAGCTAGAGCAACTTCAAAAAGGAAGAATAAATTGGGGAAAACCTCTCTACCTGCTTTCATATAGGTACAGTAATTAACTCTACATGGGATCAGCAAAGGAACAGACACACAGATAAAGCAACAAAATAGAGAACCACTCCCAAAAAAGAGAATCCAGAAATAGCCCCTCAGAAGTGTTGCCAATTGATTTTTGACAAAGGTGCAAAGGTTATCAATGGAAGGATGATAGTCATTTCAATGACTGGTGCTGGAGCAATTAGGTACTGAGAGGCAAAAAAATAGACCTTGCCCTAAACTTCACATCTGTTGCAAAAGCTGACTCAAAATGGATCATAGATTAAACGTAAGTTATAAAACTAGAAATCTTTTAGAAGGCAATATATGGAAAAATCTTTTGGACCCAAGGCTTGGTGAAGAGTTCTTAAATATGACATCAAAAGTACAATCCTTGAAAGAAAAAAAATGGATCAATTGAATTTCATCAAAATTAAAAAATTTTGCTCTGCAAAAGACCCTCTTAGATGGATAAAAAGACAAGCTACGGACTGTGAGAAAATATTTGCAAACCACATTTCCTACAAAGGACTATTATCTGGAATACATAAAGAGCTCTCAAAACTCAACAGTGAAAAAAAGAAGCAATCCAATTAGAAGTTAGGCAGAAGCCATAAAGAGACATTTCACTGAAGAGGAGATACAGATGGCAAACAAGCACATAAAAAGATGTTCAGCATCACTAGCCATTAGGAAAATGCAAATTAAGACCATGATGAGATATCACTATATGCTTATTAGAACAGCTAAAATGGAAAACAGTGACAACACCAAATGCTGGTGAGGATACAGAGAAACTAGATCTCCCATACTTTGCTGGTGGGAATGGAGAATGGTACAGCCAGTCTGGAAAAGAGTTTGACAATTTCTTAGAAAACTAAACATATACTTGTGATACGATCTGGCAATTGTACTCTTGGGTGTTTATCTAGAGAAATGAAAACTATGTTTACACAAAGGTGTGTACACCATTGTTCAAAGTAGTTTTACTTGCAATAGTCAAAAATTGTAATCAATGTACATGTTTCCCAATAGGCGAATGGTTAAACTGTGATCCATTCACCTACACCATGGAATACTACTCAGCAATGCTGAAGAATGAACTACTAATAGATGCAACAGCTTGGAGCTTGGATGGCTCTAAAGGTGTGGTTTTCAGTGAAACCACATACTTTATGATTCCATCATACAACCTTTTTTTTTTTTTTTTAAGACAAGGTCTTGCCCTGTTGCCCAGGCTGAAGTGCAGTGGCATGATCATGGCTTACTGTAACTTTGAACTCCTGGGCTCAAGGGATCCTCCAACCTCAGCTTCCTGAGTATCTGAGACTATAGGTGCATGCCACCATACTTGGCTAATTTTTAATTTTTTTTGTAGAGGTGAGGGTCTCACTATGTTGCTCAGGCTGGTCTCGAACTCCTGGGCTCAAGTGATTCTCCTGCCTTGGCTTCCCAAAGTATTGGGATTACAGGTACAAGCCACTGCTCTTGGCCATACAACATTTTTTTTTTTGAGACAGAATCTTGCTGTGTTGCCCAGGCTGGAATGCAGTGGTGCCATCTTGGCTCACTGAAACCTCTGCCTCCCAGGTTCAAGCAATCCTCCTGCTTCAGCCTCCCGAGTAGCTGGGATTACAGGCATGCCCCACCATGCCCGGCTAATTTTTGTATTTTTAGTACAGATGGGGTTTCACCATGTTGGCAAGGCTGGTCTAGAACTCCTGACCTCAGGCGATCTGCCCACCTTAGCCTCCCAAAGTGCTGGGATTGCAGGCGTGAGCCACCATGCCCAGCCCATGTAACATTCTTGAAATGACAAAATCTTAGAAATGGAAAACAGGTGAGTGGTTGCCAGGTGAAGGGTGGTAGGGGCGGATGTGACTGAGGGGTAGCACCAGTCACCTAGCGGGGTGGTATTTCCATCGTGGCAGTGGTTACTATTGTGGCAGGCCAGGTCTCACTAATGCAGGCCTCCGTAACAACTGTTTCAGTACTGAGTGGTTAAGTTAAATATTAAAAGCCAGTGCCCTTATGAAAAGGCTGGAATGTAACAAAGAGCCCACCAAGAGTTTTGCCTAGGTCTTTCCTGGGCCTTAACGCATGACAACGTAATGAAGGAATTCTTAACAGGACCCATTTAGGATTAAATACGTTTTATCGTGGGTCTGAAGAAACTCCCCAGGCCCCACAAACAAGCTTATTGAGAGTCTGAAGGAACTCCCCAAACCTCCATGATTCAGCAGGAGACAAGATAAGGGTAATCACCCCAGCACCTGGACCCATTTAGATTAAGTAAATTTACTGAGGCTCCAGAGGAAGGTCTTCAGGACTCAGACCTTAGTTATAGATTAAAAGAAGTTAATCACTTATGTCTTTAGG
Organism: Homo sapiens; assembly: GCF_000001405.40. Taxonomy (NCBI): domain Eukaryota; kingdom Metazoa; phylum Chordata; class Mammalia; order Primates; family Hominidae; genus Homo; species Homo sapiens. The sequence goes on along the minus strand of NC_000002.12, from coordinate 127,124,291 downwards.
TGAATGCACACTTACACATAGACATATAGCTTAGAAGGTAGGCTGGGCACAGTGGCTCACGCCTGTAATGCCAGCACTTTGGGAGGCCGAGGTGGGTCGATCATCTGAGGTCAGGAGTTCAAGACCAACCTGGCCAACATGGTGAAACCCTGTCTGTACTAAAAGTACAAAATTAGCCAGGTGTGGTGATGGATGCCTGTAATCCCAGCTGCTCAGGAGGCTAAGGCAGGAGAATCGCTTGAACCTGGGAGGCAGAGGTTGTAGTGAGCTGAGATCGTGCCACTGCACTCTAGCCCAGATGAAAAGAGAGAGACTCTATCTCAAAAAAAAAAAAAAAAAGAAGGTATATAAGTTCTGGAAAACTTAGTAATTTTGAGTTGGTCTGGTGATAATTTCCAGACCTTCTCCCTGTAACCGGTTGCAGAAATAAAAACTTTCTTCCCACTTTGGGAGGCTGAGGCAGGTGGATCACGAGGTCATGAGATTGAGACCATCCTGGTGAACATGGTGAAACCCCATCTCTACTAAAAATACAAAAAAATTAGCCAGGCATGGTGACGGGTGCCTGTAGTCCCAGCTACTCAGGAGGCTGGGGCAGGAGAATGGCATGAACCCGGGGGGCAGCGCTTGCAGTGAGCGGAGATTGACCCACTGCACTCCAGCCTGGGAGACAGAGCGAGACTCCATCTCAAAAAACAAAACAAAACAAAAAAAACCAACTTTCTTCCTCCCCAGTTCATCTGCATCTCATTATTGGGCCACAAGACATAGCAGCCCAACCCTCATTTTGGTCTGGGAAATGATCTACACATTTGATAAAATGACAAAGACCTATACACACATATTGTACCAATGTCAAATCCCTAGGTTTTATATGATACTGTAGTTATGCAAGGCATCACCATTGGGGGACCCTGGGTGAATGGTACACGGGATCTCTCTATATTATCTTGCAACTTTCTGTGAATTTGTCATTATTTCAAAATAAAAAGTAAAAAAATATAATGCAAAATAAAGACTTCTTGGCTGGGCACGGTGGCTTACACCTGTAATCCCAGCACTTTGGGAAGCTGAGGCGGGTGGATCACCTGACATCAGGAGTTCCAGACCAGCCTGGCCAACATGGTGAAACCCGGTCTCACCCTGTTTCACAAAAGGTGAAACCTTTTGTATTTTGTAAAAATACAAAAATTAGCTGGGCGTGGTGGTGCAGCACCTGTAGTCCCAGCTACTCGGGAGGCTGAGGCAGAAGAATCACTTGAACCTGGGAGGCGGAGGTTGCAGTGAGCCTAGATTGTGCCACTGCACTCCAGCCTGGGCAACAGAGCAAGACTCCATCTCAAAAAATAAATAAATGAAATAAAGACTTCTTCAGAAAAAAAAAGATAATAGAGCATATGGGCCTTTCTGTGCATCTCTGTCCGCCTCCAAGGCCCGCTGTCTGGTTGCTGTTGAGGGTGCACTGGGGAAATGAGCAGCACCCTCCCCAGAGAAGGGCTTCATCCAGTCAGAGAAGGAGCAAGGAGAACAACCTTCCTTCCCCCCTCCCTCCAGCTCTCCTCCTCTGCTTCTCCCAGGATGCACATTTGAGTGCACACGCGCCAGATGGAGATCAGTGATAAATAAGGCGGCACCTCCTTGTTGGGAGAGACAGGGGCTAATAGGGTGGAACAAGTGCTGTGAGACCTCATGACAATCGTGCTGGCCCAGCTGGTGAACCTGAAAGGCTTCCAGGATGGTAAGGATCTTGAACTGGGTCTAGAAAGATGAGTGGGAACCAGTGAGGCAAAGTGCAGCTTGTGCCGAGGCCTGCAGGTGAGGGTTGGCAGGCAGGGCTGGGGCTGGCTTGAAGCTGATGTGCAGGGAGAGGGAGGAGCAGAAATAGGAGGGAGCTGGGCCGAGGATGGGGCTGGGGGTGGGCGTGTGGGAGGAAGGGCTCTGTACTAATCTAAGATATTAGGAATTTATCTTAAAATCTCCTTGGGGAGGCAGTGAGGGGCAGGAGAGTTGGATGGTCAGATGGACATTTTAGAAAAATCTCCTCTGAGCAGAGGAGAGGGCAGGTTGGAGGGGGAAGGCCAGGGTCCAAGCAAGAGAGCAACGCAGGCAAGAGGTGGGGAGGCCTAAAGGAGGGCAGGCTACGGGCATAAGCACAGCTCAGGAAGATAGCCTTGGAGGGAGGTGTCGACACATGCAGCTCTAATGGGGAGTGCATTACAGAGCACCATGGGAGCTAAGTGCCCCAGCCAGGCCTCCTCCAAGAATCCTGGAACCCAGCTCCCTCCAGGCTGCCAAAATGACCCCACCTGGACCCTGGGGCAGGGTGGGCCTAGGCCTGAGCTGCCTCATAACTCTCCAAGATGCGCCGCCAAGAGCAGGCTCACTGCTTGGGAATGCCTTAGTTCCTGCAGATGGCCTGCATGAGGGCCAGCCTTTTAGAATGGTAAGTCACAGTGTTGGCTGCAGGGACCGCCCCACCCCGAGGCAGATTCAGCTGCAGTGAGTGAGGCCCCGGAGAGGTCTCACTCGAGGCAGTTGCTTTCCTCTAAAGATGCTAAGTTTGTGGGCCAATTTTAGATGTCTACCCTTGCTCAGGGTGCTCTCCTACTTGTAGGAATTTTGGCAACAGGCAGCACTTTATTCTGTTAATGATGATCTTCGGTCTCCTTCCAGACTGTGGGCTGTATGTGGGCAGGGACTTAATGGATTCTCTTCTGTGCATGTCCCCAGTGTCCAGGCTTGCTCAGGGCTCAGTGAATGCTGACTGGGGAGATTTTACTGCCTAGGAGGCAGAATTCACATCAAACAGCTGTTTTTGCACTTAGAGGCAGCCTGCACTAGGTCCTAACTAGACTGCAAAAAACACCTTCATCTTTGAGTTTACAGTGGGGTTTGCATAAATGATCATATGTAAATATAGCTATACACAGAATAGTATTTGGAATGCTAGCCAACAAGTGGTCTCCCCTCCACGTTTCCTGTTACCTCTCCCCTCCTTGTTCAAGCCAATGAGCTCTCTGCCTTCATGACCTCCACGAATGGGTCAAAATCTTGGCTTTTGACTTCTAAAAGCCCGGCCCGGTTTATAAACCAGCAGACTGGGGACAATGCCGGATGAGTTATCCCAGAGGAAGGTTTCCTCCTGCCTGACCAGAACAGCATCCTGAGGGCAGGATCTTTAAGAATCAGAGAGGAAGTGAAGGAAACTTGGATGTTTCTAGGTTCCCAGGAGAGACCCTAGACCCAGGACCAATCCCCAGGGGTGGGGAGAGGGCGACAGAAATCCCAGCTAGGATTAGGAGAATCTGAGAGCAGAGAAGACCTTGCCTGGAGCTGCCCCCAGCAGTCCTACAGAACAGAAGGCAGGAGAAACATCTGCCCCAGTCTGGGCAGTAGGCTTCAGGAAGCCTCAAAGTGTTGTCCCCAACCGCAAACGGGAAGGAGAAGCAAAATGACTCTTTATGTCTGTCTGCCACCTACCTGAGACACCCACCAGAGTTGAGCATCCTAAGGCCTGCAGGATGTAGACTGTTTCCCCATACCCTGAAACAGACCTGGGGTGCAGCTGTATAGGTGACACTTGAGCTTGAGGGAGGGCCGAGGAGGGAAGGAGCACCCCAACACGCCATGCATGGAGTATCGGCTGGGGGACAGACAGGAGGACCAGCGCTTTCTAAGAATGGGGGCAGGGGGCAGAAGTGACCTAGGGTGAAAGAAGGACTTGAGGCGCCGGCGAGCGCCGCCCGGGAGGCAGCGGCTGGAGGAGCGGACGGGCCCCGCGGGGCCCGAGGGCAAGGAGCAGCCGCCTGCTTTGGCCTCCCAAAGTGCCGAGATTGCAGCCTCTGCCCGGCCACCACCCCGTCTGGGAAGTGAGGAGTGTCTCTGCCTGGCCGCCCATCGTCTGGGATGTGAGGAGCCCCTCTGCCTGGCTGCCCAGTCTGGAAAGTGAGGAGCGTCTCCGCCCGGCCGCCATCCCATCTAGGAAGTGAGGAGCGCCTCTTCCCAGCCGCCATCACATCTAGGAAGTGAGGAGCGTCTCTGCCCGGCCGCCCATCGTCTGAGATGTGGGGAGCGCCTCTGCCCCGCCGCCCCATCTGGGATGTGAGGAGCGCCTCTGCCCGGCCGAGACCCCGTCTGGGAGGTGAGGAGCGTCTCTGCCTGGCCGCCCCGTCTGAGAAGTGAGGAGACCCTCTGCCTGGCAACCACCCCGTCTGAGAAGTGAGGAGCCCCTCCGCCCGGCAGCTGCCCCGTCTGAGAAGTGAGGAGCCTCTCCGCCCGGCAGCCACCCCATCTGGGAAGTGAGGAGCGTCTCCGCCCGGCAGCCACCCCGTCCGGGAGGGAGGTGGGGGGGGGGGTCAGCCCCCCGCCTGGCCAGCCGTGCCGTCCGGGAGGGAGGTGGGGGGGTCAGCCCCCCGCCTGGCCAGCCGCCCCATCCGGGAGGGAGGTGGGGGGGTCAGCCCTCCGCCCGGCCAGCCGCCCCGTCTGGGAGGTGAGGGGCGCCTCTGCCCAGCCGCCCCTACTGGGAAGTGAGGAGCCCCTCTGCCCGGCCAGCCGCCCCATCCGGGAGGGAGGTTGGGGGTCAGCCCCCCGCCCGGCCAGCCGCCCTGTCCGGGAGGGAGGTGGGGGGGTCAGCCCTCCGTACGGCCAGCCGCCCCGTCTGGGAGGTGAGGGGCGCCTCTGCCCGGGCGCCCCTACTGGGAAGTGAGGAGCCCCTCTGCCCGGCCAGCCGCCCCGTCCGGGAGGGAGGTGGGGGGGGGTCAGCCCCCCCGCCCGGCCAGCCGCCCCGTCCGGGAGGTGAGGGGCGCCTCTGCCCGGCCGCCCCTACTGGGAAGTGAGGAGCCCCTCTGCCCGGCCACCACCCCGTCTGGGAGGTGTGCCCAACAGCTCATTGAGAACGGGCCAGGATGACAATGGCGGCTTTGTGGAATAGAAAGGCGGGAAAGGTGGGGAAAAGATTGAGAAATCGGATGGTTGCTGTGTCTGTGTAGAAAGTAGAAGACATGGGAGACTTTTCATTTTGTTCTGCACTAAGAAAAATTCCTCTGCCTTGGGATCCTGTTGATCTGTGACCTTACCCCCAACCCTGTGCTCTCTGAAACATGTGCTGTGTCCACTCAGGGTTAAATGGATTAAGGGTGGTGCAAGATGTGCTTTGTTAAACAGATGCTTGAAGGCAGCATGCTCGTTAAGAGTCATCACCAATCCCTAATCTCAAGTAATCAGGGACACAAACACTGCGGAAGGCCGCAGGGTCCTCTGCCTAGGAAAACCAGAGACCTTTGTTCACTTGTTTATCTGCTGACCTTCCCTCCACTATTGTCCCATGACCCTGCCAAATCCCCCTCTGTGAGAAACACCCAAGAATTATCAATAAAAAAATAAATTAAAAAAAAAAAAAAAAAAAAAAAAGAAGGACTTGAAAGACAAGAGTCGAGGAAGTCAAGTGTTTCTTGCACAGACAGGATTGTGAGTGGAGATGCATATATTTTCAGGCATTTTTTATTTAAGGCAGCATTGTTGTGTTGTGGGACAGAACCCATTGAATTGAGCATTGTCAGATGTTTACTTAGAATGAACAAAAACAATGATTATGTTCTGTGTCCTCTTCTGTAAAATCTAAAATGCGAGAAACATGATTTCACTGCAAGAGTGACGTGGACCACCTGCGCTCTGGTGAATGTTCATCTCTGTCTGTCCTGCCATGCTGCCACCCGAGGTCCTGCCAATCAGGCTCACTGGGCCCTGCACTTCCTCCCGTGCCCAGAACACAATAATGAGGTGGTGGGTAGATAGAAGCCAGCTTTGGAAGCAGTACAGGTCAGCAGGGAAAAAGTGAGTCAAACATGTCCAGTGACTTATAAAACCCTAAGATCACACCCATGCCAAATGTCAGTAACAGAGAGAGACGAGGTGACAGGGCAGGACATAAGCAAAAAGACAGATAAGTGGGTGACTTTGGAGGATGAGTCCCCAGCTCCAGGTGGGCCCCACCCTGCTGGTGCTGAGACCCTTCCCTGAGGTTGGGTGGACCACGTCTATACATTTGTTGGGTGCCTGATCTGCGGCCAGCTTCAGGGAGGGCACTGGGGGTCAGAGCTAAGCAGGCCCAGCCCTGCCCCCAGGAGCCACAGTTGGAGGCCGCGGTTCTGAGCATCACTTCTACTGAAAGACAGCCCACATTCTGTACAAGGAGTTGTCACTTCTCAATGTGGCCTCTGAGCAGGAGGATATTTCATAACCTCCTCCCCCAACTCCAATCCTCACCAGGCAAAGGGAATCCCAGTAGATGTACCCTCGTTCATGGCCAGAGTTAAGAATTGGGTCCCAGGGCACCTTTCCCCCACTATTGCAGAACGACTGTTTTGGAGGGGTGCTGGGTCTGTGAGAAAGGCAAGCGCAGGACCCCGGGGGAGGATAGACGAGGGCCATTTAGCCCCACCTGAGATGAGTCAAAGAGATCTCCCTGGAGGAGGTGACAACTGCGCGTGTCTGTAAAGGTGAGGCAGGTTGCCAAGTTGCCTGGTGAGGAAATCGGGGAGGAGAGTTGGGGAAGTCAGATATGTATGCCCATGTCTTTAGGAAGGATACATGCAAAGCCCCGTAGGGTGTTGGGGGGCTGTCTGGGCAAGGCTGAGGTGGCCATGTTGGCTCTGGAGTTGGGGAGCCCCTCTCCATCCAGGTATTTATTTGTGGTCACAGGGACTCTCATGGGATACAACAGCAGCTGGGCCCATGATCAGATTTCAGATATGTACAATGAACTGGGGTAGGAGATGGTGCAGGAGGAAAAAAGAAAAGCAGAAATTCATCATGACTGAAGGAGGACCCTGCTATAAGGGACAGTGGCTTTGGGGAGAGCTCCATTTGCTCCCACTCCCACCAGCGTTGGGTGTTGTCGCCTTTTAAATATAACCATTTTTGTGAGTGTATGGCGTTAACTCATTGTGGTTTCAATTTGTATTTCCCTAAAGACTCATGAAGACTCATTTTCTCCCATGCTTACTGCCATTTGTATATCTGCTGTAGTGAAGGGTCTTTTCAAATCATTTGCCTTAAAAAAAAAAGATTGCTTTCCTTATTGAGTTATGACAATTCTTAATTTGTTCTTGGATACAAGTCCTTCATTAGATATCTGTACCATGAAAAGTTTTATCTGAGTGGATTACCTCTTCATTTTCTTAGTGGTGTCTTTGGAAGAGCAGGCTTTAAAAATTTTGAAGTCTCGGCCGGGCGCGGTGGCTCACGCATGTAATCCCAGCACTTTGAGAGGGCGAGGCGGGCGGATCACGAGGTCAGGAGATCGAGACCATCCTGGCTAACACAGTGAAACCCCGTCTCTACTAAAAAACCCCATCTCTACTAAAAATACAAAAAATTAGCTGGGCGTGGTGGCGGGCGCCTGTAGTCCCAGCTACTCGGGAGGCTGAGGCAGGAAAATGGCGTGAACCTGGGAGGCGGAGCTTGCAGTGAGCCAAGATCGCGCCACTGCACTCCAGCCTGGGTGACAGAGCGAGACTCCGTCTCAAAAAAAAAAAAAAGAAAAAGAAAAAAAAATTTGAAGTCTCATTTATCAATTTTTAACGGTAGCTTAATATTCAAAATACAATTGACCTTTGGTCAGTGCGGCGATTGGGGGCACTGACCCCTCACACAGCCGAAAATCTGTGCATGACTTTTGGCCCCCACAAAACTTAACTATTAATAGCCTACTGTTCATCAGAAGCCTTGCTGATAACATAAACAGTTGATTAATACACATTCTGTATATGTATTATATACTGTATTCTTACACTAGAGTCAGCTAGAGGAAAGAGAATGTTATAAGAAAATTGTAAGGAACAGAACATATACTTACTATTCATTCAGTGGACATGGATCATCATAAAGGTCTTCACACTGAGTAGGCTGAGGAGGAAGAGGAAGAGGAAGAGGAGAGGTTTGTCTCGCTGTCTCAGGAGTGGTAGAGGCGGAAGGAAATTCACGTATATGTGGATCCATGCAGGTCAAACTCATGTTGTTCAAAGATCAACTGTATGGATAAACCAAATTTTAAAATAAGCAAATTTAACAATCCACGCCTGGACATTTAGATTGTGTCCAACTTTTCACTATTTCACTCATTGTGAGGACATGACTGCGCTAGTGACTATATTCTAAGGACAGAATCTCAGATGCATATGTTTGTCAGGTTTTGGTTAAACACCTGAAATTGCCCTCCTAAAGTGCACCTAGTAACTTGTAAATGAAGCCCAGTTTCAAGGAACCGGTCAGTCACCTTAGTAGCTTCATAGCTTGTGGGCGTGTTGATAAACAAACGAGACTTTAGAAATGCTTAAACACGGAGATGGGCCATCTTATCTCAGCACTCTGTTTAGAAAGCCATTTTTAAATAGATAATTAGGGTAAATTTCCAGTGAGTATTTCCAAAGTCTGGAATCTTCTACAGGAACTAAGCAGTGATTTATTAAAGAAGGAGTGCTGGGCAAAGGGCTGTTTGCTTTTCTGCACCTTTATTTGACCACCTGGAGAGCCAACAGAGGTCTGCCCCCTGTGTCTCACCAGCAATGCGGGCACATACTAGATTAACTAAGGGACTAACAGCCGCTATGTCATAATAGCAACTATGCTTTACCAAGCTCAATCAGCCCTACCAGGGACTGCCTGGTACCCCTAATCCTCATCGGCAGCCTTTCCTGGTGAGTATGAAGGCCCCACTTAAAGGAAGCAGGCAGTGACTGGCCCAGGGCCACAGTACTCATACCGATGGAGCCAGGGCCTTTGGCCTAAAGCCTGTGTGTCGTCGTCAGCATCTCAGTCTACTACTTTTTAGCCACAGCATAGACCACGCAGGGGTCAAGGTTTAAAGACATGCAGGACAAACACAAGCAAGCTGATTTTTTCCTTTTTTCTTTTTTTTTTTTCTGAGATGGAGTCTTGCTCTGTCTCCCAGGCTGGAATGTAGTGGTGCGATCTCAGCTCACTACAACCTCTGCCTTCGGGGTTTAAGCGATTCTCCTGCCTCAGCCACCCAAGTAGCTAGGATTACAGGTGCACACCACCACACCCAGCTAATTTTTGTATTTTTAGTAGAGACCAGGTTTCACCATGTTGGCCAGGCTGGTCTTGAACTCCTGATGTCAGGTGATCCACCCTCCTCAGCCTCCCAGAATGCTGGGGATTACAGGTGTAAGCCACCGTGCCTGGCTAAGCTGATCATCTTGAAAAAGGTTTTGCTTTTGGAGACTTCACTTGCTGGTGGCAAAAGGAAGTAACTCATTCCTGGAGGCCTTGCTAATATCCTGGAATTAGTTGGGGGATCCACTCACTGGCTCACTCCACAGGTCTCTCCTACACGGTCTGCTGAAATTGGATCTAAACATCTGGGCCCCTTAGAAGCCCAGGGACAGGGCCTTCCAGATGGTTCTGTGGGGAGTTGTCTTTTTGTCTCTGCAAGGATCGCCTCAAGGAAAGCTGGACAGGCTGGGGAGTCTGCACAAGCCTCAGTGTTTGGTGCCAACCCCAGCACAGTGTACAATGTCCTTAGCCTCTTTGCCAACCTTCATTCTGAACTCCTACCCCTTCAACCACCTACTCATACGTCCATTTGCCCAGGACAGTTCTGGCTTACACCTGCTACCTAGGTGTAATTATTTTTTTCCCCTTTCACTCAAAATTGTCCTAGTTTGGACACTCCATATTAATACTGATGGGTCAGGTGCAGGCACTCAGGAGAGACTAGCTTGATGATACCTATAGCATAACAAATGCATTAGAGTTGGCTCTCTGAAGGTCTTTATTAAGATAATGGTATATTGGCTGGGTGCGGCGGCTCACGCCTATAATCCCAGTACTCTGGGAGGCCAAGGCGAGCAGATCATCTGTGGTCGGGAGTTTGAGAACAACCTGGTCAACATGGTGAAACCCCATCTTTACTTAAAATACAAAAATTAGCCAGGCATGGCGGTGGGAGCCTGTAATCCCAGCTGCTTGGGAGGCTGAGGTGGGAGAATCAGTTGAACTTGGGAGGCAGAGGTTGCAGTGAGCTGGGTTAGCACCACTGCACTGCAGCCTGGGTGACAGAGTAAGACTCCATCTCAAAAAAACCAAACCAAACCAAACAACAACAACAAAAAGATAATGGTATATTAGTCATAACACTTCTTGCAAGTGGCCTCAAATTGGCTTTAGCAAGAAAAAAATGTATTGGTTCCTATGGCTGATAGTACGTGGTGGGAGTGGCCAGGATTTGGGCATCACTGGGACCAGGTTCTTAAGAAATGTCATTAATTCCATTTCTCTCTGTCCCTGTTTCTCCGTCTCTTCACTCGTCTTGACCTCAACTTCTAGGCAGGTCTTTCATGTAGTGGGCAAGCTGGCATCTGGTAGCTCTAGACTCACATCCTCCCAACTCTGCTAGTCTAGAAGAAAAGGGAACTTATGGGTCCTACAAGTATAGAGCATCCTAGGAAAGCTCTTCTTGGGCTTTTCCCAAGAGAGCCCAAACTTCATGTGCTCATCCTCAAGCCTGGGCTATGTGCACATCACAGTGTAAGAGACAGGGCTCATCAAAGCACACCCACCGAAGAAGGAGCTCCAAAGGAAAGCAGGACAATGGGCAGGGCACACCACAGTTATAGCATCTGCTACCCACTATAGATAGCCACCATCTACAGAGTCACTTCTGATATTCCAGGGGCTGTAAATATAGTGTTCACTATTTCCACAATAACCTAGAGGTTAATTTACCCCCACATTATAGATGAGGCTTGAACAGCTTGAATAACATATCCAAGGATGGAAAAGTGGTAAATGGAGTAGCTGATTACTTTTCTTTTCTTTTTTTCTTTTTTTTGCGAGACAGGGTCTGGCTCTGACACCCATGCTGGAGTGCAGTGGTGCAATCTTGGCTCACTGCAGCTTCTTGGGCTCAAGTAATCCTCACATCTCAGCCTCCCAAATAGCTGGGACTACAGGAGCACACCACCACGCTCAGCTAATTTTTTAAATTTTTTGGTAGAGACAGGATTTCACCATGTTGCCCAGACTGGTCTTGAACTCATGAGCTCAAGCAATCTGCCTGCCTCAGCCTCCCAAAATGCTGGGATTACAGGCATGAGCCACTGCACCGAGCCGAGGAGCTGATTTCTGAACCCAGGTCTATCTGCCCTTTCCAAAATATCATGGAACTTGAGAGTGGTGGCATTTTACATGTGAGAAAGATGGAGGACAATTTGAGTCAGGGAGCCCTTCCTGAATACCACATCACACTTAACGCTGCCCTGAAATAACTGGTGCTGCCTTAGAATCTTCTGCATCCTGAGCAAGACAGCCCCCTCCCTGTCTCTGTAAGAGGTGAAGTTGGCTGTCTCAGGAGGGAGGTACAAAGCTGGTCTGTTCCAGACACCACAGATGACCAAGTACTAACTGATCTCAGTACAGGACCCACCAGCTAAGTGCCTTCAGGTAAGCCTACTTTTTCCAAGTTTCCATCTATAAAAGGTGAGCAAAAGTTCTATCAAATGCAGGATTATTATGATAGCCAAAATAGTATAAACAAAAATTGCTTTGTAAGATAGAATGATGATGAGGATAGTAATATTGCTAGCTCGGAGCCTCTTAATCAATTCTTGAGTTGGAGAAGAAAATGGGGCAGGTGATCTTTTCTCTCCAAGGGATAGGAGGACTGTCCTTTGCTTGCCTCTGTTCTTCATGGTTTTAAAAAAATCATTTCCCAAATGATAATGAGATATCATTACATACCTATTAGAATGGCCAAAGTCCGGAACACCAAATGCTAGCAAGGATTTGGATGGAGCAACAGGTACTCTCATTCATTGCTGGTGAGAATGCAAAATGGTCCAGCCACTTTGAAAGAGAATTTGACAGTTCCTTACAGAACTAAACACACTGTTACCATACGATTCAGCCATCATGCTTCTTGATATTTACCCAAAGGAGTCAAACGCTTATGTCCACACAAAAACCTGCACATGGATGTTTATAGCAGCTTTATTCATAATGGCCTGAACTCAGAAGCAACCAAGATGTTCTGCAATAGGTGAGTGGGTAAATAAAGTGTGGTGCATCCAGAAAAGGGAACATTACTCAGTGCCAGAGGAAATGATCAAGCCATGAAGAGACATGGAGGAAACTTAGATGCATATTGCTAAGTGAAAGAAGCCAGTCTGAAAAGGCTACAAACTGTATGGTTCCAATAATACGGCATTTATTCTAGAAAAGGCTAAACTATGGAGACAGCAAAAAGATCAGTGGTTGCCAGGGGCTGGGGGGTGGAGGGAGGGATGAACAGGCAGAGCACAGAGGATTCTTAGGGCAGCGAAACTGTTCTATATGATACTCTAACAGTAGACACGTACCATTGTACACTTGCCCAGACCCATAGAACGTACAAGCCAAGAGTGAGTTCTCACATAAACTATGAACTATGGGGGATAATGATGCAACAACGGAGGTGCCTCAGTTGTAACAAATGTCCCACTGTGCTGGGGATGTTGATAGTGAGGGGGGTTGTGCATGTGTGGGGCAAAGGTTATGGGAAATCTCTGTACCTTCTGCTTACTTTTGCTCTGAACCTAAAAGTGTTCTAAAAGCCTGGCCAACACGGTGAAACCCCATCTCTACTAAAAATACAAAAATTAGCTGGGTGTGGTGTTGGGCGCCTGTAATCCCAGCTACTCGGGAGGCTGAGGCAGGAGAATCACTTGAACCCGAGAGGCAGAGGTTGCAGTGAGCTGAGATCGAGCCATTGCACTCCAGCCTGGGGTACAAGAGCGAGACTTCGTCTCAAAAAAAAAAAAATAAAAATAAAGTCTATTTAAAACAAACAAGCAAACAAACACAGAAACATGGCTTCTCCAGCCCTCACCGTTTGGATGCACGGCACACTCCCTCTGCCTGTGTGCTTTATCTTTCTATTCTGCCACACTGAGGTTTCCCAACTATTGCCCCAGGGGACATTGTCCTCATTTCAATTTGTATTTTTAATAGCACTTCTTTCTGATGACAAAAAGAGTACATGTACAAAGTTTGGAAAATAAAAAGAAAAAGAAGTAGGAGAAAAAAACCCCACCCCGAATTGCTCCACCTGGAGATATCAATCACGTTTTGGATCGCGGCTGGCACGATACTGTTTACATTAAACTGTATTATCCTGTTAACATCACATTTCCCTATCATGAGAAACTTCAAGAACATATTCTTTTGGTAAACATTTCATACATGGCCATACTATAGTTTAGTTAATCATTCGGCATTCAGGTGGTGATATTTAGATGTGTTCAGTTTTGCATTATTATAAATAATGTGATGAACATCTGTGTGGTGAAAGCTTTGCCAAATTTTTGAATTAAATCATAGACTTGGAATTATAGGGTGGAAGAATATGGATATTTTGGTTATTCTTATTCTATTACAAGATTGCTTTCTAGAAATTCTGTTATCTGTTTACACTCTCAGAAGTAGAATGTGAGTTTCTGTCTCTATGGTTTTATTAAGTAACATAATTTAAAAAATAATTTGTTGATTTGATGAAAATGAAAACAGAAATGGTATTTCATTGATTTAATGAACCTTTCTTTTTGTCTGGTAAGTCTGACTTTCGAAAACCTATTTATTAATTATTTGAATATCCAATTTTATAAATTGTCTACTATATATTGGGGTTTTAATGTTTTTCTTATGAATTTGTAAGAGTTCTATTTTATTGCCAAAAAAATTTTCCCTAGTTTCTTACAGTTTAATTTTTATGTCAAACTTATTTTCAAAATGGGAATAACTCTTTTCCTGGTAATTAAAATAACGGGCTGTCATGGTAAAAAAAAATAACATACTATAGAAAATTATACAGAAAAAAGTAAAAATCTACATTCTACCCCTTGAACTTGTACTAACATTTTTAGATCATTTCCTCCCAAACTTTTATCCTATGTTTTTATGGTATTTTCTGAAGTTTAAGAATTCTAATTTTTATGTACCTCAAAGCAAGCATTTTAAAATTTCAATATATTCTCCAGTGCTTTTGTGTTTAGAAATATCTTTTTAATCTAGCGATCTGATAAAAAATCACCTCTAAAAAAACAGAGCTGTGATTCTTTTTTTTTTTGAGATGGAGTTTTGCTCTCGTTGCCTAGGCTGGAGTGCAATGGTGCGATCTCGGCTCACCGCAACCTCTGCCTCCTAGGTTCAAGTGATTCTCCTGCCTCAGTCTTCCGAGTAGCTGGGCTTACAGGCATGCACCACAACGCCCGGCTAATTTTGTATTTTTAGTAGAGACAGGGTTTCTCCATGTTGGTTAGGCTGGTCTCGAACTCCCAACCTCAAGTGATCCGCCTGCCTTGGCCTCCCAAAGTGCTGGGATTATAGGCAAGGCATTATGTCATATTATAGAATATTAAGGAAATTAAGGGGGAAAGAAGTCAGCCTTAATGCCTGGACCCTAACACATCTGCTTCCTTTATGCATTGTTCTTTCAAGACATTGATCATGAGCTTTTAATTTATTTTAATTTATTTTTATATGGTTGCAAGTACAATTTCCTATCTTTTCCTTTCCTTCATAATTATGCCCTAAGCATTATTTTCTTGTTGCTACGTAGTCTCGGTAATGGTTGTTTTAAATGATTCCCAATGGCCCCTCCTGTGGCTGTGCTGTCACAGCTGACCCCATCCCTCTAATGAACACTTCCGTTGCTTCCAATTTTTCTGTCAAGCGATATTTAGAAACACCAGAGTCCAGTGAAGCAGAATCTCCCACTGTTCCCTGGGGGCTGACTGTAATGCAATTTGACTTTGCTCATTTCCTCCTTTCCTCAGAGGAGTGTTGGAAGAAATCACTTTTAGAGAATGGTTAGAAAAACGACCAACAGAAAATGAGGAGGAAGGAGATCATGAGCTGAAAGCATGTTGAGCTTTTAGGAGGAAGCTGCTTTAGAAGCCCAGACTGTGTAGGTTTTGCTTTTGTGACTCACAAATCGGGCATGAGTTTATAATAATTTTGACAGATGCTTTTCACTCATGCAGCGCTTGGTGCTTTTGAGGGCATTGGTGCAGGAAGGCTTGATGCAGAATCTCTGCTTATCATTTGCTGTCTGTGTGACCTACATCAGCGGCGCCTCAGTCTGTCTTCCTGCAGAATAAGAATACAGTCAGCCCTCTGCATCTGTGGGTTGGGCATCCATGGATCCAACCAACTGTGGACTGAAAATATTTGGAAAAATACAATAAAAAGTAAGACTACAACAATAAAATAATATAAATAAAAAACAAGGCCGGGCACGGTGGCTCACACCTATAATCCCAGCACTTTGGGAGGCCAAGGCGGGAGGATCACGAGGTCAGGAGATGGAGACCATCTTGGCCAACATGGTGAAACTCCGTCTCTACTAAAAATACAAAAATTAGCTGGGCATGGTGGCACGTGCCTGTAGTCCCAGCTGCTCGGGGGGCTGAGGCAGGAGAATCACTTGAACCCGGGAGGCAGAGGTTGCAGTGAGCCCAGATTGCGCCACTGCACCCCAGACTGGCGACAGAGTGAGACTCTGTCTAAAAATAAATAAATAAATAAATAAAAAATACAGCGTTAACAACTATTTACATAGTATTTAAATTGTATTAGCTATTACAAGAATCTAGAGATAATTTAAAGTATTTTGGAGGATTTGTGTACGCTATATGCAGATACTGTGTCAATTCATATGAGGGACTTGAGCATCCCTGGATTTTGGTATCCACGGATGTGCTGGAACCAGTCCCCTGGGGGATACCGAGGGACATCATGATAATAGGCCCGGAAGAGGACAGACGAACACACTGGGCCATGGGGCAGCACTGAGCGGTGGTGGAAGAACCCCGAGTAGCCGGAGAAAGAGCAGGAGGGCCTTCCAGGGAAGAGGGAATGGCCTGTGTGAACCCAGGCTGAACCTCTCATTCCTGGGACTCGATTTCTCCATTTGTACAAACTGCTTGGTTTGTGGTCTGCAAGAGCCCTTCCTGTTCCTCCAGGAAGCCTCTCAGGGACCTCTGTCCCTGGCCAGCTCTGCTCCTCTGACCGCTGCGGGTCCTGCAGGCCATAGCCCTGGCTCCTGTGTGTGCACCAGACACGTCTAGGCCTCTTCAGCGGGACCTATCTCTCTGCTCAACTCAATCAACAGTTCTTTAGAAATTTCCAGGGGCAGCAAAGTGCTGTAGCCCCTGACATGTTTTAGGGCTGAATGGGGGTGGGTATCAGCAGACTCAATACGTATTTATTAACTTAAAAGAAGTGTCATTGGTCTATTGGCAAAGCTGGTTAGCAATAACCTTATCTTCTCCAGGAATAATGATCACTAATCATTCCTTCCTGCTGGGGGTAGGAGACAACCCGGCGTATGGTGGTGGAGCACCTGGGAGACAGAGGCAGAGATCTCGTTCCTCGATCCCGGCGCGTTGGTTGTAAAGTAGGAACAGTAATAGCACCTACCTCTAGGGCCACGGAGACCGAATGAAATAATGCCTGTCAAGTCACTTAGTACACAGTAAGCACTCAGTAATGCTAGGTTGTTGTTATTATAATAAATTTTTAGCGAACGGGAAGACCAAGCACCGGTTGGTACTGGGCTAGGCGCCGTAGGCAAAGATGTGGAGATGTCCCGGAGGCGCCTAGGGTATCCGGGCGAAAACCCGAGGGCCGAAGGCTGGGAGGAGGCGGAGCGTCGGGCACCGGGCACCGGGCACCGGGCGGGAGGTGAGCCCCTGGAAAAGGAGGGGGCTCCGGGCGCGTTCTCCCAGCAGCCGCGGCTCCTCTGTTCAGGGCCGCGCCCCCTTCGCCGCACTTTCTCTTTGATTTCGAAAGCACTCCTCTCCTCCACCTAGTCTCCTTTCCTGGGTTGCAGGAGATTACTGCTTGCGGGGAAGACCAAGACGCCAGGCCGGCGGATTAGTCCCCGCCCCGGGGCGGTGCAGCTGGAGCGTCAGGGGAGTCCCGCTCGCCGCAGCCCCAGCGCCGCGCGCGCCCCTCCCTCCTCGCGGACCTGGCGGTGCCGGCGCCCGGAGTGGCCCTTTAAAAGGCAGCTTATTGTCCGGAGGGGGCGGGCGGGGGGCGCCGACCGCGGCCTGAGGCCCGGCCCCTCCCCTCTCCCTCCCTCTGTCCCCGCGTCGCTCGCTGGCTAGCTCGCTGGCTCGCTCGCCCGTCCGGCGCACGCTCCGCCTCCGTCAGTTGGCTCCGCTGTCGGGTGCGCGGCGTGGAGCGGCAGCCGGTCTGGACGCGCGGCCGGGGCTGGGGGCTGGGAGCGCGGCGCGCAAGATCTCCCCGCGCGAGAGCGGCCCCTGCCACCGGGCGAGGCCTGCGCCGCGATGGCAGAGATGGGCAGTAAAGGGGTGACGGCGGGAAAGATCGCCAGCAACGTGCAGAAGAAGCTCACCCGCGCGCAGGAGAAGGTGAGCGAGCCGGAGCCCCAGCAGCCGCGGAGTCCCAGCCGCCGCGGAGCCCCGGCCACCTGTCCCCCTATCCTCCGACCCCGGGGCCTGGTCCTTCGCCAGGATCTGGTGCTGTCACCTCTAGAGGAGCGCTTTCGAGGGGCTTCGAGGTCCCCAGGCTGCGTTCCCCGGCGCTCTGGGTGCCCTCTTAGGTTTGCGTCCTCTGTCTCCCCACACCCGGCCGGGGCAGGACAGGGCCCCGCTTTGCACCTTCGTGGCTCGGCTGCACAGCAGTGGCCGGCCCTGCTCCAGGCTCTTCTCAGGCGCGCGCTCCAGGCTACCCCGCTTTGGAGGCCAAGGGCCGGGAGGCTGGGAGGCCAGGTGGTGACCCTCAGCTCTCCAGGCCCATGCAGGCAACCTAGGCTGGGCCGGCGCTCGGGGCGAGAGGGAGTATGTCCCTCTGCCCCTGGGGACACTATTCCCCCGGACTCCCAAGGCTGCTTCTCGAACCGGCACCCACAGTTCCTTCCTTCCCACTGCTTCTCCACTTTCGTTCTCCGTGGGCCGAAGGAGGGATTGGGTTTCCTTTCCCGAGAGGTGCCTGCGGCCTGGAAGCTCCCGCCCAGCCCGGCCCCACCGGGAGCCCAGGGCTACGCACCCCGCAAGGAGGTGCCCTCGCCCCAGCAGGGGCTTAGCGTTTCCGGCGGCCGGGGAGCGGGTGGCGGCACTGGCTTTGGGAGCCCACGGCCGGGTGGGGAGCTGGCCTGGAGGAGGCGCGTGGAAGGCGCCACAGGAAACCCGACCCCTCCTCGCGGAGAGCTGGAATGGGGGATGGAGCCGGGGCCTCCCAGGGTGCCCAGAGCGTGCAGGAAATGCAGAGATTGAGGGGCGGGGGTCTGCACCCGGTCAGTTGTCTATCCCAAGCCACCTCTGGTTTATTGAATTGGATCACGCCAGCTGCTGACGCCACTTCCCCTGACGACTCCAACTCTGAAATCTGAGATTGCAGAATCTGTGTTTCTGCCAGGGTGGCCCCCCAGTGCCCCGCGGCCAGGCCTGCCCCCTCTCCCACCCGCTGCGCGGCCGCCGGGTGGAGGCGCAGGGACAGGCCGGCCTTCCCCTGCCAGGCCTGGTGGCTGTTTATAAACAATGACTTTTGCTTCTGAGACCCGCGGGCTCCCTAAGGATGCAACCACGTGATTGCTGGGGGATGGGGGAGAGGGGGGCGCCTAGAGCTTCCCCATACCTCCCTCAGAGTCCTACTGCTCATCCCTGTGTTTCCTGGCTAAGGAGGTGGGTGGGTGTGCATTGAAGGAAGGGCCCTCAGCCAAGTCCAGGTTTGCCCAGACCCAGCTCCCCAACCCCCCACCCCAGGGAAGGAGGAGGAGGAGGAGGAGGAGGAGGAGGAGGAGGGATTAAAGCCCCAGGAATAGCTGGCTGGGGGCTGGGAAGACTTCAGGTTGTGGGGTGGGGGGGTGGCAGCACAGATGCAGCCACCCCTGCTCCGGGCTGCCATGACTGGGTAATCCATCTGTGTGCCTGGAGCAGGCAGCCCTGGGCCAGAGCCTGCTTCCTTCCCTAAAGGGCCAGGGAGATGAATGGGAAGGGAGGTTAGCTGAGCTGTGTTCCCTGCCCCCTTCCCACTGGTGTCCCACCCCTTCCTGGCTCCCCAAGGCTCTTGGTGTGTCTCCTTTGCCCTGGTTGTCTTTTCTCTGCAGCAGCATCTTTGATGTCATTCTCGGGGCAGTAGGCAAGGGCTGTGTCCCCTCCAAGGAGGTGGTGATGTATCACTGAGCTCCTGAGACACCATCCCTCTCTCTTGAGCCCCTGTTCTGTGGCCACGGGCAGTTGGCTGACAGTTGGTCAGCTAGGCATGCTGGTCTTGGCCAACAGCTGACCTTGCCCATGCCGGGCTTCCTGGGACTGGAGTTGTTTAGTGTTCCAGCTGCTCTCTGCCTGCCGGAGACTAGTTAGGGACCCTCCCCCCATCAGAAACCAAGGCAGCATGACCATCATGACAGGCATCCAGGCCAGGTCTCTGAAAGTAGCCTTCCCCTCCCTTTGGGTTGCAGGCCCTGCTCGCAGGAAGCCCCATGCCTCAACCCACAGCAGCCTCTGCTGTGTGCCTTCCTGTAGAGTCTGTGCCATCATTGGAGGGTCATCCTCAGTGTCTTCTGTTGGTGATCAGTGCCGCCTCTAACTCCCACTGTCAATGAAACTGGAATCCTAGTCTCTTACAGGCAGCCCCACCACTATACCTACCTTGCCTTGGTGAAATCAGTGGGTAATAGGGCAATTCCAGTTTCCCTGTGGCTACAGGAAGGCGTTTCCTGAGCAAGGATGGCAGGAGCTGTGCTGGGAGGCTGGGAGAGTCCTGGCGTCCTGGCGTAGGAAGAAGGGCCCGTATCTTGCATCCACCCTTCACCCCCGGCCTTCCCACATCCACTTCCAGCCCAAACAAACATCCAGACTGTGAGGGTGACAGTGTGGTCAAGGGCAGCCTGCACTCTTGTAGGGTCCCCAAGCCAGCTCTTTTTTGACTGTTGTTACCTGTTGACCCTTCTGCCTCCACCACTGGTCTGGCTGATCCCTGAGGGCACGGCAGGGCACATCCAGGTGTGTGCATTGAGGATGTTACCTGGCCCCAGTCGGTGCTTAGTGAATGTTTTTGAACAAGGGATTTGGGCCTGACGCAGGCTGATGGTGGATTGATTTGTGTTGTTTGTTCTCTGCCATCACTCATTCATCAAATCCTGCCTGGACACAGGCCCAGTGCCTCCTGGGCTGAGTCCCCGATGCTGTCTCAGGCAGGGTGCATGTGTCTGGCCTGTCTGGAGCTTTTTCTTGAAGGTCCCATGGCCTGTGGCCTTGGTGTGAGGAGGGTATGAGAATAAATTGGAAGGGTTGCCAGGGCCTCCAGCATGGCACCATTGCTCCTGGCCCCCTGGCCACTGCCCCCGGAATGCGTGGGGTGCACTGTGTGTGCTGGGAGCTTGAGCCTGTGGGCGCCGTGAGGTCATCTTCCCATTGCGTTTGGCTTGTCGAACCCTCTATAAATGATTGTGTCCATTTTTGGGCCTCAGAAGAGTGGCTAGGCAAAGCCAGTGTAGGGTGGAGCCTGGGTCAGATGACGGGGAGGATTAGAGGTTGGCAGGCTGGGCCCCTCGCGGGATGGGGCGCCTGGGGAGAAGGACAGCTGAGGGGGTGGGGATCTGGCCTGCTGGCCCCTGAAGGCCCACGGCTTGGGAGTCCTCATGGAGCCGGCCTGACGGAGCTGGGCCTTTCTCTGACCACGCTGGGCTGACAGTGAGCACAGGAGGAAGGCTCTGGCAGGGTGGGAGTGTGCATGCTGTCCCTCCCTCCCGGCAGGTCCTGAGCATGCTGGAGGGGTGCAGGCTGGATAGTGGGGAGGGCCAGCTGGGCAGAGGGAGGGCCCAGGGTTGTCAGTGCCCAGCACAGCGCTGACATGCCGAGAAGAGGCTCGCTAAAGGAAGGTGCAGTGGTGGCGATTCCTAGAGCCTTGATGCATGGCCATGAATTGCACTATGCTCAGCTGCGTGGTCAAGGTCTCCTCACGCAGTAGCCACCTTAGCCTCCTCCGGAGGAGCCAGGCCTGTACACCAAGCGTTATATTTGCAGCAACCTCAGAAGCAGCAATGCTACACCTGAGAGTGGGTGCATGGTCCCTGTAATAGAAAGGACAATGGGGGCATAGGCAGGCCCAGCCACCTGCCCAAGTCACCCAGGCCCTCAGTGATGGCACTGGGAGCCCACCCAGAGGCCCTGGTCTCCTCACCTTGGCCACTGACTTTGCAGGGGTCCCGCCCCCTTCCCAGGCCCTAGCACAAAGATGCCCCCCTCTACCCACATTCCCATCTCTGTCCATCTTGGGGCCCATCTCTGTCCTTCTGTCCTTGAATGTCTGAGGTTCTTCCCTGCCGGCTACTGTCTTGTCTTTTTCTCTGTCTCTGTCTGTACCTCCCTGCTCTGGGCCTCTTCCCTCTGAACCTGTTCAGGCTCTTCCTGTATCTCTCCAGTCTCAGCTTCCCCTGGACCCGAGTTACTTATGTAGATGGTTCATCTCACCCTGCAGGGAAGGCTTCTGAGCTGGGCATCTTCTGTGGGTGGGCCCAGGTGTGTGTGGGTTCTTGGGTGTTCGGTAAAGGCGTGTGGGCATGGGAGGTTGGAAGCATGGCTTCCAGACTTCCCCAATCCCCCAGGGGCCCTGGATGGCCTGAGTACAGCCTTCTGGCTCATGCAGGGACCAAGCCAGGCACAGGCTACTTGTCCAGGCACAGCCTACTTGGGAGGCTGCATGGGGCATGGGGAAGGAGAAGGCATTCCAGGAGGTGCAGGCATGGTCCAAGGTGTGGAGAGAGGTGTGAGGACATTGAGGATGCCAGCTCTCTGAAGAGAAGGGGTGCCTGGGTGGTAGATTCCCTCCATATTTCATGAAGTTGTGAAGGCCAGGAAGATCTATGGATCGCAAGGATTCTTGGAGAAGCTGAGGCTTGAACTCTCTGCGCCCTCTTCAAGATCACCACATCGGGGCTCCCTTCTCACTGGCATCTGACCAGGTCCTTGTCCCTGGACTCAGCGTCCAGCCCAGCTGGTCCCTTACAAGCTGTGTGACTGTCCCTGAGGTTCTAGAATCCCTGAGTCCTACCCTTGGAGGTAGGCCCTCTGTCCTCATATCTCTGTAAGGAACAGCATGCACAGGCGTGCACAGGCTCTGGGTTTCCCTGACATGCTGCGGACCCTTCCTGAGCCCTGTTTCTTCATGTATCAAATAGGGAATAAGAACAGTTCCTCTTCACACATGTGTTGTGGGAAGTAAAGCCCCAGGCAGGTGCTTGGGGCATAGCAAGTGCTCATTGAATGCCAGCTCTGTGGCAGAGCGGCACCTTGAGCCCACATGTGGCACCTTCTTCCTGCATGGCCCCGCTTCCTAGCCCCTGTCCCCAGAGTGTCCATTACAGGCCTCTATAGACAGCTAATCCCTCCTGAGCCTGGGGTTGATCAGGCTTATGACGTTCACAGACCCGGGGCAGTGAGTGTATGTGCATGCATGTGTGTGGGTGCAGTGTACAGGGGTGGAGGGTTTGGGCTTGGGAATCAGAGAGCTTTAGAGTGAATCTTGACTACTCCCACCATAAACTATAAGTTTTTTTCTGTCTCTGGGCTTAACTTTTCACCACTGGCATATGATGAAGTTTGTGTGTTCATTCCTTTATTCATGCAACAAATATTGAGCACCACCATATACTGGGCACTGTTCTAGGGAGTGGGGACCCAGGAGTCAGCAGAACCAAGCCCCTGCTCTCCTGGAGCTGACATTCTCACCAGGGGAGATGGTGAAGAAACCACCAAGTATAGTGGCAGGTGCTTAGAGGGGTGGTGAGGCAGGGACTCACCTGCCCTCAGGACTTTCTGCATGTGTCCCGTGCGGGAGGAGTGTGCTAGGTTGAGGATTGAGATGTGGACGTGACTGTGGGAGCTCACACAGCAAGTGGATTGGGTGGAGAGAGTCAGGTGGGCAGCTCCCGTCCCAGGTGAGGGGCACCCACGGGAGGATGGCTTCCTTTTGGATGCCACCCTGGTTTGTTGTGTTTTCCTAAAGCTGCCTGTTTGGCAAGCCTCCTTTTAGGATTAAGAGTGCAGATGTGCAGCCTCGCTGGGTGTTTGTGCAGGGCAGGTGGGCAGGGGTACCTGTCCAGGATGGAGGATGGGGGAGGCAGGAGGGGCTGCTAAAGGAGAGGAGGAGGGTGTCAAAGATGGCCTCTGCTGCCCAGGGCCACTTGTAAGATTCTCATGCCAGGCAGCAACTCTGGGTGCGGTAGAAAGCTCTAGACAGCTGAGTTTGAGTCTATCCCCACCCCCCGCACATTCCTACCCTTGGGCAAGTCTCACTGAATTCTTGGAATCCCGGTTTCCTCATCTGAAACAGGGGTCATGATCTCTGCCGCTGGGGCTGTGGTGAAGACGAAATCGAAATGTGCTGGAGAGGCTGCCCACTCAGGTGGGGCTCCAGGTTCTGCTCCTGCGGAGACCACTGGAGGGACTCAGCCTACTGCTGTTCTTGTGCTGTGGAAGAGGCCCAGCACCCGGGCTTCTGAGAGGCTGCCACCTCCTAAAGAGGCCGCAGGGTTGTGGACCTGCCAAGGGCTGACAGGGGTCAGGGCTGGGGAGCCGAGGAGAGAAAGGCAGGCTCTTCCTGCTACAGGGAAGCCCTTGTCAAATATTAACTTAAACATAATGGCATTGTTTCCTGCATACTGGCTGCATGCCATCATCACTGTGGACAGGTGAGAGTATTATACGTCCCATCCACAAAGGAAGAAACTGAAGCTGGAGTGGTTGTGTGACTCCCCAGTGGGCCGTCTGGGCTTCTACCTCCCTTGTGGTCAGTAGGATCAGTAGTGGGGTCTGGCCTGGGGCAAGGCCTTGGAGACAAGCAAATGAGATGGAGGCGTCCAGCGGACTCCCTGCATAAAGCCCTGATGGTGAAGGAGTGTCATTGTGACAGACTTTGGTCCCCAAGACCCTCCCAAGACTTGGGGCCCCTGTCGGACCCCCAGCTCCACCTGGGGTCTAGGCTTGCACTTTGGAGTGTGTGGTAGACTCTGGGGTGATGGGAACACCTGGGGTTTCTAGGTGCAAGTCCAGAGATGGGGGTTCATGCACGCAAATGAGGACAGACAGGACCCTGTGCTGTGTGTTTTTTCCCAAATAGTAAAAGTTGTCTCCAGTTTATTCCAGTCTAAAAGAACACTCTTGGCCGGGTGCGGTGGCTCATGCCTGTAATCCCCAGCACTTTGGGAGGCCGAGACGGGTGGATCCCCTGAAGTCAGCAGTTCTAGACCACAGCTGGCCAACATGGTGAAACCCCGTCTCTACTAAAAATACAAAAATTAGCCTGGCGTGGTGGCGGCGCTTGTAATCCCAGCTACTCGGGAGGCTGAGGCAGTAGAATCGCTTGAACCTGCAAGGCGGAGGTTGCAGTGAGCTGAGATCACACCACTGCACTCCGGCCTGGGCGACAGAGCGAGACTCCGTCTCAAAAAAAAAAGGCCAGGCGCAGTGGCTCACGCCTGTAACCCCAGCACTTTGGGAGGCCGAGGCGGGCGGATCACGAGGTCAAGAGATCGAGACCATCCTGGCCAACATGGTGAACCCCCGTCTCTACTAAAAATACAAAAATTAGCTGGGTGTAGTGGCATGCGCCTGTAATCCCAGCTACTTGGGAGGCTGAGGCAGGAGAATCGCTTGAACCCGGGAGGCGGCGGTTGCAGTGAGCCCAGATCGTGTCACTGCACTCCAGCCTGGTGACAGAGTGAGACTCTGTCTCAACAAATAAATAAATAAGTAAATAAAAATAAAGTTTACGTCCCTCTAATTTTGTTTCTGTTACTGCTACAGTATTTCTTTAATGAGATGATGGTCATACTAGTTGTTTTTTAATGTTCCTGGGGGGGAAAGAACCATGCTGCCGACACTGCCCCCGCTACCACACACACACACACACACACATGCACCCTGGGAAGACTTCCTGGGGGGAATCCCATACTCTGGGCACTTTGCTTTGCTTCCTGACCCAGGCAGGCCCATGTGTCTCTGGTCCCTGTGGTCACCAAGGCATCTCATCCCCTCAGCTTGGCTCACAGTAGGTGCATACTTGTTGCACATGTGGCTGCATGGATTCTTTAGGCAGTGGGGAGACAGCACTGATGGCTGGCAGAGGCCCTGGAGGCTCCCTGGGTTTGAGGGTGCAGGGTGGGAGCGGGAGGGATGCTGTGTCTGCAGGATTTAGGTTGGGGCTAGGCTAGTGGGTGCAGATCCCACCCTGCCCCGGCCACCCTGGAGGGACCCAGGATCGCTCCTCATCACACTCCCCCGTGATAAAGCAGCCGTGGTCAGCTGCTCAGGGCTGTGGTGGGGCCTAACCTGAGCTGGTGGCTGTAATGCTTGGTGCCCACAAATGGGGTTCTTGTGATTGGCCCAGGCCCAGCCGAGGAGTCCTGCCTGATTTTAGGCCAGATGCCAAATAGGGCTTGGCCTCGGTCCTCTGCAGGGGCCTGTCCTATAAGAGAAAGCTTTCAGGTGACAGCAGTACTGGGCAGTGCTGGCTGGGGGTTCAGTGTGATTTGCTGGACCCAGACATCACTGTGAGAGCTGCTGCCCTTGGACACATTTTGCTGGCTTTTTGCAAAGCCTCTTCCCTCTGCTTCCCGGGCCTGCACCTTCGGCCCCCGTTGTGACCTAGATCCCAAGTGCGACAGCAGGTGGGGTGGGATTGGGGTCACAGCAACAGCATGGGGCGTGGGGGTGGGGTGGTTGGGCCTTGGAGCCTGGGGCCACAGTGGCCTTGGGGCACTGAGGACTGTCCTGTGGTGCCCCTGGGAGTGGGCATTCATGACTCCATACTATGCCCAGCCCCCACTGCTGCCTCCAGTCTGCAGACATCTCCCCTCTGCTGTGTGAAGGCCGCAGTGTCTGGTGGCTGAGCCCGGATTGTTACGGGGAGTGAGTGGGTGGCTGCAGCAGCCGCCACAGGACTGGGTTGGGGGCGGGGGAAGGATTTATCACTACCAGGGTCTGTGGAGCTCAGGCCTTCCGTTCCCTGCAGGCCTCCCCATCCTCAGAGCCCCTGGGGCATCCCCGCTGGCTCCTGAAATATGGTCCTTGTTTTGTGGGTCAACTTCTTACTCTGAATGAAGTCCCCCGAGGAGCCTGCAGATCACCTGGGTAGAGGCAGCGATGGCTTCGCATTTACACCCTAAGTCATTCTGTCATCTGTGACCTGCCCACTGTGGGTGCCTGCTCTCAGGAGCTCCCAGCCTTGCACACAGCACTCATCCCAGGACTGTGGGTTGGGGAGGGCACTGGAGCCTGAGGGGCTTTCCCTCAGGCCCCAGCAGTCAGGGAAGCCTCCTCAGAACCTGAGCCAAGTTCAGAGGGCAAAGGAGGCAGGTGGTAGTGTGGGGAGAGATGCTTGGATGGCAGCGGGAACAGTGCTTGTCAGGGCCCATTCAGGGCCTGAGTTTGAGGAGATGGGCAGAGGCTGGGCCTGGGCTGTAGCCCAGGGCCCTTGGGTGAGGCGGGCCCTGCCCTGGGCTCTTCAGCTTCCCTCCCCACGTGTTGCCTGAACCTTTCTTCTGTCTCCTGGTCTGGCCTCAGCCAAGGACTGTATCTTAATTGTCCTGGGTTGCGGGTGAGGGGATGAGCCTGGAGTCTCCAGAAGGAGTGGCCTGGGCCAGATTAGAATCCAGCCATGCCCAGGGTCTGGGGCAGGGCTTGGGCCTGGAGTCCACCCCTGTTAGGGCTGGGGACACAGGGGCCAGGTGACACCTGTCGCTGGAAGGGCAGGTGGAAAACATCCTGTACCTGCCCTGTCCCATGCATGCCTGCTTCTCCACCTGCTGCACAGCCCAGGGTGACACCAGGAGGGCTGACGCTGCTGGGCCTGGAGGGGTGACGCTGCTGGGCCTGGAGGGCTGACGCTGCTGGGCCTGGAGGAGTGACGCTGCTGGGCCTGGAGGGGTGACGCTCCTGGGCCTGGAGGGATGACACTGCTGGGCCTGGAGGGCTGACGCTGCTGGGCCTGGAGAGCTGGCGGCTGGGAGGTCTATCAGTGGATCCGCTCACCCTTTTTAGGGCGCCCCTGTATGCACGGCCCTGTGTGGCCAGGCCGTTGACTGGGATGGCCATAGGGGTCCTTTTGTTGCAGAGCTGGGTCAGAGCTAGGGAGGGGCCTCAGAGGAGTGGTCCTGCCAGCTGTGGGGACCCCTGGCTCCAGGACAGACCCCCGAGTGGGGAGTGGGCACGGTAACGTGAATAATGCCTCAGTCTCTGTTGTGTGGATGGAGATGGGGGCAGTGTCTGGCAGCGAGGGGTTTCCACCAGGCCTGTGGCTGGAGAAGCTTTGTTGGAACCACAGGGCTGGCAGGAGTGGGTGCCAGGAGAGCCTTTGCCAGCCCAGCCCTTTTTTCCAACAGCTGCTGCTACTTTCTTTGGACCTTTGCTCAGCTCACCATCTCTCTGGGGCTGAGGCCAAGATGCCTGAGTCCAGGGCAAGCAGGGGCCCTTCTGGCACAGAGAGGCCTGGGTGGGAAAGACCCCTTGAGGGTCTTTGGCCTCCTATCCATTTGGCCCATGGCAGCTCCCCTTTTTTCTCTGGCCTGAAGTGGTATGAGCTGTCTAATTATGTGTCAGGGGCCAGATGCAGGTGATGGGGTGGATGGAGCTCGGAGCTGGACCCTGGGACCACAGGCAGATGGGCAAAGGGAGGGGAGACACCGAATGAGAGAAAGGGGAAGAGGAAAGTTAGGACATAGGGAGGAAGGAATTCATCCCCTTGGGGCTGCTCCCCCGCTGTGTGGCGCTGGGCAAGTCACTTGCCTATGGCTTGTTGGAGGGTCTGGGAGGATGTGTGAGGGAAGCACGCAGCTCTGCCCTCCCTGGTGGGTGATGCAAACGCTCTTTCCCAGGGAGCATCTCATGACAGCCCACGGGCGTCATTCTGGCTTTCGTGTTTTGAGTTTGTTGTCTGTGCTTATGACAGGTTTCTTGAAAGTGAACTTCAGTGAGCTTCCCTGCCATTCTCTCCCCACCACCTGTAGAGGCTGAAAAAGCTAAATTGGGAGCTGATGGTCTCACCTTCCCAGGACAGAAGTCAGCTCTCCTTTGACTTAGACCCTGATAGAATGGGGAGGAGAGGGCGAAAGATTGCAGGTGGGGCCGAGGCTGGAGGGGGCCAGATGAGGGGCACAGGGCTGGGGGTGGAGGTGAGGGTCTGGCATCATTTATTCATTCACTCACTTGCTCACTGGAGGAACCTGCTATGTAGCGGAAGACCACAGGCTCCAGGTGGGCCACCAAGCCTCAGTGTACCCACCTGGGGACCGGGAAGTGGGAGACTCCTCTCTCAGCAAAACAAGGTGAACTCCCGACTCCTGTAAGTGAGAATGGCAGCAGCTGAGTTCCTGCTGGGTCCGGCTGGGTCTGGAAGGTTCAGGGGGGCAGAGCCATTGCACCTCTGTTGCATTATGTAATTTACTAAGAACCATCACACCCGCCGCTTTCCATTTGTTTCTCTCTGTGCCCTGTGAGGTAGGTGGGACCAAACCATGGCCCCATCTGGCAGATGAGAACAGAGGCTGGAGAAACTCTGGGATTCCCTTCCTCTTGGGCCTCAGACTTGGCCCCAAGTTGGCCTTTCCCAGGTGCTGCCACCCCCATCCCTGAGTCCAGGGAGTGGGAAGGAGGTGGTAAGAAGAGCTTGGAAGGGACTGTTAAGGTGCAGATGTCTTCATTGTCTTCAAATGAAAATCAGTGTGGGGGCTGCCTTTGTTGGGGAACACCTGGCATATGTTTGGGGGTGGGAGTGGGGCCCCTGGGTGGCTCCAGGAGGCTGGCACACCAAAGGGAAGGTGAACCCACAGAGCCAGGCCCTTCACCTTGGGATTTCCATACTCCGGGATCCACCAGTGACCCCGCCAGGGAGGCATGGTGCAGGGGACCTGGGTACCGACAGGAATCCAGGGACCTAGGAGGATCAGATTTGAATGAAGCTGGCCTGACTGTGCTCCTGAGAAGCATACCTCCCACCTCCCACAAAGAAAGAGTTGCAGGGATCCTGGGGGATGTTAGTGGCTTGGGAGGGGACTCCAGGACGAGGAATGAGCTGACTCTTGTTCTAAACTGAGAAACAGAATCCACAATTAATTGGATGCATTTGCTGAACCTGGGACAGGACCCAAATCTTGTTCTTTTTCTGAAATATAAACCAAGCCAGGAGTTTATTTATTTGTGTCCCCTCTCCCTGCAAGGACTCAGTGAAGCAGCCTGTCCTGGAAGGCAGCCTGGCTGAGCTGGAATGTCACCGCCTTCCCCGAGTTGACCCGCCCACCCTGTTCTCCTGGTCTGGTGAACCATGGGCCTGGAGGAGGCCCCATGGTTGAGGGGGTCAACCTCCCCAATTGAGGGGGTCCTTTCCTGAGGGCATTCGGGGCAGCACCACCCGGGGGCTGGTGGGCAGGGTCTGTTGATCCTGGGCTGTTCTGGCCTGGGGCCAACTTCAGAAGCCTCCCTGAGGAATGGGTGTGGGCTGCAGGGCTGGGCGGGGGGAGCTGAGTCAGCACTGTGGGAGCCCTGATCACAGCAAGGACAGAACCTGATGCCAGCGTCCGGCTTTGTGCCACTGCACTTGCGGGTCACCCTGCCTGCTGCACTGCGAGAGACTAGGGAGGCCTTCCCCATAGTCTGCAGTCGGCTCCGCGCCACTCCAGTGCTTAGACTGTGTGCCTGAGCCATGCGGGGAGAGACAGAGGGACCGGAGCTCCCAGGTTGCACTGGCCTCCTGGCTAGCAGGCAGCGGGACCCCCCCAGGTTCCTGCTCCTGCTCTCCCTCCTCATCTCCTTTTGACTTCCATAAAACGGGCTAACAGCAAACCCTGTTTGCTGGTCTCAATCCTGAAGGGGGAGGCTAGACCCATCGTGCCTGTGTTCCTGGCTTCTGGCACATAGTAGGCACACAGTGCCAAGTGAATTGGCATGTGAGGCTTCGGAGGATAAAAGCCTTTGTATAAGGCTTTGCAAAGCACCTTACACAATGCAGCAAGGTGGAAAGAATATGATTTTCAAGTCTCAGAGCCCCAGGTTCAAATCCTAGCTCTGCTCTTCCTCAGTGCTTTGACCTTGGACAAGTTACTCCCCCTCCAAGTTTCAGTGTCCCCTTTTGTGAGGTGGGATAGTATCCTGTGTGGGAGGGTTGTCATGAGGATTAAACGGGAGAACAGGTGTCTCCATTTCACACACGAGGACCCTGAAGGTCGGGGTGCCGGCTCGTGGACCAGCCCTGCTCCAGGGCAGGGAGCAGGGCCTTAGGCCAGTGGGGGGTGTCTAGCTGCACCCATGCCCTCCGTGTGTATCCTCTAGGGCCGTCCTGTCTGAGTTTAGGCCTGGGGCCCCCAGCACTGGAGGAGTCCAGGGAGTCCAGGCCTAGCTCAGGATCCAGATGGTAGGGCTTGAGGCCTTGGGAAGGAAGGAAGGGGAGGGGATTGTCCAGAGAGAGCGGCAGGGGCGGAAACGTGTGGTATCGTTCTCACCCATCATAAGGGCCACAGCTGACACCGCTCTAACGAAAGACAGGTTTCCAAGAGCAAAGCATCACATTTCTTTAATCAATGTTTTACATGACACGGGAGCCTTCAACGATGAAGATGCAAGGACCAGAGAGAACTGTCTGTTTTCAGACATAAGTTGGTGAGGAATGGACAGCCGTGTAGACATATGATGGGACAACGGGTGTGACCTAATGGTGATAGTCCGAGGGGGAACCCAGCAAGGCTTGTCGGCTCGGCTTCTTTCCGGCCTCTCTGTGTTGTGTGGCTTCCTCCCACATACAGCGCAGGACCCCTGTGGAATGAGGGTCTTCAGGGGTGAAGGGAGTGGGAGAGAGTGAACTATCTGGGTTTCATGGCTGGCTTTGGGGAAAAGGGGTTTTGGTCTTTATGCTTCACCTTGGGAAAGAAAAATTCCAGTTTTGATGACTCACCTGGGCAGGGAAAAAGAGGGGAGAGAGACAGAAGGGCAGGAGAAGGTCACAGAGAGCTTACCTCTGAGGCCTTTCACATGCCCTTTGTTCAGAGTCTGCAGTGAGCCACAGCACCACACTTTGGGGTGCTGTGTTCTGAGCCCCGACAGGGCCTTGTGGGGGCCAGGCTCCAGGTGATACTGTAAGCCCCCACTTCCCCTTCCGCCCTCCCTCCCTGACCCCTCTCTCTGTGGACAGCCCTAGCGTGGGGGTGGCTGGGGGCTGACCTGGCATCTGTGGGGGGGCCCCCAGGCTGTGCCCCACTCCTTTGGCTCCCTCCTGGGATTTTTTTTTTTTTTTAGAGGGATTGGCCCCTCTGTCTGTCTGCTCAGCCCCTTACTGTTGAACTGTGCTGCTCTTGATGGAGAGAGCCCTTGGGGAGGAGGGGACAGTGCAGGAGGAGCTCCTCTTCCTTTCGGGCACAGGGGGTGCAGGCGTGGGCTGTGGCTTCTGGGACCTCTGTCCTCTCTCCTTCATGGGGTCCCTGCCTCCCCTTCCCAAGTGCACTGCACTGTGTTGGCCCTTCCCCGGGAGCTTTGGAGGAGGACTGGATGTGTTAGTGAAGGAACCTGGGCACACTCTGGGGACCTTTCTAGATGATGACTGGGACTGCAGGGTGGATCCTCTGGAAGGCTGGTGACTTGCCCGGGGCTGCGGGTCAGTGGGAGGCCCTTGCTGCCCCCTGCAGCATGCCCCTGAGCTGGTGGCTGGCCTCAGGGCTGAGCCTGGTGGTGCTAGGGACTGCGGGCAGGTGTTTGGGGCCTTTAGTCAGCAGCACTGCCTCCCACACGGGGCAGCCAGCTGAGCAGCGGTCAGCCTCTGTGGGCCCTGTTGCTCCTGTTACCTCCCTCTAAGGTTAGTGGGACCTGGATTATGCCCAGGGAGGGATGGCACCTGCTGAAGTCACACAGCCCATTAGGGTGGGGCTGGGCTATGTCCACTTCTGTCCCACTGTGTGCTGACATCCTTAATCGGGTGGGGAGGGGCAGTGCATTTGTCCCCCACATCCATGTCCCTCTAGCCCTTCACATTTATGTCATTCCACTCCTCCTTACCACACAGCACAGGACGGGCAGGGTTAGGGGGAGGAAGCCCGGAGCCCCTCTGCTCCCCTGAACATTCATTCCACCTGCCAGGGCCTGGGGCAGGGGCAGGGACAGGGGGTAGAGGTGGGTGTAGGGGTGTGGTGGAGGGTGGTATGTGGGGTAGGGGCCAGGCGGAGAGCTGGGCCAAGAGCCTGGGGAAGGGGCAAGGCTAGGGGCAGGGCCAAAGGTAGGGGCCATGGGGTAGGGCAGGGGTAGCCACGTGACTCCCTCCGCATGTTCTTGTCCCCTCTGGCTCTCCGTTCCATTCCCCCCACCCACCAGCCCCTATTCTTTTGTTGTTTTTCTGAGACAGGGTCTTGCTCTGTTACCCAGGCTGAGTGTAATGGCACAATCATAGCTTGCTGCAGCCTCCAACTCCTGGGCTCAAGCGATTCTCCTGCTTCAGCCTCCCGGGTATCTGGGACCACAGGTGTATGCCACCACACCTGGCTAATTAAAAAAAAAATTTTTTTTTTGTAGAAATGGGGTCTCCTTACATTGCCCAGGCTGGTCTTGAACTCCTGGCCTCAAGCAATCCTCCCACCTTGGCCTCCCAAAGTGCTGGGATTATAGGCATGAACCACCACGCCCGGTCAGCCAACCCTTATTCTTGATCTGAATACCTGTTGATCAAACACCTCGTCCCCTTCTGGTTCCTTCCCAACTTTCCTCCAGCCTTGATTTCCTACTTCTGGGGCCAAATACAGTGGAATCAGCCTTGGACTCGAAGTAGGTCCATTCTCCTCTTCTCTGGGACTCAGAACCTGCCAGCCTTGGCTTTTGTTTCTGCATCGGCAAAGATGGGGAGCCCCTGTGGCTGAGAACAGCACTCACACTTGTGTGGAGGGGCAGGGCATGCTGGACAGGCCAGGGTGAGGCAGGGAAGCCCCTAGAACAGCACTGGGTAGAGGAAGGCCTGAGAATGCCCCGGGGCTGGGGTGAGGGCAGCCTCCTCAGTACTGTGCTGCGTGGGGTGCCTGTTGGTGCCTCAGTGGGCACTTCTGGGTGGGCGCTATCTAAAGCTGACTCTGGGCATTCACTCCTTTGAATAGCAGAAATGACAACAATACTGTTTGAAGTAATACCAATGATGTGTTTGAGATAAACACATACCTCCCGTAGGCACCATTTACTAGTTCCAGTGTCATGGATATAGAAACCGAGGACTTTGATTAAGGAATGAATAGCCTGGTTGCATGTATAGGTTGAGCTTCTCAGACAGGAACAGACGTGTAAGAACCTGAAGGCATCCAGAAGAACAAGTCAGCTCCTGTGCCTGGAGTGGAGTCGGGGAAGGCTGCCTGGAGGAGGTGATGTGAAGGGCCAGCATAGCCTGGCATTGCTAGGGAGGCAAAGTTTCCTAATGAAGACTGTGGGAGTGTGTGGCGACCCGTGGCTGTTGCCTTCCCACCCAGCTCAGACCTTCACTTGGCCCCAAGGCAGGTGGGTGCTGGCCAGACCTTCCCCCTCCCCTGCCCTGGCTGCTGGGGAGCTGCCACCGCCCCCCACCCACAGCTGTGCCCTGGCTGGGGCTGGGCTGGTGCTCTGCTCCTCCCAGCACAGGCTGTTCCCCCACTGAGCTCAGGAAGCAGGTGATGAGGGTGGGAGGCGGGTGGGCTGGAGAAGCAGATTCCACCGTGTGTTTATGGCCAGTGTCCTGGAGCTGGGCTGAGAATAGCACCCGCACTTGTGTGGAGGGACAGATGGGCGGAGGGCTGGGGCCAAGGGTGGGGTGCGTGCCTGTGGAGACAGGCTGTCCTCAGCGAGCCCCACCCAGCACAACTGAAGTGGTGGAGGGTCGCCCTGTGTCACTGATGCCCCGCGGCCATGCCCTTGCTGCCTGCCTGCGGGGGTGGCACTGGGATGTGGAGTAGTAGCAAGGCCCATCAGGGCTCCTCATGTGGCCACAGCGGGTTGCACCAGGCTGGCCTTGCTGCGATGGCCACTGTCTTCAGCTGTTTGGTTGATTTCCATGGGGCCTCTTGTCGGTTTACCCTTTTCCCAAAGGGGCCCAGCGTAATGGGGTGGCTTGCAGGGTCCTTGCAGAGCTGCAGGCAAGGAGGCTGCAGAGGGGAGCTTGATTGGAGAGAGGAAGGGGGGTGGTTGGTATATGCTGTTCCAAGGAACTGGCCATGCTGCAGTGGACTGTGAGCCGCAGGAGCAGGTGCACTGGGCGGCAGGTGCGGGGAAGGCTTATGTGAGCTGGGGGTTGGGGGAGTAGGGCGTTGGGGACTAGGGTGGGAAGACTGCAGGAACTTTCAGCCCTGGGTGGGGGGAGCAGGGGGGAATCCAGTGCTAGCGGCTCTGCTGGGCCCTCTTACCTACATGATCATACTTCACCTTTAAACACCCTTGAGGGAGTTCTTGGCTCTAAGTGATGAGACCCAGCAGGTCAGGGAGGTGAGCTTACTTGCCCAGGGCTGCACAGCCTGGGCCTGCTCCCAGCACCTTCTGCCCCAGCAGTGTCTCCTACCAGAAGGGGTTCCTGGCCAGCTGCCCAGACTAGATGCCCTGAGCTGGTCATCCAGAGTGGGCAGTGGGAGGGACTGAGGGGCAGGTGGGTGGGGCCGGGGTGTGATAGAAACCTGACGGTGGGGTGTGTCCAGTCCACCCCAGGGTTCCTGGCCATTGTGTCTGCACCTTCCTCCTGGACATCTCTGGGCACTGCAAACTCACTGTGACCCCCAGCTGTTACCCCAACACGTGTCCCCATCTCAGGTGATGACCACCCCTTCCCTCTAGTAGCTCAGATCACAGAGTCCCCTTGCCTCCCACCTGGGTCAGTGCAGTCAGCTTCTGAACAGGCACCCTGCCCCACTGCGCTCCTGAAGTGTGTACACGCGCCAGCCTGGGAGCTTTGCAGGCTGCAAAATCAAGTCTTGGCTCAGAGCTTTCCAGGGTTCCACGTTCCATGCTGGGTTTTAAGGGCCAGAGTCTTCCAGGGGCCTCTGTGGTCCTGGGGGCCGAGGCCGCATGTGCAGTGGTTAAAGCTCCTCACCGATGGACCCAGGCCTGGGGTTGGGATCCTGGGCCTGGCTGCGTGACCCTGGGGAGTTGTTAAGGCAGTGCCTCAGTTTCCTCACCTGCAAAGTGAGAATATAATAGTATTTCCTTCATGAGGTTATGGAGGGGTCCACCATGAGGCTATGGAATCATGCCCAAGGGCTCAGCATGAAGCCTGGCACCTGGTGTTTCAGGGCCTCCTGGTCCTCCCTGCCCCCTGCCACTCTCAGCCACGCCGGTCTTGCTGTCCTGTGGCATCCCTCCCGTCCACCTCAGGGCCTTTGCACTCACTGAGTTCTCTGTCCAGTGAGTTCTACCTTCTTCTTCCTTCCTGGCCTGGTGTCTTGCTCCTTCATCAGGTCTCTGCTCAGCTGTCACTTCCCTGAGTTCCTTCCTAAGAGCAGCCGCCCTCTCCCCTCACCCCCAGCCCTTCAGTGTCTCTCTTTTTTTTTTTTTTTAAGAGATACGGTCTTGCTCTGTCGCCCTGGCTGGAGTGCAGTGGTGCGGTCCTGGATCACTGCATTTTTTGAACTCCTGAACTCAAGGCATCCTCCTGCCCTAGCCTCCCCAGTAGCTAGGACTATAGGTGCACACCATCACACTCAGCTAATTAAAAACTATTTTTGGTAGGGGTAGGATCTCACTATGTTGCCCAGGCTGGTCTGGAACTCCTGACCTTAGGTGATTTGCCCCCCTCAGCCTCCCAAAGTGCTGGGATTACAGGTGTGAGCCACCGCACCCGTCCCCCTGCTGCATTTTTGTTCGGAGGCTCACAGCACCTTTCAACATTGCCTCCCTCCTAGAGTGCTGGCTCCTCCAGGGCAGAGACCTTGCTTGGCTTCCCATAGAGCATGGCCAGGCACACTGCCACCAGGGCACGTTGCTGAGTCTTCAAATGCCTGTTGTGAGGTGATAGTGCAGAAGAGGAAGCCACCTTCGTTTTTGGGTGGGCGTTGGCAGGGGAGGCTCTGATTCTGTGCCTGTCCTGCTCTTGGCACCCCTCTCAAGGAACTGAGTTATGAGAAGATCCCTCCTGCGTCTGGCCAGCTCACCCACAGTGTGACCACCACAGCCACCAGGCCCTACAGCCGAGAGGCCACGTCCCAGAGCCGGGGTGGGGACTCTTCACAGTGGTGGGTCTGGTGGAAGGTTCCTTTCTTCCACTAAGTGCTGGCTGGGTGGGGAAGAAGCTGGAGGGTGAGGCCTGGGCAGCTGGCTGGGCGCTTGATGATGGTCTGGGTGGGCGTAGCCCTTCTAGAAACTCCTCTGTTTGCTGGTGGACACCTGGTTCTGCTGATGGCTAAGAATAGACTCAGCTTGGGGGATGGTCCCGAGGGGAGGGGAGCCAGTCATGATCCAGGGGGTCCTCCAGCCCTCCTGGTTGGAAGGTGGTGGGGTGGCTGATAAAATCCAAGGGCTTGGTAGCGGTGGGCCGTGTGCGGATTCTAGCTCATTGCTTACTGACATGGGACTCTCGGTTTCCTCACTGTGAAACGCCTCCCTCCCCTGCCAGGATTTGGAGCACATGTGGTCTTTGGATGAGCGGTTCCTGCTCTGCCGTCCGTCCTGCACTGCCCTTGGCTGGTCCAGCCCCGCCGGCCACTGTGAGAGTGCTCACCCCAGCCCCCTCCCAGCCTGACTCTGGCCCCTGCTGCCTCCACTCACGCTGTGTGCTCTGCTCGGGGCTCCCCAGGCCACCGCAGCCCACCCTGGCTTCCTCTGGGGTCCACGTGGCACCACCCTGGCTGCAGGCCATAGGCTTATCTACAGAACCGGCTGGAATTTCAGGCACCCTGGGAGGGATGAGAGAGAGGACGGGGAGGGGGCCTTCCTGGCCTGGAGTCAACTGGACACTCGTTCTCTGGGGCGGGAGCCTTCCCTTCCAGCTGCAGAGATGAGTGTGGAGGAGGAGACCCTGCAACTTCCTTCCCCTCCCCCTTCTTTCTCAGGGGCGGGGCTGGGCTGCCAGCTCTGATGCAGACAGGACCTCCAGGGGCCGGCCGGGCTGGGAGGGCTCTCTGTGTTTTCGTTTTTGACCATCAAAGCATTGTGGTGGGGCTGACGTAGTTGGTCAAGTTTTTATTGTCAGTTAAGGATGTAAAAGAGAAAACCCAACACCACTTTTTGCTCTCACCAGTATTTCACAAAGGAAAGGGAAAATCACCAAAAAGAGGAAGGAGATCATCATTTTAGAGTGACGGCCTCCCAAGAGAGGCCAGGCAGCTTCCTCAGTCAGCCTTTCTGAGCAGGGGACCACGGAAAAGTGTGATGAGTCTTTGTGGACTGGTGTCAGGGGACGGAGCATGGGGGCTTGTCAAAAAGGTGGATCGCCATGTGGGGGTGAGGCCAGGCGCTTCCTGGGGGTCATGGACTTGTTAAAAAGACGGATCACTGTCTGGACGCGGTGGCTCATGCCTATAATCCTAGCACTTTGGGAGGTCGAGGCGGGTGGATCACGAGGTCAGGGGTTCGAAACCAGCCTGGCCAGCATGGTGAAACCCCATCTCTACTAAAAATTCAAAAATTAGCCAGGCGTGGTGACGTGCGCCTGTAGTCCCAGCGACTCTGGAGGCTGAGGCAGGGGAATTGCTTGAACCGGGGAGGCAGAGGTTGCGGTGAGCCGAGATTGCACCACTGCACTCCAGCCTGGGCAACAGAGCGAGATTCTGTCTTAAAAAAAAAAAAAAGAAAAAAAGATGGATTACCATGTGGGGGCGAGGCCAGGCCTTCCTGGGAGGAATGTCTTCCCGGTTTTGTATTTCATCGTGAAAATCTTTGTCAGCTTTGCGTTCTAATCCACAAGCTGTCTATGTTGGTTATGTCACAAAAGTGTTTTCTTTACCAGTTCGATCTTTGGATCAAAGCAAGATGGAGTGTGAATCTTCTTCAGCAAGCTCCAGACACACGCCCGCTCCCCCCAGTGTCTGTGTGCCCCAGTTTGGGAGTCAAAAGTTGAGTCTGGGCTTTGGAACTGATCAGGTGTGGCATCCTGGCTCTAGAGCTCATTAGCTGAGTGACCGCCCTGACCCTCGATTTCTTCATCTGTAAAATAGGACCAACGGTCATCACCTCAGGGTGGCCTAGGGATATGAACCCAACGGGAGGGGGTTCAAGGGTGATGTGTCCCCCAAGGTGAGTCCTTGGAGGAGAGATTCCCTGGTGGTCATGCTTTGCACTGTGAGCTTTGTGGAGCTTACCTAGAGGGGCACATGTGGGGGCCTCAACTGGGCTCCATAGGGAAGGAATTTGATGGGGAGGGAGTCCCCTCTGAAGTGAGAGCTGAGCTGGCAGCATCTCCCTCGAGGGAGGGCAGGTTGACAGATGCCTGTCCCTAGAGCCAGCCCCTCCTGCCACCACCTCATATCCAGCCCAGGGGACATGGGGGCCCCAGGTATGGGGGCACAGAGGAGCTAGGGAAGGGGGCTGAGGCCTGGCTCAGCTCCCCCTTTCGGAGCAGCCCTGAGGGTGTGAGCTGAGGGGGAGGACCCCATTCCCCCAGAGGTGCTGGGCCCTTCCTGCTGGGGGTGCGTCTGGCCACCCTGGGCTCGCTCTTGGTTTCCCCATCTCTGGTTTTCTTTCGGGCTCCTTCCTCATTATGGGCTCTCCCCGGGCCTCCCTCTGCCTCTTGCTTGTCTCTGTGGCTTCTTCGTGGTTCCTCCACTTTCCTACTGTGCCCAGGAGGGCCATGAACAGGTGGCTCTGCCAGGGAGGGTGTGTGTGAGCGTGTGTGGGCGTCATCTCACACTGGAGGTGCTTGCTGCATGTACATGGCCGAGCTTGTGCTGCTGTGTGGGGCCCTGAGGGCTGGGGAGCGTTCTTGCCTCCAGATGGAATGCACTTATCTTTAAAGTCATTGTGCCTTTGAGAAGTTGGAAGGCATAGCCTGAAGGGTGGCTAGCCGCTAAGAAGTGTGCTGTGTGTTCTGGGCTTGCTTCCTGGGACTCACTTCCCGGTGCCCCTGGGCTCTGCTCTCCAGCAGGAACCTGGGCCACTTCTCCCCTTTGCAGCCACAGCTGGGGCTGCTGCAAGGGGCCCAGCTGCCCGTAGCTTTCCCAAGGAGTCTGGGACCCTCATTCTAGCCCCTCTGTCCTTGGCTGCAGGTCTGGGTGCCCTCCCCTCCCAACCTGAGGGTGAAGCAGCAGCTCTGGGGTGGGGCGGGGCGGGGGATGGAGGGAGAACAAGGCCTCAATCGTCACCAGGAGACTGCTAGCTTCTGGGTTAAGCACTGCTGCTCTGAAGACGCCTCTGTACGTGTGACTTCACTGGGTTCTGAGGAGGAAGAGAGTTTCCCTGGGCTGGATGAGACCAGGAAGCTGCCCCTTGTGCAGTCACCAGCCTGGGGCAGGTGCCACAGCCCACAGTCAGTGTGGCCTCCTAAGGAACACTGCAATGGGCTCAGAGGGCAGCTGCTAGGCCATGGGTCTGTCTCCTTTCTCACTTCTTGAAGCAGACAGACCTGAGTGATGATGCTTGTTCACCACCACCACAAAGCCACAGAATCTGAGCTCGGTCGCTTCTTCGCTGCAGAGCCAAATCCTTCAGTGCCGCAGCCTTTCCTTTCTTATCTCTAAAGCAGGGGTAATAATCTGCGGCTCTGAGCATGAGGGAACGCTGAAATGCCTAAGAGCAATGAGCATGCCTCTCCACCGAAGGAAATCAGGGTTCCTTGGAGAAATGGCTGATGCCAGGGCTGGGGCAGGGACAGTGCAGGCTGAGCCTGGAGAATCTGCTAGTGCCAGAAAGTAAGGAAGCGCCTGGAGATGAATGAGGACGTGTCCGAAACCTCCCACTGGTCGCACTTGGGATGTTTGAGCATCAAAATGAATCACGAACGCAAAACGAAGGACTCACGATATCCTCACCACCCTCCTCGCAAAGGCAAGACCAGGGGAGGCTCGTGTTTGTGGAATG
Organism: Homo sapiens; assembly: GCF_000001405.40. Lineage (NCBI taxonomy): Eukaryota > Metazoa > Chordata > Mammalia > Primates > Hominidae > Homo > Homo sapiens. Next base: position 127,084,287 of record NC_000002.12, on the reverse strand, counting down.
CCGGGTCACGTGGAGGAGATTGGGTAACAGCGGGTTCCAGCCAAGATGCTATTGCAGTGCTTCTCAGACTTCACTGCGCATACGGTGCGCCAGGGGGACTTGTTAAAGGGAACACTCTGGTTCAGCAGGTCTGCAGTTTTTTTTCTCCTCCAGGCTCTTGGAAGACTGTCATGCAGCTGCCCACAGACCTCACACTGAATAGCAAAGAATGATGGATAGTAAAGGCACTGTGCAAAAATTTCAACAACTTTTTGCCTTGCCACAGTGACCGTGATTGTCCTGCAGATGACTAAGAGAAAAGTGACCTTCCTTTCCAAGAGATCTGGCAAACACGACTCAGACCCGGCGGTCAAGCCTAACACAGCTGTGGTGCGGTGGGAAGGCTCAGCCTCCCTCTGCAGGACTCTTGCCAAAGCAGCCTTTAACCTGAACTTCCTCACAAGGAAACAATCAGATGGATCCAGAGTGTGGGGCATTCTCCAAGTGATTGGTTTGCACTCTTAAAAAGATACCAGTATCACGAAAGAAAAAAAATGGATAACATTGATAAATAGGCATACGGGGAATATTCTGGACTAAAGGAACAAGAGACCCGACAATCAGAAGCAATATGTGAACCACAGTTGGATCCTAGACCCAGACATAAAGGGCATTTGGGGGGCACCCAAGGATATTTGAATGCGGACCGTGTGGTAGATGGTATTTTAAAATACATTTTGGATGTATTGGGGGTGCTTATGGTATCATGGGCATTTTGGAGCATGTTCTTGTTCTTAGGAAATCTGTTGGAGTATTTAGGGGTGAAGTATTGTGGAGCGAAGGTCATCCCAGTGACCCTTCTGCTGCTTACCTTCTGTTGGCTGGGCAAACATACAAATGCAGGAACGGTTTATATATAGAGAAAAGTGACTGGGCACGGTGGCTTGTACCTGCAATCCCAGCACCTTGAGGGTGCTGAGGTGGGAGGATCACTTGAGGCTAGGAGTTCCAGACAAAACTGGGCAACATAGCGAGGCCCTGTCTCTACAAAAAGTAAAAATACTAGCTAGGTGCAGTGGCCTGTAGTCCCAGCTACTCGGGACGCTGAGGTGGGCGGATCGTTTAAGCTCAGAAAGTCTAGGCTACTGTGAGCCATGATTGCGCCATGTACTCTAGCTTGGACGACATAGCAAGAAAAGAGAAAAGCAAAAAAAAAGAAAAAAAAAAAAAGAAAAAAGCAAATGAGTGTGGCCAAGTGGTAACAGTTGATTGGTGAATCTGGGTGAAGGGTAGATGATAGTCCCTGTAGTATCCTTTCCACTTTCTTTGAGGTTTATACTTTGAAAATAAGGAGGTGAGAGGGCCACATGAAATGTGGAGGTGAGTGGTGGGCTTAGAACCTCTTTTCCTCCCTCTGCTCTCTCGTCAGGGCTGCTGTGGCCTCCTGCATGGCACCTAGATTGTTGGAGGCCACCGAGACTCTCCACCCAGAGGTGGGGAGCAGGCTTAGGTGGCTCCACTGTCGGAGTGGGGATGGGGAGGTGTGAGCAGCAGCCGGGAGAGGGGTCCTGTGTGTCTGGTTGCAGGGACAGCTCGCATTTGAGAGATGGGCTTGGAGGAGGGGTTGTGTGCTGGGGAACTAGGTGACTATGGGATCTGCGGGACTGTCCTCAGACTGGCTCCCTCTGCCCCTGGGGGTTTAAGACTCCCATTGTACCCCTTTCACCACTGCCACCCCAGCCTGATGTGTCAGACAGCAGGCAGCATCTTGGGGCAGGAGAGGGGAGGCAGAGGGCCTTGTACCCCTTCCCCTGCCTGGGCGCCCACCATGGCCTGCCCACGCCAACCCTGGTCTCGGTGCAGACTTGTCCTGCGATGTCCCTGGTATCCCCAGCTGAGTGCCTGCAAGGCCTCAGAGCTTGTGACCACGGAGGCCTTCAGCTGGCCATCCTGCCCTCTGTCTCCCCTGCAGGGGCCCCTGGAGCATGAGGGCGGAAAGATCCCCGAGGCCAGCCCTGTGTCATCATCCACAGCTCCCCAGCTTGGCTGACCCGAGCTGTGTGTGGGAGACGACGGAGGAGGAGGGGCAAGGAAAGATTGACAGAGGGACAGCCCCCGGGAGTCAGTGAGCGAGCCTGGACCCAGAGGTGGGGGGCGGGGGTGGGGAGAAGGCTCGCCTTTGTCCTGTTCTAGGGGCCCTCCTCCCTTTCGCCTCTTGGGGTGTCTCCCTCGGGACTGGGCCCAGAGAAAGCCTGGCCGGGTGTCTGACAGTGGCCTTCCCCCTGCCCGCCTGCCTGTCCTCTGTCTGTGTCTGCCTGCCTGGGGAGCCTCGGTGTGAGAACGCCGGGGCACGAGGGTGTGCATCCTGCCTCCGTGGCCCCCGACCGCAGGCTCTGCTGGGAGGAAGGGGCGAGACAGGGCTCACTTCTCAGCCCGCCCTTCCTGTGCAGGCAGGTGGGGAGGAGATGATGCGGAAGGTGAGGGCCTTATGCGTTTTCTGGGGTCTCAGCAGCTGGGTGGTGGGTGCCTGGGAGGGAGATTTGCTGGATGAGGTCCCCCTTCCATGTGTGTGTGGGGGTGGGGTGTTGGGAACTCTGCTGCCACTGCAGGGACGAGGGGTGCCGCTGGCTGGTGGAGGAGCCCCTAGCTTTCTGCCTGGCCCTGGCCAGGACCAGAGTGACTGGGAACGCGGCCCTCACCCCTCCTTCCTTAGGCTTCCCTCCTGGGCCCCTGGGCTGGTCCTTCTGATGGCCTTGGGAAGTGCTTATCCCTGCCCTGGGCCATGCCATTCAGACTGTGGGTGTGTGTCCCGCAAGTGCAGCAGGCCCACTGGTCTCTGGGGCCGAGGGAGGGATCAGAGACCCCAGGAGGGGCTGCTGGGGCCCAGCCGGGTGAGCCCGAAGACCCGGCCCTCCTCACTGTGGCGGCTAGAGCTCCTGGCCCCTCCTGACTGGACGGTGTCAGGCTGTGTCCTGATTTGTTTGTGCTCACCTGCCATCTGTCACATAAGGACACTTCCCTTCTGAGGAGGCGGCCCTGGTGACTTGAAGTGCGTGCATGGTGGGTGGGTGCTGTACGTGGTGAGCTGCTCCTGGCTCAAACAAGACAGGCCTGGGCACCCTTCCTCCTTCTGGGTTCGGTGGCCGTGCACTGCCTGTGCCCCATGACTCACGCTGTGGGTCAGGGCCTTGCCTGCCATGCGGGGGCTGTTGGAGGGTGGCAGGACTCCCTGTACCCACAGGGAGCGGCTGACGCCAGGGCCTTCTGCCCTCTCACTGGGCCATGACAAAGGCCTTGGCGGAGGGCTGGGGAGGGGCACCCACCCACGGGATGCTCCCACTGAGCCCCTGTGGACCCGGGTGCCGGAGGCATGGCGTCAACTCAGTGAACCACCCAGCCTTTCTAGGGAGGAGCCTTGGGAGGGTTTCCTTCCACAGCCGAGGCCCAGCGAGGCTGAACCCTGTGGATGATTGCAGGAGGAGGTTCTGGAGCTGGCCACGGGTTCACACTTTGTCATTCCTGCCACCTGCCCCCCCTCCCTGCCCTGCCCTGGGGTGTCCCCTCCAAGGCACTTCAGCTCCACTCACATCTGGCCTTGGGTTGAGGACATGGTGAGAGGAAGCTCTGATAGGAGGTGATTGGGTGTGGCACTGATAAAGCTCCTGGGACTGTTGGCTCTGTGGCTGCCTCTGCCGCCTGGGCCTCTGTGTGTCTCGTCCGCCGCCAAGTTTTCAAAGGCTCCCCTTTGTTTATCACAGAGTGAGTGTGCGTGATAAGTGTGTGATGAGTGTAGGTGGAACTGATTGTCTAAGGGGCCCTCACCCAGTAACCCTGGACAGAGTGCAAATCCTGGCCTGTGCCGCCAGACCCTCCTCCTCACCCAACTCCTGCTCATCCTTCAAAACCCAGCACAACTGTCCTGCCCAGCTTTCCTTAGTCGCTGCTGGGCCAGCCCCTCCTGGACACCTGGAGTCCCCTGTGTCCCTCAGTGGTCTGCCTGTGAGCTCGGCACAGGGGAGGCCCCACTAACCAAGTGTGGAACGGATGGGGTGGGAGATCTGTGTCCCAGGGCTCACGGCCTTGTCCCAGCTCCTGTTCTGGGGCAGGGGGTGCCCAGATTGTTTTTCCCTGTGGTAGCCACACCAGGAGCTCCTTGAGGATGGGGACCCCAGGCCACTTGCCTGCGTTCCCTCATGGATGAAATGGGGGTAGGTGCAGTGAGGATGGCATGTGGCCAAGGCCAGCCTCGCCCATGGGTCTTCCCTGGGCCTCGGCCATGCTGTGGCCTTGTTATTCCTCCCATTTCCAAGGCGGGGGCACTGGAGCACTGAGAGCTTCAGCAGCCTGAGGTCTCGCAGAGTGGGGAGACTGGCTCAGCCTCAGGCTTGCTGTCACCCCTCAGGGCTGAGGGCTTTCTGTACATTACCCTTCCATTTTGTCTGGGAGGAGCCTGAGGCTGAGAGGTGGGTTGTTTTGTTTAGGGTCATGTCTCTGCCCTCAAAGCCCACAGCTCAGATGAGCAGCAGCCGCTGAGAATATCTTGTGTGTCTGTCCTGTGCTTAGCCCTGTGTGGGTGTTGGGGACACAGAGATGACTGGAACAGTGTCCCTGACCTCAAGCTGTTCCTTCAGGGTGAGGGTGTGAGGCACACAGGCACATCACATAGCAGTGAGGAAAGCTCTAAGTGGTACAGAGTGTTTTGAGGAAAGGAGAGATCAGGGACAGTTCACAGTGATGTCACCTGAGTGAGGTTTTGAAGGATGCATAGGAGTTTGCCATGTGCAGGTAGAGTGTGCGCGTCTGTGACTTCTGTCTCACATCTTGGGATGCCGTCAGCCTGGACCCGGTGTGAGGGCTGGCGGTGTCAGTCAGGCCCATCCCCCACCTGTGTGAAGGCTGCTCTGAAGGCCTTTTAGGGATTTGCCATTTCTTGAATATCATGGGCCAGGTACTGCTCTGCACTTTATAGACATGATCTTTGTAATCCTTGAGGAGGGTGCCAGTGTTCACTTCATTTTGTAGATTGAGGCTCAGAGAGTAGCTGTCCCTTTTCCCAAGGGTCTTCTCACTGCTGCGTGGAGTCTCACCTGGGCTGGTGTCTCGTTCTCAAGGCTGGAAGATCTCCCCAGTTCTCCAGCTGTCTGTGCAGAGCACACAGCAGTGTTTGGGAACTGGGTCGAGTGTGTGTCTGTCTCTGTACACCTCAGGAGCCCTGGTGGCCAGTGTGGGTGGGGAAGACTGGGGACCTTTTGCTGGCTGAGTGTGTCTGTCTTCCTGGGGAGAGGGAGGGCAGGGCGTGGAAGGGGCATCCTTCCTGGTGCTCTTGCCTTGGGAGCTGGGCAGTCCCTGCCCTGTTTCTGAGAGCTTCTGGCTCTCTCTGGTGGCTCTGGTAGACTTCTGGGAGTTCTTTTCTATGTGGTGGTCTATTCCTCTCTTTGGAGGGGGTGGGGCTGTGGGGTGGGTGCCTGAGCAGAGGGGCTGAGTCACCTACCCAAGCTCTTTGCAGAGCCGGGTGAGGAACCTCCCCAGCTCAGCCCACTTTCTGGGGGGTCCCTTCTGGATGTGGCTGCCAGGGAGGGGCAGCAGTGGGGAGCCTGCAAGTTGTGCAGTGTACATTTTCTTGCTCATGTGGGGGTTTTGTTTTGGTTTTTCTCTCATCCCTGTGTCAGCCCTTGGCATCCAGCTGCAGTTGCCCAAGGGGCTGTGTCCCGACCGCTGTAGCACAACATCATCGGTGGCTGCCTCCCGGTGCCCACCTGCCCCCTGCTGCCACTCTCACTTTCCCACTCCATCCTCTGTGACCTCTAGTCACCTTGAGCAATTCAAAACTCCCCAGTAAGATGCTCCATCTTTCTGGTCTCCTTACCTTTGTTGCAACCTCTCCCCTCTGTCTGAGCTGCCACCCACTCCAGGAAGTCTCACTGACTGCCCAGGCTAGAAGAGATCTCTACCCCCAGGGTCCCACAGCCTTAAGTGTTCCCCCATGTCAGGACAGAGACCCACATCTGATTCCTCTCTGCTGTACCGGCCAAGGTGCCCAAGGCCAGGCACAGAGCAAGTGCTTGGTGAGAGATGGCCAAGAGCAGCTGGCCTTGCCAAGGCTTCTGGGCCTGGCTGGGGGGGGAAGTGCAGCAGGGCAGCACAGGACCTGCAAGGGCCGGCAGGGTGGGAAGGGTCCTGGCTGTGTCCTGGTACCAGGCATCCGTTGGTCCAGGACCGTGGCCTGGGCCCTGGGCCCCAAAGCTGATGTTCCTGGCAGCATGGGCTGGCTCCGGGTCTTGGAAGGGAGGGATGTCTGCAGACCTACTGGCCTCAGCAGATGCTGGGCTGGCCCTTTGCTCCTGGGGCTCCCCACCGCTCCTGGGCCCACCTTTTTCTCCCTTTGCTTTCCACTCCCATCCCCTACCCCCGTTTCCTTCTCATTCTTGTGAGGTCTTGCCCACTGCCTGGGAGAGGCCTCTGCTGAGACATCAGTGTTGGCCTTTCTGCCGCCCTGATGGAGGTGCCTCTTTGGCTGCAGACGGGTGTGTCCCGCCGCCACCCTGGTCTTCCCCTCTGCTCTCCTGCAAACCCATCTGGCACTCCTCATCCCTTTTCTGTGCCCCAGCTCTTTGTCTTTTTCTTCTCCTGCTCTTTCCTACCGTGCCCCACCACCGCTCCTTGCCTCTGTATTTTGTCTCCCTGCTCCCACCTCTCTCTCCGTCATGTGGAGCTCTGGGATTGGAGGAGCAGGGCCCAGAGAGGGAAGTCTGGGAGAGCGTGATGGTCAGCATATGTTCTCAGGGTCCTGGCCAGCGCCCTCCTTTCCTAGAGCTTTCCCCTCTCCTGGTGTGGCTCCTCTTCTCTGCCCTTGCCCACCCATCCTTCATCTCCCCCTGCCACTCATCGTGGGGGGTTGAGGGGGAGTCCACCTCTGAGACTCATGGTTGGGAGCAGAGCTGTGAGCTCATGTGTGTGCCCTTGTGTGTTTTGTGTGTGTGTGTGTGTGTGTGGGCTGTGCAGAGCAGAGTGCCTGGGGCAGGTCACATCTAAAAACCCAGTCAGATCAGAAGCAGACTCTGCGTGGCCCCCGGCAGCTCCTGGCCACCGCTCGCTGCCCTCCTTGTTCCGGGATGGCTCCTGCCGGTTCAGGGCCTGCTCTGCTGTTGCCTGTGGCATTCATGGGCCTGGGCCCAGGGAATAGAGTCATGCGGAGAAGTGAGGCTGCTCCTGCTTGGCCCCTCCCCTGCGTGGCTCACTTTTCAGCTTCCAGGGTGGGGGCGGAGCACCCAGGGGTGCAGTGTGAGATCAGCTAGGAGGGTGCCCGATCCTTCTTGCCATCTTTGAAGCCTCCCTCCTCCTGGCTGTGGTCACTACGTCAAGCCTGTCCTAAGCTCCATTTTTGGCCTATTGTCGAGCCCTGGGTAGAGGGTGGGGAGGCCTGAAAACCTGATGGACCCAGCCATGCCCTGGGATTGCAGCCCTGGGTGGGCACCCTGGGCTGGGTGATGTTGGCTAGAGACTTCCCAGCCCCTGGTCTGTGCTGTTGGTGACTGAGCACTCTTGGTTTGACCACTCTCCTTTCCAAGGTAACACTCTCCCCTTCTCTCTTGGCTTCGGCAGGTTCTCCAGAAGCTGGGGAAGGCAGATGAGACCAAGGATGAGCAGTTTGAGCAGTGCGTCCAGAATTTCAACAAGCAGCTGGTGAGTGTGGGTGGCCCTTGGCCTTAGGGAGTTTGTGAAAATTCGGCTGCCAGGTGAAAAATGGCACGAGCTGAATTTGTGGAGTACGAGAGCTTGGAGGAGGGTAATCAGTGTGGGCTGACAAGATCATGTAAGACTTCCTAGAGGAGGGAGCACTGGCAATGCATGCTGGGAAGGAAGAGGGATGGGGTATGTATGCTTTAGGTTCTTGGTAGGAGACATAGAAACGGTAGTTGGGGGAGGGGGAGGGGGAGGGTGGGATAGGAGCAGGCAATAGATTGTGGCCAGACTTGGGGAAACTTTGCATGTCAGGGGCAAGTGGGAGCTATAGAAGCTTCTTGCCAGGAGAGTGGCATCTGCAGCGGTTAGCATGGGGGCGGAGCAGGCTGGGTTTGATTTGGGCATCTGCTGAGCATGGTGTGTGCCTGGCTGTGTGGCAGGCTCAAGGCTGGGCTGTGGGGAGGCATCCGCAGCCATCTCCAATTGGCCTGGGAGCATTTGAGAGAGGGCTGAGGGCAGCTGGGAGGGCTGGGGAGCAGCTGGGAGGGCCTGGGAGTAGCTGGGAGAGGACTGGGAGCAGCTGCGAGGGCCGGGAGTAGCTGGGAGAGGGCCGGGAGCATTTGGGAGAGGGCTGGGGAGCAGCTGGGAGAGCTGGGAGCATTCTGGGACAGGACCAGGAGCAACTGGGAGGGCTGGGAGCATTCTGGGAGAGGGCGGTTGGGGGCAGCTGGGAGGGCTGGGAGCATTCTGGGAGAGGGCCAGGGAACAACTGGGAGCATTCTGGGAGAGGGCCGGGGAGCATTCTGGGAGAGGGCGGTGGGGGGGGCAGCTGGGAGGGCCGGGAGCATTCTGGGAGAGGGTGGTGGGGGGCAGCTGGGAGGGCTGGGAGCATTCTGGGAGAGGGCCGGGGAGCATTCTGGGAGAGGGCTGGGAGCAGCTGGGAGGGCTGGGAGCATTCTGGGAGAGGGCTGGGAGCAGAGGGGAGAGGCCCCAGGGCCAAGTTGGCCTTGGCTTGCCAGAGGGGCTCAGCCTGACAGGCTTCCCTGGACAGGGATTGGGGAGCCCCCTTAGCTGATTGTCCTTTAGGCCAGTTATGGGAGGAGTTTCAAGGCCCAGGTAGACCCTGTGGCAGGGATATCTACTGCCTCTGTGGCTCTGGGCAATTCCTTCCCAGAGCTTCTTGGGCCTCAGTTTCCTCACCTGCAGAATAGAGGCTTGAACAAGAAACCTGGTCTTAGGTTCTGATTCCATCTCTGGGAAGCCCCAGGGCATGTCCCTACTCAGCTGGCTTCATCAGGCTGTGGGTTGCTCTGAAGGACCTTTAGGGAGTTGCTGTGGCCATGGGCCAGAGCTGCTGTGTTTGACAGAGATCTATGCAATCCTTGAGATGGGGCTGATATTCTCATTTTGCAGATGAGGCACTTGAGGCTCAGAGAAGTTAAGCACATCTTCCAAGGCTATGTAGCTGGTGTGGGTGTTGGGGATTGAAATCCAGGCTCTGTGGCCTTTGGTTCACTATCGAGTTTCCTCTCTGGAGCTGATCCCTTGTCCTGAGGGCAGCTGGCTAGGCTGGGGAGACAGGTTAGGGGTGGAGGTGGTGGGGGCCCCTTAGAACAGGCTGAGCTGGCCGGGCACTGTAGCTCACGCCTGTAATCCCAGCACTTTGGGGGGCCAAGGCAGGCAGATCATGAGGTCAGGAGTTTGAGACCAGCCTGGCCAATATGGTGAAACCCCGCCTCTACTAAAAATACAAAAATTAGCCAGGCGTGGTGGTGTGTGCCTGTAGTCCTAGCTACTCGGGAGGCTGGGGCAGAAGAATCTCTTGAACCTGGGAGGCAGAGGTTGCGGTGGGCCGAGATCATGCCACTGGACTCCAGCCTGGGCTACAGAGCAAGACTCCGGTCTCAAAACAAACAAACAAACAAAAAACAGGCTGAGCTTTGGCAGAGTGAGGGAAGCACAGTTGGGAGCTGAGACTCTGTGTGGCCTGGCCCCAGGGCTGAAACCACAGTGTTGCTGTCTCCACTGTCCCTCAGAGTCATCCTCTCTGGGTCTCTGACTCTGGGCAAACAGTCACTCACTGCTCCTTGGACAGAGGGGTTGGGCAGAGAGTCCAGGGCTAAAGATAGCCAGTGCTGCGGGCTGCCAGGTGGCTGCTGGGCTGTGGGTGTGGAGCAGTCCTGAGCTGGGCCTCTGTCTGCCCCCGGGCTCAGGTTTGGTGGGGTGGCTGGCTTTTCAGGGGCCAGGGCTGGTAGTTGGGGTGGTGGTTTTAAGGTCTTGTTCAAGGCTGGGGCTAAGGCAGCCAGTTCTGGATTTGATTGGTGTGTGGGGATGGCAGGGTGTGGGGACCAGGAAGGAATGGGGTGAAGGTCACTGTTGTTGGGGGAGTGAATTCAGGAGGCTGCAGTGGGCTTGGGGGCCCTGGGAAAGGAGAGAGAGAATGGGGCGTGGGAAGCCTGGAGGTGGAGCTTTTTCTTGCCTCTGATTCTGTGAGCCCCAAGCCTAGTGGGCCCAGCACTACAAGGGACAAGGATGGCAGGTGATTTAGTCTTTAAAGAAGTGAACCTCCCACCCCTTCTTATGGGGTGGGGGGCCCTAGGAGAGGGTGTAGATCAGCCTGCTGTCACCTGCTCTCCAAGGACCCAGGTGCACAGCCCCTCCTGGGCCCACCTGGCGCTGGTCACAGTAGCATCGCTGCCTTCTGCCCCTGCTCTGAGAGCCCATGGGGGCCTGCTTGCCCCTCCCCCAGAGTACTGCACACCTGGCACAGGCCCTTCTGGAAGCCATCCTGGGTCTCCAGGGCATCCCAGCTCTTCTTCCTAGGGTCCGTCTGTAGCTTTCCAGGCTGCAGGGCTGTCATTGCTGTTTGTCTGTCACTGAGGTGGGGCAAGTCTGATTCCTTCTTGTCCCCATGGCCCACCCAAGGTTTTGCTCAAAATGGGCATCCCTGACTATTGAGTGAAGGTCGCCCCCCGAATTGATGGCTGAGGGGTGCCAGAGGGGGTCCACGTAGGAGGGCCGTCCCTGCCCCCTAGACCCACTGGGAGCACAGGGACTTGGGTGCTCAGGCCACCTGTGGGGACTGATGTCCAGGGAGGTGCAGCGAGGGCTTGGGGATGCTGGCTGAGCCCAGCCGCGCTGGAGCTGCTCCAGGACCTTCCTGACTCCCCCAAGTCCTGTAGCTGGGACACAGGCTGAGGTGGGCAGTGGCTCCCGAATCTTATCTTCCCCCAGCTGGGCTCTGTGAACTCTGGGACCTCCAGAGAATTCTTTCTCAGATCCCTGTTTAGGGGCTGAGGGAGCCACTTGGAAGCAAACACACACTGCTCTGTACTGGCCTGGACGCTGCCCTGCGGAGGGTAGCTGGCTGGGGCCTCCGTCGGGGGAGGGCTGTGTCTACCCTGGGGACTGATGAGGAGCTTAGGAAGCCAGCTGCAGTGGGCACAGGGAGGCAGTGCTCTGGCCGGCCCCTTGCACATCTGCGTGCCACGTGCCGGCGCACAGCCCAGCGTTGTTTGGGAAACACAAGGAGCCCTGGTACGGCCTGAAGCCCGGGGGAGCACAACGACCCACCCCATGGGGACCCCTGCTGTGGGGGGGAGGTGGGGACGGCGTGAGAGGTGTGGCTGGGATGGTGGAGGCCTGGCAGGGAGAGAAGCTGGATCTGGAAGATTCTGTGACATCAGAGGACACGATAGCATCCCATCATGAACACACTTTAATCCTCGTCTCGACCAACAAAGCCTTTAATTGTGAAGACTTAGGGTGGCTGTGTCAGGAGTGAGGTGGACCCTTCCTCATTCCCCGGCCCCGCGGGGTCTCCATCCGACCCCCTGATGGAATTCCAGGGAGGTCTCAGTGTCCGTGGAGCAGTCTTCTGTTTCTTCACTCAGTCTCACATCGGTGGGCCTTGGACTTGGATGTTTGTAAAGATGATGATTAGCCAGTGTTATACACCCTACTCTATGGGGGATTAAAGGAATTTTAGAGATTTTTTTTTTTTTCACACATGCTCTCTTTAAATTATACATCTTATGTGCTGCTCTGAAGCTCCCCCTGTGGATGTCTCTACTGTCACACGGAAGCATTCATCATAATAGGCAGATCTGTGGGTTCTCAGGGCCGCATCACTACCCATTACCCACAAAACACCCTGCGGGCTGCGTGCCCAGGCTTGGAGGGTCTCATGGGCTCTCCGAGTCTCTGTGTGACTGGGCCGGTCGCTGACCCTCTGTCCGCTTCTTTGCTGTCAGGTGGGACAGTGGTGTTGAGAAGACTGCCTGGAAGGTGCTGGCCCCTAGGGCACCAGGGCAGGAAGAGCAGCCCCGGCTAAGGACAGGGAGAGGCCTGTAGTGGGGAGACAGAAGAGGGTTTCAGGGTGCTGGGGGTGAGCCTGTGGATGTGGCCGGGTCCCTGCTGGCCTTCACCTGGAGGTGGACCTGAATGGATGGGGCCCACCTTCCGGCTCTTGCGCAAGCATGAAGCTGGCCAGACTGGAGCGCTGCAGGCATGCTGGGTCTCCTGGGACCATGGCCAGCTGCCCCTCCTTCAGGGCAGGAGGCGACTGGAACATGGGTGTCCCTGAGGCTTGGGCTGGCAGCAGGCAGGGGAGGCCAGGAGGGTGCCCTTCTACTACGAAGGTCAGCCTCAGCCACTGCCGCTCTCCCGAGTCCCCTCTCTGCCTTGTGTTCCTGTCCTTAGCATGAAGGCCATCTCCTGAGGCCTGCCTTCAAGCTCCAGGGCCTGGCCTAGCTCACTGGATCTGAGGAGTGCCAGGCAGGGATTATTCGCCTTCCACTGAAAGACGAGGAGACTGAGGTTCAGAGAGGCTCACTAGCTTACTTAGGGCTGTGTGGCTAGTAAGGGACACAGCTGGGTCTGCATGGCCTCAAAGCCCGTGTGCAGCCCACTCTTTGCACGTGGCTTCTGGAAACTTCTGCAGCTCACTGAGCATGGTCTCAGACCTCAGTGCTGGCCTCACCTATTGTTCACCCCTCCTGGAACCTGGAGTTCTCCACTCAGCTTTCCTGGCTCTGGTTTTGATGTCCCAGAGGGACTTGAGGCCTGGCCCATGCTTCTACTGTCTCTGCTGGTCCTGCTGTCTCAGGAAGCCCCTGGAGGACACTCTCCCTGCTCAGGGAGCTTCACCACCCAGCCCACTGTCCCCTCAGCCTTTTCCCTCTACATCCTATGTCCCTGCTGTCAGCTGGGCCAGTGATCCTGGCCATGACCACCGCATTCTGCACCCCTGCTGTAGTGCCGTCTCTTCCGCAGGTCTTCTGTCCCTATACAGGCTCGCACCGGGCCCTCTTTTCCTAGTACGAGGCAGTGGGAGCTCTCTGTCCTTGGGCACCACCTGAGCTTGTGGAGCAGGGGGCCTGGTGGTCACCACACCTGCCTTGCCCATACTCCTGTGCTCATTGGTCACTTGTCTGCAGGTGTCTGAGGGCAGGTCTGTGAGTGCCGGGGCTGCTGCACACTGGTGCTGTGCTGTTTGTGTGTCATTCAGCCGTACCTCCAGCACGTCATCTCGGAGGGGGGTCTTTGTCTTCCTGCCTTCCTTCCTGGGCTGAGAATGGCATCTGGAAGATGGCAGGTGCCCACAAGCATGGGCAAGGGTGCCTATGGACGCAGGGCTTCTGAGGCAGGGGTGGTGACCGTAGCTGCTGTCCTGTTGGGAGGTCAGCTGATCAGTGGCTGCTGTCAGGAGAGCAGCCTGGTTCATTCACGTGAGGGTGGCAGGAAGGAGAGGGTCAGGGACTGGGTGTGCCACCAGTCCCTGACCTGGTCCTTGTCCTTCTCTTTGCAGACGGAGGGCACCCGGCTGCAGAAGGATCTCCGGACCTACCTGGCCTCCGTCAAAGGTAGGAGGCAGGCAGAGCGCACCTGGCCCGTGTAGAGCTGGTGGGTGCAGAGCTGGGGAGGGTGGGACAAGCGCTATCAGTGGGAGGCCCACATACTTCCTTTCTGCCCCACAGCCATGCACGAGGCTTCCAAGAAGCTGAATGAGTGTCTGCAGGAGGTGTATGAGCCCGATTGGCCCGGCAGGGATGAGGCAAACAAGATCGCAGAGGTGAGCATGGGACAGGTGGGCCTGCCCTTCTCAGAGGGCCCTCTGGTCTCAGCTCCTGTCCCACTCTGCCGTGCCCTCTGGGACAAGCCTCTCTGGTTCTCGGGCATTCGCGTGCTGTGTGCCCTGGGGCAAGCTGCCCTCCCTCTCTGAGGGCCTTTCTCCTGACACGCCCTCACACCAAGGTGGGTCAGATGGTGGGTCGTGGTCGTCCTTATTTGTGTGTTATGGCTCACAACTCACAAAGCCTCCCTGGCTGACCCCAGTCCTCAGCGTATCTGATCCTCACAGTCACCCCAATAGGGCAGGAACATTTGCCCCCATCTTACAGATGGGGAAACTGAGGCTCTGAGAAGCCACTGAGCTGTGAAGAGATGGGGCTGGGGCTGGTCCCTGCGAGGTGAGCGCTGGGGCGGGTGTGGCCCAGCCCTCCTGGTGGCACTGTCGTGCTCTTGCCTGTCTCAGAACAACGACCTGCTGTGGATGGATTACCACCAGAAGCTGGTGGACCAGGCGCTGCTGACCATGGACACGTACCTGGGCCAGTTCCCCGACATCAAGGTGAGAGACCCACTTGCAGATCTGCCCTGCTCTGGCCTGGAGGGAACTGGAGAGAGGACAGGGCCTAGGACGTGCGGCTCAGGCCAGGAGGAGGCTGTCCTGGAGGCAGGAAGCGCCTGGCCCGGTGTTTCACCCCTCCGGGGTTGCTCCCTCTGCCACCAGCCCACGGCCCCCCATTCCTTTCCTGTCCCTTTGGGTCTCAGGGCTATGGGAGGAAGCCTCACGGCACGTGTGTGTGTGTGTGTGTGTGTGTGTGTGTGTGTTGCTGCGGAGTGGCTGGCTATATGATTGTGGAAGGTGTAGAAGGGTGAGTAGGGCCTACACATGTGTGTGCCTGCAGGTCCCCTGTGTTTACACCATGGGTGCTTGGAAGGGTATGTGTGCATGTCACCTGTTGTCTGGGTCTACATGTGTGGGTGTGTGCGTGTGGTTGTGTGCATTCGCAAAGCCTGCTGTCTCTGCCAGGCCTGGGTTGGTGCTCGGAGCTGGCAGTGTCTCTGGTATCCACCGAGGCGAGTGGTCCCCGGTAACGTGCACATGGAAGCCTGGGTTGACCATTGGGTTGGACGAGATCCCCTTGGTGGGCAGGATGGGGGTGTCATGCTCATGCTAGCCTCAGGGGTCCCCAGTGCAGATGCCTCAAGCTCCCTGAGTCTGATGTTGGTGGCTGTGGAGATGAGAAGCCAGGGGCCAGGCCAAGGAAAAGACTTGGCTGACACGTCACCAGCTGGTGGACACGGACACATGGGCTCATGTGCAAGGAAGTGGTTTCACACAGTGGGGCTGGACGGCCAGGAGGGGGTGAGCTCTCTGCCACGAGGAGGGTTCCAGCAACAAGGGCTCAAGGGTTCCTGTGGAGCTGGGGTCTCCTGCCCGCCCTGCGGGTCCCTCCAGGATCCACTGGACCTGGAGTCTCAGCAGGGGTGCCAGGCCCCGCTTAGTGCCCTCCTCTGTCTGCCCCAGTCACGCATTGCCAAGCGGGGGCGCAAGCTGGTGGACTACGACAGTGCCCGGCACCACTACGAGTCCCTTCAAACTGCCAAAAAGAAGGATGAAGCCAAAATTGCCAAGGTAAGGGCTGGAGGCGGGTCGGGGCAGCGTCTGCAGGGGGCTGAGAGAGGGCGGGTGTCTAGGACCCCGAGGGTGGAGGCTTCCTCCTGCCTGGCCCCAGGTGGCTGAACTGGGGGTGGGGACGATACAGGGCCCAGGCCGGTGAGTGAGAGGCCCTTGTGGGTGCCTGGGTGAGGTCCACCCTAGGCCCATTCCTGCCCCCCGTGCCACCCTGGCCCCTCAGCCCTGATCCAGGCCACCTGCCAGCCTGAGAATGGGCCTCCTGGGTTTCCCTGGAACGGCGCCGCCCTGCCTGGCGAGCCGGGTGGAATTCGTCACGCGATCCCAGGCGACCTGTCCCTGGCTGGAGCGAGCCAGTAGGTGCAGAGCTGGCCCCACTCATCCTTTGGTGAGGGGCTGGGGTGGCCCCGTCCTCCGGGCAGGGCCGTGCTTGCTGGGCCCCCTGTGCTGCTAACCACGCTCACCTTTTGCCTCTGCAGTTGGAGTTCACCCCCTTTCCTTACCCCCCGGGCTCCCCCTAATTCTCTCGGCCTCAAGGGCCCATATCTGCTTGGGGTGGCCCCCGCGCGTGGGGCGTGTGGACCTGCATTTAATCTGTGTGTCTCTGTTTCTCTCTCCCCACCTCCCTGGTCTCTCCACCTTCCTTTGCCTTGACCTCCCCACCCCAGCCTGTCTCGCTGCTTGAGAAAGCCGCCCCCCAGTGGTGCCAAGGCAAACTGCAGGCTCATCTCGTAGCTCAAACTAACCTGCTCCGAAATCAGGTGACACTGGCTTCTAACCTTGCACGTGCTGGCGCCTTCCGGTCTGTCGTCCTGTCCTCTCGCCCTGCGGTGGAATGCAGGGCTGGCATCTGAGCCCAGCTGGGGCAGGGTTTTTCAAAGGCCTCTGCTGGGAGAGCTCTGCTTCAGAGGAGACCTGAAGTCAAATGTAGGGGTCAAAGAACCGGCTGAGGGGCTCTGTGTGACCTGGGTGGGGGCATAGCTATGCCCGCTCCGTGGCTGCATCTGTGGTCATTCCTGGAGACTCCTCTGAAATCCTAGTGGTCCAGGAATGCCTTTGAGCCATTGTCCTCTGTGAGGGCTCCTCTGGGGAGGGAGGCGACATCATCAGGCCCCTGTACTGCCATGCCTGTCCTTCAAGCCACATGACAACTCTGAGATCATCTTGAATTTACTGAGCAGAGAAAGCTGCCCAGAGAGGCACATCACAGCCTCCTCCCAGGGCCCCAGAGCCGGTTAGGGGCAGGGTTGGGGCTCTCCTGACTGAAGCCCCTGCGTCATTTTCCTCGGACTTGTGGTCCCCGTGGTGACTCTGGAGGAGTTACTGGGAGGACCCTCCAGTCTGGATGGGATGCTGAGACGTGGAGGGGAAGCATGGGTCCTTGGCCTTTGGGGATTCATGGAGGGCAAGTGACCAGCACCACAGTGTTCCTGGGGGGCTTCCCGGAGGAGGCTTTTTTACAAAACTCCTGGGCCATCTCACCATCCTGGCCATAGAGGCTATGGTCTTCTCAGCCCCCTGCCCTCCAAATGGGTTACAGTGTGGCCAGGGACCACTGGATGCAGTGCCCTGTGAGAGGTGGGTCATGTGGTTTTCTCGCCAATGAAACTGAGGCACATTTCAGGTCAGTGTAGTCACAGCCTGGATGTGGCCCTCACACTTCTCCATATTCCCGAGAGGCTGGCGATAGGGGCCCGGCCCCGGAGGTTGGGTTTCTCTCTGGGCAGCTGCCCCATTTTTTCGGAGCCTCCTCTTGATTTCATCATCTTCATTGAGTGCCTGTGACGTGGAGAGCTCTGGGTGGGCTTGGCATGGCTTGCTGTCCAATTTCTTTTTCTATTTTTTTTTTTTTTTTGAACGGGTTTCTCTCCGTTCCCCTGGCTGGAGTGCAGTGGTGTGATCATGACTCACTGCAGCCTTGACTTCCCCAACTCAAGCAATCCTTCTGCCTCAGCCTCCCGAGTAGCTGGGACCACAGGCACGCATTGCCGTGCCTGGCTAATCTTTACGTTTTTTGTAGAGACTGTGCCTCATTATGTTGCCCAGGCTGGTCTTGAACTCCTGGGGCTGAGCGATCCACCTGCCTCGGCCTCCCAAAGTGCTGGGATTACAGGCCTGAGCCACTGCTCCTGGCCTGGCTGTCCAGTTTCTCACCTGATCTGCTGCCTGATTTATTTTAGGCCAAGGCTGACTTTGGAGACACTGAGTGTTGACAGCCTCATCCTGAGGTCAGGGTGCCCATGGGGAACCAGGGGCTGGGGGTGATGCCTAGGGGGACTTCAGTAGGCCTGAGACTTCATCTGCCTCTGGAGGTAGAGGAGGAACCAGGGGCTGGAGTGGGTATGCCCTGCCAGTCAGTTCAGCACTTGGGCTAGAAGGGAATGGGACTACTGACGGAGGGCCCGGGTTTCTGAATAATTTTCCCTGAAACAGGTGAAACATTTTTTTGTGGATGGGAGAACCTCTTAGGAGGCTATGGGGCCTGCCCACTGCTTTTGGGCTCCTGGGACAGGTGTGGTTGGGATTATGCTGGGAGGGCCTGCCTCCACGCCCACCCTGGGGGAGCAGCGAGAGGGTGAGGCAGGTGATCACACCTTTGGGTGCTGGGCTGTGGGTGTTTCACATTTTGGCCAAACTAGCTGTCCCATTTGGGTCCCATCTTTATTTGAGCACATCCTCCTTGTCCCCAGCCCACTCATACCTGGCTGGAGGCTGGAGAGCCTTTGGAGTGGCCTGTGGGCAGCTGGCTGGCTGTGAGATGGCACAGCTGGGACTCCGGGGCTGCCCTGCTTGGGAACTTGACTTTGGGGAGATAGTGCATCCTCTCTAGGCTGCACCAGGGGGCTGGCCGGCTCCATGCAGACCCTGGGCTAGTTCTGAGCTGCTCTCCACACCTGCCTCAGCGTCCTGAATGCTGTCCTCGGGACCCCGGGCCCATGTGACTCTGCTCTTCCCCACTGTTAGCTTCAGTGGAGCTGGGGTGGGGGCACTCTCTCCTCATGGCAGACAGCCCTCACCTTACTCCCTGCCCCTTCCACATGCTTCCTAAAGAGCCAGAATATGAGGAATGTCACCCAAAGGGAATACAAGACACGGGTCCTGACTTCCAGGAACTCAAGCGGAACTGTCCCCGCTCTTGCTCTCGGCAGCGTTGCTGAGCGGTGAGAGCACGGCTGGGTGCAGATGTTCCCACAGACAAGCTGCGGTGCTGTCTTCACTGCTGTCCCCACCGTTGCCATCTGGGGAGTTGTGGGGGTGGTGGCTGCATCCTCATGGAGAGGGGGTCCTAGTGGGTACAGGAGCCGGGTGGTCCAGGCAGGTTCTTACGGAATGTGGGACTTTAGACCCACTGTTGGCAGTTGAGGGCAGGGGGTATGTGTGATGGTGCTCAGCTCACAACAGTACCCCTAGGACTCACTCATTTTATGAGTTCCATAGAACCATGGTTGGCAGCCCCCCTGCCAGGTAATGGGACACCCAGGGGAGTAGGGCAGGGATGGCCCAGCCATAGCCTGGAGACGGAGGAGGGGCAGTATTCCCCTCCTGGTGTGGGGTGCCCAGGGTCCCTGGATCCAAGAGAGGTGTGCATGTTGGAATAGACATTCTTCCCCACCCCCCGCTCCCCATTCTGCCTTTAAATTTTTATTAGATTCTGAAAAGCCAGGCAAGGAGCCCACGCCCACTCTAGCGAGTAGCTGGAGGTAACCTTTCAGAAGCCATGGTGGCCCCTCCTCCAGTCCCAACCCAAGTCACTGGGCCTAGGGGCTGACCTGGGCTAGTCCTGGTGTCTGAGGCTGGATGGGACAGCTGGCTGGGCTTGGGGCAATCGTGTGCTTTGTGGTTAAGTGGCCTTCCGGCCATCTGGCTGCCTTTGCCAGAAGGCGGCCCAGCCTGGGCCCCAGCCCCGGCCTGAGAACGTGAGGCTGCTGGCGGGAAGTTTCCCTAGGCGGGGCCTGACACTTTCCTGGGCTGTGACTCAGACCCCGAATCCCTGAGTCACTCTCGCCGGCAGTGTCCTCCCGCAGTGAGCCAGCACAGCCCCTTCCCTGGGCGGGCTGGGCACCGGGCAGGGTCTGTGACTCACCTGCTGCCCGCAGTCCCTTCCCCAGCACTCTGTGGCCGTGTGATGGGGCCTGAGCACCACTGCCTGGTGGGTGTGAGTGCCTGGAGGATGCAGGGCCTGCCCTGGGGAAGGTGTGGGCTAGGAGTGGGACCAGGCACAGCCCAGCTGCCTGGCTGCCTCCTCCCTGGCCCTGCACCCTCCTCTAGGGTCCCCCTGACATTCCTAGAGGTGCCTGAGTGGCTGCCTCTGGTCTCCCTCTGGTGGGGACAGGTCCCAGGAGAGGGCTTTGTGGGAAGGACCATCCCTGGGAGGTGAAGTGAAGGCTGGTGGCTGAGGCTGCCAGGAGCTGGCCCTCAGAAATGGGGAGGGAGCACTCAGGGGCGGGGGCAATTGGGGGCAGCGACAGATGCTGCCCTGAGAGCCAGAAGGCAGTGGCAGGGCTGGCACCTAGCCTGAGGAGGTTCATTGTGGAAGTGGGCAGGGTCCCCACTTGGCTGGGTCTGGGGTCTGCCTCTGTGCATGTCCCGTGTCCAGCTCGCCAAGCCCCAGGCTTGCCCCTCTTGTTGTGCCCTACTCCACGCTCACTGCCCTCCCGGCCACGTGGGCCTCTCTTTGGCAACGGCTGCTCAGCCCTCCCTTTCCCAGATGTCCTCAGGGTCCTGGAGGGCTGCAGGGGGAGGTCGCCAGCATGGGTGTCCACATCCAGTTCAGCCTCTGTCTTGCCCGGAGCCCTGGTCCCAGCGCACTGGCCAAGAGGGGTGGGCAGGAGGTGGGAGGACTGGCCATGGGGCTGGGCTGGCTGGGACGCCCAACAGAGGGGAATGACCCGTGCTGCCCCCCAGGCCGAGGAGGAGCTCATCAAAGCCCAGAAGGTGTTTGAGGAGATGAATGTGGATCTGCAGGAGGAGCTGCCGTCCCTGTGGAACAGGTGAGGCCCAGCACGGTGCCCAGCCTGCGTGGGGCAGTGTCCAGTCTGCGTGCTGCGGTGCCCAGTCTGCGTGCTGTGGTGCCCAGCCTGCGTGCTGCGGTGTCCAGTCTGCGTGCTGCGGTGCCCAGCCTGTGTGCTGCAGTGTCCAGCCTGAGTGCTGCGGTGCCTGGGCCCTCTCTGGTTTGTGCCTCTGATGAGCGTGTGTGGTCGCTCGTGGGTGGGTATTTCTGAGTTGCTGTCCTGACCTGCCTGTTCACCTGGCCCCCATCCTTCCGCCCTTCTGTAGCCGCGTAGGTTTCTACGTCAACACGTTCCAGAGCATCGCGGGCCTGGAGGAAAACTTCCACAAGGAGATGAGCAAGGTAGGCCATGGGGACCCCTCTGAGGGGCCACACCCCACCCTGGCCGAGGGTCAGAGTCAGAGTCGTGGGAGGGGCAGCCTGAACTCCTCCTTCCCTGCCAGGTTCAGCACACACCGGTGACCACAGGGCTCCCTCCCGGCCCTGTGGAACAGCCCCCTTCAGGAGTGCCTGGGCCCAGGAGGGCAGCAGGGCATGCTGGGGAGGCTTTGAGAGTGTCCTGGGTCCTTGCCTGGGTAGACCACCTGAGAATGTAGACCAGGCCCTCTCAAACTGTGAATGTGTTCTCTAGCAACCTTGGCCCAGGGAGTGCAGTGTTAGACAATGGTGGCAGTTTCTCAATTTGTAGGAAAAAATTACTAGCATTTTCTCAATTTTAATTTTTCTCCCATGCTTTTGAGACATTTAAATAGGCCTGTTTCGTCTGCGTGAATCCACTGTGCGACAGGGTCTGGTCTGATTAGCGTACCTTTCTCTCTTGTGTTATTTTCATTTTAACCTATCTGGCAACTAAAACGCAAAGCTGTTGAACTTTGCAGTTGGAGAGACCCAGGGCTGGCACCCCCGCCCCCAGTGGTGGGTCTGACTTTGTCTCTTGGGCCCAGATGGATGAAGTGATGATGGTGGATTCCAGGCCCAGGGTCGGAGGAGGAAAAGCAGCTTGGGGCCTCCCCTGACTCACACTTCTAAGTACGGTTTCCTGCCTTTTAGACTTTCTCTTTCCTTCTTAACTTTTCCTTTTTCCCTTCGAAGATTGGAGACAACTTACGAAAAGTTTAAAAAATAGAGAAAGGTGTTTCAGAGAAGGAACATTTATATAAAATTAGTCTGTAAAAATATATGCCACAGAACATAGTTGTTTATAAATAGGATGAAGATTCGGCTCTGAGCTCCCTAGTGGCCAAATCAAAGAGAGGAATATTCTCAGTAATGAGAATCACCGTGTGTGAGGAATAAACCTCCGCTCGTGCCTGTGCTTTCAGTGAAATATCTGGCAGTTGTAGTGTGGTCTGAAAGCATCTTGGCAAAATGACCTTAACAATTAAGATTAATGGTCTGCCAAAACAAGTTTTAAGAGAAAAATGTAAAAACAGTGCAAGCTCTATGTGGCATTTTAGGATATCCCTATAAGTAGGAGGGGAAAAGATGGCTTCCAGAGACAGCAGGCATTAGTGATATAGCCCACTTGCCCCGTTTTGTTGCCCCCTTGGTTTTTCGGGGTTTGGTGTGCTAGTTCCTTGCTCTCACAGATGGGGAAAGAGGAGCTTGTTCCTGGCAGGGGCTGGGGGTGGTGGGGAGAAGCAGAGGTGTTTGGGGAAGGTGGGGCCGTTTGGTGGCCTTGGAGGCCCCCCACCTCCTCACTGTCTCTCCTGCAGCTCAACCAGAACCTCAATGATGTGCTGGTCGGCCTGGAGAAGCAACACGGGAGCAACACCTTCACGGTCAAGGCCCAGCCCAGGTGCGTGCGGGGAGAGCCCTGGCGCCCCTGACTGTGTGCACGGCAGGGGCAGGGCTCCTTCCTGTGACCCTGTTGGTGCCCTCCCTGGTCCCCCATGGGTTTGGCCTTGGGGGTCTAGGGACCTTCCTGTCTTGGCCTCTCTGTGCTCAGGGAGGCAGGTGAGGGCAGGTCTCTGTCTCGAATGTCCCTGCCCCTCTGGCTGTGTTCGTCGAGGAAGGAGCACTCTGGGGAGTCCGCGGGTCCCTGAGCCGGCTGACCCCCTCATTGTGGAGCACGAGCATCCAGGGTTGGGGTGGGCAGCCTGCTCAGCTTTGGGGACTGGGGGGTGTGAACAGGACTGAAAGACTCCGGGGTGTGCAGTCCTCTCAGAGCAGGGAGATAGCACCGCCCTTCCCTCTCCTGCTCCTGGAAAAGCTCATGTCCCTGGATGGCAGCATTCTGCTCAACCACACGAGCATCCTCTTCCTGTCCTCAGCCTCAGCCCCTCCGGGAATCCCAGCTGCAAGGAGGCCTCTGTTTCCTGAGGGGAAACCATGAGGGAGGAGGGAAATGCCTTGCTTTCCTGGCTGTGGATCAGAGGAAGCAGCGAGCCTGGGACTTCCCCTCCCTTCTGGCCATGTGTGCATGTGTGTGTGTGAGGGGGACTGTGTGTGACAGGTGTAAGTGTGTGCATACCCACACACATATCACAGCAGAACGCAGAGAACACCGATGGACTCTGTAAAACAGGGCGACTGTCTGCTTCTTGGGGTATTGCCTGGGATGATGAGGGTATCGGGTGGTGGTGATTGCCCCCTCCTTCCCTGAACATAAAATAGTTGTGGCTGAGAGAGGGGCCATGGTGACCTGAGGCTGGGAGTGGGGAGGTTAGGACGGTGGCGTTGTGGTGGTGGTTGGGGGGGTGGGTAGCGGGGTGGGGGTTGTGGAATAAAGGCCAAAAGGTGAATTCAAGGTCGGGCAGGGAGGGACAGCTGCCTGGCCTGTAGGCACAGGTGGGAACACTGGGATGGATCAGCAGGGGGTAAGTGGGGCCGTCCTGGCCAGAACCATGGCTCCCCTCAGGAAGGAGGTGGAGGGAAGAGAGAGGGGCAGTAGAGGCCCAGGAGTCTCCCTTCCAGCAGAGAGGCCTCTTGTGCACTCTGTGCTCGCCTGGGGGCCTTTTCTGGCACTCTGGGCACACCTGGAGCTCCTGGGGACTGGGACCACAGGCAGGGTGACTCTCCACTGCCCCGAGCCTCCTGCCCCTCACCAGGCCCTGTTAGCATCACCTCGGGCACCTGGCCACAGCAGGGGCCAGTCAGGGCACCCCGGGATAGCACGCCCAGGCCCTGTGCAAGGCCTCTGGCACTTAGGAGAGGCTTTTGCCCCTTTGTCCTCTGAGCAGAAGGGTTGGCAAAGAGGGAAGGGGACAGGCCAGTTCTGCACCTGGCCTTTCTCCAGAATGAAGGCCTCCACCTCCCGTCCGTCCCCACAGAAAGAAAAGTAAACTGTTTTCGCGGCTGCGCAGAAAGAAGAACAGGTACCGGCAGTGAGTGCTGCGGAGGGGCGCAGAGGCCCGCGCCCTGGCTGGCCCTGTGCATGCGCCTTGCGCCCTGCTCCCAGGTGCCACTAACCCGTAATCTGGCTCTGTGTGCAGTGCTGCCCGGCAGGGCTGTCGTGTGCGTGTTGGGTGGGAAGGCGGAGGCGGCGCGGGGCGGGCTGGCCTCTGAGCATCTGGCTGCATTTAGCACGTTCCTCTGGGCGCCCCACACTTGTCTAGCCCTGGTGGTGCCCGGGCCACCAGCGCACTTAGCAATGGAGGACGTGGCTGGGAAGGAGGCCTGGGGAGGGCCAGGGAGGTGACACTGCAGCACTGTGGGGTTTTTTGTTTTTTAAACAATTCTATGTGTATACCATATACTTATACATATATTCTTTAAGGAGAATACATTCCCATAAAACACAAATTCCAGAAGGAAAGATGGTGTCAGCGACATCTCTTACGCTGTTCCACTGTTTGCCCTCAGGTGACTCGGTCACTGGTTCCTGCTGGATGCTTCTAGATCTGCACTGTCCAGCACAGGAGCCAGTTACCCCATGGGGCTATTGAGCACTTGAAACTGGCCAGTGTGACCGGGCAGCGGAACTTTTCATTTGAATTACACGTAAATTTCATTGCTTTGAGTTTGCATTGCCGCCTGTGGCTAGTGGCAACCGTACTGGGCAGCACTTTTCTAGGCGTCTCTGTGCAGGTTCTGGTAGAGAATTTTCTCCCTGCACCTTCGCCCCTGTGCCTGGGGTGCACAGCATCACACCACCTCCGCCTTGGGTTCTGGCACTGAACGCCATGGCTCAGGACCTGTCCCCTCCATCGCCAGCTGCCCACTCCTCTGTGATGAGGACGCCTCTCTTAGTTTGTCCAGGCCCTGCTTGTGGCCTCCAGCAGCCGAGAGGACAGGAGAGCCAAGGTCTAGAGACATGTACCAGGGTGCTGTGATGGACAGGCAGGGAGGGCAGCAGGCTGGGGAGCAGACCCCAGAACAGAGGGGCTGCTGCGTGTGGTGTGGGAGACTCACTGTGCCTCTAGGATGTCTGGCTTTCTCCTGCTGTGGATCTTGGGCTGTCAGCATGGGCCCTGGTGGACCCCATGGAGCCTGTGGGGTGGTTGGTCTGGTCTCTGCGACAGATGGTTCCAAGGGACCTGCCTGCACTCCTGGGGACCATAGACCTCCAGCCTGGAGTCCCACCTTGTGCTGTTCCTGTTTCTGAGGCAGGCTTCCCACTTCCAGCCCCCCAAGCCCAGGTCCCTTGGCTCCCCCCACCCTCCTGCTCTCTCTCACATACACACACACACACACACACACAGTTTCACACCTCCATATGCACACACCTCTTCACACAGACGTCAATACATTTGCCCCTCCGTCTCCTGTGCCTTGGCCCCCCAACACTGGGCTCCCTTTCTTGTCCTCCCCCACAGTGACAACGCGCCTGCAAAAGGGAACAAGAGCCCTTCGCCTCCAGATGGCTCCCCTGCCGCCACCCCCGAGATCAGAGTCAACCACGAGCCAGAGCCGGCCGGCGGGGCCACGCCCGGGGCCACCCTCCCCAAGTCCCCATCTCAGGTAGGAGTGATGTCTTGGTAGCAGGTCCCCTGCCCTCCCTCCTTCTCCTCCGGCTTTGCTGTTGTCCTCCATCCTCCCACTCCTCTGTCCCCTTTCTGGCCTGGGCAGCTATGGACCCGATGCTTTGCCCAGTGGGGGTTGGGCCTGGACCTGGGTCTCCTTTCCCCCATCCAGCCTGGCATGCTTCCGGGAGGCATCTGTGACTTGCTCGCTCCTCCCCAGCCCCCACCCCCACTGCAGCGCCCTCCCCTTCCCTCTCCCTGGTCTTTTGTCTGCTTGACTCTTTCTCCATCTTCTTTTCCTCCCTAGCAGAGGCTCTGGGCCCTCAGCCCACAGAGCATCCAGATCTCCAGAGTGGGCTGCCTGTCCCTCTTCCTGGCCTCTCTCTCTTAAAGGGGCCTGAGGGAGGAGCCCAAGCCAGGTGGCCATGCAGGACCTTTAAAGGGACAGAGAGAGGAAGGGCTCAGAGGAGGGTGTGGGGTGGCTAAGGGGGCAGGTCCTGGGCTTCTGGACTGTCCTTGTCTCCACCCCGCCTGCCCCCAGCGGGCCCTCCAGGTGTCTGCAGGGCCCTAGGTGCTGGCTGGCCAGGTGGGGGTGTTCTCATAGCCGGGGATCCTGCAGCTCCCCGTTTTCTGCTGCCGCCCTGCTCTGCTGCTGACTAGGATAGCAGGGCTAAGGACATGGTGGGAGCCTGTCCCAAACAGCACTTCCCCCGGCCTGGACATGGTGCCAGTGCCTTCTGTGTATTCGTTCACTGAGTCCCCACAACACCCCTGTGAAGCAGGCGCTGTCATCACCTGATGCATGAGGAAGCCCAGCGTCATGGGTGTGTGACCTGCCTGAGGTCCCCCACCTGGTGGGCAGGGGTGTGGCCTCTGCCCCATCCTGGTGCCACGCTGGCTTCCTCTGGGATACACTCGTCTGAGCTGGGCTCCCTGTGGGCAGCCCTGTGCCCTGGGAGGTGGAGAGAGGGGCCTGCGGGAAGGGAGAGGTGGGCAGGGGGAGGCTGGGGCCCGGCTGTCTCTCAACGACTGTTTGCTTCCCCAGTCTTCTCACCAGGCCAGTGGGAGCCAGCCCCTCCCACAGTTGGCCAGTGGGCAGCCTGGGGCCTCTTCTCTTCTTCGCTCTCCTTCCTCCTCTCCCCTCACTTCTCTATCTCTTCTCTCTCCACACAGCGTTTCTGGACCGCCTGCCTCAGTGTCCCTCTCGGGGGTGGCCTGGGGTCTTGGTGTCTATGTTGGGGGGCTGGGAGGGCAGTGACTCTTCATTTGCTGCGTCCTGCTCAGTGGCCTGGGTGGGACTGTGGCCTGAGGTGTGACTAACCGTGGCTTTGTCTCTGTCTGTCTCCCCCAAACCCCGTGCTCTGCTGTGCCTTCCCGCGCGGCCCCTCACCCGCCGCCGACCCACAGCTCCGGAAAGGCCCACCAGTCCCTCCGCCTCCCAAACACACCCCGTCCAAGGAAGTCAAGCAGGAGCAGATCCTCAGCCTGTTTGAGGACACGTTTGTCCCTGAGATCAGCGTGACCACCCCCTCCCAGGTCAGCCGCGGCCGCCGCGGCCCAGCTCTCCTCTCTTCCTGCCCTCTCAGGGCGTGCATGGCCTTCATCCTCTATGCTTCTGTCTCAAGAGCCAGGAATCTGGCCAGAGAGAGTGTCAGTTTCCCTCTCTCACCCTTTGTTCCCTCCATCCATCATCCTCCATCATCCTCCATCACCCATCTCTGAGCATGTACTAAGGCCAGATGCAGGGCCACAGAGGGGAAGGTGCCGCCTCTCCCGGCGCAGCAGTTACATCAGCAGCGCCCTCGCGACGCAGTGGGTGCTATGGCAGAGGGGATCGGGGAGTGTGGAGGACGTGTGGCTGTCAGGGAAGGCTTCCAGGGCCAGGGAGAGTTGGAAGGTCCTGGAATGGCTGAAGCACCTGGACTTCAGCTCCCACAGCTGCTGTCAGCCCCTCGAGGGCGGGGGCAGCGGCCAGGCTGCAGGGCAGAACTGCCGTGTGCACACTCCCTAAGAGGCGTGGAATGCCCAGATACAGCAGGGAGCCACCCAGGGGGGCTTGGGTCTCTCCCGACGGGCCCTTGGCTCAGCAAGGAGCCACGCAGAGGGTCTTGGGTCTCTCCCAGTGGGCTCTTGGCTCAGCCGTGGAGGTGCCTCTGGGGAGCCTGGCCCACAGCCCCAGGTCTTACGTCCTTCATGGTGGAGGTCGGGCTGGAGTACCTGTGCTGGAAGCGCATCTTGCCAGTGCTGGAGTGGGCTGACGTGTTGTCAGATTTGCCCAGAGGTGGCCGGCCTTCCCCGCACTCCCCGAGAGCTGACTGCCTCCTCAAGTCCAGCCCTCAAGGCCTCAGCCTTCCTCCTGTGGGTAGGCCAGGACCCTTCCCACACAGAGCCTCGCCTGTAGGGAAGGCTGTCCAGTCCAGGCTGTGGTGGCCTCCAGCAAACACCTTCACACAGCTCAGACGCCTAGTGGGGATAGGTTGGAGGGTGTGAGTGTGGGGAGTGGCCGCTGGGAACTGCGAACAGTGGTCGCTGCTAGGAAGGGTTGGGGATGGTGGGCCTCAAGCCCCTATGCAAAGACTAGGACTAGAACTAAGGAACTGAGGCTGCAGGTGTCTGGGTGGGTGACGCCCTAGTTCAGGGGCCTGGCAGGCGCGGGAGCCCCTCTCTGTGGGATAGTGGCAGAGGGCGATGTAGGAAGAGCAGTGTGGGGGCAGGGCTGAGGACCTCCAGGGCTGCTTGCTGCTGGCCTCCCCGGCTCGAGCATGCCTCCGCCCTGGTGATGCCCAGTGTGTGTGCAGGCGAGGGAGACGGGATGGCATGGACACTGGCAAATACTGAGCAGAGAACGGTGCCAGCCACTTCCTATACCCCATTGTTTGGTTTTCAATCACCCTCTGGGAGGACATCATGCCCCCATTTAACAGGTGAGGAAAGGAACCCAGGGCCTGTGCCGCGGGCCCACGCCAGAGCAAGGTGTGCCAGGCCAGGAGGTGGTGCAGAGACCACCCGCACCCAGGCTCTGAGCGCGCCTATCCCTCCATACCATACCTGCCTCCCTGGCCACCGCGTGTGCCATCTCCAGGCAACTGGTCTTCCCGGTCTGGTCTGGGGTCGGGGAGCCATGACCTTTGGGTGGGGCATGGGGCAGGGGTGGGCTTGCCTTTGTCCATGACACGGGTGCCCACGGGCTTCCCGGCTGTGGGGTGGTGAGTAGCCTGTGTCCCTGCATGGAGGGACAGTCCCGGGCCTGCATGGCGAGGTGCCACCTGCCGGGGCAGCACAGCGAAGGGATGGTCAGCTCTCTGGCGGATGACCCTCCCCTCAGCACATGACGGATATTGCTGCCTGGGTTGGCTGACTTTTCTGAGACAGGAGGGAGGGGTGTTGCTGGGGCAGGGTGGGGGCCACTGGGGAGAGATGCTGGCCGCCCGCTGGTGGGAGGCACCTCGAGGCTGTGCACCGGCGTCCTCAGGGCTCCTTCAGAGACGGCCGGTTATGGGGCAGAGCAGTGACCTCCCTGCCCTGGGTTCCCCAGACAGGGCTGGACCTAAAGGAAAGTCAGCTGCTGGGATTGGCCCAGGGCAGGGCTTGGGGCCTAGGGCCCCTGGTTCTAGGAAGTGAGTCCACTTGGCCTGAGCTGTCTGACACCTTGGCTTGGCCATGTGGACTGCTCCACGCCTTGTCCCCTGAGCTGCAGGACAGCTGGGTCCTCTTAGGACTGAGGACCTTGGGTCTCTCCCAATGGGCCCTCGGCTCAGCTATGGAGGTGCCTCTGGGGAGCCCGGCCCACAGCCCCAGGTCTCACATCCTTCATGGTGGAGGCCGGGTGGGAGGGCGCCCCTGTCAGTGTCCGGTGCCTGTCAAGAGTGTGTAGAGCCGGGAAGCCGCTGGCCTGGGCTGCGGGGCTGGAGTTCTTCCAGCACTGCCTGAGGGCCCCGGAGGGGAGCACCCCGGCCACGTCCCTCTCCTTTTAAACCTGGGCAAAGTTCTCTCTGGCCCCCAAAGGGAAGCCCCAGGTACAAGATGGAGACCGCAGCCGAGCCAGTCCCTGCTCCTCAGAAGGCAGCTTGTGCCCTGGGCATGGATGCTGCCCCAGGGCTCACCGGAGTCATTGTCTCCGCCTGTGCCGGGGGCTCTAAGGAAGCCCCTTCCTCCCATGCTAGTCTGGCCCAGCTTATGGGGAGGCTTGTCCCTGTGTGGCCAGGGCCACCGTGTCCCATCCCTGGGGCCATGCCTGTCACATGCCTATTCCTGGGCTCACTGGAAGGAGATCTTGGCGAGGGGCTGCTGGGAGGGGTCAGGGGCCTGCAGTTTTAACCCAAGTGCCCCGGGTGGTTCTGAAGCCCCCGAATGTTGAAGACCCCACTTTGAAGCTTGGCCTGTTGGGCTTTGTGGCTGGCTCCACTCTTTCTCCGTCCCTGGAGCTGACGGCTGGTGGTGTCGCCAGAGAGTGACCTCCCTGTCTGGGGTGGAGGAAAAGCCAGTGTGAAGTCTCTGCCTTTGGAACTTTCCCAGTCGGGAGCACTGAGGGTGGCTGTGGCATGGTGTTACTCTCGCCACTGGGGGGTAGCAAGATCAGCAGAACTCTTGGCGCAGGGAGCGGAGAGGAGGTTCGGGCATTGGTGGGGAGGGGCCCACCAGTCTGTGGATGGTGGCGGAAGAGAGCTGGGGCCTGGTGCTGGCCCTGCGGGGTGGCGGCCACGGGCGGACCTATGACTGGGAGTTTGAGGCGGGCACTGGGGTCGTCCTCCTGGTGTGGGCGGGAGCCTGTGCCGGGGCGCGTGGCTTTGGGCAGTGCTCCCGTGTGTGAGGTGGATGAGTTGGTGCCTGGGCTGTGTGCCAGCGTGTGTGCGTGTATGTGCGCTTGCTCTGCATGCGTGGTGTGTGTATGTGTGTGTGTCCACGCGTGTGCCTGTGCCTGCAGTGTCTGCCTGGGGTGAGGGCTCCCAGCTTAACACTAACTGCTTCCTCCTCTGCTGCTGCTGCTGCTGCCAAGTTTGAGGCCCCGGGGCCTTTCTCGGAGCAGGCCAGTCTGCTGGACCTGGACTTTGACCCCCTCCCGCCCGTGACGAGCCCTGTGAAGGCACCCACGCCCTCTGGTCAGGTTGGTTGTGCCCACCACTGCCCATGGGCCCACCAGCTTCCAGGTGCCCAACCCTGGGCTCATGTTGCCTATTGGCCACGTGACCCCAGCTAGGCCTGGGTCACTGCCCTTCCCCTGGCACCTCAGCCTTCAGCCCTCATCACCTCCTGGTTGTAGGGCAGGAAGCAGCCCCTGATCAGCTGGGAGAACTCTCAGTAGGGGGTTACTGAACACTTCCTGGCAACTTTGTGCTCATCGCTTGGGGCAGAAGCATCCTGGCTTGGGGTCTTGAAGCTCCCTGAGAGGTGTCGGGAGCTCGGCCACCTGCAAATCTTGGAGTCTACCTGGCTCCGAGCCACTCCTGTGCCTGCTGGGCTGGATGGCCTGGGGCGAGCGGGGGTAGGGTCCCTGGGGACTGCTTGCCGCCCTGTCTCTAACCTCTGTGCTAACTGTCCTTCTCGCCCTCACTGCTGCGCTCAGTCAATTCCATGGGACCTCTGGGAGGTAAGCTGCACGTCTGCTCTTTGTCCAGCCCCTGGGGGAGCCACTCTTCCGTATGTGTCCAGGCCCACATGCTCCTAGCCTGTTCACAGGTGCATGCACCCCACACACCCCCCACACGCAGGACACACAGGCAC
Organism: Homo sapiens; assembly: GCF_000001405.40. Taxonomy (NCBI): domain Eukaryota; kingdom Metazoa; phylum Chordata; class Mammalia; order Primates; family Hominidae; genus Homo; species Homo sapiens. Next base: position 127,053,287 of record NC_000002.12, on the reverse strand, counting down.
GTGCTCACGCACAGGGAGCTGGTGAAGCCACCCGCCTCCAGCCATTCTGCTGCTTCTCCCTCTGGCAGGCCCTTGGAAAAGGGGATCTTCGGTTTAGCTTGAGACAGGGGTCCCCTGAGATCTGGTCCTGTTTTCACAGCCTGTGAGTGTTTGCCTCCAGACAGAAGTGGGCCGGTCACCCAGGATGGACGAGTGTCCTCAGGGTGTGGGGCAGGAGGGCCTCAGGGTAGAAGGTTCTTGCCTTCTCTGAGCTTTTTGGCAGTGGGGAGCTGTTTGCGAGGAAGGGGAGAGGGGAGGAATGGATGGTTTGAGAGAGTCAGGGAAGACAGGGTGTGGCTGAGTGCCTTCTGAGAGCAGGGCCTGCAGGCAGGTGCAAGGCCATCTCACACAGCACCATGTCACTGTCACCTGATAGCTCAGGACACAGAGGCTCAGGGAAGGCTCAGTACTTGCCCAAGAACTGGTCATGGTAGAGCCAGAATTCCAACAGGGTCTCCTGGGCTCTGTCCCTGAGACCCCCTGATACAGGCAGAGATGCTGGGAGGGGCAGGCGGGTGTGCAGGCGCCCTTGGGGCATGCGCTGGCAGCCCAGGCTCCTGGGAGCTCTGGAGGCTCCACCGCAGGATTTCCCTCTGGAGGAAGCCAGAAAGAGCCAGCCTGGTGCGAGCTGGTAGGGCCATTTTGACAAGTGGATTTCGGTAGGTGCTGAGCTTGGGCAGCACAGTCACACCTGCCTGTCCCTTTGACAGTGGTAGGAGAGAGGATGTGGGAGGCGGGTGGCTGGCCGGGCTCCGCTGGTACCCACCCTGCCCCCACCAACCCCAGCCGCTGGTGACATTTTCTCTTGTCTTGTGATCCTGCCCATTGCCTTTCCACCCCGGCCTCCCCGCCCCCTCCCTGTTCTCTCCTCGTGGCCTGTTACCAGCCCACAGAGAGTCCAGCCGGCAGCCTGCCTTCCGGGGAGCCCAGCGCTGCCGAGGGCACCTTTGCTGTGTCCTGGCCCAGCCAGACGGCCGAGCCGGGGCCTGCCCAAGTAAGTGCCCACCTCCAGCCCCTGTCTGGCTTGTCCCCAGTCTCTAGGGGTGCAGCATGGAAGGAGAGCCCCGAGGAGGGGTTGCAGGAGGGACCAGGCCACCATGGATGTGAGGGTGAGGACAGGGTCCTGAGCTAGGCTGCCCCAGCACGGGCTTGTCACCAAGGCTGCCAGGGATGAGTGAGCGCAGCTGGGCGCATCAGCCCCTCCTGCTTGCCCACCCCAGCCCAGCCTCCCAGCGCAGGAGGAGCATTTAGAGCACCTACTGGTTTATGCCAGGCACTTTCCAGAATCTTCTCATTTAATCTTCGTCATCACCTTTACAGCCAGACACTTCCTCCTTTTACAGATGAGGAGATGGGGGCTAGGAGGGTTGAGTAACTTGGTTCCAGCACTCAGAAGTGGCCAAGTCTGAGTGTCGGCCCAGGTCAGCCCAGCTCTGGGGTTCCTGCAGGGCCTGCCGTGGTGCCCGTGCTGCGGTGCCCGTGCTGCGGTGCCCATTCTGTGCCACACCCTTCTTGGATTTGGGCTGCGCACAGGCTGCACCGCACCACCTGCGCTGGGTTGTGCTCAGGCTGGGACAGATGTGTGTTGCTGTCCCCTGCCATGGACTATCTATAGGTGCAGCAAGATCCTGCCACCTGCCGGGTCAAGCAGGGTGGGCGGGTGGTGGCTGTGGCTGGGCGAGGTCTTGGTGCCGAGAGAGCAGGGCCTGTGAGGCGGGGTTGGGGGTGGCACTCTGGGGCTTGCACTGGGCTTCTTCACAGCATTGTCACTCACATCCCTGGGCCTGCCAGCGCCTACTCTTCAGCTGCTTCCCCGGCCCAGGGCCCAGCTTGTCCAGCAGAGGCTCCCTGGATTCTTCGAGGCACTGGGCAGCTCTAGACCCTGCTGCCAGCCAGGCGATGCCCCCGGCCCTGTCGCTTGGGTGCTGCCCTCCTGTGGCCTGTTTCCTGTGTCCTGGCTGTGTCCTGTCCTGTGTCTGACCCCAAGCCGGCATTTATGTTGCAGCCAGCAGAGGCCTCGGAGGTGGCGGGTGGGACCCAACCTGCGGCTGGAGCCCAGGAGCCAGGGGAGACGGCGGCAAGTGAAGCAGCCTCCGTAAGACAGCAGGGACAAAGCCCTGCCTTTTCCTCCCTGCCGCCCGCCTGCCTGTCCGGGGCTCCCCTGTGGCCCCTGCTGGTGCTGGTCCAGGCCTGGCTCCTGTTGAGGAAGCTGGAGGCGGGCCGGTCTGGCACCAGGCGCAGACACCTTTCTCCCCTCCCCGCCCCTCTTCTCCTCGGTGGCCCTGGCTGTCCCTGGACCACCTCCCTGCTCAGCTGACCCGTACCTCTGCCACCAGAGCTCTCTTCCTGCTGTCGTGGTGGAGACCTTCCCAGCAACTGTGAATGGCACCGTGGAGGGCGGCAGTGGGGCCGGGCGCTTGGACCTGCCCCCAGGTTTCATGTTCAAGGTGAGCCCACAGCCTCTGACTGCTGCAGTCCCTCGGTGCCCTGGTGGGCAGATGAGAACCCTGAGCCTCAGGAGACTCTGTGGTTTGCCCAAAGTTGTGCAGGCGCTACTAGGTCACTCCCAGCCAGCAAGGTGGCATCTGAGCCCCATACTGTCCTGCTGCTTTTGAGCACTCCTGGTCTCCATACTGCCACCTGCACCTCCCACACGCAAGGCCCGTGCTCTGTGCAGGGCTGGAGGTGGGACGGAAGGTCTGACTTGCGATCCGCATCCTCTGCAGGTACAGGCCCAGCACGACTACACGGCCACTGACACAGACGAGCTGCAGCTCAAGGCTGGTGATGTGGTGCTGGTGATCCCCTTCCAGAACCCTGAAGAGCAGGTGAGGGCTGGGTGGGGCCGCCAGAGCGCAGGGGGACCACAGGCATCCTGGCTGCGGCTGGCACCGCCGTGGCGGAGACAGGCCAGCAGGGGGCAGCAGAGGCCCGCGAGCACCAGGGCTCCCGCGCCAACTGCTCCTCCCCGCCCTCCACGTCGGGCTTTTTCCTCTCTCCCTCTCCTCTCCCTTCCCTTGGCCCCTCTCCTGTTAGGCCTCTCTCTCTCCCTGTCCCCATACCCGCTTCTTCCTGTAGCCTCTGCTTTCTTCTCCCCACGTCCCCCCTTTGCTCAGGCGCTCTCAGCTCTGCCTCTGTCTCTCCCCTTCTCCTCTCCTGGCAGCTGTGCCTGAGGCCTGCCTCCCTCCTGGGACAGGATGCTTGACCCCTCCTGCCCCGCCCACAAGGTGCCCACCCTGCAGCCAGCCGGAGCACTGGTTGGGCTCATGAAGCCCCGTGTGCCGTCCCTCGAGGCGGGCCCTGCCCTGTGCACGCAGGGCCATGGGCTTCCCAGCTGTGTCCCCGGCTGAGGCTCACCCACGATGCCTTCCAGACCCTTCTCCTCCTGCTGTGGCTTCATGTTAATCTCCTGGAAGTGAGGGCTCCTGTTGAGCCTGGGTGGGTGCTAAGTGTGTCCCTCCTAGGTCTGGGACCCTCCTGGATCTGGGTCAGTTGCCCCTCCCAGGGGGCCTTGGACTCTTGGCAGGAGCCTCCCCGCTGTGTAGAGCCAGCTTTGCTTGTGGGGGGTCGGTGGTGCCATGTGGGCATCTGGCTTCCTCCACGGCTCAGCCCCTGAGCACCTCGGGCTGTGCACAGAGGGCCTGGCCGGCTTCTTCCTGCTTCCAGAGAACATGTTTAGCCATCAACGCTTCTGTGTGAATAGGTTATCAGAGCGGCTGAGGGTGACAGTGGGTCTGCCTGGGTCTTGGATGAGGCCGACCCTACTGGGGGTCCTGGGCTGGGATGTAGGGGTACCAGGTACTTATTGAGGTCCGGGGCAGGAGGCCTGAGTGATGAGGACCTTGTGGGCCTGGCACTGATTTGGCCCTTTCTCCTAAGCCCCCAGGTCTTCATGGACCTCCTAGTGGGCCAGCCCTGGCTGGGTAGGATTTCAAGCAGACTGCTACCCAGAGCCCACAGTGAGAATTGGCCTGGGGCTGCTGGAGGGGGCTCAGATAGGGCATGAGTAGGGTCTGTGACCAGGCTGACAATGACACAGAGGGAAATAACAAAGACCCAGGTAGGCCCCAGGCACAGCCCAGCTGCAGGGGCAGCCTCGGCCCAGCCACTGGCAGGAGTGGATGGCCATACGGCTCCCCGTGACCCACCTGGGGCCAGGGGCCTGTCAGCACTCCCAGAGAAGGCCCTGCGGGTGTCAGGATTGAAGCAAAGGGCAAGTCGAAGTTGGAGGGACTGGTGGGATGGCCCCAAGTCCCTCTAGAACTTGTAACTTGTTGTCACTCCCAAAACTTTCTGGGGTTGTTTGAGAAGCCTGGAATCCTGGAAGGGCTGATGTGCACATCATGCATGCAGTGGGACTCATCAAAACCAGCCACGAATGGTTAGATCCACCTGCGGACGACAGGCTGGCTCCTGTGGTGCCTCTGGGCAGGAGCCTCAGCCAGCAGCATCAGGGAGTGCTGCCTGGAGGAGGTGTTCTCAAGGTGGGCTTGGCAGGCTGAGGCACCAACAGCAGGAGGAGGGGCCGTCTTCCCAGCAGGTTGGAGTGGGATGCGTGCCCTGTGGGGTGGAGCCCCTTGCTCATCCCTGTGCGACCTGGTGCTCTGCCCCTCAGGATGAAGGCTGGCTCATGGGCGTGAAGGAGAGCGACTGGAACCAGCACAAGGAGCTGGAGAAGTGCCGTGGCGTCTTCCCCGAGAACTTCACTGAGAGGGTCCCATGACGGCGGGGCCCAGGCAGCCTCCGGGCGTGTGAAGAACACCTCCTCCCGAAAAATGTGTGGTTCTTTTTTTTGTTTTGTTTTCGTTTTTCATCTTTTGAAGAGCAAAGGGAAATCAAGAGGAGACCCCCAGGCAGAGGGGCGTTCTCCCAAAGATTAGGTCGTTTTCCAAAGAGCCGCGTCCCGGCAAGTCCGGCGGAATTCACCAGTGTTCCTGAAGCTGCTGTGTCCTCTAGTTGAGTTTCTGGCGCCCCTGCCTGTGCCCGCATGTGTGCCTGGCCGCAGGGCGGGGCTGGGGGCTGCCGAGCCACCATGCTTGCCTGAAGCTTCGGCCGCGCCACCCGGGCAAGGGTCCTCTTTTCCTGGCAGCTGCTGTGGGTGGGGCCCAGACACCAGCCTAGCCTGGCTCTGCCCCGCAGACGGTCTGTGTGCTGTTTGAAAATAAATCTTAGTGTTCAAAACAAAATGAAACAAAAAAAAAATGATAAAAACTCTCAGAAAACGTGTGTGTATTTGTTCTCCCTCTTCTTGTCCGTGAGTGCGGATGGAACCGTGTTATCTGTGGCTTTCTTACTGAGATGGTCTGCCCCCGAAGGCCCGCTGCCCTGGGCTGGTGCACCACAGGGCTTCAGCCCCTGTCCCCTGGGGTTCTTAGGGGTGGTCAGCTGGAGGTCAGGGACTGGGGGCTTGGGTGAAGGGGCTTGGCGAGCCATCTCTGTCCGAGAAATCTGCTGAGTGCTATCCTAAGTGACCTTTTTATTTTATTTTGTTTCATTGTTTTGAGACAGAGTTTTGCTCTTGTCGCCCAGGCTAGAGTGCAATGGCGAGACCTTGGCTCACTGCAACCTCCCGCTCCTGGGTTCCATCGATTATCCTGCCTCAGCCTCCTGAGTAGCTGGGATTACAGGCGTGAGCCACCACACCCGGCTAATTTTATATTTTTAGTAGAGATGGGGTTTCACCATGTTGGCCAGGCTGGTCGCAAACTCCTGACCTCAGGTGATCCACCTGCCTTGGACTCCCAAAGTGTTGGGATTACAGGCATGAGCCACCACACTCAGTGACCTTATTTAATACGCAAGAGAACCTGTGGTTCAGGTACCAGGACTCCCTTTCACAGATGAGGAAGCTGAGGCCCACGGAGGTCCAGTTACCGGCAGGTGAGTGATGGCACTGGACTGTGGGTCTGAGCACTTGACCCCAGACCAAGGGCAATGCTTGTGTCTGGTGGGGTCTGAAGGGCCTGGGTGGGGGGCAGGCATGCTGGCCTGGCTTGTCCCTCATCTCTTGACCCCTGCTGACCCCGCTCTGGGCGCTTCAGTTCCATCGGCAGACTTGGACAGGTCTGAGCAGCAGCTTTCCAGGAGCTGCGGGGACTGTGCCCATGGGCCCAGGGAGCAGCCTGCACTTCCAGGTGGAAGGAGCTCACGGCTCTCTTTAGTAATAGTTAAAGCTGGTGAGTGAGGTGACTGTCAGAGTCTGAGCTTTATTTTGGGGTAAAGCCCCTGGGCTTTGCTTTAGGTGGCAGGATTGTCATTGCTGTGGCCCTGCCTGGTCCTGTGGGGGGCAGATAGTGTTGGCTCTGCCATCCGTGGCTTCCAGGAGCAGTGGAAGTCATAGCAGTTGGGACAGAGCCTCTTTCTGGTTGCCCCTGCTTGGAGATCTCCCACCTTTCCTACCTTCCTTCACTCCCTCCTTCATCCCTTCCTCCTTGACAGCCTCATTTCCCCTGCCCAAGGTCCATAGTGCATTGTGGGTGGAGCCGGCTTGGAGCCCAGCCCACTTCTGAGCCTGGGTGCACGTGCCCTGGGCTCTGTGAGGTGTGAAGCCACAGTGCCATCATGGGAAGTCTTTGCTTTTATTTCAACCTGAAAATTCAAAACAAAACAAAAAAACAAAAAAACCCACCTCATCTAAAATACATTATCCAGGAGAAAGCATTTAGATTAGGTTTTTGACAATATAAGATTCCAAGATATGTTCCATGGCAGCTTTCAGCTTTACCCCCAGCCCTCGCCGCTGGGGTAAGGAGCGGCCCTGCTCTGTACCACAAGGTCAGGGCCTGCAGGGAGCTTCTTGCCAGAGGGAGCAGGGCCAGGATCGGGGCTGGGGAGCCTGCGGATCCAGAGGGAGGGAGGCCAGGTGTGAGGTTCCCATCCTGCTGGGGAGGGGCAGCGGCCCAAAGTCTGAACTGAGATGTGTGTCTGGGAGCCGGGGAGTCAACTAGGTTCATGGCAGTGCAGGGGGCATTCAGAGCCAGGCAGCGTGAATAAACAGGCCAGTGAGCTGAAGGGCCGGGCAGAGCAGAGGGCCCAGGCCAGGACAGGGTGGAGGAAATAGCAACAGGTGGGGTGAAGGTGGCCCATGGTGGGGGCCGGGAGAGGTGCGGGCTGCTCTCCATGCCTGGCAGCTGGACGTGCAATGTCCCGGAGGGCTTGGCAATCTGGCTTGATTTGGGCTGACGTGGCCACGGAGGCCCAGACCCTGGGCAGGGCTCCTGACTCTCAGAGCAGGCAGGCCGGGCTGTGGGTTCTGGGACCCAACTGAGGCTGGAGGCTCTTGCAGACCCCACACCCTGGGAGGGCCAAGCACGAGCTTGGGAAGAGGCCCACCCTGGGCAGCCCTCTGTGTGGCTCCCCTCCAGCCTCCCGGAGCCAGCGTGTGGCGGGAGTGACAGTGGCGGTTTGGAGCCAGGACTGGAGAGAGGTCTAGGAAGGCCGCCTCTTGTGTGGGGGCTGTGGGGTGGGCTGCAGCAGCCCAGGTGCCTGAGGGAGGGCCAGGCCCTGCATAGAGGCATTCTCATGGCTTCCTGGAAGGTGTGGGCCCCTTTTGAAACCCCATGAAAATCTTTAGAAAATCGGTTTACTTATTTATTACTCTGTGTTACAAACTCATTTGCTGGCAGGAGCAGGATTTTGAGTCATGGGACTTGGCAGCTAAAATTATCACACACACCCCCTGTCAGTGCAAATGGCCCCGAGGCCTCAGGCTCTGCACCAGCTCCGCCGTCAGAGGCTCTCAGAAGTGTCCTTCCGGTGCAGGGAGCGACCCCCTGCTCCCCGCCCTCCTGCCAGCTCCCCGGTCTTCCACCGCGGCCCCAACACTGGCCCTGCTGCTGGCCCGGCCTCTCAGCCCTTGTCCTTGATTGGATATGATAATCATGTTGGTGTCGCTTCTCTCAGTTTTGCTGGCCTGAAGACCCTTGGCCATGCCTCTGGGGTTTTAAATGCCCATACTCCTGGCCTCAGTCACCCCAACACCAGGCCGCATGTGGGGACGTCATGAGGGGTGGCCAAACACTGGGTCCCTCTGCTCAGCAGCTGTGGCTGGCGTGCTGGGTGCTGGGTGGCTGTGGCTCAGGTCCTCCGAGATGCTCTCGGCCTCCTTGGCGCCTGGGCAGCAGCTTCATCTTGGGGCTGAGTAGTTCCGAGTTTGATGCCAGCACACTTCCTTCCGAGAAGCACCCCGGAAAGTATTTGTGTGTGTGTGTGTGTGTGTGTGTGTCATTGAACCCTGAGCCAGTTGCTGTGGCCTGGGGTGGCACTTGCAGATTTGCTTAAGACAAATAGGATCTGGAGCTGGAGGTGGGCTGAACTGGGTGAGGGAGGCATGAACACCTGAATGAAAATCGGGGTGAGGCTTCTGAGGAGAAGGGGAGATAGGTTCTAGGAGCTCAGATCTGGGAATGTGCACTCCACGGTGGCTTCCAGAAAGGGCCCTGAGACTAGGTAGCTTGCCTAGATGGGAACTGCGAGGAGATGTGTGAATGTGTGTGTGAGTGAATATGAATGTAAATGTGTGTGGATGCGTGTGATTGTTAGTGACTGTAAGTGTACATGTGTGACTGTGTGTGAATGAGTGTGTGTGAATGTGTGAGTGTAAATGTGTGAGTGAATGGGTGAATGTGAATATGTATGAGTATAATGTGTGAACATGTGTGTAAATGTGGGAGTGTGAATGTGTGTGAATGGGCAAACGTGAATGTGTGTGCGAATGTGTGTGCATGTGAGTAAATGTATGTGTATGTGAGTGTGAAGGTGTGAGTGTGAATGTGAATGGTCAGAGAATGTGAGTGTGAATGTGTATGGTGAGTGTGAATGTGTGTGCGAGTGTGTGCATGAGAATAGGTGTGAATGTGTGAGTGTCGATGTGTGTGACTGTGAAGGTGTGGGTGTGAGTGTGAATGTGTGTGAATGTGTGTGAAGGTGTGGGTGTGAGGGTGAAGGTGTTGGTGAGGGTGAATGTGTGTGAATGTGAGTGTGAAGGTGTGGGTGTGAGTGTGAATGTGTGTGGAATGTGTGAGTGTGAATGTGAATGTGTGAGTGTGAAGGTGTGTGAATGTGAATGTGAAGATGTGGGTGTGAATGAATGTGTGTGAATGTGTGTGAATGTGTGAGTGTGAAGGTGTGGATGTGAGTGTGAATGTGTGAGTGTGAAAGTGTGGGTGTGAGTGTGAACGTGTGTGAATGTGTGAGTGTGAAGGTGTGAGTGTGAATGTGTGTGAATGTGTGAGTGTGAATGTGTGAATGTGAGTGTGAAGGTGTGGATGTGTGAATGTGTGTGAATGTGTGAGTGTGAATGGTGAGGAGAATGTGAATGCGTGTGTGCATGTGAATAGGTGTGAATGTGTGAGTGTGAATATGTGTGAAAGGGTGAGTGTAAATGTTAGTGTGAATGGGTCAGTGAGTGCGAGTGTGCGTCTGTGTGTAAATGTATGAATGGTTGTGTGTGTGAATGTGTGCACGAGTGTGCGTGCGAATGTGTGCACGTGTGAATGGCTGAGTGAATGGCCAGTGTGCATGGGAATGGGTGAGTGTGAATGGGCGAGTTCACGTGTGACGTTTCTGGGACCCTTGCTTGGTTCACTTTATCCAGCCTATAGCGGGCCTAGGGCAGCGGGAGGGCGGAATGCAGCCGGGCAGGTTTGCTCCTTCGTGTTCCAGGGGAATGCTCACCCGACGGCCCCCGCTCCTGGTCTCAGAAGCTCCTCCGCTGGAGACAGGGTAGACGGCTGAGCCCCTCCTCGGCTGCGCTGTTTGGAGGCTTGTGCGCTGGGGATGTGCTGCATCTGTAGATCCAGTGTCCCAAATGGTGATTCCGTCACTTCCGTATCCATTCATTCATTGGCTGTTCCCCAGGCCCGCACTGAACTACAGAGAAGATTAAAATGCATTCCTCAGTGGACTCGGGACTGCTAGACTAGAGAGGATGGAGGCGGCAGAGCTGAAAAGCTCCCCATTGGGTTCAACGCTCACGACTTGGGCGATGGGATCAACCATACCCCAAACCTCTGCATTACGTAATACACCCGGGTAACAAACCTGCACGTGTCCCCAATTCTAAAAGAAAATTTGAAAAAGAGAAAATAACATCATAAAATGTGGTTCCTACCCATGATGCGTGCACAGCCTGGGGGAGGCAGAGCAGCCACGGCCACAGCGGTGTGTCTGGGTGGTGCGTTTGAGGTTCCGGGGACAGAAGTGGAGCCGCCACCTGGCTTCGCACAGGGTAGGTGCCCCGGTTGAGGGGCTGGCACCTGGGAGGCCACCTCGGGCAGGGGCAGCCAGTGGAACAGGCAAGCGGACCTCAGGTTTGTTGAGCTGGGGAGGCCTGGAGCTCAGGAGAGAGACGGGCCGGGAAGAGGCGAAGGTGCTGGGAGAGCTTGTAGAGGAGGCGGAAGGAGGACCGGAGCAGCTGGTGACCACCACATTTAAGAGGAAGGAAGCTGGCCAGGCGCGGTGGCTCATGCCTGTAATCCCAGCACTTTCCGAGGCTGAGGCGGGTGGATCACCTGAGGTCAGGAGTTCCAGACCAACCTGGCCAATATGGTGAAATCCTGTCTCTACTTAGAAAAAAACAACCAAAAAAACCTCAAAAATTAGTCTGGCATGGTGATGCACGCCTGCAATCCCAGCTATTCAGGAGGCTGAGGCAGGAGTATTGCTTGAACCCAGGAGGCAGAGGTTTCAGTGAGCCGAGATCGAGCCACTGCACTCCAGCCTGGGTAACAGAGTGAGACTCCATCTCAAAAAAAAAAAAAAAAAAAAAAAGAAAGGCGGAGGCAAGCCTGTAATCCTAGCACTTCGGGAGGCCGAGGTCGGGGGATCACCTGAGGTCAGGTGTTTGGACCAGACTGACCAACAAGGTGAAACCCTGTCTCTACTAAAAATACAAAAATTAGCTGGGCCTGGTGGCAGGCGCCTGTAATCCCAGCTACTCAGGAGCCGAGAATCTCTTGAACCAGGGAGGCAGAGGTTTCAGTGAGCTGAGATCGCGCCACTGCACTCCAGCCTGGGCGACAGAGCGAGACTCTGTCTCAAAAAAAAAAAAAAAAAAAAAAAAAACAAAACGAGGGAAGCAGGAGGTTTCACAGGCACTGCCTGCCAAGGAGCTATTCAGTGCCATCCTTAGGAAGAGCTCCCTCCTCAAGAAGCAGCTGTGGTGGATGGGGCTGAGAAGGCTGGAAGACTGAGGACAGTGGCCTTGCCCACCTGCTCTCAGGCCCTGGGGATCCACAGAGGGGCCGCTGTGGAACACAGGCCGGGAACACAGGTGGGCTGCTGCCACCGGTACTCCTCACCCTGATTATGCAGAAGAGCAAATCACTGAGGAAAGGCCCTTCTTAGCGCAATTAAAAAGGATAATTAACAACGGGTGAGAAAGCTGCCTTCCTGACAGCCTCCGATGACAGTGAGCATCGGCTGCTGGAGGGAGAAGGGCAAAGGCATGCTCCTCTTTTCCTAGACAGCCACGGCCAGTGCACAGGGGCAGAGAGCATCCTCCAGGCTTGTCACGAAGAGGCTTTGAATCCCAGGCTGGGCAGAGACTTAAAGGCCCCTGTCAATCAGCCTGGGGTGCTTATCTCATGTCCCTGCCCCGTGTGACCTGCAGGGGGTGGCTGGAGAGGGGGCACAACTCTTTCTTGAAGGAAAGGATAGGCTGGAGGTGGGCCGAGGTTGGCACACAGATGCCATTCAGAGCTAAGGCGACAGATTTTTGTCTCCCGGAAGCTGGTGCATCTCCACCTACTTGCAAGCTGCCGGGTCTAGAGGACATGCACTTTCCATGGATCAGAGTCACAGATGGCCTGGAAGCTCCTGGGAAGCCATCCTTCATTAGGAATTGAGGGCCCGAATCTGTGGCTCAGGGCAGTGTTCTCACCTCCAGGTATCCAGCTGCCCATCTTCCCCCATGCACGTGGGCACCTTGAACTTGAAGTGCTTCTAAGCTGACTTGTCCAGTGTGGGCCGTCCTTGGACTCATTCCACACCCTCCTCCTGGAGCAGATGTTGCTAGGTGCACACCCAATACTCATCCCCTCCGCCTGCCCAACTGAATTCTGGTTTTGTTCAGGGTACCAATGCAGTCCGCTAAAGTCAGTCATTTTCCCAGCCTTCCTCGCAGCTGTGGGTGGCCTTATGACATAGTCCTGGCCAATAAGATGGGAGAGGGCATCCCTTCGCAAAGAAAACATCAAAGCCTTGTTAAGAAAAAGGCCTTTGGGCCGGGTGCAGTGGGTCACGCCTGTAATCCCAGCACTTTGGGAGGCCGAGGCAGGCAGATCACTTGAGGCCAGGAGTTCAAAACCAGCCTGGCCAACATGGTGAAACCCCATCTCCACCAAAAATACAAAAATTAGCCGGGCGTGGTGGTGTGCACCTGCAGTCTCAGCTACTTGGGAGGCGGAGGCAGGAGAATTGCTTGAACCCAGGAGGCAGAGGTTGCAGTGAGCTGAGATCGCACCACTGCACTCCAGCCTAGGAGACAGAGCAAGACTCCGTCTCAACAACAACAACAACAAAAAAAAAAAAAAAAAAAAGAAAAAGGCCTTTGCCTCCTTCTGCCTGGAATGAGGGCGGGAGGTGCAGCAGCCATCTTATGACCCTGAGGCCACACTCAGGAGGATGAAGAGCCACTCACTGAGGATGGCAGAGCGAGAAGGTGGGATATGGCTTTGCAGAGAGTATGCAGTCCAACCCCATTTCTTTCCTGGCTTGTTTTTGTATGAAACAAATAAAGGCATCACATCTGTGGGGGTTTTGTGGCTTGAAGCCTCCCTGATTGCTGCCATGTCCTGCCCGAGTCCTCAGATTTGGCCTCTTAGAGAGTTCTGCATAGGTTTCTCCCTCTGCACTGGCCCCTCCTAGTTCAGGCCTGGTTAGGCCTGCAGCCTCTGAGGTATCTTCCTCTAGGCCAGTCCCTGGAGGGCACCGTGGCTGCCAGGGTGGTTTTCCTGAACCTCCTTTCTGGCCTCATTGCCCTGTGTTCCAACCCTCCAATAACCTCCATTTCTCATGCAAGCCCAGATCCCTTAACCAGCTCCTTCAAGCTCTGGCCCCTGAACAGCTTTTCAGCCCCATCTTCCACCAACCCCCGTCTGGAATGGCCTGTCCTGGTAACCCAGATGAGCTGCGGGTCTGCTTCCCAGTGTCTGCCTTTCCTCTGCCAGGCTGTGGTCCTGCATCTCTGAGGTGCCCTCCCCCTCCCAGCTGATTCCCCCTCCCTTCCAGGGTGCACAGGCCCAGCCCAAGGGGGGCCTGCCTCCTCCGGGTGCGCTGGTTTGTCCACCTGTCAGTCGCGGCACTGGTCGCACTACGTGTACCTGCAGTTGAGCTGCCCATTTTTCTGACCCCACCCGGACACTGCCTCCTGTGCAGCTCTGTGGCCCAGGCCAGGGTCCAGGCTCAGAGTGTGGATGACATGCTCTGCTTCACTCTGCTGGGGCCCCTGCCATGTGGCCACTTGCTGCTCACTGCAGAAGCCACAGGGCACTGTCCACTAATAACTAGAGAAAATGAGTCATAATTCCCTCGCCCCAACCCAGCAATCTTTTTCATTTTTGCCTGTGTGAATTGAAGCTTTTAAAAACTCAAGGGCAGGCTCTGGCGTTTCTCCTGGCCACATTTCACCTGGTTAGAGTTGACCCGGCAGTTGGGTGTTGTTGGCTCTCTGCATGCTCTGAGTCGGCCATAGCAGCCTGTGTCCTAATGTGGTCCAAGCCTGTCATCCAGACTGAGCCCAGGTGGGTGGACAGATGGAGGAACAGGCAAACCCACTATGTAACCTCCAGTAGCCTACTTACAGACCACAAACCCAGCTTCCGCATCTTTTTTTTTTTTGAGATGGAGTCTCGCTCTGTCGCCCAGGCTGGAGTGCAGTGGCACAATCTCAGCTCACTGCAACCTCTGCCTCCTGGGTTCCAGCGATTCTCCTGCCTTAGCCTCCCGAGTAGCTAGGATTACAGGCACATGCTACTATGCCCAGCTAATTTTTGTATTTTTAGTAGAGATGGGATCTCACCATGTTGGCCAGGCTGGTCTTGAACTCCTGACCTCAAGTAATCTGCCTGCCTCGGCCTCCCAAAGTGCTGGGATTATAGGCGTGAGCCACCACGCCTAGCCCAGCTTCCCCATCTTTAAGTGAGGAGGTTGGATGACACGATGCACTGTAATAAAATCATTAAACTCCACCCACAGAGCCTGGGGCACACCACGATAGACTCTCGCCCTTCACTGTCTTAGATATTCTCTTTCAGAATGTTGATTTTTCCAACTTTTATCCCTTTTTTTTTTTTTAAATTTCAGATAGGGTCTTGCTCTGTCGCTTAGGCTGGAGTGCAGTGGTGTGATCGTAGCTCACTGCAGCCTCAACCTCCAGGGCTCATGTGATCTTCCCTACACAGCCTCCTAAGTAGCTGGACTACAGGTGCCCACCGCCACACCCAGCTAGTCTAATGTCTCCTTGATGTCCTGCAATCTGCTAATCTTTCTCTGTTTTGTTCACAAGAATTTTATGAGAGACCATGAGGTCCCACAGCAGGGATCTCACATTTTAAGATGTGTGTCCATAATTTTTTGAGCCAGCAGAAAGCATCCACACAAATGTGAGCATCTTTCGAGGTGGAGTGCCATGTGTGTGTCCTTATTCTAACAAAGGCTGTGGCTGTGCAGAAAATTCCAGAATTTCCTCGCTGGGATACACCTTCAGGCTAGCGGCAGTGTTGTTCAGATACATTCCATGCTAATGGGGTAAGATCTTCTGTCAGGGAATTTGGTGTTTGTGTAATAATAAGAAAATTTCTGTTTGAAAAGTGGCCTACAGGTTGAAGTTGGAATGGATTAGAATAGAAAGAAGCAAAACATTCCTCTGATGGAGTCACAAGGTCATTTGTTGGAAAAAAAATGACCTTAGAGAGCATGATTGGTTCTGAAAGCTAATCCGCCCTCCCCATGGGCTGGGTGGGAGAAACCAAAGAGGCGACTTGTTCTATCTGAAAAATGAATGACAATTTTGCCCTGCCTGTGGGGGACAGATGAGGGAGGTGGGTGGAGGACCCCCAAAAAGGGGTGGGGTAGGAAGAGCATGAGGAGGAGAGTGTGGAGGGAGAGAGGGGCCTGAGGAGATGGCCTTTCACCAGGCCTGAAGATGGGCCAAGCCTCGAGAAATCTCCTGGGCAGCAAACAGCAGGTGAGTCTGTAGGACACCCACAGCTCCTACTCAGTTGTAAGTTACTTCTAGTTCTGTGCTGGGCTGAACATCCCACCTTTAACCCTACACCCTGTGCGTGTCTGTGTTCCTTCGAAGGACTCCAGGAGTTGGCTGAGTTCCACACTAGGTCTGACCCAGAGCCAAGAGGAGAGTTGCTACAGGAGAGGAGAGGGGTTTGACCCAGCAAAGGGAGAAATGCAACCTTCCCCAGCCCTGCCTGGAAAAGGTCCTAGGAGGGAGAGGGGCAGGAATTGAAGTCCTCACAATATATAGGAAGGTACCTTGAGCAGTTTTATTTGAGAGCAAAGAAGAGGATGATCCCAGAAGATACAAGGGCACAGGGCCAATGAAAAGGCAGATATTTGGGTTGCATCCAGGAACTTGGAGGCAGATGTTGAGTTGTCAAGAGCTGGGCTCTCCAGCTGGAAGCATCTAGCCTTTATGGTGAGACATTGCCTTGGGCTGCAGTTTTTCTTCCTATAAGATGGTGGCCATAATACTTAACTGACAGGGTTGTTGTGTGAAGTAAGAAGTATTACAGGACAATTTTTTAAAAAAATAAAGTCATTCGGCAGGGCGCAGTGTCTCACACCTATAATCCCAGCACTCTGGGAGGCTGAGGTGGCTGGATCACTTGAGGCCAGGAGTTTGAGACCAGCCTGGCCTACATGACAAAACCCCATCTTTACTAAAAATACAAAAATTAGCTGGGTGTAGTGGTGTGCATCTGTAGTCCTAGCTACTCGGGAGGCTGAGGCACAAGAATCACTGGAACCCAGGAGGCAGAGGTTGCAGTGAGCCAAGATTGTGCCACTGTACTCCAGCCTGGGTGACAGAGTGAGACTGTGTCTCAAAAAAAAATTATACATATACATATACGTATATATACGCACACATCTCATACAAAGAGAAAAGCTACACATTTTATTTAACTAATTAACAAGGAAGCGGTAAGATGTTACAGGCAGTTTAAATGAGAACTGGATGTACAGAGGTTTATATTTTCTACTGGACAAGATGCATGTGCGTTGCTTTGGCCCAGAATTATGTGCATAGCTAGGAACAGGAAACTTCTGCATCTTCAGCAGCCCCACACGAGCTGATGCTGTCTCTGCAGAACTGCAGAACAACCCTGCCCAGAGAATTGAAGGCATGTGTCCCCACGGAATCCGACAATCCCTGAGGGTCCCTAGCCACTGCCCAGAATCCATCAAAGGGACACTGAGTTTTTTGCCCATGTAAAGCCTATAACAACTGAACAATCTTTGTCTCCCTGCCCCAGGATCACAACAGTCTCCAAAAATGATTCTCGATCACAAGACAATGGGTCTCAGTTTGGCCTATTTACACAGGTGCAGTGAGAATGTTCTAGACTTTCCAGACCTCCTTGGGTTAGCTTTCTTATTTTTTTAGGTAGAGTCTCACTCTGTTGCCCAGGCTGGAGTGTAGTGGCATGATCTCAGCTCACTGCAACCTCTGCCTCCCGGGTTCAAGTGATTCTCCTGCTTCAGCCACCTGAGTAGGTAGAATTACAGGCGTGCGCCACCATGCCCAGCCAATTTTTGTATTTTTAATAGACATGGGGTTTCACCATTTTGGCCAGGCTGGTCTTGAACTCCTGACTTCAAGTGATCTGCCCACCTTGGCCTCCCAAAGTGTTGGGATTGCAGGCATGAGCCACCGCACCTGGCCTGTAGCTTTCAAATCTAGAGTGCTGTGCAGCATTAAGCAACTGCCATGGCCCTGGAATTCGCTCCTGTCTGAATAGAAAATCTTAGCTGGGATTTATAAAAGCCTCTTTTATCTGCTGGGAAACCGAGTTCAAGGAACTGTCACCACCAGCTCTCACCTATGTATCTGTAACTTTGGATGGCTTCCTCGCTTCTCAAAGTTCCCTACATCAGTTGATGCTTGCTCCTGGCCTGCAGGAAACCACCTTTCCTACCACCTGTGAGGCTAGGACTCAAGGGCCCAGCATGTTCTCCTGCAGTAGCTTTGTGGCATCAATTCTGTATAAAAGTGGCTTATCCCACCTGATTAAATGAGACTCACCTCCAATTATGACAACCCCACAATAACCCTTATTGCTTAATGCTGTTTTATCCCAGCAAAAGAAGAAAAGTTCTCCATTGAATTTATGAAAATAACTATATTTCCATGAAAACTTAAGACTAAGTCATTTTCTGAGTTCTGGAGGGTTAGTGAAAATAAGAAACTATTTTACAAATGTTTCTTTTCAATTGACAAAAGCAAAGTCTATTAAATTGTAGGTTAAAAAGGAAGAGAAGGAGCTTCCTCACAGATCTAGAAATGAAAGAACATCAAAGCAACATCAGCAATATTCCAAAAAATAACCAAGACAAAATTGCCTCATTCAATCCTAAGTAATAATTCCTGTTCTCTGGATCCAGTCAAGAGAGAACTTTTAGGGAGCCTCTGCTCTGAGCTTAGAGGCCTAGAAGTCATGACTCCGTCTGATGGATGATCTGAAGGTGGCCTAAGTGAGGTCCGCTCAGGAGCGTGTCCCCGCGAGGTGATTCACTGTAGCATCCTCAGCTTAGAGCCCCTGCATGTCCTCTTGAGCCTCTGAGGCTGCCCCTTGTGGAAGGCACAGCCGCTCACCAGTGGCTTACAGCAGAGTCCCAGGTGCACATCAGAGTAAATACAAAACTACTGGTAGTTGACTGTTGGTTAATTTATTACAGCAACCGCAGGAAAGTAAGATTCTCTACTGGGAAATAACTATTTCATAAGCATTTTGATCAGTGTCTCACTAAAGGTAAAGCATACAATGGACGGCGACGAGGGCACTGGCAAAGCTTCAGGGCCTTCCTACAAAGTGTGCAGTGTCTGAACTATTTATAATGAGTTTACTGATACAAACTTAACCTAGGGAGGCTGAGCATCTCTTCAGATGCTGATTAAAGAATAATAAACATAATTACTTCTGGCCTCTCTTGCTCTTGCTTCATAGGGTGAAAGTACAAATCTCGTGAATTTCCAGGGGCCCTCTGGGAAGTTTCAAAGAATGTTTTAGTTCAAGATAAAAAGTTTTCTTTTACTCTTTCTATATTTAGGATCTGATCTCTAGAAGGAAAAATCAAAAGAGTTGTCAGAGAAGATTTAGGCACTTGACTCAGAGCATATCATGGGTGCTGAAGAAATAATTCTTGCTTACTCTTTTAATAATGCAAACAAATGTAAAAGTAAACAGAAGGTGACATGAGTTTAAAGAATCATCTCTTTCACAAGTGAGTTTTTGTATTGTTTTGTTTAAATACTCAAGGACTGAATGAAGTCAGCATAAGGCACAGAAATTTTTCTGGCAAGACACACACTTTTGCTGTCAGGCAGACCACAAGGAAGGTAAAGAATAGCCTTTGTGCTGCAGGTCAGTGGTCCCCAGCCTTTCTGGCGCCCGGAACCGGTTTCATGGAAGACATTTTTTCCACGGACTGGGATGGGGGGATGGTTTCTGGATGATTCAAGCACATTACATTTATTGTACACTTTATTTCTATTATTATTACATTGTAATATATAATGAAATAATTATACAACTCACAATAATATAGAATCAGTGGAGGCCTGAGCTTATTTTCCTGCAACTAGATGGTCCCATCTGGGGGTGATGGGAGAGAGTGACAGATTGTCAGGCATTAGATTCTCATAAGGAGCATACAACCTAGATGCCTTGCATGCACAGTTTACAATAGGGGTTCATACTCCTGTGAGAATCTCATGCCACCGTGACAGAAGGCAGAGCTCAGGCAGTACTGTGAGTGATGGGGAGCAGCTGTAACCACCGCTTATCTCCTGCTATGTGGCCCGGTTCCTAACAGGCCATGGACTGTTGCTGGACCATAGCCCGGGGATTGGGGACCCCTGCTGTAGATGAAGGCGGTGACCAGTAAGCCAAGGCGGCAAGCCCATCAAAAGTGAGGAAACTTTGCTAAGATCTAAGTTACTTCATGTCTCTTTTCAGACTCAGGTATTATAAACCAAGGCAAATAACATTCACTTCTTTAGACCTTCATTCACTGTGTTCATTCATATTCTGGAACAAAACTACTTTTCATTGCATGACAAAACAGAAGCACGCACACAGAGTTTTATTTGTCACTATTGCTTCGTGTACCAACCACCTATATGAAAGATAATTTTCATCCAAAGTAACCAACTTCTGTTTCACAGAAAAAGCTGAGGAGGTGGCAGAAAATTGAGAGCTGCCCTACGCGAGCATTTCTGCAGGTGAGCAGATTGCAGGAGGGCACAGCCACTTGCCTCCAGATCCACGCGGGCCTCTTACTCCTTCAAGTGGCAAACACGAATATGCCCATCAACACAACTCAAAGATCCAGGCTTTCTGCAGAATATAAAAATAAGGAGCAAAAGTGGATAAGCCTAAAAGTAGGCTTAGCAATCCATGTTTTAGTGTTATATCCTACTTCGTTTATCTAGGTATCTGATGATTATCTATTAATTAACTCCATTCAGGGTCAGGTTCTGATTTATCTGAAGATTCCAGGTTCTAAGTTATCTAAAGATCTTGGACATTTATTTAATTGGATAAATTATACTACAAAACATAGGTTGAGGTAACGGATGTGTCTAAATAGTGATTCAATTTAGAGTAATACCAATATTCAGTTTTCATAATAGTGACATTGTATTAGACTAATGTTATCTTTTTGATAAACTATTTAAGAAGACCAGATTATTCTCTTCATGAGAGATTTGATCAAATACACAATTGAATTATACTTAACACTGTAAATCAAAGACAAGACCAATCTGTTTTTTAAAAACCAAAATTATTAAGCTAGTTTGACTTGCCACAGATTTACCTTAGTTACAGGAACTTGGTTTTATAAAATGTATTTAAGGTAGCAGTTTCTGTATGAAGGATATTTTAAAAAGCCTAACACATTGAAAGCACTAGAAGCTAGAAATATGAGATATATAAGATATATAAGTGCCTTTTTTCCTATAAACTAGTAAGAACAGAGCTCCTTTGATTTAAGAGACATAACTAATTTATTAATTTATTTCACACTCACATATCACGGAATCAAGGCTTTTCTCAGTTATAGACTTGCAGACACATGGATCACAGATGACAGACATATGGAGAGATTTTGGCTTTGGCCCTGCAAATTCAGCCACAGGCCAGAAGTAAGCAACACACCCTCTTACCAATCCCAAGTCTCAAAGAGCTGTGCTTTGCAGCGGGCACTAAATTTCTAACTGACTGGAGCTCAAAATAAACAAACAAGAAAGGACCAACAAACCGGATTTCCTGTTGTCTCTCACTTGAAAGGAATTAGATCTGTGTCATCCATCTACAGAGATGACTAAATGGTCAGGCCAAAAACCAAATTCTCAATCACTGTTGTCAAGAATAGGGAATAACTTATAGTCAGGAATAAACCAGAAATAAAACCACAGACACAAATTCAGTAAAGATTAGAAAAATAAAACTAGAGAAACAGAGAGTAAGTAAAATTAAAGTTCTGTGGCTGCTTGGAAGTCACCTTGGGAGGTGAGGGAGGACAGAGCTGAGGCTCTGGTGGCATCTGAAGTTCCCTTTGGCAACTGTGCAGCTCATCTGGCTCTGGCTGGTGAATCTACTGTGTATCTCATAGGACCAATAAAACTGCTAGAGGGTCATTTCCAAAAAGGTAGAATCATGACTCCCCTATAAATATAGAATGAATACATGTCAAATATTTTGATTAACTAGTAATTAACAAGAGAGCCCGTTCAAATATTTATCTCCCCCATTGGATAAAATCCATTTGCATTGCTATGAACACCTTTTGCATTACCACGGACAGAAAATGTCTGTATCACCCTCAGCCCTCCACAAGTTAGTTTCCGTCTCTACAGTGTTGCCAATTGGCCCAACTGAACAGTCAAAGTTGCGCACTCCCATAGAATCAGACAATTCCTGGAAGGTCCACTAGACAACAGCCGAAATTCCATGGAAAGGATCCCTGCCATCTTTTTTCTCCATTACAAGGTCTTTATCCTGGGACAAGGATGTTAGAAGTGCATCAGTCACCGAGCAGAGGCCAGTAACTAGGAGTGGCAGCTGCTTAACAATTTTTTTTCATACAGGTAGGTGCCATGGCTCTGAGTGTTGTCCAGAGTGGGCTGAATCCCTGGCTCCTCCGAGTTGACCTCTTTTTTCCTGGGGAAAGAGACTAAAAGTGTTGGTGAGAGTGGGGTCAGAGAGGGGTGGTAGTGGAGGGGGACATTGCCTGAGGACACAGGCTTGCGGCTTCCTGTAGGAATGTACACTTGGTTTTTCTATTTCCCTAGTTTTTCTGTGAAGTTGCCCGGAACATTCACAAATAAAATTTTATCTTGGGCTGGGCGCAGTGGCTCACGCCTGTAATCCCAGCACTTTGGGAGGCTGAGGCAGGCAGATCACTAGGTCGGGAGATCGAGACCATCCTGGCTAACACGGTGAAACCCCGTCTCTACTAAAAATACAAAAAAAAAAACTAGCTGAGCGTGGTGGTGGGCGCCTGTAGTTCCAGCTACTTGGGAGGCTGAGGCAGGAGAATGGCTTGAACCCAGGAAGCAGAGCTTGCAGTGAGCCGAGATCGTGCCACTGCATTCCAAAAAAAAAAAAAAAAAATTATCTTGAATGTGTTGGAGGAGTTGGCACAGAATTAAATACTATAATGATTTTTTAAAAATGAATATGCTTTTTTCCTTCTTGCAGAAGTGATTTTAAAAGTTCTCAACAACCAAAACAGCACAGGCAGCGACAATCAAGCTCCAGCACTGACCAATGAGAATCGATGTGAGCTGTGAGCACACTCACTCAAGTTGACTAGTCTATTTCCTTCCTGTACATTTCAGCTTGCTCCTTCCAGGAAAACCAGAAAATGCCCCAAGTGAGGACAGCCTCGGTAAATATCTCCTCTATGTTCTTTGAGGTCCATTTATCTATATTTTACTGTATATTTTAAAATATGGATTAACACTTACCTGCTAGTTTGCAGTTAAAATGAAGTACAGTGAATAGCAGTTAATTGCATGTCTGAAAACCCTCTCTTCAGACTGATCATCTTCTATGCGCTGTGTGGCTCTCTCATCCCCTATCGTCCACTCTTGCGCTGTTTCCAGTTTTAACGATCACAAACGTCACATCTGTAAGTTATTCTCTGTTTACATCTTTATTTATTTCCTCAGGATAAATTTTCCAAAATGGAATTGCTGGAACAAAGGGCATACATTTAAAAAATGTAACCATTTTATTTTAGAACACTTTGAGATCTGTAGGAAAATTATGAAGATGGTATGGGAGCAGTCCCATATAACCTGCATCCAGTTTCTTCTCTTATGTACATCTTATATTAGTAGGATTCATTTGTTACAATTAATGAGCCTATACTGATACGTTATTTATTTATTTGACACCAGGTCTTGCTCTGTTGCCCAGGCTGGAGGGCAGTGGTGCGATCTTGGCTCACTGCAATCTCTGCCTCCTCGGCTCAAGTGGTTCTCCCACTTCAGCCTCCTGAGTAGCTGGGGCTACATACCTGTGTCACCATGACTGGCTAATTTTTATATTTTTTATAGACATGGGGTTTCACCATATTGTCCAGGCTGGTCTCGAACTCCTGGACCCAAGCAATCTGCCTGCCTTGGCCTCTCAAAGTGCTGGGATTACAGGCGTGAGCCACTGTGCTGGGCCCTGATACATTATCATTAACTGAAATCCATACTTTATTCAGATTTCCTTAGTTTTTCCTTAATGCCCCTTTTCTGTCCCAGGACCCCATCCAGGATCCCATACTATGTGTGGTCATCACTTTTCCTTAGCTTCTCTGGGCTGTGATAGTTTCTCAGACTTCTCTTGCTTTTGACGACTTTGATAGTGTTGAAGGGTCAGGTCATTTTACAGAATGTTCCTCAAGTGGGATTTGTTTGGTGTTTTTTCTCATGGTTAGGTTAGGGTTTGGTGTTTTGGGATTGAAGACCACTGAGGCAAAGTGACATTTTCTTCCCTTCTATCAAGGGTGCATAGTGTCAACATGGCTTTTTACTGTTGGTGTTGACCTTGGTCACCTGGTTGAGATAGTGTTTAGTTTTTCCCTCTCTACCCCTTTCCACCTTGTGCTCTCTAGAAGGAAGTCACTACGCACACTCACACTTATGGGGTGGGAACTTAATGTTCCGTCTTCTTGAGGCAGAGGTATTACGCAAACTTTTTGGAATGTGTCTGCGTGATGTTTCTCTGTTATCTCTCATTTATTTATGTATTCAATTGTTCATTTATATCAGAATGGACCCAGGGTTATTGATCTTATACTCTGGGTTATAACTGAATGCTTTTTTTTTTTTTTTTTTTTTGGCTTAAATTGTTCCAGCTTTCACAATGGGAGCTCTTTCAATTGACTCTTTCGTCCCTTGCCAGGCCCCCATCATTGTGGGATATATATATATTTTCTTACTTTCTGGCACTATAAGATGCTCCAGGAAACATATTTCTTGCCTCAGTTCTAGATCCAGCCATTTCTCCAAGGAGCCCAGAGTACATCTTTTTAAAGGTTTTTGATACACATTGCCAAATTATCCACCAAAAAGCTTACAGAAAGTGAACAAGCCAGCCAGCAATGTGTGAGTGCTTATTTCTCATTACACTGCAATGATCTAAAAATAATATTTTGTCACTCCTTTGATTTGATTCCTTTAATAATTAGTGACTCTCTTTAATTTTTTAAAGTTTATTAGTGATTTGTGATTTGGTAAATTGTCTTTTCAGGTTCTTAACCCATCTTTCTCTCAGAGTGTTCACTTGTATCTTAACATTTTCATAAGAACTCTATATCTAGAATGTACATTAACCTGTGATTATCACATAAAATACAAATATTTGTCCTAGTATCTTATTTGCCTTTTGAAATTACAGACTTTCATTCTACTATAAAGACACATGCACACGTATATTTATTGCACAACTATTCACAGTAGCAAAGCCTTGGAACCAATCCAAATGCTCATCAGTGATAGACTAGATAAAGAAAATATGGCACATATACACCATGGAATACTATGCAGCCATAAAAAAGGATGAGTTCCTGTCCTTTGCTGGGACATGGATAAAGCTGGAAGCCATCATTCTCAGGAAACTAACACAGGAACAGAAAACCAAACACAGCATGTTCTCACTCATAAATGGGAGTTGAACAATGAGAACACACAGACACAGGGAGGGGAACATCACATACTGGGGCCTGTCAGGGGGTGGGAGGCAAGGGGAGGGATAGCATTTGGACAAATACCTAATGCATGTGGGGCTTAAAACCTAGATGACGGGTTGATAGGTGCCGCAAACCACTATGGCAGATGTATACCTATGTAACAAACCTGCACATTCTGCACATGTATCCAGAAGTTAAAGTAAAATAAAAAAAAGAAATTATAGATTTTAAAATTTAAAAACAATAAAAGACTTTTAATATGGGACATTTAAAACATATACAAAAGAGGATAATGTAATGAAGAACCTCATGTACATATTCCCCAATTTCAATAATTATGAACATTTTGTCATCTTTACTTGACCTACCTCTTCTCTCACATTATTTTTTTTAAACTGGAGTCTTTTCAAGTAAATCCCAGACAGTATGCCACTTTGCTTGTAAATACCACAGTATGTATCTTTAATTAACTAGAGCATTTAAAAAACAAGACCACCACACATTATCACACCTATCAACATTAAATTCGTTTCTTAATATCATCTAGTACACAATTAACGTTCAAATTCTCAAAAAGGTCTTTCAGAGTTATTTTGTCTCAATCAAGATCCAAACAAGACCCATACATTGTTTGGTATATCTTAAATATCCTTTGTTCTTTTTGCTTTATTCTTTATTATTTGTAGATGCCACTGGTTCCCTGGAGAAACTGGTTCATTGGATCTGTAGAATGGCCCTTATCCTGGATTTTGCTGATTGCAGCCTAGAGGGCTTTTAATACTTATTCTGCTGTGCCTCATATTTCCTATAAATTGGTGGTTAGATCCAGAGACTTGATTAGATTTAGGTTCACTTTTTAAGGCAAGAACACTTCCTAGGTGGCGCTGTCACTTTCTAATGGGTCCCATCAGTGAGACTCATCATATTTGTTCTACTTTTAGTGATGATAAGATTGATTAGTAGGTTCAAGTGGGGGTCCACCTGTCCCCCCACTGCAAGCTTCTTCATCAAGTTTACCTAATTGGCTGGTGTGGTGGTGCACGCCTGTAGTCCCAGCTACTTGGGAGGTTGAGATAGGAGGATCCCTTGAGCCCAGGAGTCCTGGGCCAGCCTGGGCAACACAGTGGGACCCTGTCTCTTAAAAAAATTTTTACCTTATCAACTCTTTGGCCCCTCTAAAATATAATTTTGAAGAGGAGGACAGAATGAATGCTTGATTTTTGTCCCTTCACCAATTTTAGAGTAATGTGTTAATGTCCTAACAAATTCCAGTGATGACCAAAGAGTTTTAGAAATGTTATTATAACTCACGGAGTTTTATATATTTGTTATGCTTCATTCCATTTCAATCACTTGACTTTTTGGTGCTCAATGATCCCATCTTAGGGCAGTGGGAGCCCTTTCAAATTGAATCGTGTGTGTGTGTGTAGTATGTATATGTCTGTCTGTGTGTGTGTGTGTGTGTATACATATATGCATTCAAAAATGTATACGGAAATGCAAAAGGCCAAGCCAAGCCACATTTTAAAAGAATAAGGTGGGAGAATTGAATCACCACACATCAAGACCTATTTCAAAGCTATGGTAATTAAGCAGCATGTTTTTGATCATAGACATACAGATGATTGACTCAAAATATAGGCTTCTGATACAGACCCATACATTAATAGACCTTTGGTTTATGATCTTGTAAATTACAAGCTTCTCAATAAATTGACAATAGAAATCCATGGGAAAAAAACTGGAATCCCAACTCACGCCATAATCTATTCTAGATGTATTAAAGGCTTTAATATGGAAGGTAAAGCTAAAGATTTTAGGGAAAAAAGCTGAATATCTTTGATATCTTTTAGTATCTTTGATATTTTGTTTTTTTTTACTATCTTTTAATAGTGAAAAATTTCTTAAACAAGAAAGATAAAAAGTATTATTAACTCTAGAACGGGAAAATAAGATAAACTGAGGTATTTTTAAAGTTGTATTGAGAGACCTGAGACCAGTGCCATCTGCACACTCTGTTTTCAGTTCGTGACTGGGCAAGTAAATGCATTGAAAACTCAACTTTCAGAAACTTTTATGTCAATTTGACAGTGTATTTTCCTTCCCTTCCTGCCTGCCTGCCTGCCTGCCTCCCTGCCTCAATGTATTTGATGTCTGCTTACTCTACTGATTAAAAAAGTGGGGCTTAGCCTGGGGGCAGTGGCGCATGGCTGTAATCCCAGCACTTTGGGAGGCTGAGGCAGGCTGATCACTTGAGGCCAGGAGTTCGAGACCAGCCTGGCCAACATGGGGAAACCCCGTCTCTACTAAAAATACAAAAATTAACCGGGCATGGTGGTGCCGTGCCTGTAGTCCCAGCTGCTCTGGAGGCTGAGGCAGGAGAATCATTTGAACCCGGGAGGCAGAGGTTGCAGTGAGCTGAGATTGTGCCACTGCTCTCCAGCCTGGACGACAGAGTGACTCTGAAAAAAAAAAAAAAAAAAAAGCGGGAGAGAGTGGGCTTAGGTTGCGAATGCCATTAAATTTTTTCAACAGTTTAATGTTTGAGCATTTCAGTGTGCCATTGATTGAAATAAAACAAACAGACAAACCAAAACTGGTCCACCGTCACAGATAATTTAATACATACTGAAATAGACAACATGAAATTCAAGAAATCAAGGAGTTGAGAAATGCCACTAATGAAAAAACAACATAGATGTGAAAATTGCAACACATTAACTTCAAAAGAATAGAAGAATCAGTTCAAATAAATCAAGAAAATGGGCAAAAACAGTGAACAGATACTTTACATAAGGATTTCCAATACCCTATCAGTGCTATCTTGCGGGAAATGAGCAGGAAGCCACAGGAAGCTGCAGCGTCAGCCGATCAGCAAGGGTTAAAGACGTCTCGCAATCCTGAAAGTAAGCAAGTACGCTGACCACGCTGTCTCTAGAAAGCGCTGATTGGAGAGTGAGCCACTCAAGACCTCTAAAAACCACTCAAGCCCCGGGCAGCATCCACCCACGATAAACCTTTCCGCGCCCCTAGCAGCAATGCACGCCTAGCCCTGAGCACCAATAAGGATGCTCAGGCAGGACCCGGATGGCGAGGCGGGGACCTTGGTAGCGGCGCCACTGGCTGCGGCTGCAGAGTGAGAACAAGCAAACGCCCCCCACCGGCAGGGTGGAAGGAAAATGGAGTGCGTTGGCGCTGCGGAGGAGTCACTGCGGTGAGGATGGCCCGGACACCAATTTGGGCACCCGCAGGCGCAGCTAGCCGGTGGGGCGCACCTGGGTCTCCTCCGGCTTCCGCGGGATATCTGCAGGGCGACTCCCTCCAGATTCAGTAAACGTCCTGCTGGGGGAGTCCTTCCCCTGCAAAAGGCCCGCCCCTGCCTCCCATGTCGTGGAGTTCGAGGCAGGGTCCCTGAAAGGGTCTTGGGGTGGGAGGAGTCCTGTGAGATCACCGAATGAGTCAGGGTCTGGCCTGGGTCCCAGGCCCAGGGGTCCCGAGGCCCTGGGGCAGCTGGGTAGCTCTGCTGGCCGCCCTGTGCGGGGACTCTCTACCTATGCAGGTCTGGTCGGACCTGGAGGCAGCGGGTTCTGCTGCTGCGAAGATTCCCAACGGCCGGTTGGGGAGGGGCTGCACAATCCTGGACCTCGCGGGAGTACAGGACCCGCAAAGGCAGGGGAGTCGGATCATGTGCCAAGAGCATCCCGGGGTCCCGGCTGCTGGCTTGGCTGCCCTGGTCATCGCTGCGGTTATGTGCCGTTGCTACCGCAGAGCAAGCGGCCCCGGTTCTTGAACCACACCTGCACTTGATGGTCCTGCAAGTTGAGTCTGACAGCCAGGGCCCCCGCTCCTTGTGGGCTGTTACCTGCTCTTTCCAGCCTGTCTCCAGCTCCGGCGGCTTTCCCTTACTGTAGACTGCACTTCCTGCCGCCGCCTCCTGGGAGAGCGTGGGATGGTGGGGGATAACTAGGTTCTGGCATCCTCACTCCTCCTGCCCACAAGCGATGGGATTTAAATCGCACTGTCCATGCTGTGCTCATCGAGGCCCACCCTGCTTTTACTAGGACCCTCCCTGCAGTCCCCACTCCCTCCTTCCCACGAGTCTTGCAGTCATGGATTAATCCCTTCATTATTGACCAGCTGCTGCAGGCAGGCCCTGTGTCGTCCTGTATCACTTTAACGTGACCTCATTAGTCTTTGATTTCTCCTTCACTTTCTGGTACAATAAGAGACTTGTATCCAGTCTCCTTTTGTACATTTTTTGCCCTAGACTTAGAATCAGCCAATTTCATTGGTAAATGTTATCTAGAGAGTTCAGCCGTGGAAGTGTGCTCATTGTTACTGGGTTTTCATTGCTTCTGGGTCTTTTCAGTGGACAGAACTAGAAAATATGTATTTTTTAAAGAGTAAAACACAATGTGAGTTCATACTGCAATTTCCAATTCACTTTTAAGATTACAAGATTTTTACTTAAACTTCCTTGATTTTATGCTATGTCATTTTTATACTGAAAATTATGGTTCCTAATGATGGAAACATAGTAATTTAATAAAAATGTCAATACTAATATATGGCTACTGAATGCCATTTATGATTTCTTTCCTTTTTTCTTTTCCTTTTTTTTATTGTCCATAGCATATCTCTCACTTGGGATGTATAGTCAAAATGCTGCGTTTTAAAGCCACTTTAAGTAATTGTTTGCTTTATGTGGTTATGCCACACACTTTATATGCAGGAAGACTCATTCATTTCAGTTTACTTTAATTTTTAAAAATCACATAAAACACTTATCGTCCTCCCAAACTCTCTATTTATCCAGTTACAGTCACAGAAATCTTGCTTCTGTAACTTCCCGTTCACCCTGTTTCTTTTTCTTCCCAATAGATAACCATTAAAACAGTTTGGTTTTGGGTTTATCTGCCCATGGTTTCTTTTGATAATATCAATTAATATCTATCTATGCACTGTGAACTGAATTGTATTTCCCCAAAATTGATATGTTGAGGTGCTAAGCCCCAGTGTGATGGTATTAGGAGGTGGGGCCTTCAGGAGGTGATTGGGGTTAGATGAGGTCATAAGGGTGGGGCCCTCATGTTGGGATTAGTGTCCTTATAAGAAGGGACACCAGAGAGCCTGCTTGTTCTCTCTCTTCACCATGCGAGGGCACAGTGAGCTGTCTGCAAGCCAGGGAGAGAGCCCTCATCCAGGAACAGAATCCACTGGCAGCTTGATCTTGGACTTTCAGCTTCCTGGAGTGTGAGAAATAAATTCTTGTTGTTTAGGTTACCCAGTGTATGGTGTTTTGTTGTGGTAGTCCCAGCTGACTAATGCTCTACTATCTAGCTACCTCTCTGTCATCTACTTCCCCATCACTTACCTAAAAATTACCAATGATAAATATTACTGTTTGCTTCTTTCCTTTGCTTATTTATTTTTCCCCATATCAGTATATAGAGACACTTCTCATTCCTAATTACAGCTGCTCCATATTCCATTGTGTGGATGAAGGATAGTTTATTTAATCAGTCAGTCCTGTGTACTGTTTTAAACCTTCATTGAGACTGTTTTTCTTACCATTTCAGTCATTTAAATAATATTTGAAAATGAAAAACTCAAGTAAATAATAAAAAATCCTCCCACAGTTTATTTTTTAAAATTTAACTTTTGTTTATCAGAAGTCCTTAAATGAGGCATTTAAAAAAATTCCGAGAGCCCGCAGTTATGAGCGTGCATGAGGCAACCGCGGTTGCCATCAGATGAGAATGCCCCCTGCTGGCTCTTCATGTATGACCCCAGGCCCCCTCAAGCCACTCACTGCTGTGCGGAGTGTTCCCCGGCCACCAGTTATCTGCCCTGCCGTGCGCTGATAATCTCACATGGTACAAATATACTGTTGAGCTAAATTAGGGTCTTGTAGAAGGTGCAAAGTTTTCTGAAGCGGTTAAATGTGACTTTGGTGAAATCCTCTGTGGAATAGGCACATCAGAATGGAACAATTTGGGCCAGGTACTGTGGCTTATGCCTGTAATCCCAGCACTTTGGGAGGCCGGGGTGAGAGGATCACTTGAGGTCAGGAGCTTGAGACCAGCCTGGCCAACATGCCAAAACCCTGTCTCTACTAAAAATACAAAAATTAACCTGGTATGGTGGTATGTGTCTGTAGTCCCAGCTACTCAGGTGGGTGAGGCAGGAGAATTGCTTGAAGCCAGGAGGTGGAGGTTGCAGTGAGCCGAGATCATGCCACTGCATTCCAGCCTGAGTGACAGAGTGAGACTCCATCTCAATTAAAAAAAAAAAAAAAAAGAACAATTTGAATATCAAAACCATGAGGCCTGGGATAGGGTATGATTGTACAGGACAAATTGAACATGAAGCCAGGAACACTTGGTCACACTCAATACTGTCTGCACATACTTTGTAGAAAAAATCATATCTTGACTCCCTGTTCATTCTAAGAGTTAAATGTAATCAACTCATGAGCTCTAACTTGGAGTTGAAAGGAAATACAGGTAGAGGAACAAATTAAATGACACTGTGAAGAAAGAATCAGACAAATCCAGAAGGGGACATTCTTCATAACAACTGGCCTGATGTCTTCACCAGGTCAATGTTATGTAGTACCCCATGTAGTACCCCCTAGGGCCAGGGGAATGTTCCAGATCAGCACTGTCCAGTAGAATTTTCTGTGGTGACAGAAATACTCTATCATCTAAGTGCTACCAGTGAGCACTGGAAGTGTGGCTGTGAGTCTGAGGAGCTGCATTTTAAATGCTATTTATTTATTATTTATTGATAATCAATGACTTTAGACAGTGGCATGTGGGAAGCATCTACCATATTGGGCAGTGGATTATCTACAATAAAAAGGCCTCGGCTGGGCATGGTGTCTCATGCCTGTAATTTCAGCACTTTGAGAGACTGAAGTGGGTGGATCACCTGAAGTCAGGAGTTCAAGACCATCCTGGCTAACATGGTGAAACTACAAAAATTAGCTGGGCATGGTGGCGGGTGCCTGTAATCCCAACTACTGGGGGGCTGAGGCAGGAGAATCGCTTGAACCCGGGAGGCGGAGGTTGCAGTAAGCTGAGATCATGCCACTGCACTCCAGCCTGGGTGACAAGAGCGTGACTCCACCTTAAAAAAAAAAATTGCCTAGAAGTCATAGCAGCTCCATGCAATGAGTGGTTCTTGATTGGTTCTATGTTTGAACAAACCAACTATATGACCTTTTGGGGACTAACTGGGGGAAATTTAAATGTGGTTTGGGTATTAGATGATATTGGGGAACTTTTTTGTTGATTATCTTATCTGTGATAATGGCTATGTGTTTATGTAGGTAAATGTCATTTTTTTGAAATGATTCATATTGAAGAGTCATAACACTTGTAATTTACCTTAAAATACTTTAGCCAAAAAAAGTAAATGGAGAAAAATGTTAATAACTGTGAAATCTAGGTTCATTCTCTTTTCTGTTCTGCTTGAAGTTTTCATAATAAAAAGGAAAACCCCCAAACAGAGTAAAGGATCATTATAATTATAAACCAGCTTTTATTGAACATAAGATGAAATGCTTTCATAGTTTTTTATTTTATTTTTCAAAATAAAGTCTAAATATAAGCTTTTCTCCCCACTGTTGCCTATGGATTACAGTTCCTGCTTTAAGTAGATTTACCTTTAGTGGACTATTTTTTTGGTGCCAACGTATTTGGGTAACAAGGACCCTGCATTCCTGGGTAAAGTGCTTACAAGCTTTACAGCAAAGAATTCTAAAAAATTCCCTTTGAAAATGAGAGCAAAAACATTCCTTTTGAAAGCAGAACCAAGGCCGAAGATATATATTTGGGCGTTTCATATTTCCCTGCAGACTGGCTGTGCTGGCCCATTTCCCTGGCGACTCACTCATGCCATCTCCCTTCATAGACGCTGGGTTCTACTGTATCACTGAGCAGGGCTCCTGTCTCTCAGATGGGGATAACCCTGGTCTCCCAGGAGGTAGTGAGGATTAAATGAGCTGGTGTTGTCAACCCCACAGCAGCCTCAGGTTGGGTCCTGAGTAGCCACTGATGGAGGTGTCTCCATTGCAGAGAGATGCTGGGTGTGTCACACCTCCAGAGCTTCCTTTGGCTCTCAGATTCGCTGTGCAGCCTCTTTGAAAACAAAAGCTGCTGGAGGAATTTCCAGCAGGAGATTAACTAGGGGTCAAGGGGTCTGGACAGCCAGGGTGGTGGGTGAGGTGGTGGGCAGTACAACTGTAAGAAACCAATTGGTCTGAGCACAGAGAAGGGAATGGAGTATTTGAAGATATTATTTTGTTGGGTAAATCCTTTAACTTCCAAATGATATTGCAGTTCCCTGGGTTGGCTGTATTTTGTGCAAGGAAATGAGCCAGGCTTTATCCTCCTCAATGCTCCCAACCCCTGCTGAAGGCCATAGCATTGAATGAACCTGCACCTAGAAGCTGTTTTAAAATGCAGTGACCATTTTTATGCAGATGACTTACCATATCTTTTACTCTCCAGCCCAGACTCCTCCTCTGAGCTTTAAACCTCAGTATACAGCTGCTTACACAGCTACTAACATGAATTTTGCAAAGGCACCTCCAATCTGGCCCACTATCCAAGACAAAATGCAAGGCTTGAGGCCCTCCGACACTTGCTCCTCCTTAAATGAAAGGCATCATTTTCCACGCAGAAGCCTAAGGCATTCTTTTTTTTTCTTTTGAAACGGAGGTTCACTCTTGTTGCCCAGGCTGGAGTGCAATGGCGCAATCTTGGCTCACCGCAACCTCCTCCTGGGTTCAAGCGATTCTCCTGCCTCAGCCTCCAAAGTAGCGGGATTACAGGCATGCACCACCACGCCCGGCTAATTTTTGTAGTTTTAGTAGAGATGGGGTTGCTTCATGTTGGTCAAGCTGGTCTTGAACTCCCGACCTCAGGTGATCAGCTCGCCTCGGCCTCCCAAAGTGCTGGGATTACAGGTGTGAGCCACCGCACCTGGCTGCCTAAGGCATTCTGATCCCCTTCCTCCTTCTCTTCCCTCCCAGAGCCAATCTTAACTAAATCTGGTCAGTTTCTCCTCTACTGCCAGAATGCATACACTCTTGTTCCATTTTCACCCCCGCCATCTTCCAAACACTTGGCTCTTCATATATCACCCCTCTACATAACATTTCTTCAACAGCTGTCCGTTGCTGTTGGGATCCTTAACAGGGCCAAAACCTTACATGATCTGATCCTTGCCCACTTCTCCTGCCTTATCTTATCTCATTCTCTGCTCTGACTCTAGTTCAACAGTGGAAAATGGACTTGGCCAGAAAGGGGATTATTTGGCACCAGCCTGTGGGACACAGACTTCAGTAGAAGAGAAAGTTTGTTCTGGTTTCTTATCACAAATCTACCACCTGAAAAGCAGAGGGACACCACTAATATCATTGGGTTTTGACAACCTGAGCTGGCTCAGTTAGCTTCCAGTTACCTCCCTTTTCTGGTTTGCAAAGCTCCTGCCTGTATGTGCGGTTGGTACCATAGGGTGGATGTGTGGGTTGACCTGGGTGAGATTGTGACCTGGTTTGAAGCCTACTGGCTTTCCATTGTTCCTTGAACCTGGATAGCAGTTGCATGGCATGGTAGATCAGTCTTTAAATCCTGGCTGTTCCATTTAGTAGTTCTACAACCTTGGACAGGATTGGAACCTCTCTGATTTTCTCAGTTTCTTCATCTATAAAATAGACACAATCTTATGTGTTCTGCCTGCCCCCAAGGGATTGCTCTGGGGCTCAGATAACTCATTCAGCCATCATGTATGGTGATCACACAGGTTACTGTTCAAACTGGGCCAGTTTTGAGACGGTCAGGGTATGCACTTCATAATTACACAGAAAGTCACCCTCCGTAGGGAGGACCACCTTCCTCTATACCTTGGCCTTTGCTTACAGGTCATCACCTGGGTGGAGGTGAGCAGGGTTGCCAGGCATCCTGAAGATGATGTCAAATGAAATGTGCTTGTAAAGGAATATGTGCTTTTTGTCCTCACAGAGATTATTTCAACTCCTCAGATAATCCAAGATAAACAGTGGAGTGGTTTTTAGAAGCTACTAAATTACACACTTTAGTCCTGCTGAGATGGAACAACGCCCCTCTCCCTTTTAGGGGCCTGCAAACCCACAAGCATGGAAATAAGGAAAATCCCAAAGTTCCTTTAAGAGAAATTAGAGGGATCTGGGTAGCCCCAGAGGTAATTAAGTAACTTGTTAAACAAGGATAGTAGCTTAAGAATAATAGCCAAGGGACTTAAAGCTCCAGAGATGTTTGTTTTCCCCATAGAAACTAAAGATAATGTCTTAACATATGTCCCTGAGTTGCCTTTCAGAAGCTTGGACCCCCCTGAGGACCCCCACTGAATGGATCAGCTGGCATAGAGACCCCAGATGAGGGAGAAACAAACTAAAGTTCAACTATTGTCCTTTGTTCTAAGTTTCTTTGTGAGGGTCTTCGAGAAAGTCACTCTCCCTAGCAAGTTAATGTTTTTCTACTGACTCCCTATATTTTTAAATTTTACTTTAAGTTCTGGGATACATGTGCAGAATGTGCAGGTTTGTTACATAGGTATACCTGTGCCATGGTGGTTTGCTGCACCCATCAACCCGTCATCTAGGTTTTAAGCCCCACATGCATTAAGTATTTGTCCTGATGCTCTCCCTCCCCTTGCCCCTCAACCCCCCAACAGGCCCCGGTGTGTGATGTTCCCCTTGTCTTTATAGTAGCATGTGTCTTTATAGTAGAATGATTTATAATCCTTTGGGTATTGCTGCTGATGCCCTAATGTTTAAACAAAGCTTCTCTTACTTAACTAATTGCAAACCAGATCTTGGTATCTACCCATGATCTATGAGCCCCCATTCAAGATGTCCCATCCTTTTAAGCTTACACCAATGTGTAACCTCTGTGTATTGATTTACCTGTAGCTTCCGTTTTCCTGAAAGTTGCCCCTGCCTTTAAAAACACTGGCCTGCGAGCCATCCAGGAGGCCAGATCTTGAGCAGTTAGCTGCCTGGTCCTCCTCGCTTAGTGCTCCACAGTAACCACCCTCCTTTCTACCATGGCAGAAAGCTTGGTGTGAGTATCTGGTTTTATTGTGCAGGGAGAGTGACCACCAGTTTGGTTCTATAACACTGCCACTGTGTCCCTTCTTTGAAGGGAAGCCTGCAAAGGAGGGAAAAAGGCCGCATCAGCGGTAGAAAGGCATTACATAAACTCCCAGTCACCAGCTTGGACCCTAGTCCATTCTGTTCTCTTTAATCTTTTTTTTTTTGGACGGGGTGGTGGGAGGCGAGGTGGGGTAAGAAGCTTCCAGTAGAAACCAGAAAACCTGCTAGACAAATTCTAAAAGAGTTCTTAATATTGTCCACTTCTTTCCACCTTTGTCCTTCAGTTTTCCTCAGTCTCTTTTTCTGTCTTTGTCTCTCTGCCTGGTCTCGTCTTCTCTCCCAAGTCTGTCTTAATAACCTCAGGTGCAGGGCGGTTTGTCATGCATCTTGCAGTGGGACAGCAGGAAACGGCTTGGTGGGACCCCACTGTCTATCTGAGGGTAAACCATTCACTACCGTGGCTCTGCAACCAGGCGGGATAGAGTGAGGTGAATGAGGCACTCTACTGGAGGCAAACATTTTAAAGGCACCCAAAGTACTCAGGCGTCAATTTTTTTTAATATAATAGTTAATATGAGATTAAAAAAAATAGTTAATGTGAGATTTCCATGGTGAGCAAAATATCAAAAATTTAAATGACAGGATCAGTGCCAGTGCACTGATTTTTAAATTTATTTTATTTATTTTATTGCAACCTGAGGGAAAAGGAAAAATCTGTAATGTCAGTTCTGTCTTTACTTAGGATTTTGATATTTTGTTTATCACGGGTTTTTGGGGGGATTAAATCTGCCACAAGGGCACTGTAGAGCTGAGCCTCCGTGGGAACTGCCATTCCGCTAGGGTAGGATGTGCTTCCACAAAAGGGCTGGGCCCAAGAACGTCCCATCCACTGCAAGCTACAAGGTGCAGGGGTAGAAGCGGCCCAGATGGAATTCCTATGGGGCTGCGGAGGGGAGAAGGCTGACCCTGAGAATGAGGGCCAGAGAGGAGGGTGAGCGCGGCCCCTCTTCCAGGCAGGAAGCCCTGCTGGACGCCCGCGTGGTGGTCCCCGAGACTCGCTCAGGGCCACGTGGGAGGAGAAGCTGCAGCCCACGCGTGAGGAAACTGGGACGTCGCTTTGCGCACGTGGACAGTGGTGGTCTCCAGGCGCTCCGGCTGTGGCCCCTTCAGAAGCACCTGCCAAGACACCTGTGGCTCCGGGCATCTGGAGAACCACGGCCCAGAAGGAGCCTACTGTTGGGGAGGGTGGGCCTGGGGCCACACACCCGTAGCTCCCTCTGGGGGTAGAGACCAGAGCTGTCCTCTCGCACCCGCACCCGCACCCGCACGCTCTCCCTCAGCAGATAAACCCTGCGCGGGCACGTCCTCAGGGCTGAGGCTGGCAGCCAATTCCATCTCTCTCTAGGGTCTCTTCTCCCAGGCCTTTCTCTCTGGAGACCTCTGGGTTAGGGGGGCCAGAGTTCCCAGGACCAAGCAGCTGCTGTGGTTTCCACTGGGTCCTGCTCTCCTTGTACCCCTCCCTCTGCCTCCCACCTCGGCCTGTTCCCTAAGGCTGCTCCCGCGGGACCCTGTTGTCCAGCCCCAGCTCTGTGCTGAAGGGGGCTCAGGCAGCCCCTCTCATGTTTGTGGCCCTACCCAACACTCTGCCCTGGAGGGTCTTCAGAACCCCTTTGTTGGCGCAGAGGAGCCCACGCTTGCCTCCCCTCACCCAGGATCCCCTTGTCCCGGGAGGGCCACCCCACAGACCACTCACTCTTATCCCTCCCTCCAGACCCCCACACATGGAGGCACAGGAGAGTCCCAGGCCAGCCCAGCCATGCCATGGAGCACAGTGCTGCTGTGCCCACTTGGGTGCAGGGGTTTTATTTGGAAGGTGATCCCAAAGGAAGCAGGAGAGAGGAAATGGGGCAGAGGGCAACAGGAAAGGAGGCAAGAACAATATAAGGTAGGAATTTGAGGTCACCACTGTGGGCAATGGGGCCACTTCCAAGGATTGTTCCCTGAAAGGCCAGGCGCCTTCTACCAGGTCCCATCCACCACTGGTTGGGGTGGGCCCCAGGAGGCATCAAAGACTTGGGGAAGGTGCACAGACTCATAGCTGTTCCTGCTCATTCCTTAGGTCTCAGAGCCTCCTCCACCTGGCCGAGACCTGGAGTGCCCACTCTGCACTTGGAGCTTCCTCATGCTGGGTTGTTTCCAAACGTGAGCACCTGTAGATGGGATCACAGGTCTTCCCTCACCTTCCTCTTGTCTCCACCGTAGTTCACGGTCTGGCACACAGATTGGCCCGCATCAGGCCTGCAGTAACTGCTTTTCAGATAAAAGTGTTAACTCACAGAGGACAAACGCTTTTCTTCTCTTTTGCCAACTCTTATTAGTCAGTAGTGGCTACTTGGAGGAATGTGTTAGGTGAGATTCTGAGGCTGGATTCAGGTTTGGCAGAGAAGAGTGTCTGTCATGGAGGGCCATGGTGGTGGCAGCACTCATGTCCCCGCTGACATTTCTCAAAGTTAGACTTTCTGTAAAGGGAGGCAGTTTTTTAGACACTAGAATATCTTAGGACTTGTCTAAGGAATCAGCGCAGTCTAGTGAACATGCTTGGAATGTAGGTTTTTGTGACAAAGGGAAGAAGCCCCTTACAATGGTGATTGCCTATTAGATTCTAGAAACTGTGCTAGGTATTTGATATGTTTTCTCATTTAATCTCCATAGTATCCCCAGAAGTTCATGTTATTTCCGTTTTTCTTGATGACTAAGTTGAGACTCAGAGATGTTGAGTAAATGTTACCCAAGATCACACAGTTATGAAGCCGATGTTCTCATCACATCACATCACTTGCAGGCAAGAGGTTTCCTTGCAGGCAAACCTCTGCAAGCACGAGCATGAGACCAGTCAGCAGTCTGGGGAGTGTACGTGGAGAGTTTACTCTATTGCACACAATGACATAAACAGGGGCAGAGAGACCCAAACACTGCAAGTGCCAAGAGAAAAGATAATTTAGGCTGAGCTGGTGATCAGAGAAAGCTTCCTGGAGGAAGCAGAGCATGAGGAGAGCCTAGAAAGGAGAAAAATGGTTGGCATCTGGGTAGCAAGAGAGTAAGGGATGGACATATTGGGGGGGGCACAGCCCTGGTCAGAGGGAGATAGCCCTGGGAATCAGACAGGCATGTTGGTGACCAGTGTGGATGGCCTGAAGGTTGGTGGAGGAGCTGAGCCTCAAAGCACAGATGGTTGGGGACCTGCAGAACCGGATTTAGTAGCAAGACAGAGCTGGAGCAGACAGAGAGGCAGTGTGGTGGCTGCAGGGTTTAGAGGCATTCATCAGGGAGTACCACCTGCAGATATGGGATGAAAGGACAGGAGCCTCAGCAAGGGCTCTTGTGAAGGGTGTGGTGGGCTGGGATGTGTTTTCACCCACACATACATGCCTACCTCCCTGAGCCCTCCTAGGTAAGGGAGCTGTGACCTTGCACAGGCCAGGTGAACTCCTCTAAAGGCTGATGCTTCCTGAACTGCGAGGGTGGAAGTTACTTTCAGCTCCCTGCATTCATTGTTAACTGAGGAGGATGCTAACCGGGGCTGTTGTTTACATCAGATAATAGTCAATAAACCCCATGAGGGAGCCTGCAGTGTGGCCAGCAGGGGAAGTCACCAGCCTGTGGGGGCTCCACGGTGGGCCCAACCTACCACTTTAATTTCATACTTCTGTAGAGTGATTTCTTGAAGCCTTCTTAAGTGACTGCCTAAAGCCCTAGTCACAGAAGGTGTTTCAGCTG
This sequence comes from Homo sapiens, assembly GCF_000001405.40. Lineage (NCBI taxonomy): Eukaryota > Metazoa > Chordata > Mammalia > Primates > Hominidae > Homo > Homo sapiens. Next base: position 127,013,899 of record NC_000002.12, on the reverse strand, counting down.
CCAGTGGCCAAAATCCCAACTCGAGCAGCTTTTCAGGAGCAGGGGATTGATTTGCCTGGGTGTTAGGCTCAGTTCCCTAGTTCCCACGTCCATTCTATGTGAGTCTCTTGGCTCTGCTTTCTTCTCCATGCTGGGAGCCACCCTCAGGCTGGCCTTGAACTCCTGACCTCGTGATTCGCCCACCTTGGCCTCCCAAAGTGCTGGGATTACAGGTGTGAGCCACTGTGGTATCACCTTTAACTCAAAACAGTCAATATGCTGTAGCAACGTATTTTGGGGTGGCATGTTCTTTTTTTGGGGGGTGGGAGGGGCTGTTTCTCTGTTGTCCAGGTTGGAGTGCAGTGGTACAACCATGGCTCACTGCAACCTCAACCTCCTGGGCTCAAGCGATCATTCTGCCTCAGCCTCCCAAGTAGCTGAGACCACAGACACACACCACCACGCCTGGCTAATTTGTGATGGCATGTTCTTAACTCCTTCACTCTCTTTGCTTCTCCACCTCTCTGCTGCTGTCTCTGCCACTGTGTTTCTCTGTCTCTTTGTGTCGCTTTGTGTCTCTGTCTCTTAGTCTCTCCCTGTCTCTTTCTCTCTTATCTATCTCTCTCAGTCTCTCTGCCTCTCAGTCTGTCTCTTTCTCTCTCTGTATGCATGCATCTCTCTCAATCTCTCTTTCTCTCTGTATCTGTCTCTCTGTCTCCCAAAAACACACACTCGCTTTCTCTGCTCGTCCACACGTGTGGGCACACATGGCTGCCCAGCCCAGATACGACTCACTTCCTAGGACATGTTTAGCAGAACTAGAATAGAGCACACAAGCTGGGTAGACTAATGTTAGCAGTGAGAAGAACTCGGGAAACATGCTGCTTGGATTTTGACCCCCAGTCTAGCACTTACTAGCTGTACACGTGTTACCTATTAATGACTTCTCTGACCAAGTGGTGAGAACAATAGCACTTATCTCACAGGGGTTTTGTGATGATTAAATTACAACAGTAATTTAAAAGAGAACCCGGCAGTGGTTAAGTACACTGATAATGTTCACAAATCTTATTCTTATTCTTCACCTTCTTGACATTGTTGTTGCCATCTCTGAGTTCCAATGTCAGTTTCTGAGAATCAGAGTCTGAGTGGCTCAGGTTATACTGGACTGTATGTTTGGTATATTTGGTGCAATTGGCTGAACAAAAGCCAGCACTGGAGAGCCACCATGGCCCACCCAAGAGCATGGGGGGGTGGAGTGGGGAGACAGGTGGACCTCCGGAAAGGCAGGGATGGGTTGAACGGCAAGCCAAAGATGGCTCTGAGAGCCAGGGTCACCAATCATCCCAGTTTGCCTGGGACTGAGGGGTTTCCCTGGAAATGAGACTTTCAGTGCCAAAATAAAGAAAGTCCTGGGAAACTGGGAGGGTTGGTCACTCTATAAGTCAAAACTGATTTTGATGACTTCCAGATGGGGTCAGCGTGCCCGGCACAATGTGTGTTGATGAAATCCCTTTTGAAATCCCTGGAGGAGGGTGAAAAGGTGGATGAGGCCATTTTGCAAGCCTTTTTGCAATATGTCCTAGTCTGCTCCCACCTAGGGAGGTTTGAATCCACCACCCCTCTTCCCTGCCACTCCCCAGCCCTGACCTTGCTTGCTGCTGACATTGGTTAGCTTTTCCAATACTTCTGTAACTGGCAAAAAGGTCTGGCTGCTCACCACTTGTAAAAAGGAGCCAATGAGTTTTATTATCCATGCTAGCATGGGGAGGAGTGAATGAAATTCTTTCCAAAAATGTCCACTCTTCAGTTTGTGGAGGGAATGCGGTACTTTTTAAAGAGAGGGTTTGGAATGAGAGGCGGGGGTGGGGGTGGGGGGTGGGGGCTAGGAGGTGCCAGCTGGCATGATCCGCTTCTATGGCTCAACTTGAATTATTGTATTATCTGGTGAAGGGACCGGCACCATCGTGGCTGGGGGTGTCTGCTCCGTATTAGGATCTGGCCGCTGAAGCTTCTACAGGAATATATGACCAGATAAGTGAGTATGGTGTGTATTTAACAAGCATCTAGGTAAATAAATGCGCATAAGACAGAGGAGCATAGAGTGGGAAAAGAAAGGGAGGGGAGGTTCACAGCACATTTCCAGGCTGTATTTCAAGATGAAAGATAAGGCATATGCAGTTTGTCTCAAAGTTATGTCTTGAAACTGGGGGAGGGGAGGAGGAAAGGGAAAAGGAAAAAGTTTTGAAACATGGTTTGAGGCTAAGCTGCTCAGTTACACCTGCAGTGTGTCAGCTGTCTCCCAATGCCAGCGCCATGACTAAGAAGGTCTTTCCCACCTCCTAAAACTTCTCCTTCCACCGACCTGCCACAGCACATGAAACTTGACTATTTTCTCCTTTGGTTTAATGCACTCAAGACTGAATTAAGATTCAAGTGTTTTATGGAAGGCAGAGTGCATTAAGCTGTTATGGCTCATTAGGGTCTTAGCCTGGATAACTTCATTGGATTAGTCAGTCCCTGAGTAGTGCTATAGTCTAGGGCACAGAAGACTGATGCTTGGAAGGGAGAGGGGAAAACTGCAGCAAGAGGCTGACCCAGCCAGAAGATCAGGGCCCTAGTGGTGCCAAGGCAGGAGTGGGTGGAGCAGCCCTAGTGCAGAGAAGGCAGGGGGAGGAGGCAAGTACTGTCTCCCCCAGTCAGCTGTCCAGTCTGTGCTCAACTGGAAGTGCTTGCTTCTCCTCTATCCAGGGGAAACTGGTTGAGAACTTGGACAACTTTTTAAAGAGTTAGGAAGAAAAGGATGGGGCTGAGAATGGCCTGGACTTGAGGGCTGGTATGGAACATCCCCAGTGCATCTCTAAGGAAAACTGGCTTTCAGGAGTTGCTTCTTTTCTGAGTCCGGTTTTTTTTTTTTCGGTATCCACGTATGGTGGGCAGGGGATATTGGGACACGAAGAGGGAAGTTATGTGATATATTCACTCATTCACCAACTCCCTCACTTGCCCACTGATGGAACTATTTTTAAACAAAACGACACTTTAAAAATAAGCTTATAAGACTGACCAAGAAAAAAGGAGAGTGACTCAAATTACTAAAATCAGTAATGAAAGTGGGAACATTACTACCCATTCTACAGAAATAAAAAGGATTATAAGAGAGTACTATGAACAATTGTATGCCAAGAAATTGGATAATCTAGATGAAATGAACAAATTTCTAGAAACATAAAACCTACCAAGGCTGAATTACAAAGAAACAAAAAATCTGAAAAGACCTATAACTAGTAAGAAGGTTGAATCAGTAATCAAAAATCTCCTGATAAAGAAAAGTTGTGGATCTGATGGCTTCACTGCTAACTCTACCCAACATTTAATAAACTAATGTCTATTATTCTCAAACTTTCCCAACAAATTGAAGAGGAAGGAACACTTTCTAACTCATTTTGTGAGGACAACATTGCCCAGGTACCAAAGCCAGACAAAGCTATGAACATTGATGTAAAAATCTTTAGCAAAGTACTAGAAAACTGAATTCAGCAGCATATTAAAAGGATTATACACTATAACCAAATGTGATTCATACCCAGAATGTAAGGATGGTTCAACCTGTGAAAATTGATCAATATAAAACACCACATTAACGCAACAAAGGAAAAAAAATGACATGGTCATCTCAGTTGATGCGGAAGCAGCATTTGACAGAATTCAACACTTATAATAAAAAGAAGCAGCACTCTAGGAATAGAAGGAAACCATCTCAACATAAGAAAAGCCATGTATGAAAACTGAGGCAACATCATGCTTAGTGGTAAAAGACTGAAAACTTCTTTTAAGATAAGGAACAAGGCAATAATGCCACTTTTGCCACTTTTTTTCAATGTATTACTGGAAGTGCTAGCTGAACAATTAGGCAAGACGAAGAAATAAAAGGCATCCAAATCTGAAAGAAAGAAGTACAGTGACCTCTGTTCACAGATGATCTGATCATAGATCTAGAAAGCCCTAAAGTTCCACAAAACACTATGAGAACTAACAAGTGAATTCAGCAAAGTAGCAGGATACAAAATCAACAAGCAAAAATCAGTTGCATTTCTGCACACTCACAATGAACAATCTGAAAAGGAAATTAAGAAAAGATCCTATATACAATATTATCAAAAGTATAAAATACTTAGGAATTAACTTATCCAAGGATGTGAAAGACTTGTACAATGAAAACTACAAGACATTGCTGGAATAAATTAAAGAACATAAAAATAAATAGAAAGGCATCCCATGTTTGTGGATTGGAAGACTTAATATTGTTAAGATGTCAATATTACCCAAAGTGATCTACAAATTCAGTACAATCCCCATAAAAATCGCAGCAAACTTTTTGCAGAAGTAGCAAAATATATCCTGAAATTCATATGGAATCTCAAGACAAACCAAATAGCCAAAACTATCTTGAAAAAGAAGCAGAACGTTGGACTCACACTTCTTGATTTCAAAATTTACTAAAAGCTACAATAACCAGAACTGTGGTACTGGATAAAGATAGGCATAGATCAATGAAACAGGATAGAGAGGTCAGGAATAAATCCTTGCATAAATGGTCAAATTAGTTTCTACGAGTGTGCCAAAACCATTTAATAGGTAGTGGACAATCTTTTCAACAAATGGTGCTGGGAAAACTGGATATCTACATGCAAAAGAATGAAGTTGGACCCTTATCTAACCCCATATACAAAAATTAACTCAAAATAGATCAAAGAGCTAAACAGAAGAGCTATAACTATGAAACTCTTAGGAGACAACATATGGCAGAAGCTTAATGAAACTGGATTTAGCAATAATTTCTTGGATATAACACTAAAGACATAGGCAATAATAATAAAAACAGACAAATTGGATCTCACAAAAATTTTGAAAATTTGTGCATCAAAAGACACAATCAACAGACTAAAAAGACAACGTATAGAATGATAGAAAATATTTGCAAATTACGTATCTAATAAGGGATTAATATTTAGAATATCTAGGGGACTCCTAAAACTTCACAACAACCTCAAAAAAACCCAGTTCAAAAATGGGCAAAGGATTTTGTTATGAAGGAACTGAATCTGCTGGCACTGTGGTCTTGGACTTTCCAGAATTGTGAGAAATAAATATTTGTTTTTTAAGCCACCCAGTCTATGATATTTTTGTTACAGCAGCCTAGCAGCTAAGACTGACTTGAACAGACATTTCTCCAAGGAAGATGCTAAGACCGACTTGAATAGACATTTCTCCAAGGAAGACATACAGATGGTCAATAAACACATGAAAAGATGCTAAACATCACTGAATGTTAGGGAAATGCAAGCTAAAACCACAAAAAGATACCAACTCACACCCAGTAGGATGGCTACTCCCTATCTATCTTTCTTTCTGTCTGTCTATCTATCTATCTGTCTATCTATCATCTATCTATCTATCTATCTATCTATCTATCTATCTATCTATCTCATCTATCATCTCACGAGACAATAACAAGTATTAGAGAAGACGTGGAAAAATTGGAACCCTTGTGCATTGCTGGTGGGAATGTAAAATGGGGCAGTTGTCATGGAAAACAGGATGGCAGTTCCTCAAAAAACTAAAAACTACAGTAGAGTTACTATATGATCCAGCAATTGTACGTTTGGGTAGATACCCAAAAGAATTGAAAGCAGGGTCTTGAAGAGACATTGTACACCCACCTTCATAACAGCGTTACTGACAGTAGCCAAAAGGTGGAAGCAACCACTGAACTGTATACTTAAAAATGGCTAAGATGATACATTTTATATTATGTGAATTTTGCGATAGTTAAAAATATGAGAAACAAGAATAATCTGGGATTTGTTATTCAGATTGAGGATGTACCTTAGGCTTTCTAGAACCACAGGTTTGTAAGTCTCAGCTTTCCGCCAGAGGTAATACTCAGTGGTGTATCATTTCTTTCTTCCCCTTCTCTTTCCCTTTCCTCCTCTTTGTCCTTCTCTGCTCTCTTTTTTTTCTTAAAAATGCAAAGCTAACTATGATTAATCCAGAACTTTATGTAATACAACCATGAGTCAGAAAATAGTTATTTTCAGTCCATGTGTCATGACTCCAAAGTCATGGGAAATAAGACATGGTGCTTATGGTGAGAAAAGGATTACTATTGACTTACGGCCATTACCATACCAAAGGTGCCATAAATAGTTACCTGGGATGCTCCAGACGAGAGAACTAGGGGTAACCTAGCTTTCCAGTTAGTTGTGGGCTTAGTTCTTCACATTATTAAGAGAGACTTTTTAAAAATTTAAAAATGGTTTTCATATAGAAATAAAAGTAATTTTTTCTTTTTTGGATGCTATTGTAAATGATCCTGTACTTTTAATTTTATTTTCCAATTTACTTCTTGCTCCTGTCTAGAAAGAAAATTACATATGTTGATTCAAAAACTTGTATAAAATGTTTATAGTCGTAGCTTTATTCATAATCACTTCAAAATGGAAACAACTCAAATGTCCATCAACAGGTGAGTGGATATTGCGGAATATCCCTGCAATAAAATGCTACTTAGCAATAAAAAGTTACTGATGCCTGCTACAACATGGGTGTATCTCAAAATATGCTGTGTGAAAGAGGTCAGACAAAAAAGTACATACTTCGTGATTCCATTTATGTACATCTTTAGAAAATGAAACCTCTATAGTGACATGCAGACAGTGGTAGCCCAAGGATAGGGGAAGCACGGGAGAGAGGGGCAGGAGGAAACTTTCAGAGGTGATGGATGTGTTCACAATCTTGACTGTAGTTTGGTTTTACAGGTGTACACACGTGTCGAAACTTACCAAGTTGTATGATTTAAATGTGTGCAGTTTATTATATGTCAATTACACCCCCCAAAAGCTGTTAAATAAAGAATGAGTCCTCCAGGAAAAGGAAAAAACAGAGTTTTCTTAATTGACCTTGTATCCTGCAACTTTGGTAAATTTAGTTATTAGTCCTTACAGTTTTTTGTAGGCTTTTTGAGATTTTCCATGTGCACAGTTATATCTTCTGTGAAAACGGCAGTTTTATTTCTTTCCAGTCGTTATGACCTTTACTAATTTTTCCCTGCCTGTTGGGCTGGGGAAGATCTCCATTACTGTGCTGAAATGAAATGGCAGGTGGACACCCTTGCCTTGCTCTTGATCTCAGGGGAAAGCATTCAGTCTTTCACCAGTAAGTAGGATGTTAACCATATATATTTGTAGATGCCCTTTATCAGGTTGAGGACATTCATTCCTACTCCAATTAAAAAAAAAATCACAGGCTGGGCATGGTGGCTCACGTCTGTAATCCCAGCACTTTGGGAGGCCGAGGCGGCCGGATCATGAGATCAGGAGATCGAGACCATCCTGGCTAACATGGTGAGACCCCATCTCTACTAAAAATACAAAAAATTAGCCGGGTGTGGTGGCAGGCGCCCGTAGTCCCAGCTGCTCGGGAGGCTGAGGCAGGAGAATGGCGTGAACCCGGGAGGCGAGCTTGCAGTGAGCCAAAACCGCGCCACTGCCCTCCAGCCTGGGTGACAGAGCGAGACTCTGTCTCAAAAAAAAAAAACAAACAAAAAAAACACAAATGGTTGTATTTTGTCAAATGTTTTCTCTGCATCAATTGATATAATCGTGATTTTCTCATCTTTTGTGTTAATGTGTTGATTAAATTTTGGATGTTGATGGCATTGATGTGGTGATTAGTTTTTGATATGAATGTTAAGCCAAATTTATATTCCTGGGATTAACTCCACTTGGTCATGGTTTTTAAAGTATATCGGTGGGTTGTGGTGGCTTTATGAAATGAGTTGGAAAGTGTTTCTTTCTCTTCTGTTTGCTGAAATAGTTTGTGTAAGATTTTATAGAATTCATCAGGAAAACCATCTGGGCCTGGAGTTTTCTTTTTGGGAAGGTTTTAAGTTATGTCATTAAAAAACAGACAGATGAAAGGCTTTTCAGATTTTCTTTTTCTTCTAGGTCAGTCATGTGGTGATTTCTGTCTTTCAAGGACTTCTCCATTTAATCTAAGTTGTTGAATTTATTGGCATGGAGTTTATCATGGTATTTCTTTATTATCCTTCCTATTATTACTGAATCAAACCTAGGTCTTCTTCCCCAGCTCAGTAAAGGCCGACGTCCACACCAGGGTTTTGCAGGGAGAGAAAGGAGGGTGTTTATTTGCAGGGCAGCAAGCAAGAAAAATCAGGCAGCTCATGTTTAAGACCCGACCTCCCTGGTGGCTTACAAGCAAGGGCCTTTAAAGGCAGGGGTACATTTCAGGAAGGCAAAAGTTACAGGCAAAATAGTAAGTCAATACATGGAAGTTTGGCCTAAAAAGGCAGGATATCTTGAAGGCAGGCGGTGGGGGCCTATAGGTCATAGGTAGATTCAGAGATTCTCTTATTTTCAATTGGTCAAGGAAGCAAAACTTTGTCTAAAACTTGAAGTCCACAGAAAGGAATGTTGAGCTCCGGCCTGTGGACGTGACCCTCTCCAGGCCTCTCGGGAAGAAATTTGAAACAAAGAATGGTGGTCAGTTCCCCCTTATGTTAGATCTAAGCTCCAGCAGATGGCATTTTTCAGTTGGTGGGGGTCTGGGTTTTTGAAAACAACTCAGGAACATATGTTAAGATAAGTTTCCATAGGAACCAAACATCTTGTGACTCTAACTTCCTTGGCTATTGTTTTAAGCTATCAGGTCGCTCATTTACTTCTCAAGGCCAGCTAGGTGTCTGGAATTTCCCTTGAAGAAACTAAAGATTTTCCTTCATTTCCATGCTTGGCAGAGTGGGAGGGGAGGCCCAGCAGGCCAGGAGGAGGGGTCCCTACTCCATCCCATTGTGTCTATAGCATTTGTAGTGGTGTCTGCTCTTCCATCCCTGATGCTGGTACTTTGTGTTTTTCTCTTCTCTGTCTTTCTTAGTCCAGCTAGAAGTTTATCGATTTTCTTAACCTTCCCAAAGAACCAACTTTTGGTTTCATTTATTTTCTCTGTTGGTTATTTATTTTCTATTGATTTCACTTTTATATTTGCAACTTTCTTTTGTCTACTTATTTTGGGTTTAATTTGCACTTCTTTTTTAGTTTTTAAATGTGAAATCATAGGTGATTAATGTTAAACCTTTTTTTTCCTGGGATGATTACAGCTTGAGCTGTATTCTACAGATACTGATATTTTGTATTTTATTAACATTTAATCTATTTATTTAGAGATTTTCCAAAATTACAAAAAGTATTCTAATTAAATTCCTTTTTGGTCAGAGAATATATTTTGTGTGATTTCAATCTTTGGGAATCTCTTGAGCCATACTCTCTGTTTTGGTGAAAGTTCTACATACACTTGAAAAGGCAGGGTATTGGTTTCAGTGCTCTACAAAGTCAAACAGGCCATCACTTCTCAACCGGGGGTGATTTTCTTCCATCAGGAAACACTTGGTGATGTCTAGTGATACTTTTTTGTCACCCCTGAGGGGAGGGAGCTACTGGCCTCTTGTGAGTAGAGGCCAAGGATGCTGCTAAACATCCTACCATGCACAGTGCAGCCCCCACAACAAAAAATTTCGCAGCCCCAAGTGCCAGTGGTGCCAAGGTTGAGAAACTGCGTTAAGTTGGTTAAAGTGTTGTTTAAATCATCTATATGCTTGCTGATACTTTGTGAGTAGCTCAATCAATTATGGAGAGAAGAATGTTAAAATTTACAACTAGGAGCTGGGCGCAGTGGCTCACGACTGTAATCCTAGCACTTTGGGAGGCCAAGGTGGACGGATCACTTGAGGTCAGGAGTTTGAGACCAACCAGGCCAACATGGTGAAACTTTGTCTCTACTAAAAATACAAAAATTAGCTGGAAATTGCTTGAACCCGGGAGGCGGAGGTTGCAGTGAGCTGAGACCATGCCACTGCACTCCATCCTGGGCAACAGAGTGAGACTCTGTCTCAAAAAAGATTTTACCACTGTGATTGTGGATTTTTCTATTTCTCCACTTATTCTATCAGTTTTTGTGTCATTTATTTGATACTCTGTTATTAGGTACAGACACTTTAAAGATTGTGATATTGTCTTAATGAATTGACTCTCTTATTATTATGAGATGTCCTATAGTAGTCTGCTGGGTGGCCATAGCAATGTACCACAGACTGGGTGGCTTAGACAACAGGAATTTATTTTCTCGAAGTCTTGGAAGCTGGAAGTCCGAGATCAATGTGTCGGCAGTTTGGTTTCTCCGGAGAGCTCTCTCCTTGGCCTGCAGATGGCTGTCTTCTCCCTGTGTCTCACATGGCCGTCCGTCCCTCTGTGTGTGTCTCTGTCCTAATCTCCTCTTATGAGGCCATCAGTCATCTTGCATTAGGGCCCACCCATATGACCTCATTTGAACTTAATTATCTCTTTAAAGACCTGTCTCTGAATGCAGGCACACTCTGAGGTACTGGGGTTAGGACTTCAGCATATGAATTTTCAGGGACACAGTTCAGTCTATGACATATCCCTTTTTAATCTCAGGTACTGCTCCTATATTCAGTGGGAAAGATAGTAAACAAACTACATGACCATGTAAGTACTTAATGTAAGGTGCTGATGTGGCATGACAAAATTAAAGCCAGGTGAGGAGATGCAAAGTCCAGGCAGGAAGACATTGTTTAAAGGGGAGGTCAGGGAATGGAGCATCTGAGCAGACACAGCCAGGTCTGCTTCTAGCCTGTCAATGCTGGGCAGAGGTCGCGCTATCATAATTTGTGTAGTTTATGGCGTTCTCATGTATGATAGGCAGAGGCCAACCTTTAGCTTTCTCATTTAATCTTGGCTTGGCTATGTTGTTCCTTTGCTTTTCCATATGAATGTTAGGTTTAGTTTGTCAAATTCCATGATTAACTCTATTAATTTAACTGAGGAAAAACTTTCATTTTCTTTGTGTGGATGAGACATTCCATAGTTATAGGTTTTATTTTTTAAAAACTCCATGCAGACAAGAGAAAAGGAAAATAGAAACAGTCATCTGCCCTAATAAAAAATCATAAATATTTATATCTTTTAGAAAACAAGGGTATCAATTTAAATATTATTAAAGGGCAAGAAAACTACTAAGGAAGAAAAGTGATCAGAATTACATACACTTTAGGACTTAAAAGTTATTTTCATAGGCCATAGTGATAATTTCTGAAGTTTAGGAATCTTTCAATATTATTTTGTGACAAATAAGGAAAAGTAAGGATATTTAATGATACTTTCCTGCACCTGGAGGGAAAGGGGCAAAACTTCCTTCTTATTTTGTTGAGATTTCTTTCACCAGCATTTTATAAGGGCCTATCATTCTAAGACTGAATACTAGAACTCCTTTAGTTAGCACCAGAGGAAGGAAAGGAAAACAGATCAGAAGCTTACAACTTGCACAATGAAAAACAACTGGGGGACAATGTGATAATTAAGTAAATGACATAATAGTTTCCATCTATAATCATTTGGGATTTGGGTTGGAACTGCTATCTAGAATTGATAGACTGATTTGGAGGAGAATTGCCATCTTTATGATATTAAGTCATCCCACACGTGAACATCTTTTAGTTTTCCATTTATTTAAGCTTTCTTTTTCTTTTTTTGAAACTCAATGTTTTTAACCTGTAAAGACCTTGCACATATTTTGTTACCTTTACTCCCAGTACCTGCTTGTTTTGTTGTCATTGTAAAGTCTGTCTCTTATAGAATTTAATCTTCTGATTGGCTGGTGCTGTTGGATGGGCTTGAGCAGCAACCTGCTGAGCTCACTCATTAGTGCCTCTATTATTTCCGGAGATCTGAGACATCTGCAAACATCATCTGCAAATAGTGGTTTTTAAAAACTTTCTTCTTAATTCTCACACTTGTTTTTCTTACACTATTTTCATAGCTAGGAGCTCCAGGACAAAGTTAACCGGAAGTGATGATGGCATTGAGAGCGCGGATGAGCTAGCAGGAGTCTGTCTTGCTCCGGGCTCTGGAGGGGGATGCTTCTCATGTTGTGCTGTTATGGACATTTGCTGCTGTAGGGTTTTGACAGATGCACTTTACCATATTAAGGAAGTTTCTTTTTATTTCTAGCTTTCTAAGATTTTTTTAAGAAAAAAATTTTTTCTTAAATAATGAGTGTTGAATTTTATTAAAGGATTTTTATATATTTACTGAGATTTTGCTATTTTTCTCCTTTGTCATATTTATATACATCTGGTGTGTATGAATCTGAATTTGAATGTTTATAACATTTATGTCTGAATTTTTTTAATATTTAGCATTTTTATATTTGTGTATAGTAAATACATAAACCAGTAACATAGTCTTTTTTTTTTTTTTTTTTTTTTTGAGACAGAGTTTCGCTCTTGTTGCCCAGGCTGGAGTACAATGGTGTGATCTCAGCTCACTGCAACCTCCACCTCTGGGGTTCAAGCAATTCTCCTGCCTCAGTCTCCTAAGTAGCTGGGCTTACAGGCGCATGCCACCATGCCCGGCTAATTTTGTATTTTTAGTAGAGACAGGGTTTCACCACGTTGGTCAGGCTGATCTCAAACTCCTGACCTCAGGTGATCCTCCCGCTTCTGCCTCTCAAAGTACTGGGATTACAGGCCAGTAGCATAGTCATTTATTATCATTATCAGTTGTTATGTACTGTACATAATTGTATGTGCTAATCTTTTCTATGACCGGCAGTGTGGCAGGTTTATTTACACCAGCATCACCACAAATACATGAGTAATGCGTTTCGCTATGACTTTACAATGGGTATGATGTCACTTTGTGACAGGAATTTTTCAGCTCCATTATAATCTTATGAGGCCACCGTTGTATGGGCAGTTTGTTGTTGACTGAAACATGCAGTACCTGACTGTGGAGTCTTGCAGATGACTGTGGAGTCATGTTGAGATGAGATCATACTGGATTAGCATAGGCCCTAATCCAATGGCTGGTGTCCTTATAAAAAGACAGAAATGTGGATATAGAGACTCAGGAAAGAAGGCCATATCATGTTAGAGGCAGAATTGGAGTGATGCGACTGCCTGCCAAGGAATGCCAAGGGTTGCTGGCAACCAGCTGGAAGAGGCAAGGAAGGATCTTTTCCTAGAGCCTTTGGAGGGAGCATGGCCCTGCTGTCACCTTGATTTCAGACTTTTGGCCTCCAGAACTGGACTGTGGAAAATTATATAAATTTTTTGTTTTTGAAAAGGCAGCATCTTGCTATATTGCCTAGGATGGTCTTGAACTCCTGGCATCAAGTGATCCTCCTGCCTTGGCCTCCCAAAATGCTGGGATTATAGGCATGAGCCACTGTGCCTGGCCAATGCCATGCTTTCTTAATTGTCATCTGTGATGATTAATTTTATGTCAACTTGGCTAGGCCATGGTGCTCAGATATTTGGTTATTTTTCTGGATGTTTCTGTCAACATGTTTTTAAAGATGAGATGAACACGTAAACCGGTGGTCTTCAAGTAATGCAAATTACCTTCCCTAATGTGGGTGGGCCTCACCCAATCAGTTGAAGGACTTAATATAGAGCAAAGACTGACTTCCTCTAAGAAAGAAGGAATTCCGTCAGCAAACTTTCCTTTGGACTCAACTGTAACTCTTCCTTGAGTATCCAGCCTGCCAGCTCTAGATTTTGTAGATTTTGAAGTTACCAAGCTTCCACAATAAACCTCTCTCTCTACATAGACACATTCTGCTGGCTTTGCTGGAGAATCTTGAGTAATACAACATCATTTTATAATGTTGCGATAGCTGTAGAGCAAGTCAATTCACCTTTTTCTTTTGAAAAAAGTGCCATGGTTTATCTGAGTCCTTTGCATTTTTATTGATTTAGGTCTTCTTCATTTTTCCTCAACAATGCTTTGTGGTTTTCAATGGCAGAGGTCTTGCACATCTTCCCTCCCTCCTTACAAACATCTCAGCCACTCTAAAGATCTGTTGTGGTCTTAGGACCCAACAGCGAGCTCCCTGAGAAGATAAAGACTAACTTTTCTCCTCTGCATCCCTAGTACCTAACACAGGCTTGACCCAGCTAATATTTGGGTAACAAATATTTCTTGTGTAGTGTAATTAATTTTATTATTCATGTAGAGGGTGACTTTTTTCAGTGGTCCGCCAAAGGATTAATAATGCAGCAGTGAATCATCAAACATGTCCTGAACACCCATCGCAGGCAAGGATGCTCACTGAGCACATCCTCTTATTTTGTTATGTGACTCTCCCCAGCATGGGCACCAGCCCCAGCTGACAGCGTCTCTGGGTTCCCAGCATTGGGCATTGCTCATTCCTGGCATCAGGTGCATCCTGTGATGCAGCTTGCACACAGTAGCACATGTCTGTGCTGCTTCTCCTGTGGCTCAGTGACTCTCCCCAGAGGAGAACCACTTCAGATAGGAGGCAACAGGCCCCGAGACACCCCTGCCCAAGCTGTATTCCAGAATTCCTGTGTCTCAGGACTACCTGGATCCCAGGTTGCCTGCCAACCCAGGCCTACCCACCACACCCCATCACTTCCCTCTGGCGTCCCTCTTGTTCGCTCTGTGTAAAACTCAATTTGCCTCTTGATGGATATGAATAATTAGAACCCTCCAGCATGAATAATTCTAGGCAAATTAATTTTCATGCCAATCAGGGAAAATTAATTGGCTTCATGATGTTTCATATTTTCCAGGAGGGGCTCCCCAGCTGCTGCCCCCACCTCTTCTCAGCCTTGGGCTCTTCTTCCCCAGCACTTTGGAGAATATTGCTTGTTAGTTTTATTGTTTGTTTGTTTGTTTGTTTTTTAATGGTTTCTGCAGGCAACAATGTTAAATTCCTTGCAGCTAAATGACCTATTTAACAAGCATGATAAAAACATCCCTTAGAACCATTCCTGGCTAAGTAAGATCCAGCTGGTCCTTTATAGCCCAATTTCTTTTTTAACCTTTTTATTTGCTATTGTGGAATATAAACACATATAGGGAAGTGTATGAAAGATCTAAATACACAACCTAATGAATTATTATAAAGGAAACAGATGTCTTCTCCTGTTCTGTGGCTTATCCTTGCTCACTCTTAGTGATCTTTTTTGATGAAACAAATTCTGAATCTTAATATAGGCAAACATATCAATCTTTTCCTCTATGCTCTGGTTAAAAATATGTTTGAAAATAAAGTATTTACCTTGCACTTTATGAGAAGTGCATAAATATGTTTGAAAATAAAGTGTTTACCTTGCACTTTATGAGAATGTAGTTCATTCTCATTTTTTTCCAAAACAGAAAAGTACACACACACACACACACACACACACACACTTACAAGAGTTTAAAAGTAGTTGCAGCTATCATGACATGTTGCTCTTAATCATTTCATATGAGTGATAACAATATGAGTGATAACAATACCATTGTCACACCTAAGAAAATGAACAAATGTCTAATATTGTCAAACATCCAGTACTTACCCACATTTCCCTAATTATTCCCAAAATGTATTTGATATATGTAGGAGGATTAGTTTGCCTCCTCTTAAATTTCATATGAATGGAATTTACTGTGTATGTTATTTTGTGTTTGTTTTTGCTCATCATTATAACTGAGCAATTTATCCATATTATTGCATGCGTGTAGTTCATTTTTGTTCATTGCTATGTTATTCCATTGTATGAATATGCCATAAATTATATATCCCATCTACCGTTTCTTTCTTTTTTCTTTTTTTTTGAGATAGAGATTTGCTCTGTTGCCCAGGCTGGAGTGCAATTGTTCCTGGATCAAACTGAGGGTCAGGCTGCTATTTCTTGTGGCCCAATAACAAGGTGCAGATAAACTGGGGAGGAAGAGAATTTATATTTCTGCAACCAGTTACAGGGAGAAGACTTGGAAATTATCGCCAGACCAACTCAAAATTATAGTTTTCCAGAGCTTATATATACCTTTTAAGTTATATGTCTATGTGTAAGTGTGCATTCACCTAAAGACATAAGTGATTAACTTCTTTTAATCCACAACTAAGGTCTGAGTCCTGAAGACCTTCCTCTGGAGCCTCAGTAAATTTACTTAATCTCAATGGGTCCAGGTGCTGGGGTGATTACCCTTATCTTGTCTCCTGCTAAATCACAGAGGTTTGGGGAGTTCCTTCAGACCCTCAATAAACTTGTTTGTGGAGGCCTGGGGAGTTTCTTCAGACCCACAGTAAAACTTGTTTAATCCTAAATGGGTTCTATTAAGAATTCCTCTATTATTTTGTTATGCTTTAGGGCCCAGGAAAGGCCTAGGCAAACTCTTGATGGGCTTTTGTTACATCACAGCCTTTGTGTAAGAGCACTGGCTTTATTTATTTATTATACTTTAAGTTGTAGGATACATGTGTAGAACGTGCACGTTTATTACATAGGTATACATGTGCCACGGCGGTTTGCTGCACCCATCAACCTGTCATCTAGGTTTTAAGCTCCGCATGTATTAGGTATTTGTCCTAATGCTATCCCTCCCCTTGGCTCCCTCCCCGCGACAGGCCCCAGTGTGTGATGTTCCCCTCCCTGTGTCCACGTGTTCCCGCTGTTCAACTCCCACTTATGAGTGAGAACATGCCATGTTTGGTTTTCTGTTCCTGGAGCACTGGCTTTTAATATTTAACTTAACCACTCAGTACTGAAACAGTTATTA
The DNA here is from genome assembly GCF_000001405.40 of Homo sapiens. Taxonomy (NCBI): domain Eukaryota; kingdom Metazoa; phylum Chordata; class Mammalia; order Primates; family Hominidae; genus Homo; species Homo sapiens. The sequence goes on along the minus strand of NC_000002.12, from coordinate 126,997,250 downwards.
TGGAGGCCTGCGTTAGTGACACCTGGCCTGCCACACAGTGGCGTGATCTTGGCTCACTGCAACCTCTGCCTCCCGGGTTCAAGCAATTCTTGTGCCTCAGAGTAGCTGGGATTACAGACATGCACCACCAAGCCCGGCTAATATTTTTTTGCATTTTTAGTAGAGGTGGGGTTTCGCCATGTTGGTCAGGCTGGTCTTGGACTCCTGACCTCAAGTGATCTGCCTACTTGAGGTCCTCGGCCTCCCAAATTGCTGAAATTACAGGCGTGAGCCACTGCACCTGGCCCCATCTACTGTTGATGGTGTAATCATTCACTCTGCAGTTAAACTGAACTTGGGTCCACTTGCCTGGTGCAGCAAGCCAAACATTGACACTGAGATTTGCAGTGAGAGAAAGAAAGGTATTTACTTTAGGGTGACAAGCAAAGAGAGTTGGGTAGCTAACGCTTAAGACCTGAGCTTCCAGAAGGCTTACATGTAAGGGTTTTTAAAGGCAGGGAGAGAGAGGTTACAGGCAAAGTCATAAGTCAACACATGGAGGCCATACATTTGTTTGGCCCCAAAAGGCAAGCTATCTTGAAGCGGAGGCTTGCAGGTCATAGGTGGATTCAGAGATTCTTTAATTTGCAATTGGTTAAGGAAGTGAGGCTTTATCTAAAACTTGAGGTCAGCAGAAAGAAATGTTAAAGTTTGGTCTATGAGAATGATTCTTTCCAGGCTCCTCTGGAAGAAATTTAGAACAAAGACTGGTGGTCATGTTAGAGCAGGCAGATAGCCAGACATGAACAGGAGAGGAGAGCTCCTGAAAAAAGGGAGGTCTGGAAAATCTCACCCCTCAGGGACCACCTGAAACAGGCATGATAGATACAAGTAGAGAGGAGGGGGAATACCTATACAGGAAGGCATGCCCATTAAGATGCCCACTAATCATTCACTCTGCAGTTAATGTGTCCGAATGTAGCTAGATGCATGCTGATAAGGGGAAGAGGGCAGAGAAGGAAATTCCTAAGAGATAACATAGATACAGTAAGTATAGATCTGAGTACTATACAGCCTTCCTGGGGTGGCAGTAATGAGCGATGCAGCCGTCAAATAGGATTCGTACCCAACACTGGGACACATGCATGTGCACCAACTAATAGTAAGGGAGGGTCCCACAAGCCTGGGGTGAGAACTAGGCAGGCAAAGGATGGAGACTTAAGGCAGAAGTAGGAAAACTAGGCAAAGAAAAACAGCAGAGACTTAAGACAGAGGCAGGAACTTCAGAAAAGACTCCAACATCATAAAAACCCAGTGCAGAACTCTCAAGCTGCTGCTGGCTCACTCCCTTTAGCAGCCCACTCTGCCTGATCTTTGCAGTGTACTTCCCCTTAAATAACTGTCTGCTCTCTAGTGTCCTTCAGTAAATCAGTCACTTGGCAGAGTGCTTCCTCCGAGTGAGACAAAGAACTGAGGATTCCTGCACTTCCTGGTAACAGTTGGAGTTCAGTCCCCCATTCCCACTTGCCTGACAGTGGTTGGCATTTTCCATCTGGTGGGGGTCTGGGTTTCTGAAAAAGCAACTCAGAGACACATGTCAAGATGTTATCTTTAGTTTCTATAGGGAACCAAACACCTTGTAACTCTAGCTCACTTGAGTAGATACCGTTTAAGCTGTGATTACCTGCTTGCTTCTCAGGTTGTTCATTCACTTCTCAAGCCTAGATAGGTACCTGGAATTTCCCTGGAAGGGACTGAAGAGTTTTTTGTTATTTCCATGCTTTGGGGGCCTGGAAGGCCCCTAAGAGGGGTTTCTGCTCTGTCCCAGTGGATAATTGGCTTGTCTCCCATTTATGAATAAAATCTCTATGAAGGGCCTTTTTTTTTTTTTCTTGAGACAGAGTCTCACTATGTCGCCCAGGTTGGAGTGAAGTGGCGTGATCTCGGCTCACTGCAGACTCTGCCTCCCGGGTTCAAGCAATTCTCCTGCCTCAGCCTCCAGAGTAGCTGGGATTACAGGCACCCACCACTATGCTTGGCTAATTTTTGAATTTTTAGTAGAGATAAGGTTTCACCGTGTTGGCCGTGCTGGTCTCAAACTCCTGACCTCAGGTGATCTGCCCGCCTTGGCCTCCCAAAGTGCTGGGATTACAGGCGTGAGCCACCACGCCCGGCCTGAAGGGTCCTTTACATTACCATTAGCGAACAAACTCTGAAGTGGAATTGCTGGGTCATAAGGTATACGTGCTTATCTTCATTGAAATTCCTGCCAGCAGTATATAAGAGTTTCAGTTACACCATGTGTTTGCTAAAATTTGGTATTGTCAGTTCCTTTAATTTCACCTTGACTGGGGGTATGGCGGTATGTTGTGACGATTTTAATTTTCATTTTTCTTAGGAATAATGATGTTGGCCACCTTTTCATGTACTCATTGGCCATCTAGATATCCTTTTTTATGAAGCATAAGTCTTTTGCTATTTTTTTTCCCATGGGATTGACTGTTTTTAAAATTAATCAGTTTGTAGGAGTTCTTTATATATTCTGGGTACAAGTCTCATGCTAGATTTATGTACTGCGAATGTCTTCTAGTCTGTGGCTTGTCTCTGAAGGAGATAAAAATATGACACTCTGGTATAGTGACTATTTTGAGTTAAAGGCACTTGAAAACAGGAGGTGCAAGCTCACTCTGACCTTCCTTCTGTCTCTGAAGAGCAGGAGATAAAGTTCCCCTGTGAAAGGCGTTCTGCCAACACCAGAAGGACAGCATCATTCTTATCTTTGGGGACAGGAAGTTGAGACTGAGGGAAATCTGCAGAAACAAACCTTGCTAGACTAACCCTCATCCTCTCAGCCAGTTCTCCACCAATTAACTCCCTTTGCCCAAGCCTTTGCCTGGTCACATTTTCATAACTTACCACTCTTGGTCTAATTCAGTACATAAGCGCCAACCTCTAACTGCATCTTTGGGTTCTTACTTTCTGATGAAGGCTCCTATGCCATGTAAAACTTGCATTAAGTGAATTTGTATGCTCTTTCCTGCTGAACTGTATTATGTCAATTTAATTCTCAGACCCAGCTGAAAAACCCTAAAAGGGTAGAGGTAAAAGCTTTCCTTTTTTTTTTTTTTTTTTTTTTAACATCTTTGCATTGTTTTAATGAAGCCTTTGGTGAACAGAAGCTCTCAATTTTGGTAAAGTCTAAATTTATTTTCATTTTGTGTGTGTGTTTCATTTATTTATTTATTTTTATATTTATTTATTTATTTATTTATTTGAGACAGAGTCTCGCTCTGTCGCCCAGGCTGGAGTGCAGTGGTGCGATCTCGGCTCACTGTAAGCTCCGCCTGCCGGGTTCCCGCCTTTCTCCTGCCTCAGCCTCCGGAGTAGCTGGGACTACAGGCGCCCGCCTCCACGCCCGGCTAATTTTTGTATTTTTAGTAGAGACGGGGTTTCATCATGTTAGCCAGGATGGTCTTGATCTCCTGACCTCGTGATCCACCTGCCTCGGCCTCCCAAAGTGCTGGGATTGATTACAGGCGTGAGCCACCGCGCCCGGCCTATTTATTTTTTTTGAGGTGGAGTCTCGCTCTGTCGCCCAGGCTGGAGTGCAGTGGAGGGGTCTTGGCTCACTGCAACCTCTGCCTCCCGGGTTCAAGCAATTCTCCTGCCTCAGCCTCCTGAGGCTGGGATTACAGGCGCACACCACCACACCAGGCTAATTTTTGTATTTTTAGTAGAGATGGGGTTTCACCACGTTGTTCAGGCTGGTCTTGAACTCCTGACCTCGTGATCCGCTCACCTCGGCCTCCCAAAGTGTTGGGATTACAGGCGTGAGCCACCACTTCTGACCCTGTGTGTTTCATTTAAGAAACCTTTGCCTACCCTAAGTTCATAAAGATATTCTCCTGAATTTTCCTCTAGGAACTCTCATGTTTCACCTTTGATGTTAAAGTTTATGATCTATCACAAATTCATTTTGGTAGGAGAGGGGTCAAGGTTTATTTTTTTCCCATATGAGTATGTAATTTCTCCAGCATCATTTCTTGAAAGGCTCACTCTCCCCCCGACTGAATTGCAGCAGCACATTTGTCATAAATGAAATGACTGTATATGTGTGGGTCTGTTTCTGGGATTTATAAAATTCTGTTCCACTGGTCTTTATCTCTATCCTTATGTTAGTACTACCCTGATTTTATTACTGCGATTTTAGAGCAAACCTTGAAATCTTATAGTGCATAGCCTTCACTTTTTTCTTCTACTTCAAAATTGTTAGAGCTATCAAAGGTCTTTGCATTTCCAGATGAATTTTTGAATCACATAACAATTTATACACACGCACACACACATAACGGATGGGATTTTGATTGAGATTGGCTTGTATCTATTGATCGTTTGTGGAGAACTGATCTTTCAACAACATTGAGTCCTCCCCACCCATGGACCTGGTACAGCTGGTCTGTTTATTTAGGTCATCTTTATTTTTCCTAACAATGCTTTGCAGTGTTCAGTGTTGAGGACTTGACATCTTCCATTATATTTATTCAGTTAGTGTGTTGGTAGACCTGCCCTGGGGAGAGAAGCCCCAACTTTGAGCATTTGTTGAGTTCTCTGGTGGAAAAAGACCCAACGTGGTTGATTTCAAGCTAACGATGTGATGTCCATGGACATGCAGTTGAAGAGAGGTGCACGACCCCCCAACATGGCCCTCGAGTTTTCCTGCCCTCTGCTGTGCACATCCTATATGAGCCCTGGGCTGGGAAGATGATGGATTTTACTCCTGAGATTAGGTTGACATGTGGCATAGTTGGCCTTAAGATAAAGATGTTATCTGACTGGGCCTCACCAAATCACATGAACCCCTAAAAGCAGTAAGTCTTCTCTGGCTGGTTGCAGAAGGGGAAGTAAGAGAGATTCCAAGCATGAGAAGTACTTGACTTGGGGGAGGTTCCCTGCTGCTGAGGTGGAAGGGCCACATAGCGGGGACTGGAGAGTGCCCTCTAGGAGGTGAGAGTGGTCCCTGGCTCACAGCTGGCAAGAGCATGGGGACCTCGGTCCCACAACACCAAGTAGGTGACTTGTGCCAACAACCAGTGATCGTGGAAGGTGACCCTGAGCCCCAGATAGAACTGCAGCTCCAATGAGACCCAAGCAGAGAATCCAGCCATTCCATGCCTGGACTTCTCACCTGCAGAAACTGTGAAGTAGTACACTGATGTTTGAAGCCACCAAGTTTGTGATAACTGGCATGTAGCAATAGCAAACTAATACAGATTTTGGTACTGAGAGAGTGGGGCTGCTGTAACAAGCACCTAAAATGAGTGTGTGGAGAGGTCAAGAGATCGAGATCATCCTGGCCAACATGGTGAAACCCCGTCTCTACTGAAAATACAAAAAATTAGCCGGGTGTGGTGGCAGGCACCTGTAGTTCCAGCTACTTGGGAGGCTGAGGCAGGAGAATCGCTTGAAACTGGTAGGTGGAGGTTGCAGTGAGCCGAGATCACGCCACTGAATTCCAGCCTGGGCAACAGAGCAAGACTCTGCTTAAAAAAAAAAAAAAAAAAGTGCGTGTGGGAAGGAGTTCCCAGTTTCCAGGAAGGTGGAATAGCCCTGTTTCTTCCTTGTCCTCTGCCTTACAACTAAAAGTCCCTGGACATAAAACAACAAATGACCACAGAGGTCTCAGAAAGGTGGAAAGAAGAAGGCAGGCTTTGGGACCTCAGGGCACGGGATGGACCCAGTGATGAGCCCCGGCTTCGCTCTTGCCTCCCACACATCCTCGACATCCTTGCAGTGCCAGAGCCTCCAACAGGCTCAGACCAACAGGCACCAGGAAATACCCCTACCCAAAGGGCTGGGAAAAGGGTGGCCTAAGAACAGAAATTTTCTTGGCAATACCTTTCCTACTCCAGCCAAACACTAGTGAAAACAGCCCTCCACGTTGCAGTGGTGCTGATCGGTGAAGCCGATCACTGGTGAAGCCAGCGATGCTCCACCTCCCCTGCCGGGGAGGTGTTAAGAGGGCCCAGGGGCAAGCTGAGCTCCACCTCCACCCAGCAGCAATGGAGCTAAGGGCACTGGAATATGCTACCCCAAAACATGCCACTTGGGCATAGAGATTATTTTGAGCTGAAGGCAATTGAGAAACAGCAGAGGCAGGAAAAGCTCTCTACGCTCCACCCCCTCAATTTCTGCCTAAAGGCAGGGCATAAATTTCCCTTTGTGACGGTATCTCCCTCCCCTCTCCCATACCAGGAGGACAAAACAACCATTATCACTGGAGGCAGAAAGCAGACCTGGGTTTGGGTCTGCACAAGCAAACCCCACTAACATAATCCTTATCTGTCCTGGCTTCCCCCAGATATTTACCTTCACTGCCCCTAAAGCCCAAATCCCTTTTCCTTCCTCTTGTCACTTCTCTGAAGATTTATTTACCTTTGTTAAGATGGTTTTCTAAGCTCCAAATTCTAACCATCTCATTGAGTTACTTACACTTTGCACCCCTGTGTGTATGTGTTGCAAGTGTAAATAAACGTTTCTCTTCTTCTGTTGATTTTTAAAAATCAGTTTGATTTGCCCACGCTAGCCACTGAACCCCCAAGAAAGCAGAGAAAGAGTTTTTTCCTCCCCTACAAAACTTTATAAGGTAGTGGGAATGGGATTAGTTTCCACCTTCACCTGGCACCAAGGAGGTGGAAAAGGTGATGGGGAACAGGGCTAGCTGGGGCTCAGCTTTCCTGTCTCTTCCCTGGTTTCAGCAGGTGCACCTGAGCTCCTGACTCCACCTTGCAGCAGCAAAGCAGTGTGAGTCACTTTCCCCTCTCTTTTCCCTTGGTGGCAGTGGGGTCCCACAGGGAGCTGATCTCACATCACCACTTGGAAGCGATGAGCCTGTACAAGTTGGTGCTGCAGGGAAAGTGCTCATGGACATAGAGGGAGGAGCTAAACTTCCACCTCACTCACCCTCAAGGGTCAGTGTGAGTCACAGCCCTACTTCTGTGGGGCTGCTGTCAGTAAGTTCAGCGTGAAGCTGACCATACATACCCTAGCCCTTGTGCTATGCCTCATCTGTGCCCCTTAAAAAGGGGAAACCTAGACAGAATCCAGAGTTCTCACAATATAATGTCCCATATGTCCAGATTACAATGGACAACCATGCACCAGATCAAGAAACAAGAAGACCACAGCAGGAATGAGAAAAAGCAATCAACAGGTCACAGCACAGAGCAAGATCAGGTGTTGGATCATCTGGCATGGATTTTACAGTGGCCATCATAAAAAGGCTTCAACAAACAACTGTGAATTCTCTGGAAACAAATGAAAAAGTAGAAAATCTCAGCCATGGAAGATAAGTTATAAGGAGGGGCAAAATGGAAATTGTAGAACTAAAAAATACACTAACTGAAATAAAAAAAACCTCACTGGATGGGCTCAAGAGTAGAGTAGAAAAGACAGAAGACAGAATCAGAAAACTGGAGGAAATATAAGATTTGAACAATGAATGCTATAAACCAGCTAGACCTGACAGACCCCTATAGAACTGTCCACTCAATAGCAGAGAACACATTGCCGGTTTTCTTTGTGTGTGTGTGTGTGTGTGTGTGTGTTTGTTTGTTTGTTTGTTTTGCTTTGTTATTTTTGACAGAGTCTCACTTTGTCATCTAGGCTGGAGTGCAGTGGCATGATCTCAGCTCACTGCAACCTCCACTTCCAGGGTTCAAGTGATTCTCCGCCTCAGCCTCCTGAGTAGCTGGGACTATAGGCGTGTGCCACCATGCCAGCTGATTTTTGTATTTTTGGTAGAGACAGGGTTTTGCTATGTTGGCCAGGCTGGTCTCAAACTCCTGACCTCAGGTGATCTGCCTGCCTCAGCCTCCCAAAGTGCTAGGATTATAGGCGTGAGCCACTGCAATTGGTCTGTTTTTTTTTTTTTTCCCTTTTCAGATGGAGTCTTGCTCTGTCGCTCAGGGTGGGGTGCAGTGACGCAATCTCAGCTCACCGCAACCTCTGCCTCCCAGGTTCAAGTGATTCTCCTGCTTCAGTCTCCCAAGTAGCTGAGACTACAGGGCCTTGTCACCACGCCGGGCTAACTTTTGTATATTTAGTAGAGATGGGGTTTCACCATGTTGGCTAGGCTGGTCTCCCTAGAACTCCTGACTTCAAGTGATCTGCCCGCCTCGGCCTCTCAAAGTGTTGGGATTACAGGCATGAGCCACTGCTTCTGGCCATGTTTTTTTGCACCCATGGAAGATTCACCAATGTAGACCATATCCTAGGTCATAAAACAAACCTCAACAATTTAAAGTAATTGAAATCATGTGGATTATGTTTTTTGACCATAATGGAATCAAATTACAGATCGAAAGTAAAAAGACAACAGAAAAATCTCAAAACACTTGGAAATCAAAATCATTCCTCTAAATAATACATAAGTCAAAGAATAATTTTCATAGAAATAAAAAATACAAAAACTATATTTAAATGAAAATACAACGTATCAAAATATGTGGAACACAGCTGAGAGGAAAATTTATAGCACTAAATGTTTACATAAGAATAGAGGAACAGTCTTAAATCAATAATTCAAATATCTACCTCAAGAAACTAGAAAAAGAAGAGCAAAATAAATGTAAAGTATGCAGAAGAAATAATAAAGATAAGGGCAGAAAAAACCCCAGGAAATCAATAGAGAAAATCAATGAAACAAAAAGCTGGATCTTTGGGAAAAAAAATGTTATTTTTTTGAGACAGAGTCTCGCTCTGTCACGCAGGCTGGAGTGCAGTGGCGTGATCTCAGGTCACTGCAACCTCCACCTCCCAGGTTCGAGCACTTCTCACGCCTCAGCCTCTTGAGTAGCTGGGATTACAGGTGTTTGCCACCACACCTGGCTTTTTTGCGATTTTAGTAGATACAGGTTTTTGCCATTTTGGCCAGGCTGGTTTCAAATTCTTGGCCTCAAGTGATCCATCTCGGCCTCCCAAAATGCTGGGATTACAGGTGTGAGCCACCGCCCAGCAGAAAAATTTTAATAAAACAATAGAGCTTTAGTAAGCCCAATGAAGATAAAAGGAGAAGATCATCAATATCAGAAATGAAATGGGATATCACCACAGAGCTTTGGCTCCTGTTCAGTGACCAGCCAGAGAAAACTCTGCTTTTAACAAGCTTGTGTGGCAAGGTCAGGTCCACCCAGGTCATCTCCCAATCTAAGGCGAAAGGTACCATAGTCAGTAACCTAATCACGGGAGTAAAATTCGTCATCTTAAAGTTCCTGGGGATATGCAAGGTGCGTAAATAGGGAGAGGTTAATCTTGGGGATTATTTTTCATCCTGCCCAGCACAGTCCATCCTCTGGCCCCCAAATATTTACATCTCTCCCAAATGCAAAAATACATTCACCTTCTTCCAAGGTTGGCAAGGGTCTCATTCCACTAGAGCATTAATTCAAAGTCCAAAATCTCATATAAAGCCCATCAGTCCAAAAATCCAAAATCTCTTCATGTACAATATCTAAATCACGCAGGCTATGATGGCTCATGCCTGTAATCCAAGCATGTGGTGTGGCTGAGGCAGGAGGATCACTTGAGGCCAGGAGTTTGAGACCCGTCTAGGCAACATAGCAAGACCCACACTCTACAAAAAGTTTAAAAATAAGCTGAATGTGGTAGTGCATGTCTGTAGTCCCCATTACTTGGGAGGCTGAGGCAGGAGGATCACTTGAGGCCCCGGAGCTCAAGAGCAGTCTGACCAACACAGGGAAATTTTGTCTTTACAAAGAATAAAAAAAAAATAGCTGGGCGTGGAGGTACATGCATGCTTGTAGTCCCAGCTACTGGGGAAACTGATCACTTGAGCCTAGGAGGTCAAGGCTGCAGCAGCTGTGGTTGCACCACTGCATTCTAGCCTGAATGACAGAGCAAGACCTTGTCTCAAAAAAGAAAAAAAAAAAATCTAAATCAGGTGTGGATGTGGCTCCTGGGTGTAATTCATTAGGTGCAACTCCTGGGCGCACTTCTGCTCCATCTCTGGACCTGTGACACCACAGACACAATTATCTGCCCCCAAACTCTCATCCTAAATCGTGAAACAGGTATAGGGTAATAGCTATAAGCATTCTGGCTCAAAAAAGGAAGAAATGGAAGGTTAAAAAGTGATCAGCGGTCCAAAGCGGTTTGGAAATCCAGCCAGGCAAATGGTAGCCAGAGATCCTTGATCAGGTTTCACGGCATGGGAATTGGCCTGCGTGGCTCCTGGCTCCACCCTCGGAGGCACCCCTCCTACTTCATGGAAGGGAGCATGGGTTTGCAGCATGTTCTGTTTCCATTAGCAACAGCCGCATTCCCAGGTTATTTTGAGTTGCTGCCTTCTCTATCTTTGACTTCTCCCTCAGTGGCTGAGGAGCAAACCTAGAAGGCTGGAAAGCTTCCTAGAAGCCCTCAACTTTGAGAAACTACTCACACCCTTAAGCCCTGGGATTGTTTGTGCCTGAACACTCTGACCTTTTTTTTTTCCTTAAACCTTTCCAAACTTTCAGCAGAGTGTTGTCCAGTCACACATGCAGCCTTTTCTCTAAGCAAACTTTCAGCAGCTATTTATGACATTTAACATCTTTTGCCATCTGGAGAAGGTGATAGTTTTCAAAACCATTCTGCCCTGGTTCCTTTTGTTTAGCTGTTTTCCCCTCAATTTCTCTCTCTTCTTTCACTTAACTACAAGCAGCAAGGAGGAACCAGGGAGTACCTTCAGCAGTTTGCATTGAAATCTCCTTGGCCACATAAGCAAGTTTGTCACAAGTACTGCTTTCCACAGGACTGTGGGATACAATTTTGTTAGGGTTTCTTTCACCTCTTAACAAGGATATATCTTCCTCCAATAACATGCTCCCTACTTAATTCTGAGCTCTGTCCAAAAGTGTTCTTAAATTCCAGATTTCTGTTAACAGTCTACTCACAGAGATGTAGTTGTTTTCTAAGGCAATTTAGGATTTCGCTGCTATGCTCCTTACACCTTCTGAGCACTTACTAACAGCGTCTTTAATGTCCACATTTCTACTAGTTTGATCAGAGCAATCAAGGGTTTTTTCCTATCTCGTCTTTCAAAATTCTGTCAGCCTCTACCAACTGTTCAATTCCAATGCCAACTCAATGTTTCTATTTAAACTTTTTCTTTAGAGATAATAGAAAATTCACATGCAAGAAATATTACAAAGAGATTCTGTGTGTCTTTACCAAGTTTCCCTCAATGGTTATCTCTTACAAAATATCACAACCCAATATTGACATGATACAGTCAAGATTGTTGACCAAACTAATTTGATGAAGGTTTATTGGAAGCCAAATGTGAAGACTCACATGGGCAGATACACCAACAAAATTCAATGTGTTCCAGAGTCTGTTCTAAGTTGGAACATTTCTATGGGAAAGTTTAGGAGAAGAGAGGAGCCTCTTATTAGAGCTGTCCTCTTCATTGGACAGTACAATACAGCGGTTACAGTCATTGGCTACAGATGACAACATACCGGCTACAAGGTTTTACATGCAAGACAGTTAGCAAACTTTATGATTTATGATTTCTGTTCTCACTTCTAAGTGGGAGCTAAATATTGGGTTCACATGGACATAAAAAGGGGAACAATAGACACCAGGGAATACCAGAGCGGGGAGGGAGGGAAGGGTTGAAAAAAACTACCAGCTAGGTGCAGTGGCTCATGCCTGTAATCCCAGCACTTTGGGAGGCCAAGGCGGGTGGATCACTTGAGGTCAGGAGTTTGAGACCAGCCTGGCCAATGTGGTGAAACCCTGTCTCTACTAAACATACAAAAATTAGCTGGGTGTGGTGGCGCACACCTGTAATCCCAGCTACTAGGGAGGCTGAGGCAGGAGAATTGCTTGAACCTGGGGGGCGAAGATTGCAGTGAGCCGAGATTGCACCACTGCATTCCAGCCTGGGCAACAGAACAAGACTCTGTCTCAAAAAAAAAAAAAAAAAAAATAAATAATAAATAAATAAAAAATAAAAAAATAAAAAAAAGAAATATGAAAAATGACCTATTGGGTGATGGATTCATTTCTACTTCAAACCTCAGTATCACACAATATACCTATGTACAAACCTGCACATCTACCCACTGATTCTAAAATAAAAGTTGAAAAAACAGATTCAGAAACAAATCAGTGTCTTTTTCAATGTCAGTAGGTTATATATTAATCAGTTTGAGGAACTGATTAAGATTTGAGGGACTTGAGATTCTCTACTCAGGGATAGGATATAAGCTGTGAATCATCAGACCTTCTCCAGGGGGTTAATTTGGAAGCTGGACAAATGTGGCCTGTAGGTTACCAAGATGCGTAGCAGTTCCATTAGCAAAACAATCTCATGTTGCCTTTTTATACCCACATCCAGCTCCCTCTTCCTTGGTCCCTAGCAATCACTAGTCTGTTCTCAATTTCTATAATTTTGTTTCAAGAATATTACATAAATAGAATCATGCAGTGTGTAACACTTTGAGATAGGCCCTTTTTTCACTTGGCATAATCCCTGAACATTTGTCCAAGTTGTTGTGTGCATTGGTCGTTTGGTCCTTTTCACTGCTGAGTAGTGTTCCGTAGTATGGAGGCACCGCAGTTTGTTTAATCATTCACCACTTGAAGGACATCTGTTGTTTCCAGGTTTTGGCTAGCTGCTATGAATATTCGTGCACAGTTTCTGTGTGAATGTAAGTTTTTATTTCTCTGACGTAAATATCCAAGAGTGCAATTGCTGGGTTGAATGGTGGTTACGTTTTTTTTTTTTTTTTTTTTTTCTAAGACGCTACTGAACTGATTTCTAGGGTGGCTGTCCCATTTTTCATTCTCATATGCAATATATGAGTGATTCAGTTTCTTTGCATCCTTGCCAGCATTTGGCGTTGTGACTGTTTTTTATTTTAGCTGTTCTGATAGGTGTGTAGTTGTATCTCACTGCGGTTATAATTTGTGTTTGTTAATGCACGTTGAACATCTTTACAGATGCTTGTTTGCTATGCGTGTATCTGCTTGGCAAAAAATCTGTTCATGACCTTTGTCCATTTTCTAACTGGATTCTTAGTTTGCTATTCAGTTTTGAAAATTCTTTCTGTATTTTAGATACTAGTGCTTTGCCAGATACGTGGTTTGCAAATATTTTCTCCCTTATTTTAATCTAACAGAATTTTTCACAGAGCAAAAGGTTTAAATTTTGGTGAAATCCAGTTTATCATTTTTCTCTTTTTGGCATCAGACCTAAGAACCAGAATGCTTATAACTATTATCCTATACCTGTCCCACAATTGTATGAAAGGAGCGTTTTGGGCAGGTAACCATCTCTAATGTCACAGATCCATGGATGGAAAGCAAGTGTGCCCAAGAGTCCACACCTAATGGATTACACCTAGGAGGCTCATCCACACCTGATTTAGGTATTGTATATGATGAGATTCATATGAGAATTTTGACTTTGAACTGATGCTTTAATGGGATGAGACCCTTGCCAACCTTGAAAGAGGTGAATGTATTTTTGCATTTGGGAGAGATGTAAATATTTGGGGGTCAGAGGATGGACTGTACTGAGCAATATTGGGAAATCTTCCCCAAAATTAACCTCTTCCTTGAGAGGCAAACACCTCTTCAAGGTGTTTACAAACCTTGCATAATCTCCAAAACTATAAAGATGATGAATTTTGCTCCCATGATTATGTTACGGACTATGGTACCTTTGGCCTCAGATTCAGAAATGACCTGGGTGATTTTGACCTCACCACATAAGCTTTTTAAGAGCAGAGTTTTCTCTGTCTGGTCACTGAACAGGAGGGAAAAGATTTGGTGAATTTGATGTGCAAGAAATTCTTTGTTGCTGAAGGGGCCATGTGATGAGGAATGCAGGGACCATTGAGGAGCTGAGAATGGCCTCCTGAATGTGGCCTGCAAGGAACTGGAGACTTCAGTCCTACTGCTGCAAGGAACTGATTTCTGCCAACGATAAAATGAGGTTGACAGTGGATTTTTCTCCAAGGCTTGCAGATGAGAACTCAACCAACACCTTGATGGCAGCCTTGTGATACCCTGAGCAGAGAAACCAACTACGTCCCGCTGGACTCTGACCTACAGAATGTGTTATGAATCAGTGTTGTTTTAAGCCACAAAGTACGTGGTGTTATGCTGCAGTAGAAAACCAACACAAGTATGCTCAGTTGACTCTCATGAACTGGCATGAGCTGACTCCAGCGTGGATGACTTCCTTTATCTTTGATATTTTTTGATGGTATTGTAAATGGTGTTATCTCTTCAATTTCATTTCAATTGTCTGTTGCTAGTGTATAGAAATACAATTTATTTTTATTATCGAGTATGTGTCCTGTGTTCCTGCAAAATTCAACTATTGTTTTTTTCCCTTGGTATTGTCAGCACATATACTCACACCACTTGTAAATAAGGAGTGTTATTTCTTCCTTTCCTGACTTTATGCCTTTGACTTCTTTTTCTTTGCCTGGCTAAGACCTCCAGTATAATGTAGAACAGCAGCAGTGAGAGTGGCCATCTTTGTGTTCTTCCTGACTGCAGGGAGAAAATGATCATTTTGTCACTGTTAAGTGTGATGTAAACTGTACTCTATCAGATTCAGGAAGTTCCCTTTCATTCTAAGTTTGCTGAGGGCTTTATTATAAACAGGCCTCGAAATGTATTTACATGCATCATTTCGGCATCTCTTGAAATACTCATATGATTTTTCTCCTTTATTCCGTTTATGTGAGGAATGATATAAATTGATTTTGCATGTTAAATAGCCTCAATGACTAAGGTGACGTCTCCTTTTTTGTGTCTCTGGAAGGCTGTGTGTAATATCGGCTTTATTTCTTCTTTAAATGTTTGCTACAGATTTCTGGGCTAACCATCTTAGCCTGATGCTTTGCTTGTGGGAAGTTTTTTGTTTGATTTATAGTTTTAACTTTTAAAATCATTATAAAACTATTCAGATTTTCTACTTTCTTGTGTCATGTTTTTTCTAGAAATTTTTTCATTTTTTACAGTTCTAAAACAAACTGACCTATATGTCATCCTCCCAGGCCCCTTCCCATCCTGCGCTGTCCCGCTATTTCCTGGAACTTAGGAGGTGGGAAGACATTAGCTTAAAACTGTCACTCCAACCTGGACCTCACTCCTCATAGCATCTAGTTTAGGGATGGGGGTAAAATAAATACTCAACATTTTTGTCCCCCACTCATGGTGGAATTTCTCTCTCTCTCTCTCTTTTTCTTCTGTAGATACCCTTATAAATAGTTTGGAGTTTTGTTTTCCTCTAAGCCAGAAAAGATGCTACTCCAGGGCCACTCAGCACCCATAAGGGATGTTGATATAAAAGATTTCCAAACCTGTTAGAAACTTCCTCGCTATTGAGCCAGCAGTTTGTGGCCCCTTGCCTGCATGCTGCACGGGACGGGGTGCTAGTAAGTTTGCCTTCCTATGGCAAAGGATCCACAGATGGAAAAAAGCCACGCCCAGCTGCTTCAGACACCAGCTTGCTGGACTGTCAAGTGAACCCTCTTCAGATTCCTTTGCCAATGTTTGCTGACTCAGAGGCGCAGCAAACAGCAATGTGTTTACAAGAGGGGCCATGTAGTGATGGAGACAGGAGGCACTTGGAGGGGAACCCTGTTCAGTGCAGAGCTTGGTGGGCTTTGGTGCTAATGAAGAAAACCCTTTCTTCCCGGGGACTACCAGGACTTCAAGGGACCCAAGAGATAATGTAGCAACTCTTATTAAACATATGGAGAGGCAGCTGCCCAGCAAGGTGGCATGACTTATCCTTGTTCATGTGGTGACTGAGGGTGGGGCTGAGACCAGCAGCTCTGACTTCCACAACCAAGGCCAATGGCTTTCTAGGGGCAGGTAACTCCCTACTTCATTTCCGGCCTTAGTTTTCATCTTTCCTAATCTACACAAATCTCTAGCCTTAGGGAGTGCACTCCTAAACCTCTTCACAGCAGACCTCCTCTCTTCGTGCTCTTACTTTTTTATGAACTCCTCCCCAAGGGGAGAGTCTGAGGCAGTCACTGGGCCATGCTTACTGGTGATCTGATTTCTGTGATGGGAAACCTGTCATGAGCCACATGCAATTTTTTCTCTCTCACTCTGTGTGGTGTTTTGATTGAGAATCAGACACCCTGATGGGGTGGGCCAGGCATTCTCAATCAAGTGGCTGGTTGGGTAGGTAGATTTGGGGGTCTTCTTGAGGGCCAAATTACCTACTTAACTGTCTTTGTACATGACGGAGAATAAATATGAAGCCACAGTGTCCCCTTGGAAAGGAAGGAGGCAGTCTCAGAACACCTTAGTGTTATTTAGCAAATGCTTATTGAGACTTTACCTAGGCTAAGTGCAGAGGCTCTACAGTGAACATACGAGACAAGGAGGGTCTTGCCCTCACGGAGCTTACATTTTAGTGGGGAGAAGTGCAGTAAGAGAACTAATAAATAAACAAGATATTACTGGTGCTGATAAGTCCCCAGAAACAAAGACATAAAGTGACTCAATAGAGAGTAACTGGATGGGTGGTTGGGGATCTATCCAGGAAGGCCTGTTTAAGGGGCTCAAGCCAATCTGAGCCTGCAAGGTGAGGAAGATTGGGGGGAAGGCATTGTTTGCCAGAGGACAGCAAGTCCCAAGTCCCCAGGATGGCAAGGAATTAGATATCATGGGGCTCTCAAGACTCTACCAGTGTGGCTGGAGAACAATGAGTAAGGCAGAACAAGGTACAAGGTGGGGTTTAAGCAAGGGCAGGTACCAGATCTTACAGGGCCTCATGGGCCGCCATAGGGAATGGAAAGATTTTAATATTTTTTAAAAGATTACTTTGGCAAATGGAGACACTGCCATGTGGCCAAGGCCACTAGTTATTTTCCAGTATCCATTTCTCCTTACACAGTGATGGAGTTTTTAGTTGGCTACACGGCCACCCAGCTAAAGATGGCATGGACATTCCAAGTCTCCCTTGTAGTGGGTATGGCCACGCAACAAAGTTCCAGCCAATGGGATGTGACTGGAAATGACACCTGCAATTTCTGGCCAAGCCCATCAAGGGAAGTGCATCTTGTTCTTCCCTTGTGCTGGTGCCTGGCTGGAGGTGGGCCTGATGGTGCGGGCTGTGCTTGAGATGAAGCCACATGTTGAGGATGGCAACGCATGGTAGATGGAAACTGGGCCATTGGTGAGGGAAGCTGCCTCGTCAGCCCCAACTCCCTGGATGTTTTCATGGGTGAGAAAAAAACTTCAATCTTGCTTAATCTTTGTGAAATTGAGTCTCGATTACAGTGAGCACCAGTATCCTAACAGACATTCCAGTTGAGAGTGGGAGGGGGCCCAGGCTGCTGTAGGGGCTGAGGGAGCGGAGACTGCCCCGCCCCCAGCATCCAGAACTATTGCCATTTCCACCATGGTGGCCACTGCCAGCATTGTTCCCAGCAGCTCATGGCCTGCAACTTGGCAGCCTCACAGTGCACATTTTGTGAAAAAAATTAATGAATCACCACCATTATTCCTGTTCCTGATGTAACCAGTCTATTAACTCTCAAATTGGTGGGGCATTACTTTAACAAAAGGCTCCATTTCCCCTGTAAATGCCTTACCTGGGCTCTGTACATACTCCCCTTCCCATCCCTTGAGAATATCATTGACAATTTTCATTACAATATGATGTGGTCTTTTCTGTTGGTGCAAATCCATCTGATTTAAAACCCCACTCTCATGCAAATGAAATATCCTCTCCTCCCTCCTCCCAAGTGTAGTCTCAGCCTGTGACTTATTGAAGGGGAGGAGGCGTAGTCTTACACCCCTTCCCTCCCCTCTGGAAGTCCTGTCCACCCCCATGTTGAGAGTGAGGAAGGAGTAGGGTGACACACATGTCTAAATTTTTACTTAACCAGCTGCTATTGCAGTCCCCTCTTGAGTGGCTGTCACTGTACTAATGGACACAGATGCCCTGTTTGGCAGATGTCCACACCTTGGTTCTCTATGGGATGCACAAGAATCCCACACTGAGGGACTATGAGCTCTCTGGAGGAACCAGCAGGGCCACCCCACATCTCAGGGCAGGTGTTCAACGGGAGAATGAGATGCAGCCTTCCTTGTTTCAGGACATCTAGGCCATCCCCCCACCGCCTTCCAATCTTGGCTTTGGGTGGGGAAGCCGGGAAGGAGGAACCTATCACCTCCCAGCCCTCTGCTTACATAGACTGGTGGGTGCTCTTCCATCAGGGCAGGGCTCAGAGACCTGTTCTCCCAACACTTACTGGTCTCTGAGGGAGTGCCTGCCCCCAAAATGTTGGTAACCCTATTTCGAATAGGGACAACTTAGTGATTCTTTTCTGCAGCTTTGGGTCTAGTTGCCATTTCTGTGGTAACAGGGAAAGTATTTTTCAGCTGTATCACTATCACTGTAGTTAACCTCACAGTCATTAACAATACTGGCCGCATCATTACTAAGGTGGCCACCCACCATTCCTGCCACCATTCCTGCCACACTTACCATGACCACGGCCCCATAACTATTGTGGCTGTCTTCACAAATGTCTCTGCTACAGACCCCATCGCCAGCTCCTGCATCATTGCGATCAGCATCTGCAGGAGGTGGGTAGTACTGATCGCTCTGACAAAAGGACCACAAAATGTCAAATGACTCAGACATAATAGAAGTCTATTTCTCACTTATGTAATTGTTTAAAGCAGGTGTTCTTAGTTGCTGGAGACTTTCCATCATACAATGATTTAGAATTTAGCCCCTACCATCACCTAGGGCCTCCTTGTTGTCTGCAACTAGCCAAAGGGAAGGGAAAGAAGGTGTGGGTGGGCACAGCTGCTTCTCAAGAGCTGTGGGCTGGCTCACTTTCCATGGGTTAGAGCACAGCCCTACAGAACTTAATTACCTAAAGATCTTTGGTTGCAAGCCTCCATGCATGGGAGTCTGGGCTGTGGAGCGGAGATGTGAAGCGAAACAGGTTCTTGGTCAGGACATAGCCATCTCCACCAGGACCGTTCTCAAGCAGATCAGTAGATCTGCTCTGTTCCCAGCCTGTGCTAGACCATCTGTGTGTGCAGTGACAAGAGACTGCAATTTCTATGATCAAAGGCCTTATTAGCCAGGTAAACAGCAGTATGAAGCCACATGCTGGGTTTGGTTATTATTTTGGATTGTTGTATTGCAGCAGACCATAGTATGCTGAGGTGGTTGAAGGGAGTCTTTGGAGGACGGGTAGAATTTCTTTGATTGGTGGAAAGGTGGGGTTTGGGGTGGGGAGGGTGCTTATGCAGGGGAACGGCCAGGGCACGAGTCTGAGTAGTGGAACCTGAGTGGGGGGAGCATCGGAGATGCAAGGATAAGTTCTGAGCCACGGGATGGAGCTGGAATGACAAAGGCCTCGGCCTCTACACCTTTTCAGACCTCTTTAGATTTAATTATCTAAAGTTCTATGGTTGCAAGCAACGAAAACCCACTCTAAGTGAGGCAACCAAATGAACAAACACCACCCTGCAAACCTTCCCGGGTCCCCACATCTGTTGGAAGGCTGATGGAGTGTTCCACAGCAGCAAAGGAAGGCAGGAGGGCCAAGTCCTCGGTGTCAGTGGCGGTGGTGGTGGAACCCAGACCACTGCTGCAGCGACTCCCAGCTTCTGCATCTGTCCTTTCAAAAGTCCTGTTTGAGTGAGGGAGCTTTGCGTTGCCCTGTTTGCTTCTGGCGTCTTCTGGATCAATCGCGGTGGCTGGGGAGCTGCCCATTGCAGGCGGTGCCCCCACCCTGCCCCAAGAAGTGTGCCCTACAGAAGACGCGGCCTGGGCGGCATCAGCAGTCACAAGAACGCCTGCTTTGAAAGTGACTGTTCCTGCACTCGAGCCGCAGCTGGGTGACAGGGTGGGCGAGGTGTGAGCTTCAGAGCCGCTGTTCTGTCACCTGTAGAATGCACATTTGAAAACCATAAAGCACCCGAGAGGATGCATGGGGAGGAGAATGTGTGTGGAGGGGCCAGGCTTGGCTCAGCGTGTTCCCCCACCCCGTGTGTGTTTCCCCAGCTCAGGTGCCCCACGTGACTGCAGAGCCTGGGAGGCAGGTGACCCGGGGGAGCGGTGGAGACTCAGGGCAGTCTCAGCTAAGACCCCTCTTCAACACGCCCCTCTCGGCCTCCCCCGAGAAATGTCCCTGACGTGGCCTGGCGCAGGCCCTGCAGCACGAAGTGGGGGGCAGTGGCGGGGTGGTGCTGGCTGGGTGGGGTGTGTGGGGCTGAGCTGCGGGTGCTGGCCGCGTCTATCTCTGATAGCATCGGCGCTGTGAGCCGTGATGGGGCTGGAAATGGAATTTTCAATTAAGAGTCTCCGCGCGTCCTGGCTTGCATTACACTCTAATTACATTTCAGTCTGATGCGGCACCTCGCTGCGTGAGTCGGGCAGGGCAGGGCCAGCAGGGGCAGCTCCCCCTCTTCTGGCTGTGAGGTCTCTTCTCGCCTCCCGTCGAGCAGTCCCAGGGGTCTTCACATCTCGGCCTCTCTGGGGACTCTCTGGGGCTTGTGTCCCTGCTGGGTGGGCCTACCGGGCCTCCAAGAGTCCTGGGGTGCTACACAGACACAGGGACGCTGGCCCCTGGGCCTTTCACCAGAATTAAATTCAAATGCCTTCTGCTGGCAGAGCCCTCATGCTCTGGGATGCTCCCTACCAGGCCGTCCAGTCTAAAAGAAAAGCTGGAAGAAAGGAGGGCAGAGGTGTGGGCTTGGCCCCCCGGGCTCCGCCTCCCACAGCGAGGTCCTGTTCTCTCAGAATTTCAGCTGAGGTTGGGCTCTGCGAAACTAGCTAAAAAGCTGGCTGGGGCCCGAAAGGGCTGGCCACTGTGCCTGGGGAGCCTGCAGAGGAGACTCCAACATTTGCAGTCTTAAAAAACATACACTTTACATTGTTTTGCTACCTAAACACGCGTTAATGACCAGACAGATCCAGGCCACCTTCCAATCCCAGGAGGTGGAGCAGCTGGGAGATACTAGGCCAGAACCTGTTCCCTGAGAGTGACCTCAGGAGGCCAGGGGGAGGGCTGACCACAGCCGCCCTGGGGACTCGTGGAGGGACACCTAGGCTCCCGCTCTGGAGGCCCTGCCTGGCCTCCACTGAAGCTGCTGCCCTGCTGCACTCAGGGTAGACACAGCAGCACTGTTTTCTTGAAGGCTGGGGTTCCTATTTTTTCTTTTTTTTTTGTCTTGGGCTCTTTCTTGCTTGGGCAATTTTACTGATCACCCACTAACTTAGGAAGTTATGTAAAAGATGTACATGGTTGAACCATTCAATGATGAAAGTTCTTCCATATAGTGAATAACAGAGGGCAGAATTTAAATCCTGAAACTTGGGCACCTTCCAAACTCTACTTTTTGGTCTATTGCTCAATGTGCATGAAATCTAAATGCTTTCTATAATCCCTTTTCTTACCCTTTTTCCATTGCATATCTGACCCAAAAGAACATATTTTTTTTACTCTGTAATTATTATGTTTGTAAAACTGGCTCTAAATACATTAAATCTTTAAGGAGTCTTGGGGAACATTTTTTCTACTGTTTTTATGCACAACTTCCTTATGTTTTTGACCAAGGCAATTTTCTCTTCATTTACTGCTCCCTACATTTGTTGAAGTTTATAGTATTCAAAGCGCTCTTTCTGTTACCAAAAACACTAGGGGTTTGGTCTGGGTCCCGTTGCTCGCCAGAGATGAGTATCGCTAGGGAAGGAGGCTTTTTATTTGGGGACACCAGCCAAGAGAACGGGAATTCAGTTTCAAATCCATCTCCTCGACCTACTACTATTGGGGTTTTTAATAGCAGGGAAGGTGGGGAAACAGGACTTAGGAGGGTAAGGAAGAAATCACAATGAATGAGGGGTGGATGTTATGATCTGGTGAGTTTCAGTCCCTTGCCTGAGGGTTGGTTTCCCAGGAAGGAAGTCAAGTAAGACAATTCTTTTTTTTTTTTTTTTTGAGACAGATTCTTGCTCTGTTGCCAGGCTGGAGTGCAGTGGCGCGATCTTGGCTCACAGCAACCTCTGCCTCCCGAGTTCAAGTGATTCTCCTGCCTCAGACTCTTGAGTAGCTGGGACTACAGGTGCGCCACCACGCCCGGCTAATTTTTGTATTTTTAGTACAGACAGGGTTTCACCATGTTGGCCAGGATGGTCTCAAACTTCTGACCTCAGGCGATCTGCCTGCCTCGGCCTCCCAGAGTTCTGGCATTACTAAGTTTCAAGTTGTAAGACCAGGGAGGGTCAATTTCTATGTTTATTCAAAAAACCTGTACATATCAGGCCCATAGGACCATTGGGCCAGTTTCATTTCCAGCAGGAAGCTGCTTCCTCACGGAGGCGTCCATGGTCATGTACTGCCCGTCTCCCTTCCCCTCCACCCCTCCTCCCGCTTCAGTGGCCAGTCCTCTTACCTCCCGAGACCAGGGCTGTGGAGTCTGTGGGGGCTGTGGAGGGTTTCTGCACCCTCGTGGGGCCAGGCTGCCTGGGATCCAGGGTTGGCCCTGTGGTCCAATGTGTTGTGTGACCGTGGACAGGCCCCTTTCCCTCCCAGCCCCTTAAACTTTCCACCTGAGAAGGAGGGTTTTTGGGGGTCTGGACAGTTCCTGCATCATGAACCACCTTGTACATGATGAAAGCTACGGACTCTGCTCAGAAAAATCCCCACTTAGCCTCATTTCGTTTGGGTTTAAGGGTTCACAGACTCTGAAATCATCCAGTTAAAAACCTGTGACTAGATGGGATGGTCTTCAAGGTGTGTGGCTCTGAGGTTCTGTGTGTTTTTTTGATGCTGAGGCTGGAGCTTGAGCTTCTGAAAGCTGAGAGCAGAGAGCACACACAGCTATTCCCTAGGACTGTGAAGAAACCTGCCCCCTACTTCTCACCCCTGACCCCAGCACTGGGGCGATAGACACCCACTGTGGACAGAGGATTGGGCCCTTTGCTGCTGGGCCTTGTTGGCTGCTGCCCTGATGATGGTGTCTGGGGTGAAACTCAGTTGTCAAGGTGTCCCCCTCTGTCATATGAGGTCCAGCCATTCCCTAGGTGAATCCTTTCCTCCCTGGTGGGGGTTCCCAGGCGGTTGGATGCTGAGCCAGCCACTCCATCTGCCACCTTCTTCCTCTCTTGGGTCTGGTCAAGGGAGACTGAACACAAATGTCTCAGTCAACTGGAGCCAAGGGTCTGTGTCCTCAGGGACTTTCTGCCAATGGCTGCTCTGGAAGACTGAGACTCATCCTTCTGGACTTTGGCACCCACCTGGCCCTGTCCTGACCTCCCAGGGAGCACAGGCAGGGCCTGGGGCTGAAGCTGCCTGTAGGTCACTGCAGGGCTCTGCCTCCTGGGAAGGGTGACCCATCCAGTGAGGTGAGAATGAGTAGGCGCTGGCTGAGAGAGCCCTTTGTCTCCTTTCCCCTAACATCACCCAGAAGCCACTGCCAGGGGTACAGTCCTCACTGCTGTCCTGAGCTGGGGCCAGGGAGAGTGGCTGGGGCACGCCTCGGCTCCCAAGGTAACTAGGGCTGCTGCTTATCTAGCAGGGTCAGCCATGTACCACACAGCCTCCCCTAGAGGGAAGGACCGCATGACTTTTTGTCCAGCAGGGGAAGAAAAAGATGAAAGATGGAGAAACAGTATCAACAGTCAGGCTTGGGAGACAGGAGGGAGCCGCAGAGGATGGGCTGCTCATGTTGGGGGCTGGGGCGGGGCTGTGTGGAGCAGGGTGTGGGTGTGGAGCCAGTTTGGACTCACATGGGCCTGACTTCAAGTTGTGACTCTGCAACCTATCAGCCGGTGACTTCAGTGGGGTCTGTGCCCTTTCTGAGCCTTAGTTTCTTTATTTGTAAAGTAGGAAGATAATCATGCCTCCCTCCCAGGGTTGCTGAGGGAATTAAAGTGTCTGTAAGGCAGTGCCATGTGGTCACTGCTCTGTCAATGTTCACTTTTATTAAACTGGTGGGAAAGGCAAGGGGCTTAGGAATGGGAGTTTTGATCGCAAGCCAGCCTTTGGTACAGGGTGTGGGGTTGGGTAGGCAGGTTTACATCTCTTCATTTTGTGGTCAACAGAGGGAGAGGCAAAAGAGTACTTTTTACAATATCTAGAAAGAGGTGAAAGGAAGGACTGAAACAGATATCTGTATACCCACGTTCATAGTGCATTATTTACAATAGTCAAAGGTGGAAGCAGCCCAGGTGTCCATCGACAGATGAAGGATAAACAAAACGCAGCATGTACCTGCAGCGAATATGAACCTTGAGGACATTATGTTGAGTGAAAGAAACCAGTCACAAAATACCGTACGATTGCACTTACATGGGGTCCCCAGAATAGGCAAATTCATACAGATGGAAAGTAGAATGGTGGGTGCCAGGGGCTTGGAGGAAGGGGAAGGGGGAATTAGTGTTTTGTGGGTGCAGAGTTTCAGTTTGGAAAGAGGCAGAGTTCTGGAGACGGAAGGTGCAGATGGTTGCACAGCAATGTGAATGCGCTTAATGCCACTTCAACATGGTTAAAGTGGCAAACTTCTTGTGATGCATATTTTACTACATGAACAAACCAGACGTTACAGCTGGGTGGCATTCCCTGTGGGCGGAGGGGAGGGGCTGGCTGACCCCTTAGCTCTGGAGCCTCACTCCCGTTCCGGGACTGTCTTCATTAGGCCCTGCAAGGCCCAGTGCTGATGAAGGCAAGGCCTCTGCCTGCTGGCCGAGCCCCTGGGCAGGCGTATCTTAAGGCAGCCCCTCCAGTGCCAGCCCTGCTTCCAGCTCCTCTCCAGAAGCCCCTCATTTATTAGGAGAGTGCTTCCTGCTGTCTTCTCCAACCCCATTGGCAGCCCGGTTGAGCACCGGGGGCTGGCACTCTTGTTGACCCAGGCAGCCAGGGCTGGTACAGCCGCAGGCCCGGCCTCACAGCCGAGCTATCCTGGCAGCTGGAGGCCTCCGGGGCCAGGGGCCGGCTCCGGGTCCAGAAATAGGGCGAGCAGGTGGCGCGGGGGAGCGGGCTTGTCAGGCAGCGCTCTGAAGTACCAGCTCTGCTCCGCCAGGGGGAGATAGAGCCCCGCAGTTGGCTCCGCGGCTTGCGCGGCCGTAGCCAGAAAGCTGCTTCGGAGCTGGGGTCGGGAACCCGGCTCTGGGCCTGACCAGATTCCCCTAGCCCCCATCTGATCCCTGCAGGGCTCCCAGGCCCCGACCTGCGCTGTGCGTGGCCCTCGCCAAAACCAATGCCTCGGGTATCTATTAATATTGGCTATGAAACAAAGCAACCCCCAAACTCAGTGGCTTAAAACTACCATTTTATTCTCGCACGTTTCTACGAGTTCTTCTGATCCACGTGGTGTCGACTGGGGCTGCTGCATTTGCAGGCTCGGCTGGCTGACACCCCAGGGGGCTGATCCTCCCACTGGGCTGGCCCTCCCACGGGGCTGGTCTTCCATGAGCTGGTCCTCCCAGGGGGCTGGTCCTCCACAGGCTGGTCCTCCCACGGGGCTGGTCCTCCACAGGCTGGTCCTCCCACGGGGCTGGTCCTCCACGGGGTTGGTCCTCCCACAGGGCTGGTCTTCCACGGACTGGTCCTCCCACGGGGCTGGTCCTCCACGGGATTGGTCCTCCCACGGGGCTGGCCCTCCCGGGGCTGGCAGTGGTGCTGACTGTCGACTGGGAGCTGGCTGGGGCTCCCGACCGTAGTCAGTGCCCACGCGAGCCGCTCCTGTGGCTGTGCTCCTCCAGGGAGGACCCTAAAAGCCAGTGTTGAGGAGGGGAGAAGAGGAAGTTCCTCCGCAAGGCGAGACCCAGATAGGCACAGAGCCACTGCCGCAGACTCCTGCTGACCTCTCAGGGCCAGGCCGACCCAAGGGCAGGAAAACAGATGCCGCCTCTTGGAGAGAGGGACGAGGAATTTGGCGGCCGGCTTTAACCTTCCCTAGAGCTTGATGTCTCCGGGCCTCGGTTTCCCGTCCGCCAAATGGAGCCCTATGCTACGAGAGCTACCACTTATTCCACCAGACTTTTACAGATCTTTACAACCCCCAGGAGAGGGTCAGAGGCAGAGAGCAGGCTTCGAGGGAGCCAGGGAGGCTCTTGCTTAGGTAGCTGGCTAGGAGTTAACTTTCCCAGGGACAAAAGCCACATTCATTGGAAGCTTTTGAGGTACCAGGTTGTGTGCTTTACTTTCATTACCTTTAATCTTCAAAGTAACCCTGTAAGGTGAGTAAAATTGCCCCCATTTTATAGATGACAAAGCTGAACCCCTGTTAGTGAGTTGCAGGACTCACCCCCTTCTCCAAACCCCTGTTAATGACTTGCAGGACTCACCCCGCTAGAGAAGGGGAGAGCAGTCTCTACATTCCAGGGGGCCTTTCTCTGAGAAGCATGTGCTTCTGCCAACGCACTGCCTGCCCAGAAAGCAAAGCCCTACTGTGTTTGTAGCTCAGGAATCTTCACAGCAGGAGGACAAGGATGACTGGCATGCGAAGGGCCCTTCTGAGCCATTTATGGCAGGGAGTGGAGGAGCAGGGAGCTGGCTGGCTGGGAGGATTCTGGAAGGATGGGCTGTGTGGGAGAATCATGTGCAGTTGGGGAATGCCATCTGACTGCTGTCTCTGAAGGAAGGGCCAGACATGGGAAGATAGCACTGAATTTACAGTATGAGGGATTGGGATTCATCTCAAGATAGTGGTTGAAGAAAAAGGTTCTCCCCCGATGTTAAAGGAAAAGACCTTTATTCTGTTGGGGCATGTATAATGCAGACATAGAAGAATATACTGATATTGTAACAGAACTCACAACAGAATATACTGCTATTGTAACAGAACTCACTTATCCTTAGTAATGCCCTTTACACTGAAATTGTCCCGTTTGGGCAACTGAAAAATGAGTATGACCATTGCCTGCTGTCGGGGGCAGGGCATTGCCACAGCAGAATTGGAGAGCCAAAAACTCAAATTCTCAGGTATGACATGACAAATAGGAAGAAATGTGATCAGTCAGAAACAGTTTCTCCTCAAGCTCTGTTGCTCAGAGATAACCACTGATGTCACTTGCATAGTTTTTGATGTTTTCTGCGTGCAGGAATTTTTCACAGGGCTGTATGCAGCCTACCTGGATGTATAATATTGCCTCTTGTGTTTCTGTCTCTTTTCTTTATTTAACATTATAGACCTTTTCATCATGATGTAAACCTCACAGTTACTTTGTGATGTGGACAATTTTTCTTCCATTCTATTAATGAAAACTGGAGTCTCAGAGAGGTCCTGCAGTTTGCGCAAGATCCCACAGCTAGTGAACAGCAGATTTGAGACACACGTCTAGGTCTCTGATGGACTGAACTCCTTCTGCTCTGCCAGCTGCTTCCTATAATCCGGGGCACCCCTGTCGGCCTGGTGTTTGGAGGCAGGTGGGGAGAGGGTAGACCCCCAAGGGCTTTCCATTTGCTCACATGCTTGAGTTGTGTGGACCAGGTATTAATGGATTCTCTGTGTATCTTAGGTTGTTTGCAGTGAATGGGCTGCCTGTTCTTTGGTTCCAGCTTAGTTTAGAAATGTGGTAGCTATTATATTGGGCCACCCAGCAGGGACCTCCCTTTTCTTCCTTTTTTGGGTAAGATACCTGGTCCTCAGGTCTTCTGCAGATCACAGGGATTGGCACGAGTTTTTCCCCAGGATTTTTCTCCTGTTGGTAGTGGAAAGACTGTCTCTTCCCATGGGGTCGCAGTCCTGGAAGAATGTGACTCTGGGTTGCCAGCAGAATGGCTCACCAAGGGCATGACCTGCATCCTGGATTCAGTTGTGTGGGATGCCATCAACCCCACTCCCACCCCATCCTTCTCAGTTATATGACTGAGCACATCCTTTTGTGATGGAACAAGTCAGTGCGGGGTTTTTGTCACGTGCAATCAAGGGTCTTGAACAGAACAGGAGTCATTCATTATAACCAACAGCAACTTACTCAAACTAACTCATGTATAAAAGTTTGTGTGTGTGTGTGTGTGTGTGTGTGAGTACGTAGGGAATTCTTTTGGCATTGAGGAACAGGACATACAACTTGACCTTGTGAGAAATGGGGAGTCAGGAGGGAGTTCCTCAGGCCATCTTTCCTCCTCTGTTCCTTTGGGGTCTCAGTTTCACCACTGCATCCCTCTGGGTTTCTGCTCCACTCATCTATTTTCCTCTGTAGACTGGCTGGTCTGTGACTTGTTGGATGCTCTGGTACCTAAGCTCATCTGTGGCTTTGGACAGCCTTGGTGCCCACGATGGTCCTGATCCTCAAGGTCTGCATCTCAGCCACACCTGCAGGATCTCCTGGTGTGCTGTGCTAATTACATGGACCCAGGAGGAAAGCAAAAATGCATATCTAGTCCTGGGTCAATCATCTGTGGACAGAAGCATGAGGTCATGGGTATAGTCACGGTTCCATAGACCACCTCTTCAGCAAAGGCCATGGGTGGAGCATTTTCTCTTAGTGGGAATGATAGGGAGGCAGCCATGGCATGCCTGGTGCAGAGTGGCTGACACTGGTTGTCCCAGATTCCCCTGTGGTCAGAGGTCCCGTGGCCTTCAGTGGTCTGAGTCATCCTGCCATGCTTCCTCATGCCATAAGGGAGACCCTCACCATCTAGTTCCCATCCTCGCGCTTTCATCCTAGTGACTGGAATCCTCCCCTACATGCCACTCTTCCCACACTTCCATCCACCACCATGACTGAGTGGATTCTCCCCAGCAGGTGCCACACTGTGTGGCTTTGCCCTCCTGCTGGTCTCTCTGACCCAGCACTGCTTCTGTCTTTGATAGCCAGAAAGATCCAGCTCAGCTGCCCACTTCCCATGATAACCTTTCTTGATTTCAAAACTTTCCTCTCTCTGCTCCCTAGTCTCTCCTTGCTTCCTCTAGTAGAGTATTCATTACAGTGAGTTATAATAACGTTTTTCTTTTGTCTGTCTCCCACACTAGGCAGTAATTTAGTATGATGTAATGGGAAGACTTTGGCATAAAAAAATCCTGAGTTCAAATTATGACCCAGTTATACTACACATTAGCCGTATGTCTATGATGAGTGATTCAACCTTTTTGAGTGTTAATTCCTAATTTGCAAAATACAGACAATAATGGTGCCCACCTCATAGGCCTATTGTGAATACTAAATAAGATAAATATATAAAGTGAGTTGCATTGTGCCTTTATTGAAGGCAGGGACAATGCTTAACTCATCTTTTCTTCCTCAGTGCCAAGCATGGGGACTATCATATAGGAGACTTTGTACAACTTTGTTGAATGGATGAATGTTTAATTCAAAGAATAAAGAAGCTCTAAGAATGGACTGTTGAATACTGGGATAAAAGGGGATGCTTTGAGGCATATACTAAAAGAGATTGGGAGGTGTCTGTTAGTTGAGAATTCATGATGCATAAGACACCTCATCCCCTAACCTTTCCTAGGCCCATGGAGGTCTATGGTTGCCAACAAAGGAAGGATGGTCACAAAGGAGTTGGTAGGATCAGACTTATCTGTATTGTCTTTGGCTGCATAACAATAGTACCACAAACTTCATAGCTTAAAATATCACCCATTTATTATCTCATAGTTTCTATGGGTTAGGATTCTGGGCACTCTTTAACTGGATTTCTGTAAGACTGCAATCAAGGTATTGACCATGGCTGGGGTCTCATCAGTTCCCTGGAAGCTGCTGGACTAAGAGCCCTAGTTGTGTGCATTGGCTGTGGTAAGAGATTACCCTCTAGTTTCCTGCTACATGGCCCTCCCCACAGGCAGCTTATAACATCACAGTTTGCTTCTTCAAAGTCAGCAGGGGAAAGGGAGAGACTGCAATAGAACAGGCACTACTATCTTATGTAATATACCCATATTCAGAAATCAGGTACACATATGCCTGTAAGCCCCATCACCTTTGGCATATTCTATATGGTTAGAAGCAGGTCACGGATCCTTCCCACACACGAAGGGAATAAACATTAAGAGTCAGAGAAAACAGGGGACCATCTTAGACTCAGTGTATCATATCATTTCACATTAAACAACTATAAAATTGAACAAAATATTTGAAGCAACTACTTTTGGACACGGAACAGAGGACAGCATTGGACTGTATACCCCGAGAAGAGCACAGGAGGTGAGCTCCACATTGACCCTGGTTTTCTGCATGGGGGCAATTTTAAGCCACAGCTTAGGAAAATAGAGCTTAAATAGAAGGTGATCTTGCTGAGCAGAGGAAAAAGAGATAGAAATTTGGGGCTGCCAGGTGGCTGGAATTTTAGGGGTGCGGCACCAGAGAGGAGGGAACCTTGGAAAAGAAGCCCTGGAAATCCTTAAGAGCTTGGCCAAATCCCAATTTGCTCATATTTAGCAAAAGACTGAGAAGCCAATAACAGCTGCTGGGGGACTGTGGCAGATTGAATTTTGTAAAGATGGTCAAACAATATCTGTCATCCCACATGCTCTTTAAAAATATGACTTTGGCATGCTCCCATCAAGAAATGGAGTCTGTTTCTCTCCTTTTGAGTCTTGATAGACAGTGACTGCTTTGTAGAGCAAAGACAAGTCAATTTTGCTCTGCACAAATTCCTGATCAACAGAAGCTGAGAGCATAATAAAATGGCTTTTGAAGTTGCTAAGTTTTGGGAGTAATCTGTTACACAACAACAGTAACCAGAACATAGAATTAGAGCTGAGAAGAGTTTTCCAAGGTTGCAAAGTGCTGGGGAGATATTGGAGTTCTGACCCCAGCTTAGCTGCCTTGTTGAACACACTTGACATTCAGTATGAACTCCAGAAAAACAATATCTAAGGTATAAAGATAACATCCCTGGTGGAAAACACTGTAATATCAAGAATAAACCTGAGATAGACCTTCACTGCCAGTAACTTGACTACCTAGCAGAACAAAACTTAGCATTATTTGGAGGTAGATAACCCAGAACTTCTACAGATATCATTGATAAGGTCCAGCATACAATAAAAAATAACCAAACATAAAAAAACAGGAAAACATGACCCATAATAATGAAAATGAAGTTATAGAGGTAGACTCACAGATGACCGAAAGGTTGGAATTAGAAATAAGAATCACAGTAATGAGTAATTTAAAAAATTATAGAAAAGTGGACATAATGGTGAACAAATAGAAAATTTTATCAAAAAAATGGAAACAGAAATTCTAGAACTGGAAATTATCTTCCTTGAAATTAAGAATTCATTGAGGTGACAATATTAGACTGGATAATTGAAGAAAGGATCAGTGAATTAAAAGACGGGTCAATAGAAATTATACAAACTGAAGAATAAAAAGAAAAGAGAAAGTAAAAAGCAAACATAACAACCATCACGTACAGAATGCCTAAGACTGATCATTGTCAAGCAGTCTAACATATGAACAACTGGAGCCTCAAAATAGAAGAAAGAGAAAAAATACTTGAAAACATAATAATTGAACATTTCCAATATTGATGAAGAATATCAACTACAGATCGCAGAAACTCAGCAAATATCAAGCAGGAAAAATATTTAAACACAACATAGTCAAACTGCTGAAAACCAAAGGTAAATCTGACATCCCATTAGGAAAAATGGAATAAGAACACAATGAAATGACATTTAAAAAACGTTAAAATAAAACAGAAAGCCAAGAATACTATATCTGGTGAATATATCCTCCAAAAATTAAGGGAGAAAAAGAAAGGTGTTTTAAACTAAAAGTCAGAGCAATTTGTGGCCCTCAGAATTATGCTACAAAAACACCAAAGAAAGTTCCTTGGGCTAAATGTGAAGTATTATAGTTTAACAAGAAAAAAAAAAGAGCACTGGAAATTGTAATATGTGGGTAAATACAAAAAAAAATTACATTTTTTTCTTAAAGGACTATTGATTATTTAAAACAACAATACAAATATGCAATGAAATTAATAACATATGTAGAAGTAAAATATATGGCAACCAAAGCACAAAGGGAATAATGGGGGATAATTGAAATTATGCTGTTATAGTTTTTATATTTGATAAGCATTCTATAATAGTAATCCAAGCCAGGCTGTGATAAATTGAGGAGGCCTACTATAATCCTTGGAGAAGCAATTTAAATTACAACAAGTTACAATTAAAAAAGCAACTAGAGGCCAGGCGCAGTGGCTCACACCTGTAATCCCAGCATTTTGGGAGGCCAAGGTGTATGGATCACTTGAGGTCAGGAGTTTGAGAACAGTCTGGCAAATATTGGTGAAACCCTGTCTCTACTAAAAATACAAAAATCAGCCAGGCGTGGTGGTGCATACTTGTAATCCCAGCTACTGGGGAGGTTGAAGCAGGAGAATCACTTGAACCTGAAAGGTGGAGGTTGCAGTGAGCCGATATCATACCACTGCACTACATCCTGGGCAACAGAGTGAGACTGCGTACCAAAAACAAAACAACAACAACAGCAAACAAGCAAACAAACAAACAAAAAACCCAAAGCAATACAACAACAACAACAAAAAGCAAATAGAGTAGACAAAATGAAAGATGTAAAACTCTTTGGTTAATCCAAAAGAAAATAGGAAAAACGGCACATAGAAACAAAGTACCAAAGAACAGATGGAACAAATAAAAAACAAAAGCAAGATGGCAGATTGAAACATAACCATAATGGTAATTACATTAAGTAAAAATGAACTATAAACTTGCATGAATTATCTATTGCTGAAAAACAACTTACTCCAAAACATAGAGGCTTAAAATAACAAACATTTTTGTTTCACACTTTCAGTAGCTTAGGAATTCGGGAGAGACCTAGCTAGGTTGTTATGGCTCAGGATTTATTATGAAACACCAATCAGGATGTCAGCAGAAGCTGTAGAGAACTGGGGCTTGATGGGACCTGGAGGATCTGTCCCTAGATGGCTCACTCACATGGCCAGTGACAGGAGACCTCTGCCTCTCAAGAGCCTTTCCAATGACTGCTTCAATATTTTCATGACCTGGCATCTAACTGCCCAGAGGGAGCAGTCCAATGGACAGAGCAGAGAAGCCACAGTGCCTTTTAGGACTTAGTCTCTTAATTCATAGACCATCACTTAAGCTTTATTCTGTATCTTGGAAGGGAGTCACTAAGTCTAGCCTGCACTCAAGGGAAGAAAACTGGGCTCCACCTTTTGAAGGGAGTAATATATAAAAAAAGTGGGTAGGTGGGGCAAGGTTGGCCGACTAGAAGCAGCGGTGATTGGAGGCTCTCATCAAAAAGAACCATAATTTGCATGTGATTCCTGCACCAGCAACCAAGGTATCAAGATTCTCTTATCAGAACTGACTAGGCGGCTGGCATGATCCACGGAGAGGAAGGAAGAGCAATGTGGTGAGTGGCCCATCTGAGAGCCAAATGGGGCAGGCAAGCATTGACCTCCCAGCCAAGGGAGGCGGTGAGTGAGGGTGCTACCTAGCTGAGGAAACTGTGCTTTTTCCACAGAACTGTGCAACCATGGATTGGAAGATCCCACTCGCGAATCCATGCCACGGGGGCCTAGAGCCCCAACCCCAGAACCATGCAGATTCTCAACAGCTTCTCAGCTAGAATCTGTTTAAGCCTGCCAAGCTCCTTGGGGGAGGGGCCACCAGAACCACAGCTGTGGCTGCCAGCTGTCTGAGCCATTTGAGCTCTTTAGGGGAGGGGCAGCAGCCAGCAAGGGATCTCATAACTGCCTAACACGCTGAGCTCCCTGGGCAGGGGAAGGGTGGCATCCATCTCTAAAGCTCCAGGCCATGCTTTTCCCCTGCTGGAGCCAGGGGGGTTGGATGACTTGGTTGCAAGAGGTGTCTCCCCCAGCCCAACACACCGGTTGTGGCAGACTGTGGTCAGAGCGCCTCTTCAGGCCTGTCCCTGTCCCATCCTTCCTCAATGGGTGGGGCCTCCCTGCAGGAACTCCAACACCTACAGCCAGAGGCTCAGGGACAGAGAACCCTGACTTCCCTGGGCCTGAGCCCCTAGTGGGAGGGGTGGCCGCAGTCTCTGCAGACCACCAGACTTAGCCTCTCCTGCTGGTAGTTGTGAGGAATTCGGGCAGCCCAGATGAATGGGTTTTCCCCTAGCAAAGTGCACCCACTTCACCAAGGGACAGTCAAAGTGCTTCTTTAAATGGGTCCTGTTCCCCATGCCACCCAACTGGGTAAGACCCTCCAGTAGGGGTTGTCAGACACCCTATACTGCAGCAATCCTACTGGCATCAGGTTACTGCCCCTCGAGGTCAGAGATCCCAGAAGAAGGAGAAGGCACCCATTTTTGCTGTTCTTCAGCCTCCTTGAGGAACATCTCCAGGTGTGGGAGTGAGACGGATGAATAGGGACTGAAGTGAACCCCCAGCAAACTGCAGCAGCCCTATAGAAGAGGGAGTTGACCATTGAAATAAAAACAAAAAATAAAACAGAAAGTGACAACAGCATCAACAACAACAAAAATGTCCCCACAAAACCCCATCCAAGGGTAAGCAGCCTCAAAGATCTAAACTAGACAAACTCATGAAGATGAGAAAGAATCAATGAAAAAACGCTGAAAATCCAAAAGACCAGAGTGCCTCTTCTCCTCCAAGTTATCGCAGTGTCTCTCTAGCAAGGGCACACAACTGAATGGAGGATGAGATGGACAAACTGACAGAAGTAGGCATCAGAAGATAGGCAATAAAAAACCCTGCTGAGCTAAAGGAGCATGTTCTAACACAATGCAAAGAAGCTAAGAACCTTGATAAAAGATTAGAGGAGGTGCTAATTAGAATAACCAGTTTAGAGAGGAACATAAATGACCTGATGGATCTGAAGGACACAGCGCAAAAACTTTGTGAAGCAGAAACAAGTATCAATAGCTGAATCGACCAAGTGGAAGAAAGGATAACAGAGTTTGAAGACCACCTTGCTGAAATAAGGCATACAGACAAGATTAGAGAAAAAAGAGTGAAAAGGAACAAACAAAGCGTCGAAGAAATATGGGACTATGTAAGGCTGAACCTGAAGGAGATAGGAAGAATGGAAACAAGTTGGAAAACACACTTCAAGATATTATCCAGGAGAACTTCCCCAATTTAGCAAGACAGGCCAACATGCAAATTCAGGAAATAGAACACTACTAAGATACTCCATGAGAAGATCAACCCCAAGACACATAATCATCAGATTCTCCAAGGTTGAAATGAAGAAAAAAATGTTAAGGGCAGCCAGAGAGAAAGGCCGGGCCACCTACAAAGGGAAGCCCATCAGACTAACAGTGGACCTCTCAGCAGAAATCCTACAAGCCAGAAGAGATTGGGGGCCAATATTCAACATTATTAAAGAAAAGAAGTTTCAACCCAGAATTTCAAGTCCAACCAAACTAAGCTTCATAAGTGAAGGAGAAATAAAATCCTTTCCAGACAAGCAAATGCTGAAGGATTTCCTCACCACCAGGCCTGTCTTCCAAGAATTCCTGAAGGAAGCACTAAATATGGAAAGGAAAAACCAGTACCAGCCACGGCAAAAAAAAACCAAATTATAAAGACCAATGACACTATGAAGAAACTGCATCAACTATTGTGCAAAATAACCAGATAGCATCATGATGACAGGATCAAATTCACACATAACAATACTAACCCTAAGTGTAAATTGGCTAAATGCCGCAACTAAAAGACACAGACTGGCAAATTGGATAAGAAGTCAAGACTCATTGGTGTGCTGTATTCAGGAGACCCATCTCATGTGCAGAGACACACATAGGCTCAAAATAAAGGGATGGAGGAAAATTTACCAAGCAAATGGAAAGGAAAAAAAAAAAAGCAGGGGTTGCAATCCTGGTCTCTGACAAAACAGACTTTAAGTCAACAAAAATAAAAAAAAGACAAAGGGCATTATGTAATGGTAAAGGGAACAATTCAACAAGAAGAGCTAACTATTCTAAATATATGTGCACCCAATACAGAAGCACCCAGATTCATAAAACAAGTTCTTAGAGACCTACGAAGAGACTTAGATTCCCACACAATAATAGTGGGAGACTTTAACACCCCACTGTCAGTATTAGACAGATCAGCGAGACAGAAAATTAACAAGGATATTCAGAACTTCAACTCAGTTCTGGATCAAGTGGACCTAGTAGACATCTACAGAACTCTCCACCCCAAATCAACAGAATATACATTCTTCTCAGTGCCATATGGCACTTATTCTAAAATCGACCACATAATTGGAAGTAAAACACTCCTCAGGAAATGCAAAAGAACAGAAATCATAACAAACTGTCTCTCAGACCACAGTGCAATCAAATTAGAACTCAGGATTAAGAAACTCACTCAAAACCACACAATTACATGGAAATTGAACAACCTGTTCCTGAATGTCTCCTGGGTAAATAATGAAATTAAGGCAGACATCAAGAATTTCTTTGAAACCAGTGAGAACAAAGAGACAATATACCAGAATCTCTGTGACACAGCTAAAGCAGTGTTAAGAGGGAAATTAATAGCACTAAATGCCCACCTCCGAAAGCTAGAAAGATCTCAAATCAGCACCCTAACATCACAATGAAAAGAGCTAGAGAGGCAAGAGCAAACCAATCTAAAAGCTAGCAGAAGACAAGAAATAACTAAGATCAGAGCAGAATTGAAGGAGATAGCGACATGAAAAACCCTCCAAAAATCAATGAATCCAGGAACTGGTTTTTTGAAAAAATTAACAAAATAGATAGACTTCTAACCAGATTATTAAGGAGGAAAAGAGAGAAGAATCAAATAGGCACAATAAAAAATGATAAAGGGGATATCACCACTGACCCCACACAAATACAAACTACCATCAGAGAATACTATAAACACCTCTACACAGATAAACTAGAAAATCTAGAAGAAATGGATACATTCCTGGACACATACACCCTTCCAACACTAAACCAGGAAGAAGTTGAATCCCTGAACAGACCAATAACAAGTTCTGAGATTAAGGCAGTAAATTAATAGCCTAACAACCAATAAAAAGCCCAGGACCAAATGGATTCACAGCCAAATTCTACCAAAGGTACAAAGAGGAGCTGGTACCATTCCTTCTGAAACTATTCCAAACAATTGAAAAGGAGGGATTCATCTCTAACTCATTTTATGAAGCCAGAATCATCCTGATACCAAAACCTGGCAGAGACACAACAAAAAAAGAAAACTTCAGGCCAATGTCCCTGGTGAACATCGATGTGAAAATCCTCAGTAAAATGCTGGCAAACCGAATCCAGTAGCACATGAAAAACTTATCTGTCATGATCAAGTTGGCTTCATCCTTGGGATGCAAGTCTGGTTCAACATACACAAATCAATAAACGTAATCTATCACATAAACGAACCAAAGAGAAAACCCACATGATTATTTCGATAAATGCGGAAAAGGCCTTTGATAAAATTCAACATCCTTTCATGTTAAAAACTCTCAATAAACTAAGTGTTGATGGAACATATCTCAAAATATTAAGAGCTATTTATGACAAACCCACAGCCAATATCATATTGAATGGGCGAAGGCTGGAAGCATTCCCTTTGAAAACTGATACAAGACAAGAATGCCCTCTCTCACCACTCCTATTCAACACAGTATTGGAAGTTCTGGCCAGGGCAATCAGGCAAGAGAAAGAAATAAAGGGTATTCATATTGGAAGAGAGGAAGTCAAATTGTCTCTGTTTGCAGATGACATGATTGTATATTCAGAAAACCCCATCATCTCAGCCCAAAATCTCCTTAAGCTGATAAGCAACTTCAGCAAAGTTTCAGGATACAGAATCAATGTGCAAAAATTGCAAGCATTCCTATACACCAAAAATAGCAAGCAGAGAGCCAAATCATGAATAAACTCCCATTCACAATTGCCACAAAGAGAATAAAATACCTAGAAATACAGCTAACAATAGATGTGAAGGACCTCTTCAAGGAGAACTACAAACCACTGCTCAAGAAAACAAGAGAGGACACAAACAATGGAAAAACATTCCATCCTCATGGATAGGAAGAATCAATATCGTGAAAATGGCCATACTGCTCAAAGTAATTTATACATTCAATGCTGTTCCCATCAAACTACTATTGACATTCTTTACAGCATTAGAAAAACTACTTTAAATTTTATATGGAATCAAAGAAGACCCCTTAAAGCCCAGACAATCCTAAGCAAAAAGAACAAAGCTGGAGGCATCATGCTACCTGACTTCAAAGTATACTACAATGCTACAGTAAACAAAACAGCATGGTACTGGTACCAAAACAGACATATAGACCAATGGAACAGAAGAGACCTCAGAAATAACACCACACATTTACAACCATCTGATCTTCGACAAACCTGACAAAAACAAGCAATGGGGAAAGGATCTCCTATTCAATAAATGGTGCTGGGAAAAGTACATTAAATTTTCTGCTATCCATATGCAGAAAATGGAAACTGGACCCCTTCCTTACACATTATACAAAAATTAACTCAAGATGGATTAAAGACTTAAATGTAAAACCCCAACCATAAAAGCCCTAGAAGAAAACCTGGGCAATACCATTCAGGATATAGGCACGGGCAAAGACTTCATGATGAAATCACCAAAAACAATTGCAACAAAAGCCAAAATTGACAAATGGGATCTAATTAAATGAAAGAGCCTCTGCACAGCAAAAGAAACCATCATCAGAGTGAAAAGGCAGCCTACAGAATGGGAGAAAATTTTTGCAATCTACCTGTCTGACAAAGGTCTAATATCCAGAATTTACAAGGAACTTATGCAAATTTACAAGAAAAAACAAACAATCCCATTAAAAAGTGAGAAAAGGATATGAACAGATACTTCTAAATAGAAGACATTTACGTGGCCAACAAACGTTGAAAAAATGCTCAACATCACTAATCATTAGAGAAATGCAAATCAAAACCACAATGAGATACCATCTCACACCAATCAGAATGGCAATTATTAAAATCAAGAAACAATAGACGCTGGCAAGGCTGTGGAGAAACCAAAACGCTTTTACACCGTTGGTGGGTATGTAAATTAGTTCAACCATGTGGAAGACAGTATGGTGATTCCTCAAGGATCTAGAATCAGGAATACCATTTGACCCAGCAATCCCATTACTGGCTATATACCCAAAGGAATAGAAATCATTCTACTATAAAGACAAATGCACACATATGTTTATTGCAACACAATTTGCAATAGCAAAGAGTTGGAACCAACCCAAATGCCCAACAATGATAGACTGGATAAAGAAAATGTGGTAAATATACACCATGGAATATTATGCAGCCATAAAAAGGAATGAGATCATGTCCTTTACAGGGACATGGGTGAAGCTGGAAGCCATCATCCTCAGCAAACTAGCATAGGAACAGAAAACCAAACATCACATGTTCTCACTCATAAGTGGGAACTGAACAATGAGAACACATGGACACAGGGAGGGGAATAACACACATCAGGGCCTGTTGGGGGTGGGAGGCAAGGAGAAGGAACTTAGAGGATGGGTCAATAGGTACAGCAAACCACCAAGGCACACGTATACCTATGTAACAAACCTGAACATTCTGCACATGTATCCCGGAACTTAAAGTATAAAAAAAAATGCTAAAAGAAGTGAAGACTTTTTGGTGATTTTTAAATTGTAAAATATACAAAAGATTTACCATTTTAACACTTTTTAAACATACAATTCAGTGGCATTAGTACATTCACAATGGGTAGCCATCACCACTATCCATTTCCAGAACTTTTTCGTCGTTCCAAACAGAAGCTCTGTACCCATTAAACAGTAACTCCCCATTCTTCCCTCCACCAATCCTCTGGTAACTTTTGTTCTACTTTCTGTCTCTATGAATTTGCCTATTCTAGGTACATCATACACCATTTGCCATTTTGCATCTGGCAAACAATATTTTCAAGGCTTAGCCTTGTTATAGACTATACTAGATTGCACTTTTTAAGGCTGAAGAATATTCCGTTATATGTATACATCATATTTTCATTCATTCATTCATCACTGGACACTTGGTTCTTTCTACTTTGTAGCTATTGTGAATAATGCTGCTACGAACATCAATGTACAAGTACCTGTACACTTCCCCGAGGTGCTCTGTCCCAGGGAGATGGGAGTTTTATCTATAAGCCCCTGATTGGGGCTGCTGCCTTTCTTTCAGAGATGCCCTGCCCTGAGAGGAGGAATCTAGAGAGGCAATCTGGTTACAGAGGCTTTGCAGTGCTGTGGTGGGCTCCACCCAGTTTGAACTTCCTGGGGGCTTTGTTTACACTGTGAGGGGAAACCACCCACTCAAGCTTCAGTAATGGTGGATGCCCCTTCCCCCACCAACCTCTAGCGTCCCAGGTCGACTTCAGACTGCTGTGCTGGCAGCAAGAATTTGAAGCCAGTGGATCTTAGCTTGCTGGGCTCCGTGGGGATGGGATCCACTGAGCTAGACCACTTGGCTCCCTGGCTTCAGCCCCCTTTTCAGGGGAGTGAGCGGTTCTGTCTCACTGGCGTTCCAGGCACCGCTGGGGTATGAAAAAACCAACCAAACAAAAAAACTGCAGCTAGCTCAGTGTCTGCCCGAAGAGCTTCCCAGTTTTGTGCTTGAAACCCAGGGCCCTGGTGGTGTGGGCACCCAATGGAATCTACTGGTCTGTGGGTTGTGAAGACTGTGGGAAAAGCATAATATCTGGGCTGGAGTGCACCGTTCCTCATGGCACTGTCCCCCACACTTCCCTTGGCTAGAGGAGGGAGTTCCCCAACCCCTTGAGCTTCCCAGGTGAGTCGAAACCCCACCCTGCTTCAGCTCGCCATCAGTTAGCTGCACCCACTGTCTAACCAGTCCCAATGAGATGAGCTGGGTACCTCCGTTGGAAATGCAGAAATCATCCACCTTCTGCGTTGATCTCACTGGGAGCTGCAGACCACAGCTGTTTCTATTTGGCCATCTTGCCAGCCACTCCCCTTTTTATAACTTTTATGTCTTTATTTATATTCTCATTTGTTCATATATTGTTTTCCTGATTCCTTTTAGTTCTTTGTGGTTTTGTTTGTCTCTTTGAGCATACATAATATAGTTGTTTTAAAGTCTTTATGTACTAATTCTGATGTCTGGGCTTCTTCACGAATGGTTTATGTTATTTATTTTGCTTCTTTGAAGAAGCCATATTTTCTTGTTTTTCTTTCTTCTATGCATTGTGAGTTTTTATTAAATACTGGGTATTTGACTGTTACAATGTGGTAACTCTGAAAAACAGATTTCCTTCTTTTCCCAACATTTGCTCTTTTTTATTCTAATTGTCAAAGGCTGTAGTAGTTTCTTTTGAGGATTTTTCAAACTATTTCTGCAAAGCCCTTGTCATGTGTGATCACTTTGTTATGTAAGCTTGGTTTAGCTAATGTTTTCAGAGAGTTTTTTGAATGTGTGGAGCTCAAACAAGCAAACAATAGCCCTCCCCCCCAGTAGAAGCCTAAAAGAGTGAAAAACCTCCTCTTCTAGTCTTTGTAGATGGGCTTTGTGCTGGGACACTCCTTTGCTACTTAGATAGGCTTGCTCTGAGTCTAGGAGTCAGCCTGAGGTGAAAACTTAATGTCATCTCAGATCTTTCCTGAGCATGCATCTTGTTTGACCATGTGTGGACTACTGACTTCTTCCATATATGTGGCTGCTTTTGTATGTCCTAATTTTCCAAAGAGTCTCACCCCAGCTTCTCCTCTGGGCCTTAGATGGTCTGTTGTACGTCTCCATTTGTAATCTGTTGCCCAAAACATCTGTTGACTTGTAGTTCCCTGTAGCTTTACAAACTACTAGGGGAAAAGTGCCCACTGCTCTTTCTTCCTGCATTCAGTTATGCCATACAGAGATGAGCACCCTACCTCAGTCCTCTAGGTATTCCCTAGCCAGGTTATAACAGATGTACATAGTAATTTGCAAATAGGGTCTGCTCTATTCCTTCTGGTTTGAGGGAAAGGAGTGGAGACTGGGATCCTGACACTCAAGACCAGGCTGCTGCCACACTGGAAGAGGATGGGGAAAGGATGAGTAAAAACCACCACAAAACTCTCCTACCAATTTTCAGATGGCTTTTTTTGATTAGATGTTTTCTTAGGAGCTGTAACCTTTGATTATTCTCCAGAGCTCATGCAAAGTTGGCTTACACAGTTTGTGTGTGTTTCTGTGGAGGAATGAGAGCTTGGAGTCTCCTAGTCAGTCATTTTGCTGACATCATGCCCGTGGACATATTTTAAAACCACCAAAGTACTACAATGAAAGACAGACTGTTGAAATAGGAAGAAACTGCATACTATTTTTTTAGACATACTTTAAATATAATAGAACTACTGCTAAAAGTAAAAGGATGGAAAAATACATACCACATAAACAGTAAGCACAAGAAAGCTGGTGTGGTTGTATTAATCTCAAAATAGATTAATAATAAGAAATATTACCAAAGATAAGGAGGGGTATTTTAAATGATAAAAGGGCTGGTTCTTCAAGATGACAAATAATCCAAAAAATTTGAACGAATTATTATATCTTCAAAGTACACACAAAACAAGCTGGCCCCCATCGTGCATGCCTGTTGTCCCAGTGACTTAGGAGGCTGAGATGGGAGGATTCCTTGAGTCCAGGAGTTTGAGGCTAGCCTGGGAAACAAGACACCATCTGTATTAGTCCATTTTCATGCTGCTGATAAAGACGTACCCGAGACTGGGCAATTTACAGAAGAAAGAGGTTTAATTGGACTTACAGTTCCACTTGGCTGGGGAAGTCTCAGAATCATGGCAGAAGGCAAGGAGGAGCAAGTCCTGCTTTACATGGATGGCAGCAGGCAAAGAGAGAATGAGGAAGATGCAAAAGCAGAAACCCCTGATGAAACCCTCAGATCTCATGAGACTTATTCACTCCTATGAGAACAGTATGGGGGAAACCACCCCCATGATTCAATTATCTCCCACCAAGTCCCTTCCACAACATGTGGGAATTATGGGAGTACAATTCAAGATGAGATTTGTGTGGGGACACAGAGCCAAACCATATCAACATCTATTAAAAAAGTACACAAAAAGCAAAGATTGGCAGAAGTACAGGAAGAGAGAGGCAAATCCACAATCATAATGGAAGTCACACACACCCTTCTCTCATAACTGATAAAAAATACAGAAAAACAAGCAGTAGGGATATATAAGATCTGAATGACCTGATTAATAAACTTAACCTAATGAGCATATACAGAACATTTCATCCAACAGCTGCATAATAAATGTCAAGAACAGT
This sequence comes from Homo sapiens, assembly GCF_000001405.40. Lineage (NCBI taxonomy): Eukaryota > Metazoa > Chordata > Mammalia > Primates > Hominidae > Homo > Homo sapiens. The sequence goes on along the minus strand of NC_000002.12, from coordinate 126,953,968 downwards.
AAAGGTTTTAGAATTTGCCCTACTTGCATGCTAGTTTAGCCTCCCAGTTTCATGGTTGCTGGAGAAGGTCTGAGATTCCTGCGTCAGAGACAAAAAGCCTTATAATTCACAGCACAGCAAGCATACTGAACTTCATGTTTGCCTTGGTTCCTTTTATTTCCTTGCCAACTCTCATTGGGGTAACGTAGTATGGCCCAGGTGGATGCTATACAAGCAGTGAGTTTGCATCACAGCTGAGGAACCTTGAGGTTAGGAAACCTCAGGCTTTTATCACAGGGTGAAAGCAAATCTACTCAACTTTTGCCCCAGAGGGAGTCATTATCTTTATTACAGCGGCCAGCAAATTAAGCTGCCCTCTGTTCCAAATGAATACATTATCTCCATCTTCAAAGGCTGTTTGCTATGTAAATGTCTTTCAAAAAATAAAAAGGGCCATTACCATTAGTGTCTCTGCTTATAAGACATACAGAAACATGAGAACCCATAGAAACTTGTCTCTATAAATAAGCATTCTGTGTAATTGCACATGGAATACTTACCAGGATAGACTATCGCCTGGGGCATATTAAAAACAATAACATGTCAATGACATCTAAAGGATTGGAATGATACAGAGTACATTCTCCGACCATATTAAACCCCCTCCTTCCCCCCCAAAAAATAGAAACCTAGAAAATTATAAAGTATTTGGAAATTAAGCAACATACTTCTAAATAACCCATGGATCTAGGAAGAAATCGCAAGGGAGTTAGACAATATTTTGAACCAAGCAAAAATGTAAACAATGTATCAACATTTGTGGGATGTAAAGGGATGTATTTATTGCACTAAGTGAATATATTAAATTGGAAAGTGGTTTTAAACTAAATGATCTAGCTTTCATCTCAATAAGTCATAAAACAGAAGAAATAATGAAAACAGAGAGAAGGCAGAAGAAAATAATTAAGAGCAGAAACCAACGGAAAACAAATCAACAACAGATAAAATTAACAGAGCCAAAGTTGTTTCTTTGAATAGATTAGTAAAATTGATGAATTCTGTCAAATAAAAAACAACTCCAAATTTAGATAAGAAGAGACTTTAACTGAAAGATTATTGCAAGGGAAGGGGGAAAGGGACTATCGCATTAAGGAGAATTCTCTCACCATGAGAACTGTAAGGGTCTCAAAGGTTAAGCGGAAAAGGACTTTTCTTTTATAAGGAGGAGTAAACAAACCTGGAAAGAACCCAGAGTGTGAAAATTGGAAGAACAGGATTACAGGTTGGAGGGGAGATGATCAGACAATAGGTTAGAGGATGTTTTATCCTGAGGTCAGCCTACTCTTGAGAAAGGCCATTAAGGAAGGGCTGTATGTTGTATGTTGGCTCAGAGTGAAGGTGAGTGAGAATTCTGGGACCTAGGGGAAAGACAGAATCTTAACTAAGGTTAGGTTAACAAACATTTTGTTCTGATTGAACAGTGGGTACCAAGTAGTTTAATAATTTATGAGACAAAGAGTGGGAATTTGGAGTGCCTGTGTTTGGCCTCATGATAGATGAACAATGTGGCATCTGTGAGTCATATGGGGGAAGTTATGTAGGGAGGGGTGTTTCTTTGCAGTAAGTCTTTTTCTGGAATACAAACAAGTAAGGGGATTTCTTAATGATTGCTATTTTCCGGAGCCCAGGGCTCTGGGAAAATGTAACATTGTCAATTTCTAGGACTATTGACAAAAAAAAAAAAAAAAAGATATTACTACAGATCCTACAGTCTTTTAGGGATATTAACATGTTAACTATTATTACACACAACTTTATGCTAATAATTTGACAATTTAAAGAAAACGGGAATGGGGCTGGGTGCAGTGGCTCACGCCTGTAATCCCAGCACTTTGGGAGGCCGAGGCGGGTGGATCACGAGGTCAGGAGATCGAGACCATTCTGGCTAACACAGTGAAACCCCGTCTCTACTAAAAATATGAAAACAAAATTAGCCAGGCATGGTGGCGGGCGCTTGTAGTCCCAGTTACTCTGGAGGCTGAGGCGGGAGAATGGCGTGAACCCGGGAGGCGGAGCTTCCAGTGAGCCGAGATCTTGCTACTGCACTCCAGCCTGGGTGACAGAGTGAGACTCCATCTCAAGAAAAAAAAAAAGAAAACGGACAGATTTCTTGAAAAATACAATTGCCTAAACCAACACAAGAAGAAATGGAAAATCTGAATGGTGCTAAAAAATGTTAAAAAAAATCAAGGCCGCATGAAAAACTGTTCTAAGTTTTAAAATTCCAGGTCCATATGGTTTTATTCGTGAATTCTCCCTAACATTGTAGGAGGAAAAAAATTGCCAATTGTTCACAATTTTTTTCCTCAGAGAATAGATAAGAGGAAATATTTCCCAGTTTCTTTTATAAGAGCAACATAAGCCTGATATCAAAGTCTAGCAAGGATATTGCAATAAATAAATAAAGGAATAAATAAATAAATAATGAATAAAAATGCAAAAATTCTAACAAAATACTATTAAGCCTAATCAACCAATATTTAAAAGGGACACTATCTCATGACCAGCTGCATTTTATTTCAAAAAAGTAAGATTGGTCTAACATTTCTAAATCAATTTGTTTCACTGCACTAGCAAGACAGAAAATCAAACATAATTTTCTTAAAAATTTTAGAAAAATGTAATGAAAGTCAACACTTATTTATGATAAATAGGTGATAAATGATAAATCTCAGCTGACCATGACTAGAAAGCAACTTTCATAAATTAACAAAAGGTATCTGTGACATATCTACAGCTAACATAAACCTTAATCATAAAACATTGAATTTTTTTCCCTTAGGTTAGAAGAAATGCAAGGCCAGGTCTTATAAACTTTATTCAATATTATACTGGAGGTCCTAGACACTGTAATAAGGTAAGAAAAAATAAAATAAAATGCATACAGCTAGAAAAGGAAAAGATAAAACTGTTTTTTTTTAATAGAGGACATGACAGAAACCAGTTGTATTTCTATATATAAGCAACAAGCAATTGGAAAATAAAATGAAAAAACACCATTGATGGTAGTGTTAAAAATGCATCCACTTTTCTGGCTAAAATAAGAATGTGAAATAGCTGGAAATCTCACACATTGCTGGTGGGGATGTAAAATGGCACAATGGCTTTGGAAAATTATTTGGCTCTTTTTGATAATGTTAGCAAACCAAGCATGGGTCCACAGCAAAACCAAAAGCTGACATGGAGATTTGCTGCGAGAGAAAGTGAGGCATTTATGGCACAGTGCCAAGCGAGCACTGGGCAGTTAATGCTTATGGCTCAAACTCCCCAGCAGCTTGTAAACAGGGCTTTCAAAGGCAGGGGTACATAGCAAGAAAGCAGAAGTTACAAACAGAATTGTAAATCAGTACATGGAGGTTATACATTGGTTAGGCTAAAAAAGGTAGGGTATCTTGAAGTGGGGGCTTACGGGTCATAGGAGGATTCAGAGATTCTCTGATTTGCAGTTGGTTAAATAAATGAGGCTTTGTCTAAAAACTTAAGGTCAGAAAAAAGGAATGTTAAATTGCGACCTGTGGGGATAACTCTCTCCAGGCGCCTCAGGAAGAAATTTTTATTTATTTATTGCTGGAGTGTGTAGTGGCACAATCTCAGCTCACTGCAACCTCTACCTCCAGGACTCAAGCCAGCCTCCCACCTCAGACTCCTGAGTAGCTGGGACTACAGGTGCCCACCTCCAAGCCCAACTAATTTTTGTATTTTTAGTACAGACTGGGTTTCACCATGTTGGCTAGGCTGGTCTTGAACTCCTGACCACAGGTGATCCGCCCACCTCGGCCTCCCAAAGTGCTGGGATTATAGGAGTGAGCCACTGTGCTTGGCCGAGACAGGGTTTTGCCATGATGGCTCAAACTCAAGCGATCTGCCCCGGTCAGCATCCCAAAGTGCTAGGATTACAGCACCCGGGCAGGAAGAAATTGAGAACAAGGAACTACAGTTAGATTTCAGTCCCTAGTTCCTCCTTCTCTGAGGTCTGCATGACAGCGGTCAGCATTTTCCATCATGGCGGCCCGCATTTCTGGAAAACAACTAAGGGACATGTTTGAAGATGTTATTTTAATTTCTATAGGAACCAAACATCTTGTGTCTCTAATTTCCTTGGTGATTGTTTTAAGCTGCTGTTACCTTCTTGCTTATCAGATTTCTCATTTACCTCCCAAGGCCAGCTAGATGTTTGGAATTGCCCTTGAAGAGACTCAGATTTTCCTTCATTTCCATGCTTGGGGATGACCCCGTAGGCCCTTAAGATGGGTCTTAGGGGTCCTTGCTCCATCTCAATAATGTTGAACATATATCTACCCTATGATCCAATAGTTTCAATATTAGAAATATACCTAGCAGAAATGAGTGACTATGTCCACAAAAAACATGCACAAGGACTTCCATGGTGGCTCTTCACTGTAGCCTCAAACTGGAAACAATCCAAATTTCTATGAACAGGTGGTACAAACTGTGTTATCTTCCTACAGTGGAATACTACTCATTGATAGAAAGGAACTGCTGATACATGCAATCATGGATACGTCTCAGAAACATTTTGTTGAGAGAAAGCAGTCAGACATAGAGGACGGCACACTGTATAATCCCACTGAATTTTGAAAAGTCAGAGCCATCACTGCCTGAGCAGGGGCTGGGAGAGTGACTGAAGGGGACTTTGTGTGGCCATGGAAATGCTCTAACTGCATTTGTGTGATGCTCACGTGAGTGTGTGAATTTGTCAAAACGCATCAAGCTGAGCACTTAAGATTTGTGTCCTTTACCATATGTCAGTTATACCTCAATAAAGAACAATTAGCAGAAAAGCCCCAGCAGGAAAAATCCCACTAGCTTACGCCTGTGAGGAAGATAACCTTGAGCCAACTCCAGTTGAGCCTGCGGCTGGCGGGGATGGGTCCCTTCCCAGTCTCTGCAGGAATTCAGGAGTATTCTGAGGAAACCAGCCCAGGAAGCCACATCTTCTACCAACCCAGAGCAGGGGAGCCAGGGGCACAGAGAGTGCTGTTTAGCAGCTAGAAAGCCAGGAGGGGGCATTTTGATCACAGGCATTGCCCATACTGCAATGTCTAATTTTAGCCACCTGATAATTTAAAAAATCAACTTGCCACCAAAAAATCTAAGCCACCCACTGCCCTCCTCAAACAACAAAGCACCATACAGTGCTGGGGTGCGCTCACCTTGCTGAGTTACTGAATCCATTCTGTTAATCCTGCACCTGTACAAAGCAGGGCCACGTGCATTGCCTCCTCACACTGATTAAGGACCCTGAGAGGGGGCAGTGAGATCAAGGGGGGAAAGGCCAGGGCTGAAAGCATGCATGCTTGGTAGGGGGAGCCTGGGTTGACTGGTGACAGCCCCGCTGACAATGGCCCAAAGCAGGACAGCGTTCCCAGGGGTGTAAAGCAGAATTAGCATCTATGTCATAGGCCAGGACAGAGTCTCAGATGTAGAATGTCAGGGTGGAAGGGAGGCCTTTGCATGCAATGGTCCCATTTTATAGATGGGGACATTGAGATATAGTTGGGGGAGGAGGTTCTTGGTGTCTAGAAGCAGTGGCCAGGTGGAGATGCAGGCCAGGTCCATCAGGAGGGGACTTTGTCGTTCTTGGATGTGCGGCTTGGGGAGTGGTATGCACAGGGAATGAGGGGCCCTGACCAGACGAATGGATAGGCTAACATGGCTAGGGGCTGGGCCTGCCCACACAGTGAGCTTCCTGGCCAGGAGGGCTGTGTCCCAGCTGCAGAATGCCCCAGCTGCCTGGGACTGGAGAGGGACAGGAGCAGACAGGAAAGGCAGTGATTCTAGAGGGGTGGCCTCGACCAGCAGCCATGGACAAGGGGCAACTGAGAGGAGCTGTGAGATGGGAAGCCAGGGGCAGGATTGCCTGGTGTTGGGCAGTGGGCTTTAGACACCTCTTACAGTCGCAGAAAACGACAGGAAAGGATCTAAATGCTTCAGCACTGGCCTGAATATGCAGATGAGCTTGCCTAGATAAGCAGATGATGTATTTAAAAGACAAACATAAATGTAAAATGAAGTTAGAGCACCTGCCTCATAGGATGCTGATTTAATCCTCTCAATAACCATAGGAGGTAAATACCACCTTATTAATTCGATTTTGCTGGTGAGGAAACTGAGGCACAGGGAGGTCAAACAACTTGCCCCTGATCACAAATCCAGGAAGTGGCTGAGCCAGGGTTGGAACCCGAGCAGTGTGGCTCCAGATAACATGCTGTTAGCCACATCACTGTCCCAACACAAATCTCCACTTATGTGTCTTAAACATCGGCATTTAAATACTGTGTTTAAACACTAAATCTGCATAGAGAAACATATGAAAGGATGGCCGCTGTGGAGAGATTTCAGGCAATTCTTACTTTCCCTGTATACTTTCCTGTTCTGTTTGGCTTTTTCTTTTTAGAGTGAGAATGTGCTATGTATACAATTGGAGAAAAAACAATCCAATAAAGCTAAAATAAAAAATAAGAGGAACCACTCTTGTTCAGTTTTCTACACTCGGGATTGCTCAGCTGGTCTCCCCTGTGGGCATCAGGATCCTGACCATGGCAGCCAGGCAGATCTCCCCACAGGGCCCCCTGAGACTTTGGCTAACTCAGGGCTTTAAGCACACGATGGCCAAGGGATGCACTGAGCATGAGAAGTACAGCTCCCTGCACAGTTAACTTAGGCACAGGCATATATTACACACTACGCGCCGTGCCCAGGCACACTCTCTGCTGACTTTGAACCCTTCCTCCCTCTAATAGGAACGGGGGACATTCCCTGTAAGTGAGGCTGTGGGAATATGCCTGGTCTTTATTTCCTTTCTTCTCCCTTAGGCCAGTGTGGCTGAGTTGTAGCCCCTAGTGATGGTTTTGTGTGTTGGGCCTGTGGACCTGGACCTTTAGGGTGACAGTTTGTGCTCCCTGTGATCAGGTAGTTCGTATGTAGGGTGGCAGATGTCATATCAGAGTTACATACAGCAGGGCTTCAGAGGGAGTAGACAAGGAGGAGTTGGGGGATATGAAGAATTGGGGCAGGGGTGACCCAACCTGGGTGGTAGTTAACCTGGGTGAATAGTTAACCTGGGTGGTAGTTAACTTGGGTGAATAGTTAACCTGGCTGGTAGTTAACCTGGGTGAATAGTTAACCTGGGTGGTAGTTAACCTGGGTGGATAGTTAACCTGGGTGGTAGTTAACCTGGGTGAATAGTTAACCTGGGTGGTAGTTAACCTGGGTGAATAGTTAACCTGGATAGGTAGTTAACATGCAAGGTGATGGAATCCAGGTTTGGATGATGAGGAAGACGAGGCTCCGGTGCCCATGTGGGATGTGGGATGTGCAACAGGAAAGGGGTTGACTTAGGCAGCGTTGTGTGGAATTGGAGGTGCCTGCAGGCAGAGACAGCTCAGAGGCCATGCGATGCACAGGCGTGGGGTCTGGGCTCCATGTCTGCCTGGGAATGGTCAGCCAGTAGGTGGTGATTGAAACCAGATGGGTGGATGAGCGCTCAGGCTGGAGTAGCTCATATGGGGGCAGGGAGGGGGAGCTGTGTTTATCCCAACCCTCAGGGAGTTATAATTCTGGGAATCAGACACTGGTGCCTTGGGCTGGGGTGAGATGAATCCATCCTGCTAATCTGCATTAATCTGGCAGAAAGAGAAAGCAAGAATGAGAGTGAAGAAGAGGACCCTGTTTTAGGCAGCTTGCCGTGGATGTGACCCACATCACCTCGTGTCTCATGCCTTTGGTGGTATTGACTTAGAACTCACGAGATTCATAAATTTGGAAAGGGAAACTTTCTATAAAGGGTGCAACCTGCAGGACTGGGACTGGAGCCTCAAGCAGAGGCCAAAAGCAGGCACTTTGAGGGAGGAAGGAGGACAAGGAGTTTTCCTAAATTAGTTGGCTAAATATAACTTTGTTACAGGTTATAGGTGGATTATGAATATTCATGAAAAAGGGTCCTGCACAGGCATGATAAGCAAACATACATGTTGCATATATCCCATGTTCACCTTGGGGTGGAGACTTAACATTATAGATGCAGTAAAATTAAGCCCTACATGCCAAAGGTAAAACTTAGGATCCAGAGTCACTCAGTGCATAGCCTCTGTAAACTGGCCAGAACCAGTCTGTGGTCAGGGTCATAGGAAAGCTTTGTGACACTGGTCAGCCATCAACATTGAAAGGCAAAAAGGGAGGGGACCCTGGTGACAGCATCAGGGGGTTGATTGAAATTGGAATCCACAGAGGAGTCTTCCATTTTTAGTTTTCCAGGGCTGGTTTCTGTTTAATTCTTAGGAAAAAACTGGCCTGGTATTGGTTGCTGAGGAAGGGGGAGTACTGAGGCATGACCAACCTCCTGTCTCTTCATGGCTATGGCTGGGAAACTTAGTTTTAAATGTTTTTCTGGGGTCTCCTTGGCCAGGAGCAGTCCATTCAGTCTGTCCAGGGCTTAAGATTTTATTTTTATTTCACATTGGGAATGAGTGACATATCACACTGAGATGTGTGGAGCCTGGGTTTTGCACCTCTGGCGGGACTCTTGCCCTCCAGCCATACCTCAGTCTCTGGAAGGGGAGCACGAATGTCTGGTGGGCAGCCAGCCCTTGCTGCCCCAGACACCCGAGGCTTCCAGTGGTGTAAGTGCATTGGCGCCTTGCCAGGAGGTGCGGAAGCTGCCTGTTTCCCACATTCTCTCTTTCTCTCTCTGCCCCCACATCTACCCCTCCAACTTCCTCCCTTTGCTTTTCAGATCTGATGCTCTGGGAAGGGAAAGCATTAATGCCTTGCTTGTTATTAACCAGTTCGATCAATTAATTACATACAGGGTGCCTAAAGTGTGGCAGGTACTGTGTTTATTGAGACTAAAGTAAAAATGGAGAACTTTACATTCTTAAATTTTTTTTTTTTAAATCAATCCTCCTAATGGTCCTATGAGATGGGCATTATTTTCCCTTCTCCCACCCTTCTGCCCTGAAGACCCTCAAGTGACAGATGTTCAGCTGGATACTCAGAGGGAAAGAGTATCACCCAGAGACACAGAAAAGCACCAGGACACACAGGCCAGGCTGAGCTCCCCTCAGTGTTTTACTGTTAGATGACACCCACGTTGTCCAGTCATGTTTCCCCACAGCCATCACTTCTTTCACCAGGCTTAGCATAAAAAACACAGGTTTTGCTATTTCAGGGACTCTTCATTTGCTTATTAAGGCTCCCATGTCATGTAAAGTTTCTTGAATAAATTTGTATGCTTTTCTCCTGTTGATCTGTCCTTTCAGTTTTATTTTTGGTCCTAGCCAGGGACCCCAAAAGGGTTGAGGAAACCTTCCTCCCCTACAGGAGGTGGGGAGGGATGACCAGGCAGAGCACGGAGGATTTTTAGTGCAGCGAACTATGCCGTATGATACTATAATGGTGGATACATGTTGTTATGCATTTGTCCAAACCCACAGAATATGCATCATCCAGACTGAATCCGCATGCCAACTATGGTCTTTGGATGATCATTGTAAGCAGACAGGGAGGGTCTCCAGGGACTAGGAATTTAACCAACTTCAGCAATCAGCCTGTTTTACAGTCTCCTACCTTGCAGCTTGTTTTTCCCCAAACAGTATGTGGAATGCAGTCACCTAGTCAGTTGAAACCAGGTCCTGACAGACCCCAGCAACTTATAAATGGCCCCGAGTGAATGTTATCCTCATGACCATGCTAAAGTCTCCATGCTGGGAGTAGCTGTAGCTTCATTACCATAAGATGCAACCCATGCGCTGGCATGATGACTCACTGTGTCTGCGCCACTGGGCCCCTCCTCTATATGCAGCTATGCACCCTCTCCCCACCCTATCACCCCATAAGACTCTCCTGTCCCTTTTTCTCAGGGAGACACTGCTTTGGAGAATCCTCCCAGTGCTCTTCTTATTTGTGCCAAGTAATGAAACTATTGATCAAAACCTGTGTTCTCATAGGGAGTCATCTGTTACCTGCCAGGCAAACTGTTACTGAAGCACTGAGGGTTTGGTCTAGGTCCTGCTGTTTGCTGCACAGGAAGCCAATCACTGAGACAACAAGTACTGCCAGGGAAGAAGGCTTTAATTGGGTGCTGCAGCCAAGGAAGATGGGAGCTCAGTCTCAAATCCATCTCTCCAACAGATTAAAATTGGGGTGCTTATACAGCCAGGAATTAGGGAGGGGTAAGGAAGTAATCATGATGGATGAGGGGGCTGACATCTCATTATCTGGATGTGGAAATCTGATAAGTTTTAGTTTCTTGCCTGAGAGTCAGTTTTCTGAGAAAGAAACTCGGATGAGACAAATTACAAATTTTAACCCTGGGGTGGGAGTCTATTTCTATGTTTATTCAAATAACCATAAGTATTAGTTTGATAGGACAATTGGACTGGTTTCAGAATGAACTCCGTTTTTTTCCTGGGAACATAGTGACATGTCAGCACAGGCTCATCAACTGTAGCAATGCACTGCTGTGGTGAGAGACACTGATAGGTGGGGAGGCTGTGCATGTGTGCGGCAGGGGGTGTATGGGAACTCTGTGCCTTCTGCTCAGTTTTGCTATGAGCCTAAAACTATCCTAAAAAATCAAGTCTATTAAAAAAATCCATTAGAAGGAGAGCGGCCAGGATATCTGGGAAGGCTCCCAGTGAAGGCATGTCTGGGACAAAGGGAAGGAATGAGGGTGCCAGGTAGTGAGGCTGAGGGTGACAGGCATCTCTAACAGCTGCCCTGAGATATCCGAAGGATTGTCCCACAACAGGGAGTCTAGCTCATTTTGCCTTACTGTAAAACATATAACCACAAAGGATGAACAGGCATTTAGGGCAGCAGATGTTTGCTCAAGAGAAGAAAAATCTTCAAAGTTGACAGGCTCAACAGTGGTGCAGCTGCCCCTGAGGGAGCCCGTCCCACCACCAGGGGTGCATCGGGGCTTAGAGACCCCTTGTCAGCATGTGGCAGGAGGGCCCCGCAGGGCTGTGAGGGCCTTTCCCATGCAAAATTGTATTTTTCCTAGCTTTTCTCAGTTCAGTTCTTTCTGGACTTATAACAACTTACTAGAATCCAGAAAATGCCTGGGTATAACTTTGAGAACTGTGGAAATTCTTCCTAAAAGCTCCTTTGATTTCTCTTTGAAATGCTAAAATATGATGTAAGCCTCATGGCTGTGGAGCTCACAGCTATTCAATTCCTTCCACAGGTGATAAAAAGCATCCAGCCTGGAGCATAGATGTGTGAAAAGAGATTAGGCAGTGTGTGAAAACACTTCCCATCAGCCATTTGACGACTTTTTTGAAATGCTAATGTCAGCCCTCCAGAGCTGTTATCTTGCAATTCACACCTATTCAATTCTACATCCAGGTAAATAAAGCAACCCCTGGTGAACACAGAAGTGTGAAGCCAAACTGAGGCAAACTGTGAAAATCCTGGACTTAACTCATCCCAAGGGACAAGGAAAAATGCAATTATCTTCCTTCTTCATCCAATATCATTTACTTTTGTGAAAATTTTGAGCTTGAATGGCTGCACGAGATAACTACCATTAACTGAGCACCTGCTACAAGCCAGGGACAATGTCAGTTCTATTTTACATTCAAATCTCTCCACAACCATGTATTTTAAGTATTATTAGTTCTGTTTTCCAATGTGTAAATCACAGTTAACATAGATTAAATAGTTTTCCCAAAGACATTGAAGGAATGAAGCATATACCATCCTAAAATATGCCGGACTGGTGTATTGATTATTTCAAGTGGAAAATAGTAAATATGTAGTTTCAGAAAGGGCTAGCTGACCTGTCTTCTGCATGCAGCAAACCATTACGAGTCCTCTGGGAGGGGTACCCTCACAGTACCAGGGTGAGAAAATAGCCCTTATCACTAGAGGCTGGGAATTGGGGCTACAATGGACCTGAATAAACATACTTAACAAAGTGTGAACCCAAAATGTCTGAGACAGGGTTCAACCAATTTAGAAAGTTTATTTGCCAACATTAAGGATGTACCCATGACACAGCCTCAGGTGACATGTGCCCAAGGTGGCACAGCTTGGTTTTATACATTTTGGGGAGACATGAGACATCAGTCAGTGTGTGTAAGATGTACATTGGTGGCCGGGCGCGGTGGCTCACGCCTGTAATCCCACCAACTTTGGGAGGCCGAGGCGGGTGGATCATGAAGTCAGGAGATCGAGACCATCCTGGCTCACATGGTGAAGCCCCATCTCTTCTAAAAAGACAAAAAATTAGCCAGGTATGGTGGCGGGCGCCTGTAGTACCAGCTACTCGGGAGGCTGAGGCAGGAGAATGGCGTGAACCCGGGAGGCAGAGCTTGCAGTGAGCCGAGATCGTGCCATTGCACTCCAGCCTGGGCGACAGAGTGAGACTCTGTCTCAAAAAAAAAAAAAAAAAAAAAAAAAGATGTACTTTGGTATGGTCCAGAAAGGCAGGACACCTTGAGGCTGGGGAGGGGGCTTCCAGGTCATAGGTAGGTAAGGAACAAATGGTTACATTCTTTGGTGTCTCTGATTAGCCTTTCACTGAATACACCATTTACATAAGTCACTTATGCCTTAGTCTTGCTTAGTGAAATAACAAGGCAGAGGAAGCAATCAGATATGCATTTGTCTCATGTGAGCAGGGGGACGACTTTGAGTCCTGTCTGTCTTTTGTCCACAAGGGATTTCCTTGTGGGCAAACTGTGAGGGAGGTATGCAGCTTTTAAGAAAAAATCTCTTGTTAAGGAATAGAATGGGAGGCAGGTTTGCCTACATAGTACCTAGCTTCAGTTTTCCCTTTGGCTTACTGATTTTGGGGTCCTGTGATTTATTTTTCTTCCACAAAAGTAATGCTTATCTTTCTTCAGTTTTACCACCTCCCCATCCCCTATATATCTTCAAGTGAGTCCCCTGGAAATTTACTGCACTAGCCAGATCCCCTTTGTCCTGTCATTTCTTCTGAAATTTATGGTTCTTTGATTAAAAGTATAAAAGCATCTCCCTTTGGCCACTTCTTTGGACTCCACTCTCTTGTGAAGATCCCCATGTACATGTAAAACTAGTAAAATTGGTGGGCTTTCTTCTTCTTAATCTGCCTGGTGTCAATTTGGTTTCCAGATACAGCCAGAGAGCCCACTAAGAGCTAAAGGAGAGTTGGAGGGTGTCTGTGGCCCCTCTAGAGCACACAGTGGGAAAGTAATGAAGGCGGGGGGGTGCTGACATAAAAAAACTGAACAGTGATCTACCAAAATCTCAGAGATGTAGAGTACTTGTCAGGGTGGTAATGATATGGACAGGAGGCAGGGAAATTCTGGGCAGAAGAGGGCAGGTCCCTGGCAAGGGCCCCACCATCAAGTCTGGAGCCGCAGCCTAAAGTGAGAACTTGCATCCCTGTTTTCCAAAACCACCTGTGGCCTGCCCCGCCCCCCATCCTGTGCCCATAAAATCCCAGGCTCAACTGGCAGAGGGAGGACAAGAGGAGAAGCAGCTGGACATAGGAGACTATGGTTGGACGTCAGACAGAAGTGGCTTGACTTCAGAGGGAAGTAGCTTGATGGTGTAGCTTTGGAGAGGAGTTTGGCTGAGGATGGCTGGACTTTGGGGGAGTATTGCCTTCCCGCCTCATCCCCTTTTCAACTCCTTATCCTGCTGAGAGCCACTTTCATTGGCAATAAAATTCCCTGCATTTACCATTTTCAATTCATTTGTGTGACTTCATTTTTCCTGGACACTGGACAAGAACTTGGAGACATGAATGTGGGTGCAAAAGGCTGTCACACGAACCCTCCACTGAGCTGTTAACACTTAAGCCATCTGTGGATAGCAAAGTTAAAAGAGTACTGACTGTGACACTCCTCTGGGGCTTCAGGGGAGCCAGCTGGGGCTCAGTGTATAGGGGCAGCTCCCTATACACTGCTGTGGGGTTGGTACAAAGTTCATTCATGCTGGCACCCAAAAGTGACTGCCCCGGCTCCTGCACCCACTCACCTGTGTGCTCTCCCTCCCATGAGGGGTGAAGTGCAGTGGGTCTCAGTGAGTGGAATTCACCCCTGCTGGCATTGAAGCGGCAGCCTTTTTCCAGTGCCCCTGTGCTCCATTTCCCAACTGTGAAGGGGTCAGGTAATGTAGCTGCTTCAGTAATGGTAGCTGTGGCAACAAAGAGCTCCCAGATCTCAATGGCTTAAGACACAAAATAGTATTAATGGCTCAAGTTGGATGTGGTTGGCACTGGTTGGAGGACAATCTGCTCCATGCAGCCTTTCAAGGACCATGTTCCTCTGTCTTGTGGTGCTACCATCTTCAGCATGTGTGACCATGTGTGACCATCTGTGTTACTGCAGAAAGAATGTGAACAGAGTGGAGATTTTTATGGGCTAGGCCTGGAGGTGGTGTATACCACTTCTGCCCTCGTTATCTTAACCTTAACTCAGTCCCCTGGTCCCAGACTAAGTCCCAGGGGGCTCGTAAATGTAGTTAAATGTGTGTGTTCAGGAAGAAAATGGGAGGATTTGGGGAACACATATGTTGTCGTCATTTTTTTTCATTTTGAATGCTCAATGGGACACTGTATCTCACTCACAGTAGGCACCTAATATGCATTTTCACACTCAATAGATGAATGAGTGAATGATGGCTCAATTCCGTAGTAACAACAATCTAGTTGTAAGCAAACCGGAAAATCAAAGCTGGGTTCACTATGGCCATTGAAATCAATGTTGGTTTATTTAAAGCAGAGTGAAAATGAATCATAATATATTAGTCAGTACAAAATATACCAATAATATTGCTAATAGAAATTCCTTCATAGAGGTGAGGTAGATAAAGTCAGTTAATATGTGTAAAAGTGTGGGAACATATAGTAAGTTACATGTGTTAGCTATGACTAGCTGATGGGTCTCACCAAGTGGTCTTCAGTGAGACATCCTCAGTCTCCACTGGCTCTTGTCTGTTCTTTCTGCCCTTCTTAACCACATTCAGGAGTTTTTAGTAATAACTGGTATTGTTCTCAATGGAGGGGAGGTGCTCCCTTAAACATCTGGGAGGTTCTGAAACAGTCATGGTATTCATATTAATACAACCACTCAGAATGAAGTCCTGGGTTTTTAATTGGCATTTGACAAATTTGCAAAGGAAGGAGAGGCTCATTGACATGCTTATTAATGTCACTGTTTGAGGCCATTGAATGATGATAAATTTTAGGATAACTAGCTACTTTTCTTCTAAAACCCTTGTTTCTCTGGGCTTGTGTCTACCCTTTCACACGGGATGCTGGGTCTTGCTTACCAGTGCCTCCATTTGGCAGATTATTCTCTCTGGAGGCTTGATGTTGTCCAGTCAGGAGAAAGGGGCATGAGTTTAGGCATCTTGGGGAAAGGGGTTGAAACTCAATTAGCCTTCCCATGGAGACTCTTATGATGAACACTAAAAGGAGAGTCAGAGATGCAGAAATAGAGAAAAGGCCTGGGAGAATGAGATTTCATATAGGAGGCCACATTCAAAATGAGAGTGATAGATCATTTCAGTGGAAGGGCATGTGCTGACTGGGCTTAGTGCATTCAGCACTGCCTGCCTGTCCTCTCTGCTTGCGCATGGACTCCAGGCTGGGATAATGGGAGGAGAATCTAAAGGGTACACTGCCTGTTGTTCAGAGAGACCATCTGATCTTACCAAGGAGTAAGACCATCTGATGACCTTACCAAGGAGTTTGTACTTGGTTCTGTGGGCAGTGGGAGCCACTGAAGGTGTTTGAGCTGTAGAGTGAGGGAGTAAAGTCGTGCCTTGAGAAGTGCAATCCAGCAGCTGAGGAACCTGTATTTGAAGAGGGAACAGTCAAAGATGAGCAACCCGGGCATGAGAGAGCGGCACTGGTCCAGTGAGAGACAATGAGAGGCTTTGCTGTTGATGCAGTGGGTGGAACGAGACTGAGAAGCTGCACTGCAGACCCAGGACCGGCTCTTTCTCTACAGCAGCCCCCACCCCAAAGTCTCCATGTAGGGCAGTAGTTTCCACACATGAGTGTGTACCTGAGTCAACTGGAAGGCTTGTTAAACTCAGATTTCTGGGTCTCACCTCCAAAGTTTCTGATTCAGAAGGTCTGTGGCGGGGACCAAAACATTTTCATTTAGAACAAGTTCCCAAGTGAGGCTGATGTTGTTAGTCTGGGGACACATTTTGAGAACCACAGTGTCTGAGAACCACTGGGAAATGGATCAGCTTTGCTGAAGACCTAAGACGCTTGCAAAGCTCTCTCAGTCTCACAGAGATGCTATGCCAAGTCTCGTGTGCATGCACGCACATTTGTGCACAGATGTGTACACTTGAGTGTGGTTGCTGCGTAGAGGGGCTTGGAGAGAAAAGCTCTCTGGGCCTGAAGTGTCCAGAGCAATGCTCTGTTACTCCGGATCTCTCAGGCTTTTCAATGTTAGACTCCCTCTGGAATGTAACTGACCTGTGTTTGGATTTGCTGAGAGTCAGTAGGTAGCACAGCCTTTGGGAAGGGGACAAGGCCAGGTGCTGTGGAGAGGGTGACAGCCAGGGAGAGGGGGCTGAGGGGGAAACTGAGGCATTGACTGGCTGCAGCCCTGCTGTGCAAGGTTGAATTTTCAAAATCTAGAGTTATTGTTTCTGCAACCACAACAGCATTAACAAGGGTGGCTACTATTTCTTGCTATGTGCCAGGGACTTTGTATCTTTTCTTCACTGAAGTCTCAGACAGACTGCAAGGTAAGTTTCATCTCCTGCACTTTGTGGATGAGGAAACTGAAGGTCAGAGAGTTTAATCCTGTATTAACTTGCATTTCTCCTTCACCCTGTGCAATTTCCCTCCCACTTCTCACCCCCACCTGCAGGGTTCTAGGCCCAGAAGATGGGCAGGATGACCAAGCAGAACCATGGACATCAGTGCTCAGCCCTTGGGTGGAGGGAAGCAAAGGGCAAGAGGAATCCATGTAAAGTCACTTGTCAGAGTAAACAAGGTACTTGTCAGTGTCATACCTGGTTAGTGTCAGGATTGGAGCCCTGCATTTCAGAGCCTGGAGCTGACACTGGGTCCCTAGCCATGCCATCTGTACCACTTGGCTGTCTTTTTGTGTTTCAGCACCACCTCTGTCTCAGTGAGGAACCATCCTCCCATTTCACTAAGCCAGGGCTCCCTTGATGTCCTGCACCTCTATCAATAAAAAAACGTTTCTTAGGTTCTTTCTAAATCTGCCTTTCTAGGAACTGTTGTTATTTCCCACAGTCCTGTCTGCCATTGAGATGGACATGGAGATGCATTGCCCAGATCATATTTCAGGGAGGACTTACTGCCCTTGCTGCTGTGAGTGAAGTTGGCATAAAGCTTTCAGCTGTCTTCAGGGATTCCCTCAGCTGCAGAGTCCCTTTGCCTAGGGCGGTGCATGGCCCATGCCTGATCCACCCAACACAGTCAGAATAGCTGGGCCTTAATACCCCGCCTCCATCAGGCATTGACTGCTCGCTTCAGCTCTGAGTCCCTCACAGTGTTGGCCTGCATGGCTACCCAGCTTCTCCCTTGCTCATGCCTGCTTTATCCCCTCTCTTCCATGGGTGTGGGTTCCAAAGTCAATTCCCTCATAAACATCCTGCTCCTTAGACTCTGTTTCTGAGTCTGCCTCCTGGAAAACCCAACCTGCTGTGTGTGTCCATTGCTCGTCCTCCTCCACCCCTTAACCTAACTCCTGCTTCCTCTGGAAAGTCTGGGCACAAAGGCCCATCTCGCCTCCTGCCGTCTGTCTTCCCTTCTCTCATGGCATTTCACTTCTATTTTAGCTTTTCTGCTACAAGAAAAAAAAAGTGCTGGCTGGTCTCTTGGGTGGTTTTTGAGAGGTGGTAACACATCTTCATCCTTTTCACTTCTAGGGTGTTAGTCTACAGATTTTTTCACACGTGGGTGAGTTGACATCTGAGTGCCGTTATTAACCACAACATTGTCAGTAACAGCAAACCACGGGACACACACCGGCGATTCACCAATAGAGAGGTGGCTACACAAATTATGACAGTAAGACATACCCTCAATGCACTGGTACAAAGAATGAGAATGCTCTCTAAGTGCTAATTGGAAATACTCTCTAAGATATATCATTAAATGAAAGAGATCAAGATGCAGAGCTCTGTGTAGCTCACTGCCTTTTGTGTGAGGGTCGGGTGAGCCTGTGCTTGCACGGCAGACGTGTCCTGGGGAACTGTGGGTTGGGGTGCTGGGTGGCTGAGGACAGTGGTGAGGAGGAAGACTTTGTCTTCCTTTTTGTACTTTCAAATTTTTGAAATATGTGAATTATATTAACTTTTTCAAGAAATAAATAGAATCCCACCATAATAAGCCATACAGCCAAGTAAATGTTTTTGAGAAAGGTGAGGCTGAAGGTGGCAGTTGCCTGAGCTACTGGGAAGGCTGCTGGCTGTGTGTCTGGTGGATGGTGGATGCCCCAGCCTGACTCAGTGGGGATTTCGGGGAGAATGATGACAATGGTTGGGGGTGGGTAGGGGCCTAGACCAGGGGCTGTGGGACTGAGCTTGGTGTGGAGCAAGGCATGGCCAGTTGCACCTGCCTCCTTCAGAGGTCTGTCCTGAGCTCTGTGGCTCTGCAGCTGCTGTGCCAGCTCGGCAGGCAGCAGCTGTGTCTGGCCAGGCACCTCTGGTGGAGCCATCCTCTCATCAGCAGCCCCAGCCACTCCATGGCTCTTGCTGCCTTGCCGGGAAAGCAGACTGTCACCCTTTTGTTCTGAGCGAGCCACTGGGGGTCTTGGCTGATGTAGGAGTGGGGAGGGAGGAGGCCCAATGCTGTGAAACTGGACGTCTTGATGCTAGTGTTGTGAGACAGTTTGCACACACTTCGTGCTGATGGCTGCCAGGTCTGCATTTGCAGCCCAGAGTGCTCTTTCCCTAGCTTTGCAATGGGACATGCAGCTGTGTCTAGGATACCTTTGTGCGGACGCCTCACAGAAGCCACAATGTCAACATGCCCTGAACTCAACTCATCACCCTCCTGCTTCACTCCACCCCACCTGTTCTTCAACTCGCATTGCCTTTCCTGGCAAAGGCCAGATATCAAGGTATCATTATTGACTCTTCCTTCTCTCTCATCTCTCTGTCTTTTTTCTCTACTGTGAATCAGACTGTGCGGCACCTCTGCCTCAAGCTGTTCTGGAGCTGTCATGCTGTGGGACAAATTCCATGTGCCTCAGTGTGTGCCTCGGTGACCCAGCCCTCACCTACTTCGCTAATCCCACCTTCAAAACCTGCCCCTTTTCCCCTTTGCTTGCACAGTGGACCCTTTATTTGCAGTTTCACCTTCCGAGGTTTCAGTTACTCGTGGTCAACCTTGGTTGATTATTTGTATTAATATAAGATATTGAAAGGAGAGAGATATAGAGACTACCTTCATATAACTTTTATTACAGTATATCCTTATAATTTTTTATTTTGTTATTAGTTTTCCTATTTTATTGTTAATCTTTCACTATGCCTAATTTATAAGTTAAACTTTATCATAGGATGTGTGTATACAAAAAAAATGGTGTATACGATTTGGTTCTACCTGCAGTGTCCACTGGGTGTCTTGGAAGATATCCCTATGGATAAGGGGTACTCCTATATTCCCTCTGCTTGAGGTCCCATCCACTCCAACTTATATGTCTCTTATTCACTTTTGAAAACCCAGCTCAGGGACCGCACTGGTCTGTCCTTCCATGGTCTGCAGTCTGGAGTTAGTGCCTCTTCCACATCTCCCACCATGCTCCTCCACCACGAGCTTTTGCACAGCAGAGGCCACTCTGTGCATCTCTGTTGGTCTCTGCCACCTCCTGGGGTCCCTGGAGGGCACAGCACACGGTCAGTTCATCTGTATCCCAGAGCCCAACACTGCTGGACACCAGATGGGTCTCAACAGATGTTAAATCAATAAAGCAAAGAAACCCAATCCCCTCATGCTACAGAGGAGGAGACCAAGGCCTTCAAGGGAAGGGATCCCCATGACCACCCAGCTAGCTGGTGAGGAGCCCAGGCTAGACCCGCCCTCCTGAGCTCAGGCCCAGGGCTCTCCACACGGCAGCATGGTCTTTCCCCGTTGACTTGGCATTCAAGGGAATGGAAATAGCCAGTCAAAGTATGTTATCTGGGATTTTATGCTTTTCCCCCCCCTCTTTCAAGTGGCTCTCCTTGAGTTTACCAATCTTCTACTGCTGTAAACTTAAGGAGGAAGAACGAGAGTGAGTTTGAATTTACTGTGCTCCTTACCTTGAGAGAGTTTCCTCTCTTAACTTCATGTTAAAAATAACAAACCTCCAGTGTGGAGACCTAGAATCCCATTTCCTGGCCAAATAGCTCCTGTCGTATTTCTGGGACCGATTTAACAACTCATTAAGGATTTATTACAGCTGGCCTCCTCCCACACACCTCTCTTGTACTGACAGGACTGGCCACAGGAGAAAGAAAGTGAGAAATTGTCTAAAAATAAAGAAAACCTGCAAGCCTATCCATAAGAAAGCTGCAGCCTTCCCTTCGGGCTTCGGTGGGAACAGATGGGGAGAGGAGGCTGACGCTTCCGCAGTCTGCAGCAGGGGGCAGAGCCCCTCGCCCGTCCTTTCCCAAAGCCATCTGGCTGCTCCACTTGGCTCCAAGCACGCCTTCAGGGATCACAGCCCCGGCCCACCAGGGAAGGGGCCATTTTTGATATGCTATCAGGACTCCCCTGGCTGCTCCATTTCATTGGCTGGGGGGAGTCCATGTGTGGGTGGTGGGGTCCACACAGGCAAACCCGCCTCGGGAAGCAGATGTGAGGATAGAGGTTCTGTATTGGCCAGCTCGGGCTGCCATAACAAAATACCACAAAGTGTGTAGCTAACACAACATACATTTATTTTCTCACAGTCTGGAGTCTCAGAGTCCAAGATCAGGGTGCAGGCAGGGTGGGTTCTGGTGAGGGCTCTCCTCTTGGCTTGCGGATGGCTACCTTCTCACTGTGTCTCCCATGGCCTTTCCTTGACGCGTGAGTAGGAAGAGAGAGCTACATATATCTCCTTCTTCCTCTTCTTAAACTGTTACTAATTCTCTTAAATTAGGACTTTACCCTTATGACTTCATTCAACTTTAATTACCTCCTAACAGCCCTATTTCTAAATGATGTTCCTGTTGATGAAGGACTGCCTATGTGACAGTGGTCCCATAAGATTACAACAGAGCTGAGCAATTCCTATTGCTTAGTGATATCACAGCCATCATAACGTTGCAGCACGATACATTACTCATGCATTTGTGGTGATACTAGTGTAAACAAACTCCATTGCCACTTGTATAAGAGAATAGCACATACAATTATGCACAGTACATAATAATAATAAACAACTATGTTACTAATTTATGTATTTATTATGCTATATTTTTAATCTCTATTTATAAAAAAAGTTTACTGTACAACAGCCTCAGGCAGGTCCTTTGAAAGGTATTCCAGAAGAAGGCATTGTTTTCCTAGGAGGTGACAGCTCCGTGTGAGTTATTGCTTCTGAAGACCTTCCAGTGGGACAAGATGTGGAGGTGGAAGACAGTAATGTGCATGATCCTGACCCTGTGTTGACCTAGGCTAATGGGTATGTGTCTTTGTTTTTAATTAAAAAGTTAAAAAAATTAAAAAATAGAGAAAAGCTTATAGAATCAGGATATGAAGAAAAAAATTTGTACAGCTCTACAACATGTTTGTGTTTTAAGCTAAGTGCTACTACAAA
This sequence comes from Homo sapiens, assembly GCF_000001405.40. Lineage (NCBI taxonomy): Eukaryota > Metazoa > Chordata > Mammalia > Primates > Hominidae > Homo > Homo sapiens. The sequence continues at coordinate 126,932,183 of NC_000002.12, read as the reverse complement.
AGAGTCAAAAAGTTAAAAATAAGGGCCTTAAGGTGGCTGACCAGAGATGTCTTGTCCTCAAATCCACAAAGAAGAACCCCAGTAGTGAGCAGATAATCACCCTTCCAATAGATAAACCAAGAGAGAACACTGGCATTCAACAGAGAAGTGGAAGGAAACATCCAAAGGGAGGAAAGAGAGGGAAGCGAGGCAGCCTGCCTGGCTAGGATCATCTGGGTCCCTGGAGAGACTCCCCAGTGCAGGGAAGGGGTGAGAGATCCCAGTGGTCCACATTCCCACCATGGACTCCTGCAATCCTAGCCATGGTAGACCCACTTGACCTTTACAGGCCCTGAAGTTAAATTAACATAGGGAGCTTCTTGGAGACACTGAGATGGCATTGCTCCAGAGAGGGAGCTTACATGGGTCCCACACTGCTCTCTCCCTCCCCCCGCAGTCCTAAGCAGCTACAGTAAGGCACCATTTTGAGATCCCAACCCCCAAAAGACTGCATCCTGCTCAATCAGTGTCTGCATCTCTATATCCCTGGAGCCCCAGTGATATCCCCCACCTGCAGCTACCACTGCAACTGGCTGCTGCTGCTGGGGCTAAAGCATGGGCCACTGGCTGTAACCCTGCTGCTTCCACCATTGGAGCCACCATGTATTTTCACACGCATAGAGCCCCCCCACCCAGAGCCATCCTTGCTGTACTGCTGGGGCTGAAGTTCAAGTCAAGCACGGGCTGCTGCCACCAGGACTGAAACATAAGCCAAGTACATGTTCTCCACCCAACTGGATATGGCTGCTACCACTGAAAGCAACCTCACCTTCCCTAGGAGCAAGGCCAAAGTGAAGCCACTGCCACCCACAAACCGAGCACTCCACTGTGGGCCCGGGAAACACCCTGCCCCAGCCTACCACAGCTAATGCCTGTAGGTATCACTGGGGGGCCTGAGGACAAGCTTGCCTGCAACGCCTCATGCCAGAGCATGCCATCTGGGGGCCTGGAGATCTCCCAGAACAGTCCTCCACCATTGGCATTGGAACACTCATCCTGAGGTTGGGCCCACTCACTGTGCCACTACCACATAGCTGGCACTAACTTACACATACCACCTGCAGGCCTGGAGCCTGGTCCACCCAGCCCATCACAGAAACTGCCAACATTAGTATGCACTACACAGGACCCAGAGGGTTGTCCTACCACTGCTACTGCCATCACCCACACTATTCCTGCTGCTCAGGGGCTTGAGAATTTGCACATCCTCCTGGCCCACTGCTGCCATTCCTTGCATTTGAGCAAGCCACCTGGAGGCCCAAGAATTGGCCTGTTTGAACCTGTTGACACCAGTGCCAATGTATGCTGCCCTAGGCCCCAAAGACAGCCAGCTCAGCCCACCACTGCCACTACTGGGGCCAAAAGCTTGGCCCGTCTGGCATCCCAGTCCCCAGAAAAACTTCACCATATACTTCACTAATAACTGTACCCTAAGCCATTGAGGAAATCACAGGCACCACTGATGCTGTTTACAGCTAAAGAAATCATACAGAGGCTACACTAGTGCATGCACCCAGAATCAACGCCAAAGTGCCCCACCCAACCAACACCATAGATACGTCTTCAGGAAAATGCACTCCCCATGAGAGAAAACTTAAAAAATTGGAAGAAAGTGACTATTATGCCAGATGCACAGATACCAATATAAGGACACAGAAAACACGAAAAAGCAAGGAAGTTTGACACTCGTAAAGGAACATAATCCCCCAGCAATAGATTCCAATCGAAAGTAAATTTATAAAATCCCAGAAAAAGAATTCAAAATACTGATTTTAAAGAAGTTCAGTAAGATAAAAGGGAATACTGAAAAACAATAAAAAGAAATCAGAAAAACAATTCAGGATGTTAATGAGAAATTTACCAAAGAGATACATCATAAAAAAGAAACAAACAAATTTTGGAACTGAAGAATTCTTTGAATGAAACACAAAATGTGTCTAAAAGATTCAACAATAGACTAGATCAAGCAGAAAAAGAATTCCAGAATTGAAGACAGGCCTTTTGAAATAATCTGGTCAGAAAAACAATAAAGAAAAAAGAATAAAAAGAATGAGCAAAGCCTGCATATGATATATGGTATACCATAAAGTAACCAAATATTCAAATTCTGGGAGTCCCAGAATATAAAGAAAAAAATAAGAGGGTTAGAAAACCTATTTAACAAAATAATAGATTTAAACTTCTGAAGTTTAGCAAGAGATTTAGATATCCAGATACAGGACACTCAGAGAACCCCAAACAGATAAAATGCAAAAAGATCTCTATGGCACATTATAGTTAAACTGTCAAAAGTCAAAGATGAAGAGAGAATTCTAAAAACAGCAAGAGAAGAACCTCTAGTCACTTATAAAGGAACTCACATCAGACTAACAGGAGATTTCTCAGCAGAGACCTTACAGGCCAAGAGAGAATAAGATGATATATTTAAAGTGCTGAAAGAAAAATAGTTTCAGCCAAAGATACTATTTCCAGCAAGGTTATCCTTCATAAATGAAAGAGAAATAAAGGCTTTCTCAGACAAGCAAAAGCTGAGGGAATTTGTTACCACTAGACTGACCCTACAAAAAATGTTTAATGGAGCCTTACACCGGAAGCAAACTAATGATATCTACCATTATAAAAACACATGAAAATATAAAACCCACTGGTAGAGGAAACACACAAGAAAAAGAAAAGATTCAAATGTTACCGCTACAGAAAACTACCAAACCATAATGATAAAAAATAAGAGAGAAAGGAACAAAGGACATACAAAACTACCAGAAATCAATTAATAAAATGACAGAAATAAGCCCCCACATATTAATAATAACCTTGAATATAAATGGATTAAACTTTCCACTTAAAAGATATAGATTGGCTGAATAGGTAAACAACATGGCCCAACTATATGTTACCTACAAGAAACTCATCTTACCTATAAAGACACATAGAAACTGAAAGTATAGGAATGGAAAAAGAGATTCCATGAAAATGAAAGCCAAAAATGAGTAGGAGTAGGGATACTTATATCAGATAAAACAGACTTCAAGTCAAAAACAGCAAAAAGAGATGAAAAGGACATTATGATAAATGAATCATTCAGCAAGAAGATATAATATTCTAAACATATATGCACCTACTGTGGAGCACCCAGCTGCATAAAGCAAATATTATTAAATTTAAAGGGAGAGGCTGGATGCAGTGACTCACGCTTGTAATCCCAGCACTTTGGGAGGCTGAGGCAGGACGATCACTTGAGGTCAGGAGTTTGAAACCAGTTTGGCTAACATGGTGAAACACCATCTCTCCAAAAATACAAAAATTAGTTGGATGAGGTGGCATGTGCCTATAGTCCCAGCTCTTTGGGAGGCTGAGGCAGGAAGACTGCTTGAACCTGGCAGGTGCAGGTTGCAGTAAGCTGAGATTGCGCCAATGCACTCCAGCCTGGGTGACAATGAGAGACTCTGTCTCAAAAAAAAAAAAAAAAAAAGAAAAAGAAAAAAAAAAGAAAAGGGAGATACATACTCCAAAACTTTAGTAGTTGGGGACTTCAACAGATTACTCTTAGTATTAGACAGATCATCTAGACATAAAATTAACAAAGAAACACTGGATTTAAAGTGCACATTAGACTAAATGGACCTAAGAGACATTTACAGAACACTTCTTCCAATAGTTATAGAATACATATTTTTCTCATCAAGACAGGAAGATTCTCCAGGTTAGATCATATGTTAGGACACAAAACAAATCTAGACAAATGAAAAAAAATCAAAATCATATCAAGTATCTTCTTAGATCACAGTAGAACAAAACCAGAAATCAATACCAGGAAGAATTCTGGAAACTGTACAAATGGAAATTAAACATTAAAATTCAACAACATGCTCCTGTATGACCATTGGTGCAAGGAATGAAGTAAGGAGAAAATTAAAAAATTACTAGAAACAAATGAAAATCAGGCACAACTCACCAAAACTTATAGGATACATCAAAGCAATGCGAAGAGGGAAGTTTATAGTAACAAATGCCTACATCAAAAAATTAGAAAGATTTAAAATAAACAATCTAAGGATGCACCACAAGGATCTAGAAAAGCAAGAATGAACCCAAGCCAAAATTGATAGAAGGAAAGCAATAATAAAGACCAGAGCAGAACTAAACAAAATATAAGCTAAAAAGAAATTTCAAGGATCAATAAAACAAAAAGTTGGATTTTGAAAAGATAAACAAAATTGATAAACCACTTACTAGATAAACCAAGAGAAAAAAAGAGAAGACCCAGATACAAAGTCAGAAATAAAAAGGAGACATTACAATTGATACCAGAGAAATACAAAGACCATTAGAGACTATTATGAACAACTAAACACTAACAAACTGGAAAACCTAGAGGAAATGGATAAATTCCTGGACACACACTAGACTGAATCAGGAAGAAACAGAAAACCTGAACACATGAATAACAAGTAATAAGATTGAAGCAGTAATAAAAAGTGTTCCAACAAAAAAAAAATCCAGGACTAGATAGCTTCACCGCTGAATTCTGCCAAACATTCAAAGAAAATTAACATCAATTCTCTTCAGATTATTCCAAAAAATTGAAGAGCAAGGAGTTACCCCTAACTCATTCTACAAAGCCAGCATTACCCTGATACCAAAACCAAACAAAGGCACAATGTATTAGTCCATTCCCACACTGCTATGAAGAAATACTCAAGACTGGGCAATTTATAAAGGAAAGAGGTTTAATTGACTGACAGTTCCACATTGCTGGGGAGGCCTCAGGAAACTTACAATCATGGCAGAAGGCAAAGGAGAAGCAGGCACCTTCTTCACAGGGTGGCAAGACAGAGTGAGTGCAAGCAGGGGAAATGTCAAATGCTTATAAAACCATCAGATCTTGTGAGACTCACTCACTATCACAAGAACAGCATGGGAGAAATGGCCCCCATGATCAAATTACCTCCACCTGGTCCTGCCCTTGACACATGGGGATTATGGGGATTACAATTCAAGATGAGATTTTGGATGGGGACATAGCCAAACTATATCATTCTGCCCCTTGCTCCTCCCAAATCTCATGTCCTCACATTTCAAAACACAATCATGCCTTTCCAACAGTCTCCCAAAGTCTTAACTAATTCCAGCATCAACCCAAAAGTCCAAGTCCAAAGTCTCATCTGAGACAAGGCAAGTGTCTTCTGCCTATGAGCCTGTAAAATCAAAAGTAAGTTAGATACTTCCTAGATACAATGGAGGAACAGGCATTGGGTAAATTCACCTGTTCCAAATGGAAGAAATTGGCCAAAACAAGGGGCTAAAGTCTCCATGCCTGAGTCTGAAATCCAACAGGGCAGTCATTAAGCCTTAAAGTTCCAAAATGATCTCCTTCAACTCCGTGTCTCACATACAGGTCATGCTAATGGGCTCCCATGGCCTTGGGCACCTCCATCCCTGAGGCTTTGCAGGGTACATTCCCCCTCCTGGCTGCTTTCATGGGCTGGCATTGAGTGTCTGTGGCTTTTCCAGGTGCATGGTGCAAACTGTCAGTGGATCTACCATTCTGGGGTCTGGAGGACGGTGGCCCTCTTCTCACAGCTCCACTAGGCAGTGCCCCAGCGGGGACTCTGTGTGTGGGCTCTGACAGCATGCTTCCTTTCTGCACTGCCCTAGCAGAGGTTCTCCATGAGTGCTCTGCCCCTGAAGCAAACTTCTGCCTGGACATCCAGGTGTTTTCATACATCCTCTGAAATCTAGGCAGAGGTTCCCAAACCTCAATTCTTGACCTCTGAGTGCCCACAGACTCAACACCACCTGTAAGCCACCAAGGCTTGGGGCTTGCACCCTCTGAAGCAATGGGCCAAATTTTACTTTTAGTCATGACCGGAGCTGAAGTAGCCAGGACACAGGGCACCATGACCTGAGGGTGCACAGAGCAGTGGGGCCCTGGGCCTGGGCCATAAAACCATTTTTCCCTCCTAGGCCTTTGGGCCTGTGGTGGGAAGGGCTGCCATGAAAGTCTCTGACATGCCCTGGAGACATTTTCCTCATTGTCTTCTTAACATTCAGCTCCTCATTACTTATGCAAATTTATGTAGCCAGCTTGAATTTCTCCCCAGAAAATGGGTTTTTCTTTTCTATCACATCATCAGGCTGCCAAATTTTACAAACTTTTATGATTTAATTAATCTTGAATGCTTTGCCACTTAGAAATGTATTCCACCAGACACTCTAAATCATCTCTCTGAAGTTCAAAGTTCCACAGATCTCTAGGGCAGGGGCAAAAAATCTGGCCAGTGTCTTTGCTAAAGTATAACAAGAATCATCTTTGTTCCAGTTCCCCAAAAGTTCCTCATCTCCATCTGAGACCACCTCAAGCTGGACTTCATTGTCTATATCACTATCAAGATTTTGGTCACAACCATTCAACAAGTCTTCAGGAAGGTCCAAACTTTCCCACATCTTCCTGTTTTCTTCTGAGCCCTCCAAACTGTTCTAACCTCTGCCTGTTACTCAGTTCCAAAGTTACATTCACATTTCTGAGTATCTTTACAGCAGTGTCCCACTCCTGGTACCAATTTGTTGTATTAGTCTATTCTCACACTGCTATGAAGAAATACCCAAGACTGGGCAATTTATAAAGGAAAGAGGTTTAATTGACACAGTTACACATTGCTGGAGAAGCCTCAGGAAACTTATAATCATGGTGGAAGGCAAAAGAGAAGCAGGCACCTTCTTCACAGGATGGCACAACGGAGTGGGTGCAAGCAGGGGAAATGCCAGACACTTGTAAAACCATCAGATTTCATGAGACTCACTCACTATCACAAGAATGGCATGAAGGAAACTGTCCCCACTATCCAGTTATCTCCACCTGGTCCTGCCCTTGACACATGGGGATTATGGGGATTACAATTCAAGATGAGATTTTGGGTGGGGGCACAGCTAAAGCATATCATGCAACAAAAAAGACAATAGGCCAAGATTCCTACTGAACATAGATGGAAAAACCCTCAACAAAATACTAGCAAACCAAATTCAACAGCACATTAAAAAAATACATCATGATTAAGTGGCATTTATCCCAAGGATTCAAGGATGATTAGACATGTGCAAATCAATAAACATGATATATCACATCAACAGAATGAAGAACAAAAACCATACAATTATCAAATAGATGCAGAAAAAATGATGAAATCAAAATCCCTTCATGATAAAAACTCTCAACAAACTAGGCATATAATGAATGTACCTCAACATAATAATGACCATATAAGACAAGTCCACAGATAACATTATAATGAATGACAAAAAGCTGAATACCTTTCCTTTAAGAACTAGAATAAGATAAGGATGCTCACATTCACCATTATGATTCAACACAGTACTGGAAGTTCTAGCCAGAGCACTTGGGCAAGAGAAAGAAATAAAGGGCATCCAAATTGGAAAAGTGGAAGTCAAATTGTCCCTTTTTGCTGACGATACGATTTTTTTGTTTGTTTGTTTTCTTGAGATGGAGTGTCACTCTGTTTCCAGGCTGGAGTGCAGTGGCATGATCTTGGCTCACTGAAACCTCCACCTCCCAGTTCAAGTGATTCTCCCTCCTCAGCCTCCCAAGTAGCTGAGATTACAGGTGCCCACCACCACGCCCAGCTAATTTTTGTATTTTTAGTAGAGATGAGGTTTCATTATGTTGGCCAGGCTGGTCTCAAACTCCTGACGTCATCCACCCTCCTTGGCCTCCCAAAGTGCTAGGATTACAGCTGTAAGCCACCATGCCCAGCCAGTGATATGATTTTATATCTAGAAAAACCTTGACCATATAAAAAACTCTTAGATATAATAAATAAATTCAGTAAAGTTGCAGGATGCAACATCAACATTCCAAAAATCAGTAACATTTCTGCATACCAATAATGAACTAGCCGAGAAGGGAGTCAAGAAGGCAGTCTCATTTACAATAGCTACAAGAAAGATAAAACACCTAGGACTAAATTTAACCAAGGAGGTGAAAAATCTCTACAAGGAAAACTACAAAATGCTGATAAAAGGAATTAAAGAGGATACAAGCAAATGGAAACACATCTCATTCTCATGGTTTTGAAGAATTAATGTCATTACAATGACCCCACAGCCTGATGCAACCTAGATTCAGTGCAATCTCTATCAAATTACCAATATTATTTTTCACAGAATTAGAAAAAATAGTCCTAAAATTTATATGGAACAACAACTACAGAAAGCCCAAATAGCCAAAGCAACCCTGAGCAAAAATATCAAAGCTGGAAGCATCACATTACCTGATTTCAAAATATACTTCAAGGCTATAGTAACCAAAACAGCATGATATTGGCATAAAAACAGACATATAGACCAATGGAACAAAATAAAGAATCCAGAAATAAATCCTCATATTTGCAGCCAACTGGTTTTTGACAAAGACACCAAGAACATGCATTAGGGAAAGGACAGCCTCTTCAATAATTGGTGCTGGGAAAATTGGATATCCATATACAGAAGAATGAAACTGGACTCCTACTCTTATCATATAACAAATCAACTTGAAATGGGTTAAAGTCTTAAACATAAGACCCCAAAACTATAAAACTACAAGAAGAAAAACTAGGGAAAACACTTTAGGACATTGGTCTAGGTAGAGATTTTATGGCTAAGACCTCAGAAGCACAGACAACAGAACCAAAAATACACAGAAAGAAAAGGGAACTCTTATACCCTATTGGGGGAAATGTAAATGAGAAATTAGGACAGCCACTATGGAAAACTGTATGGAGATTTATCAAAAAACAAAAAATTGAACTCCCATACAATCCAGTCATTCCATTACTGGGTATTTATCCAAAGGAAAATAAATAAGAATGTTAAAGAGATACCAGCACTTGCATATTTATTTATTGCAGCACTATTTACAATAGCAAAGACATGGAATCAACCTAAGTGTTTGTCAGGGGATGCATAAATAAAGAAAATGGGGTATATATACACAATGGAATACTGTTTGGCTATAAAAAAGAATGAAATCATGTCATTTACAGCAACAGGGATGAAACTGGAGGTCATTATATTAAGTGAAATAAGGCAGACACAAAAAGACAAATATTACATGATCTGATTTATATGTGGGAACTAAAAAATTTGATCTCATGGAAGTATAGAATAGATTGGTAGATATCAGAGGCCAGGAAGAGTGTGTGGGAGGGGATAATGAAGAGAGGTTGGTTAATGGGTACACTGATACATAGAAGAGATAAGTTCTAATATTCGATAGCAGAGTAGGCGACTATCGTTAGCAATAATTTATTGTATATTTTAAAGTATATAGAAGAGAGGACTTGAAATGTTCCCAACAGACAGAAATGATAACTATTCAAGGTGATGGACACTCCATATACCCTGACTTGATCATTACATGTTTTATGCATGTAAATATGTAAAGTTATATGTATCAAAGAGAAACAAAAACAAAAGGTCTGTAAAGTAAAAAATTTACAGTAGGCTAAGGTTAATGTATTACTGAAGAAAGAAAATATTTAAAAAATAAATTCAGTGTAGCATACATGTGTGGTGTTTCTAAAGCCTCCAGTAGTGTGAAGTAAATGTCTTCACATCCCTCACCAATCACTCACTGACTCACCCACAGCAACTTCCAGTCCTGCAAGCTCCATTCATGGTAAGTGGTCTAGACAGATGGATCATTTTTTATCTTTAATATAATGTTTCTACTATACCTTTTACATACCTGTTTAGATATGTTTACATACAGAAATACATTGTGTTACCATTGCCTATAATATTCAGTACAGCAACCTGCTGTACAGGTTTGTAGCCTAGGAGCAGTAAGTTATAGTATATGGCTTCAGTGTGTAGTAGGCTGCACCATCTAGGTTTGTGTGAGTACACTATAATGCTTGCATAATGACAAAATCTGCTAACTACATATTTCTCAGAGCATATTCCTGTTAAGAGATGCATGACTGTACAGCCACGTTTGGAGTGAGGGTTTTAATATATGAATTTTGGGGGGACAAACCTCAATTTCTGCAAGTTTCCTTCTTGGAGGGCTTGGGGTATTGACTGGGAAGGGCACGGGGAGCTCACAGAGGTGCTGGGGATGTTCTCTTTCTTGCTATGTGGGTGTTTGTATGGCTGTATAGTATATAAAAACTGAACATTTAGGCTCTTCCCTCTATGTAAGTTGTACCTTAAAAAAGCAAACCACCTGAGAAAAAGGTTTAGAGTTCAATTCCAAATACAATTGGGACATTATCAGTATGTCTTGTAGACTTTTGAAGCTCTCTTGAGTGTTGACAAAGCAAACACGTCTCAGGTTTTGCTGGCACTGAGATGTCTCATTATTGACAAAATGTAATTACTTGCTAATAATCATTGATTGTTTAGTGATCAGAAAGCAATATTTTCAGCATTTTACATGTTAACATGTTATTTTAATTGTGTTGATGGATTAGGTTCATTTAGGAAATTGGGTTTGAGGTTGACGCGGACCACATAATTTTCCCCATTTAAATATTCTGTTTACTTCACAGGTTCCTTGTAAGAACCAGAGAGGGATAATGTATGTAAAGAATCCAGTCCTCTGCTGGCTCATGGCAGGTGCTCAATAAATAACAATGTTAATTCATAACAGAAGGCCACACGCATGATATCAGGCCCGGAGGATAGTGTGGAGGAGCTAAATGGGAAAGTGAGTAGGGCAAGACATGGGTGGGGGCCCAGTTATGAGGGTGAAGGCCTAAGAGAAGGACTGCCTTGAAGTGAGGTTGACTCTGAGTCCCCTCTTGTCTCTAGAGACAGATCTTGGGGATTGGGGTCAGGGCTGGGCCATAGTCAGGGCCCTAGATGCCAGGTCTGGGGGAAGCTGGGATGTGGGACCAGTTGTGGGGCCTGGCAGTGCCCAGCTTGTCTCATTCAGGCTGGAGGGACCTCGACCAACAAGTGTGAGCTCTGAGCCTGATCAGAGTGGCCTTCTGGCTGGGGCTCAACAGGTTGTTTATTCCTTTCTTCTTTTTTTTAGTGAGGTGCATTATTGGATGCCTGGTGTGAGCAAGGCACCATTCTTGCAATTATGAGTGGGGCTGTACAAAGAGGACAAGACTATTTGCTCTCAGTTTTGAAAGAAGTATTAAAATTTCTTTCCAAAAATTGTGGCTGTCTTAATTTTTTCTTTTAATTTTGTTCATTAAAAGAACATTTATTTTATTGATATATTTTGGGGTTTCGTTGGTGGTGTGTATAGGCTCAGAAGTAGTATCTCTTTCTGGTGAATTATTCCTTTTCATTATGCAATGAACCTCCGTATCTCATTTAAGAATGTGTTCTGCCTTAAAGTCTATTTTATATAATATGAGTATACCTATGTCCAAGTTTTGGTTTATTGTTTTCCTGGAATATTTTATCATTCGTTTATATTCAACATTTTGTCATTATATTTTAGTATATAATTGTGTTTTATTTTGTCTTCAAAATTTAAAAAAAAATTGACGTTTTCTATCTTTTAATTAGCTAGTATAGCAAATAATATTCTTTCCCCTTTTGTTCTGCTGCAAATTCATTTGATTGAGTTTTCAATTCATTTATTGATTACTTATAATATTTTCCTACTTGTTTAACTAAATCTAAGGTCGATGCTTTTTCTATCTTCCTCTCACAAAAAGACATATCCTATCTTAGTTTTTTATTCATTATTTTAGTTTTGTCTTTTTAAAAATTCCTATCAGTTTAGGTATTTTGCATATCTTAACTGTCAGTCAGTATTTACCAGCTCATTTGCTTATTACTCTTCACTGTTAAGCCAGTCACTTTTCTTCTGAAAGACATCCTATTGTCGTTTTTTTCCATCAATGTGTTGCATTAATCAAGTCTGTGTCTTAGTCCATTTTGTATGGTTATAACAGAATACCTAAGACTGGGTAACTTATCAACAATAGAAATTTATTTCTCACACCTCTGAAGGCCGGAAGTCCAAGAACAAAGTGCCAGCAGGCTCAGTTGTCTGGTGAGGGCTGCTCTCTGCTTCCAAAATGGCGCCTTATTGCAGCATCTCCAGAGGGGGGAACGCTGTGTCCTCACCTATTAGAAGAGATGGAAAAGACAAAAAGGTGTAAACTCCCTCTATCAACCCTTTTATAAGGGCACCCAATCCCATTCATCAGGACAGAGCCCTTATGCCTCAATTACCTCCCAAAAGCCACACCTCCCAATACTGCTGCATTGGGGATTAAGTTTCAACATCAATTTGGGAGGAGACAAAAACGTTCAAACCATAGAGTCTGTCAGTATTTGGTGTCTGAAATTGTCTTTATTTCGTCCTCACTCATAAATGCTAGTTTAGCTGGCTATGGGATTCCAGTTCATAGGTATTTCCCCCAAGAAAATTTGAAGATATTTCCTCATTGCCTTCCAGCCTTGATAGTACAGATTGGGAATTTTGCTAATTGTTATACTTTGGAGGTAAATTAGTCTTTTCTTTATAGTGGTTTTAGAATTTTTTCTGTGTTTTTGGTGTCTTCCATTTTCACCATGATGTATCTGGTATTATACAGTCATTATTATTATTTTTTTACACATGGATTTTTCTCCTGTGGCATAATAAAAAAATATATCTAGTCTTTGCCCCATCAGAGAGCTTCAAAAACCCTTCGAATTTCCAGAGTCATAGGAGTTGTTTGTTATACTAATTAGACGACTCACAGTGGGCCCCTAGATAGCTTCAGGGTGGAGGCTGGTCGGTAGAAAGATCAGTCATGTGATTACTGGATTGAAAATTTTGGCAAGCCCAACCTCTGACCTCTGGGTAGTGGTGTGGGACTAGAGATTGAGCTCAATTACACATCTATGTAGGTAGCTATCATACCTACATAATGAAAGCCCAATACAATCTCTGGATACCGAGGCTCAGTGGAACTTCATGATTGGTGAATGCATTGATGTGCTGGGGGTGATGCACTTGGATTCCAGCAGAAGAGGGCATCAAAGCTCTGTGCTGCACCGCTCTCCGTGACCTTGCCCTATGTGCCTCTCCATGTGGGTGTCCCTGATCTGTATCCTTGATAAGGAAACTGTAATTGTTAACTGTAAGACTTTCAGTGAGTTCTATTAGTTTTTCTAATGAATGATCGAAATGTGAGGGGCTGTGGGACCCTCTGGCTTTATCAGTCAGTCAGAAGTGTGAGTGATCTCTGAGACTTGACGTGAGGTCAGTCTTGTGAAGGACTGAGCCCTTTAACTTGCAGGATCTGATGCTCCCTCCAGGTGGTTAGTGTTAGAATGTATTGCAGTCACCCAGTTGTGGTGGAAATGAAACATTTTGGAAATTGTAGCCAGCCAGAAAGAAGTGCAGGTGGCTTGAGGACATCTGAAACTTGTGGCTGACATATTAAGGGGGGGCCGTCCTGCGAAGGACTATGCCCTTAATCTGAGGGGACTGCACTAACTCCAGGTTTTTAGTATTAGAATTGAATTAGATTGTAGGACGGCCAGTTGGTTTCAGAGAAATGGTGTCAAAATATAACCCCATTGCCTAGGTTGTATTTTTCTGGAATTCCTATTTTATATATATATTTATATATATATATGATCTTTTATATATATATATGATCTTTTTTTCTTTTGTGATCCAGCTTCTCTTTTATATTTTTCTTCTCGTTATCTCTCTGTGCTGCATTATGGCTAATTTCCTCAGCCCTATTTTCTGGTTAACCAGCTCTCTTTTGAGCTGTGCCTAATATGCTATTTTATTCAGCCACTGGATTTTTAATTTTAGTGACTATGTATTCAATTTCTAGAAGTTTTAAGGGATTCGAATCTTTCCTTTCCTTCTTGTGATTATAGTCCTTTTATCTATTAATCCTTTTAAATACAATTATTTTACTGGAACTTCTGATCTTTCTAGTATCTCAAGTTCTAGTGCACGCAAGTTTATCCCATGTGCTAATTCTTGATCATGGTGATGAGAACTTCTGATTGTGACCTCAGTTTCAGACGTTCTTGCTCCATGCCCCACCCTGGGACTCCCATGCAAACTGGCTTACGGAAGTGCTCGCTGTTGAGTGCTTTGTGTTTTCTTCTCCTAGGTATCTCTGATCCTGCACCATTTTTAAGTTAATTTAGGTCAAGTGGTTCCTGTGCCAGGCAAGTGACGTAAATTTGAACATCAAGTTCGTGTGAGACATAGGGCTGGGATTTTGGTACCTCATAAGAGAGTTCCTCCAACATCTGCCTACAGAGACCAAAGAGAGAAAAGCTTTATTTTTATCTTCTTGGGTCAGTGGGTAGATTCCTGTCTCCCCTCATTTCTGCCCTTTTCCATCTTATTGAAGGTATAGCCCTCGAAGTGTGCTGGCTTTAAGTAGGGGACTCTGTTCTACCTTCTCACCTTTGGAACCCAAGGTCTATTCTTCTCAGTGGGAACATTGAAACCCAAGCCCTCAGACTTTTATTTTCCTTATTGGAAGCATATGACCCTTTAAACCTCTGTGATCACCTGGCTTTTAAATCATACTTTTAATTGAGCTGCCTGAGTAGAATTGACTGTTTTGAATACTTGCTGCACAGCTGTTACTGGGGATTTGTTTTCCTTGCTTTCTTGGTTAGTTCATTTTTTAAAGAAAATTATGAATTACTGTTCTATGAACTGCACATTTTTCTGCAGTATTCCCTCAAGCATTTTTTTTCCAGAAAGGATATATGGGAGAAAAACTTCTTGAGATTTTCTCCCTTAAAACATCATCAATTCCCCTTACATTTGATTGATAGTTCGACTGGGTATGGAATTGCAGGTCAAAATTGCTCCATTCTTGGCGGCATGGACTCCACCTCTGCTCCCTCCACTGAAGGATGAGATAATTAAGGGGACTGAAAAACCAATGTGTGTGATGAGGCTGGCAGAGGTCATGGCTGGTAGATGTCTGGCTCAGGTCTATTGAGTCGCAGGGCAAATGACTTACTATGCCAGTAACGTTTTGAGGGTGTGCTCTAAGGAGAAACCCATAGGAAAGTCAGGAGAAACACCAAAGCAGGATATGGTGGAGGACACTAAGCAATGACATGGCTCCAGCCTCAGCCTGTTCCTACGGGGAGTCTGCAGTGCGAGTGCCACCACTGAGCTGTCCCATTTTAAAGCGAAGGGGCCCAGGTTGTGTACCTCTTATCAATCAGCTGACAGCCTGCCCCCAGGAAGGAAGGAAGGTGTAACTTCCCAGGGGAGGGCAATCCTCTGGGCAGCGCAGCTATGAGTCTAATCATCATAGCAGCTGGGGGTGGGGGCTCTACAATAGACATCTGGGTGGGGTGCCAACAGTGTTATTTCAACATTTAATAAATGATTGTGCCTTTTCCTCTTCTCTCCCTAGCTGTGCCCTCTCTGGGAATACATGCCATTATGAACAGTAGAGAATACATGATGCCTGTTCTGGAAGAATGGGCCTCATATTAGTCAACCATAGAAGAGAACACAAATTCCTGTTTTGGATGTTACTGGGAATGCCAGAAGAATATGACATGCCTATGTCACATTCAGGAGCTTGGGGGCTCTAGGTTGGAGAATTGAGACAATTCCTGTCTGATGATGAATCAGATGAGTGGTAGGCACAGTGAATACTACAGAGTAAGAATAGGGAGGTAAAGTAGGGGAGACCTAGGGACAAGACCAGAAGAGAGGTTGAGTCCAGGTGGAGGAAGGCCTTAGACTGTAAGCAACAGGGCATCGCTGATGAAGCCAGCCAGAAGGAAAAGATGCACACTCCCAAAACCATTAGAGAAAACAGTGGCCAAAATATTGACAACTGCTAGATTTTCCTAAAGCAGTCAAGAGATCAGTGAGGACTTCCAGGGTCTGGGAGGTCTTCTGGGGACACTGGGATTCCAGCCAATCTCTAGGGGATGACGAGGACTTGGGTTGGGGAAGAAGGGATGGGGAGGGCATTCTAGTCAGAGGGAACAGTACAGGCAAAGGCAGGAGAGGGGGTTGAGCTCAGCATCCTCAGAGCGTCATGTGGGTCTGCTCTGTTGGGTGGTAAGTGCCATCTTGCTGTGAAGGAGGGGGCTCCAGGGCCCAGAGGAGCCCTCACGGAGACCTGAATCTTGCCACCATGTCCCCCAGCAGAGTCCCCCATGTGTCCTAAAGGGCAAAATTGTTTTTCATATTTAAGTTAAAAATGGATAATTCCACGGGGCTATGAGATCACCTGGAAAGGGAAGGGAGCTGGAGAGCTTTGGGTCTTTGTGCTGCTGGGAATTCAGAGACCAGTCCAGGGCAGCAGTAAGATCACCACTCCTGGAGGGGTCCTACAGTTTTCCCTCCTCAGGAGAAGATGACACGCACTAGGGGGAAGTCTAGGTGTGTAGCATGGATGGCGGTAAAATTTGCCAGCCACAGGGGAGGTCCCAATTTCTGGTAAGTGGCCTGTCTTTGGACTTGTCCTCTGAGGTGGTTTTCCCTGTGTCTTCATTCCCTCTTGCTGCTTGAACACGTCCACACTGTCTGTGTTACAGGCTGAGTCGTGTCCCTCTGTATTCATCTGTGGAAGCCCTAGCCCACAGGACCTCAGAATGTGACTGTATTTGGAGATAGGGCCTTTAAAGAGGGGATTAAGGTAAAATGTGGTCATATGAGTGGGCTCTAATCCAAGATGTCTGTCATCCTTAGAAGAAGAGGATGTCTGTCGTCCTTAGCAGAAGAGGACTTTTGGGTATACAGAGGCACCAGGGATGCATGCACAGAGGAAAGACCAGGTGAGGACACGGCTAGAAGGTGGCATCTTCAAGCCAGGAAGGGAGGCCTCAGGAGGAGCCAGCCCTGCCAACACCTTCCTGCCCTCTTTGCTTGGCTTCTTTCTGTTCTTCTGTCAAGATTCCCCTGCAATGAGACCTCCCGGGAGAGCTCCCCATTTCTGGGCTCCCTCAGCCCTCTTGCCTTCCTTCTTGGAGCAGTGACCTGCCCTGGGGGCAGGATATCTTGGTCACTTTCCCCTCAGCTGGCTGGTATTCTCCCTGGGAGGGCCTGACTTCTCCATCCCTGTGTAGCACAGGCCTGGCTCAGCGCATCCTGCATTGGCTCAGACGTGTTGATGGCTTCTCTAGGAATCGGTGCCTTTCCTGGCCGCCTGCCACACCTTTGCATGTGCTATGCCTTCTGCTGCTTCCAGACTGATTCCCGCTTATCCCTGCAGGGCCCGCGTTGGCGTCACCTGCTCAGAAGCCTCCTCCACTGAGCTGGTGTGCCATTCCCCTCTGCTTCCACCACAGCTTGCTGGCCCCTCTGTTTTCGGCACTGGGTGTCGTGACTCTTTCTGCCATGCCAGGAACTCTGCGAGAGAGTGTGGCCTTCCTCATCTTCATGGAGTCACCTCTTGTTCCCTGCACTGGATGAGCTGCCCTGGGGAAGGGGTGAAGTTAGGAAAGAAATGGCCAGTCTGTAACCAGAACTGAAAGGAAATTCGAGAGTTCAGTAATTCTTGGGTTTTCTAGGTTAGAAAATAAAAATATTTCTCATCTTTAGCTCCTCCCAGAGCAAGAGCAAGACACAGCTCTGTTAAGAATTCTAAAAGTATGAAGATGACACTTTATAGAGTTCCTCACCGGGGACAGAAGGGCTCCTAGCAAGACAGAAGGCATGGTCTCACTGAGCTCGATGCTGCCCAAGTACTGGAATGCAGTCTAGACAGCAGGGTGTGCCTCGCAAGGAAGCTGTGGGCATGCTTGTTGGCATATGGAGGGAGCCACGATCAAACACATGGAAAATCCTCATGTCTGAGAGAGAGCTCTGTTGGCAAAAGTGCTGCCAGCCTAAAAGAGATGGCGATGGTTCAAGATGTCAACAGATCTCTGAGTTCCTGATTTACTGTAGAAGTGCATGTTCCCCACTGCCCCCATCACACGGGAAGGGGAGGATGTTGGAGAAGGAAGGAGCTTCCCTGGAGTGGGCCCAGGAGTTGTGGAGAGTGATGTCAGGGATGCTGTCCCCAGGGAGCAGACCCAGGACCTGATCAGAGGGTAGTCCCTGCCCTTAGGTTGTTGGGGCCTGACAGTGTTTTTCCAGTAGTGTTTTGAATTTCTCTGGACAGTTGTGGTTCTTGGTCTCTGGATAAAGAGGAGCTGTGGACTTGCTGTATGCACACAGCCCTGGACCTCAAGGCTGACGCTGTGATTGCGTGAGGCTTCTGGAGCGTCGGGAAAGGCATGTGTGTGTCTAGCATGTGCACAGGAAGTGATAGGGCAGACTGAGGGAATTTAGATTATTATTCAGCAAACATTGGCTCCCTCTCTCTCCTACTGGAGACGATATATTTCCCACTCCATGGATATATGCTGACCTTGGCCACAGGACTTGCATTAACTGATGGAATGTTGGCAGTTCATGGATGAGAAAGGCTTGAAATGTGCTTGTGGTGTTTGGTTTGTCTTCTTGCCATCTTCACTTCACATGGTCTTTACCTTGGGTTGCTGCTGTCCCTGTCCTGGATTAGATTTGAGACCAAGCCACAGGGAGAAGTCAACCCCAGCCAGACCCACAGCTGAGCCAATCCCATCCTAGATCAGTGGCCTTTCCCAACTAACCAGCATCTTGTGAGTGACCATGCATGAGCGATGATGTTTTGAGTGACAGAGTTTGGAGTGGTTGGTTATGCAGCTATAGCTGACTGATACACCTTCCTTCCAGGGAGAATAGGTAGCAACCAAATAAATCACAGCCAGGCCTGTTTTCTGGGCTGGGCAGGAGCAGCAATTGAAGAGTTTCACAAAACAGCACGTAGTCAAAGCAGACAGAGCTGTGGCCCTTGATCCTTGGGCAAGCATTTGTCTCTCAGCTTTCACTTGGCCTCTCTAGACTCTGGTCTGAGTCCCTGCAAGCTGTTCTGAGAATAATGAAAAAGGAGAAGGATGATGGGGCTGTGGGTTCACATAAATACCCTAACAGGATCATTCCCCTTAAATGAAGATGGAATGTGCCTTGTTCTTTTCAATTATAGGAATAATAAACATTCTCTTCTCCTGATCAGCTTTCCTAACTACAGGCAATGCCGTTAACTGTAAAACACCGAACACAGACTCGATGTACTGTCCCCATTACATTACTATTAAAGCTGCCATCAGACAGTTATTGCCAGTGTTAGTTTTGAGCTACAGAAGGGAGATTTGATTTATCAAAAAATCCCACACCCATGTGACAGATTTATGGGACCTCAGCAAATGTTCTTTTAACGAAAATTATAATTTTAAATACTCCTCTGAAAATGGTGTCATTAAATCTTATGCCAGCCCATGTATTTAAACAAAATTCAAGTGGGTTTATTGTCTTCTCTTTCCTTTGATAATTAATCAGATGAAAGTTGATCTTTAAAATGGAGTTAGCAATTGCCTTGAAAAATACAAATTCTTGATTCTTTTTCCTAATCTGGCTGTCCCCATCTGCCTGTGGCCTCTGACTGGGTCCTTATGGGGCCAGCAGTGATTTTGCTCAGATAAACGTAGTGTTAAGTAAGACTTTTTACATTGTCTGATCACATTGCAGTGTGCATAGTTCTTCTGTGTCTCCCCTACCAGCCTGTGAACTCTCCCGGGGCAGGAATGAGATCGTGTTTGTGTTTGTGCCCCTAGGGCCTCTGAGGGTGCTTTACACAGATGGGTGCTCCATTGTTGATTAGGACTGAATTGCAGAGGTCCATCTCCCAAGGCCTTTGGGGAATGGAAGCCCCTGATGCATGATTCAATCACATCTGTGCAAATTCAAGCACAATTGCTATTAGCGCCCACTTACCGTAATGAAGGATGAGCGTTGGAGTCAAGCATGTGCATGGCAAGTCAGGGTAAGAAAGACGCAAGCAGAGGTCCTGCTCAGGAATGTGGGCTCTTCCCTGCTGTTACCCTGTGTCCCAGCCTGACTGGTGAAGACACGAGTGGGAGGCCCTGTTGTTAGGGCTAGAGCATTAGGTGGGGAAGGAGAGTGAGAACATGCTCTCCCTGCACCCTGGGTGCCCCCACATCGCCACTGGCTTGTTTACATGTCTTCCTCTTTTGCCACCAGGAAAAAGCAGCATGAAGGCCAGAGGCGCTTCATGTCCATTTTAAGCTACAAAAACACCCAGCCAGGCTCTGAAACCCCAACTTGGAGGGGCCCAACTCAAGTTGGCCCAGAAGCCATTCATGATTCTCTCAACCCACTGATCTAGTCCTTCCCTGGATTCTTATGAACTCAAGTTATGTCTTGGTGAGACGTTGATTATAAAGTCACTCAATGCTTGCTTATGTCTCTACACTTTCTTCTGACTGAATTAGATTGTAGCAACAGTTTCTGGTCTCCTTCCTGCATCTTCTGTCAGTTGTCTGCGAGAGAGGTGTGTGGGCTTTGGAGTGGGACAAGCCCATGGTCTCCCCCTAGCTCTGCCACCCGCCTGGATTTCCAGAGCTGATAAGTTTCTGAGAGCTGGGGCCCTATGGAAAGGCCCTGAGTAGGGTGGACGGAGAATCCCTAGGTTTGGGGCCGTCCAGACATGGTCACTCACTGCTAGAGCCTAAGGACATGAGATATGATGCAGGCTTGGTGACCTGGCTCATGGGTGGAAGTTTCTGTGTGCTGACGTGAAGCTGGAGTGCTGGGCAGGGGGCTGCTCTCACCTGCAGGCTGCAGTCCCCCAGAGCCAGCCCACCACCACAGCCTTTTCTCAGGTGGGTCTTTGGGAGTAAACCAAAAGGGTGAGGGTGTGGTGGGGTGAGGGAGCAAAACATCCCCAAACCTTGAATGAGTCTAGCTCATTCTTCTCCAGTGCTTAATACTAATGTGTGGCTGGGTGGGGCTCCGCTGCCGACTTCTCAGAGTCCCAGTGAGTCTTCTAGCAGCTGGCTCTGATCAACACAATGGCCCTCTTCTCCTTTCCCTTCCATCTGTGACAGAGGGAGATGGTCCCACATCCAAGAGTTTTGTTGGGCCCCTCCAAGTTGGGGTTTCAGAGCCTGGCTGGCTGTTTTTGTAGCTCAAAGTGGACGTGAAGAACCTCTGGCCTTCACACTGCTTGAGATGGCGTGGCTTGGAGGTGGGGCAGGTGGGCTTAAATAGGATTTACTGGAGGCCATTGGTTTGGACTGAGCTCCTGCCCTAGGCCCCACAGATGAGACCAAACCAGAATGGAGTCACTTGTGCTAGGTGCCACGTCATAAAACTGAACTTGGAAATGGGCCAGTTTTCTTAAAATTAGGAAAAATTTATCACAACCAGTCAGAAGGGGCCTGGTGTTCCTGAGCTGCAGGCAAAATAAGGAAGTCCCCTCTCTTTTAACCCTATCAGGAAAGTCACTTTGAAACCACCTGTCTGTCTTTTGTTCTCTGTGTCTGCTTCCCTCTACCCTTTTTGTCTGTAAAGCCTACCTGCTCTTCTCAGCTCAGTGGAGCATCCATTTCATACACAGGATGCTGCTTGATTTATGAATTGCTAATAAAAGCCAATTAGATCATTAAACTCATTTTGTTGAAATTTTGTCTTTTAACAGTGGGGAGAATGAACAAAAAGAAACAGCCTTTCAAAATAATCAAATGTACTAACTCCTGGGTAAGAGCAGCTTTGTGCATTTTGGAGGAGTTAGGAAAATGATTTTTGTCTTCTTACTGCTTTATGTAAGGAGTACAAACTCAAGAGCCATCAGCAGTTGAGCAAAGAATCACCCTCTGAAGCCAGAGTGGCTTTCCCAGGGCTGTCCCTACCTACACGGTATGATTCTTTGGTGGCTCATGCCTATAATCCTAGTACTTTGGGAGGCCAAGGCGAGTGGATCACCAGAGGTCAGAAGTTCGAGACCAGGCTGGCCAACATGACAAAACCTTGTCTCTACTAAAAAACAAAAAAATTACAAAAATTAGCCAGGCAAGCTGGTGTGTGCCTGTAATTCCAGCTACTTGGGAGGCTGAGGCAGGAGAATCACTTGAACCTGGGAGGCTGACGTTGCAGTGAGTGGAGATCACACCTCTTCACTCCAGCCTGGGAAACTCTGTCTGAAGAAAAAAAAAAAAAGATTGCACTATTTTCAGGTATGGTGAAGCCAACAGATCAGGAGACGGGTGCCACCGAAGGACTAGTTTGTTATACTCACAGATCCCAAGAGAAGGGGGCTTGCCACACCATAGGGGCCACATGGGGATGCACCAGGGTTGGTCAGGAGGCAAAGGAAGTGGAGGATACTGGGGTTACACCTGGCAGAGACAATGCAGCTGTCTAGATACAGGGTGCCAACAAGCAGCAGTGCCTTACCTGGCAGTGGGTGCTGTCTGTGGGATCCAATCAGTGAGGCTACAGCAGCCTAGAGCATATCATCCCCACGTGGCATCAAGCCATGTTCACTGTGCCAGGTGTTTTAAAGGTGCCTGATTTGTTTTGATCTGGCGTAGACACACAGACATGGAAATGACGGTCATGACGGAAGAAGTTTTTTATACTCATAGTTTCCTGGAAACAGGAGGCAGGACATGCCACATAGGGCCACATAGGGAAGCACCAGGGTGGGTCAGGAGGCAGAGGGAGTGAGGGGAAAATGTGGGCAAGGGCCTTTATTGTGGTTTCTTTCGGAAAGAATGGGTGAGACTGTGTAAGCGAGTTTAGCAATGGGTAGTTTGAATAATCTCAGCGACCTCTGCTGCAGAGGGGCTGAGCCCACTTCTGGTCCCTGGTGCTGAGAGTATCACAGTAGCTGGGTAGTGGTCTGGAGTGTGAGAGCCCCATAAAGGAGGTGGTTGGGGTTGTAGGCTCTGGATTGGTTGGTTTGCAATGGAAAGGCACACTCGCAGGCAAGTGTGAGATTGCTTGCAATCTCCAGGAGTTAGCTAGCCCTGGGAGGGGTGGGCCTTCTAGGGTCGGCAAGGCCCCAGATATCAAAACATCAGAACGCAGAAAATAAAAAGAGATGGTTCACACAAGAGTCAGAGTCCCACTGCTTACATTCTGGATACAGAGGGCGAGGGGCCTGTACATTAATCATGCCACATGCATACAATCACCCAGACATCTGTTTTGGATCCAAAATTCACACTCTTGCCAGTGTCTGGCACCCCCACTGCAGGCTTCTATGGAAGGGGAGGAGGGGCAATTTCCAGGGGCACGAAGTGGGGCGGAGGTTTCTTATGCACTCCCCCAGCCCTTTCCTTTAGCCTGCCCCTGCCTGCCCACAGCGCAGAAGACCCTGGCACTGCTGGCCCCTGAGGCATTTGAGCCGTGCTGGATGAGGTTGGGGGCATGGGCGACTCTGGCAGGGAGGAGAGTTGTATCAGTGTTATTGTTTAAAACTTCCCATGTGTGGTGATAAGAGCAGCAGACTGCCTGGTCGTCGGTTTTATTCTTGCTTTACTTTTTCTGTACATAATACATGCTCTTACCGCTTGCAGCAGGGGCCGATGGCTTCCGCTGCTGTCCCTGCCCCTCCCCTGTGGCATGCCACTGGCCTTCAGGATTCTGCAGCACCACTTGGGATGGGTCTCCTTTTCCTCTGTTGCTGGCTTCGGATCTGAGTGTCTTGGGTATGCTAATTCAGTCACCTCCAGCTACTGAAGTTTAATTGCTGCTGTCTTCTCTCCTGTTCTCCCATCTCTGTGGGTTTATGATTTTAACAAATCCTTTAATATAGTTTTAATGGAATTTCAGGAGGGAGAAAAATTAGATAAATACATTCAATCCTCCATCAGAAACCAGAAGACTCTTTAAGAATTATTTTCATAAACATCCTCATATCCCTAATGCTTCTCTGGAGCATTCTGGATCCACAGAACCTAAGCCAGAAGGACCCCAGCATATGAAGGTTTTTAAGTTACAGCAATTGAGATTTCCTATCATCCACTGAGTCCTGCCGACTTGCTCACTAGGCCCCTGGTGTGAAGACGTGGCTTGCATGGTGGAGGGGGCTTCTGGGACCACAGGTTCATGTGCTTGGAGTATTGCACAGCTCAGAAAGGGAGGGTGGTCTTCAGGGGACCCCACCACATTCGTCCTCCCCATCCTTATCCCCTATTTCCATTTTCTACCATCAGCCATTTAAGGCATATATTAGATCATATTGTTCCCCCGCTTAAAGCCCTCCAGCGCCTTGTCTCACTCAAAAGATGCAACTTTCTGACATGAACCACGTAGTTCTGCATGATTTGGGCTATGGTTCCTTCCCCTCGTCCTCTACCTTCTTCTCCTCACTCGCTCTGCACCTCCCACGGGCTGCCCTGGGCTTGGAGGGCTCGTTGGTGCTCCTCTTGCCCAGCCTCCCCACTTTCTGGTCTCAGATTGAGCATCAGCTCCAAATAAGGCCTTTTCTGAGCACCCCTCTGTCCTGGCCCTGCCTCCGCTGGGAGTTCCTGCCTGCTCTACGTCAGGCCAAGCCTGGTCCGTGTGGTTTTACCTCAGCTAACATCTGCCCACACGGGAGGGGAGGCAACGTCCAGACTCTAGACATTCCCTTGTAGCATGAGAGGAAAGCCGACAAGAATCCCCATATAAGGGATTGACTCAGTTATCTGTAAGAGGATCCAAGAGTGGACACTGAAGTGTGCAGGTGAAAACTTTGGGGAAGACCCATCAAATGGCCCAGGCACAGTCCTGAGAGGGTAGCATTGTGAAGTGACTTGCGTAGGTGGACAGTCCTGGGCGAGAACCTAACCTCTGCTGCTTCTTCTTTCTGTGCTAGTGTTATTTAAATGTCCTAAGCCTCAGTATCCTCATCCATTAAGTTGGAGATAAAAAGAGCAACCCTTTCATAGGCAGGCATTTGGAGATGGCATAGGTGAGGGCTCTTTGGCTCCTCCTGGCACAAAGAAACTCGGTACACAAGCAATCCTTGCCCTCTGGAGGTTCTAGGAAGGTGCAGTCGGTGGGTGCAGAGCTGTGGCCTGACCCGGATGGTGGAAAATGGTGGTGAAAAGAAATGGTAATGGAGGTGGAGTACAGGGAGGATGCACTGGATGGTCCAGAGTAAGGGTGCTGGGAATGAGAGAAGGGTTTTATTCCCCAGGACTGATAGGGGTTTCTAGAGGAGATGGGCTCAGACAGTCACGAGTACAGGTCCCTGGTGATGTGAACCAGGTGGGCACTGTGTAGGACGCTGTTGCTGGGTTCAGCAGCAGAGTCGGGAGTCAGTGATAAGTCTCGTCAGCATGTCACAGCTGCTCCCCGGGAACTCCTAGCAGCTTCCTGGCTCACCTCCTTTGGCAAGAGATGCTGTGATCTGCAGAGTGTGGGCTCTGTCTCTTGGTGTCCGTTGGTGTCAGCTTCCACACTGGCATTTGACAGAGGTGGTGCTCCTATGCCCCACTCCAAACTACAAACAGAAGTGAAAGCCTTCTGAATTCCCCAAGGCAGAGAAAAATAAGGAGCTTTCACCGCAAGCAAACGTGATGATATAGTTCTTTCTCTGTTTAAAACTCTCATCAAGGGGATGGGAGCCTAGTCAGTTTTTACCAGTTAACACCATAGCATGGGAACAGCCTTTCTTCTGGCAGGATAAGCCTTATGTCTTCATTTCTCATTAACTTGTCTCATTTCTGCTAAGATTCTATTCCTGAGAATTGCCTCTGTTTCTCTCACCTCCCTTCATGCAGCAGTTTCAGCAGGAAGTCAGGGTACAAGGAGGAAAGCTTGGTGCAAAGTCTTTGGACCTTTGCCTAATCTCTCTAGGTTTTGGTTTGAGATGCAGCATCTATGAAGCTGTGCACTCTGGATGTGTTCAGGTAAGCACACCTTACCCGCACACACCCACACTTTACAGTGGGCCAGCTGGTGGGGGCACGCTGTGTTCTGACATGTGTCCCAGGGGAAGAGAACCTTCATGGGGGGTTATGCTGAGACTGGGGATGGTCTCTATAATGCACCTGTCACACAGCCTGGCAATTGAAGGTGCTCGACAAATGAGTGACTAAAAAGGAGAAATAGAAAAACTGATTTCAAAGAGCAATGCCCACACTCAAGTGGAATTTTCCATTGCAGTCTAGGCAGCAGCCTAGGGGCGTAATGGCATAGGGCCAGCTAGCACCCCTTCAGTTGATAAAAGCGGGCACCCACAGAGGAAATGAACTGTAGCTACTGGGGTAGGGGAGAGGGATGACTTCATCTTAGTTCCCAGGTTCCAGATGCCATGGAAAAGTCTAGAACGCTCTTTGGAAAAAAGAAGTGGCCGACTAAGCAACGTTCTCCCTAGCCCCCAATTTCTTCCTCTGCAAAAAGAGGATTGTAAAGTATGCTCCGGGTTGGTATAGTTAAATGAGATAAAGTGACAAGTAGCTGAGGAACTAGAAAGCATCTAGGAAGATGCCTCCCTCTTGCCCAGAAGAGTCTCTGGCTGTATGTGGTGGAGCCAATACATGCATGAGGAGAGTTTTTTGAGGAAGAAGTTTAGTGTGACCACTGATAGAAGGGAGGGGCCATAAGGCATGTGTGGAGAACAAAGCCTGGGAGATTCAGCCAAGGCTGGAGAGGGCGGAGAGGAAGGGGAGGGTGGAGTGGGGCAGGGATCTGGAAGGCAGCCCTGCTAGGAGGCTGGGAACCCTTGTTTGGGCTGCTCCAGACTGGTCAGGCTCGGGGGTACATGAGACACTTCCAGAGTCCTGATAAATGATCATTTACTAACAAACTCTCCTGCTTGTCAGCAGGAATGTTGGTGGCCTCTGCTCATTGGCCAAGAGGAGGGCCACTCTGGAATGCTGTCAATGAATCTCTTAGAAGTGCATGCACACGTGCATACACACACACACAGATATACATAAAGCAGCTGCACCCTATGCCATTGTGGCTTTAATTTGCATTTTCTAAATGGCTAATGATGTTGAACATCTTTCCACGTGCTTATTTGCCACTTGTACATCCTCTTGTGTAAAATGTATCTTCCTATTTTCTATCCATTTTCTAATTAGATATTTTCAACTTTGGCGTTGCATTTTGAGAGTTCTTTTTTTTTTTTTTTTTTTTTTTTTTTGAGACAGAGTCTCACCCTGTCACCCAGGCTGGAGTGCAGTGGCATGATCTCAGCTCACTGCAGGCTCCGCCTCCTGGGCTCACGCCATTCTCCTGCCTCAGCTTCCCCAGCAGCTGGGACTACAGGCACCTGCCACCACGCCCGGCTAATGTTTTGTATTTTTAGTAGAGACGGGGTTTCACCGTGTTAGCCAGGATGGTCTCGATCTCCTGACCTTGTGATCTGCCCGCCTCTGCCTCCCAAAGTGCTGGGATTACAGGCGTGAGCCTCTGTGCCTGGCCAAAGAGAGTTCTTTTTATAGTTTAGATATTAGTCTTTTGTCAGAGATGTGCTCTGCACATATTTTCTCCCAGTCTAGAGCTTATCTTTTCATCGTCTTAACCGGACCTTTCTCAGGGCGGAAGTTTTCAGTTTTCATGAAGTCCAATTTATCAGTTTTTCCTTTTGTGAATTATGCTTTTGGTATCACATGTAAGAGCTCCTTTCCTAATCCTAGATTCTGAAGATTTTTTTCTAAAAGTTTTCTAGTTTTATTTTAAATTTAAGTCCATTATCCATTTTGAGTTAATTTATGGTGTGTGAAACTTACATTGAGGCTTGCATTTGCTATAGGTGTCCAACTGCTCCAGTCCCATTTGTTAAACAGGAATCTTAAACATTTTTGAAAGCACTAATCAGTCATTTTAATATTAATATCTGATAACTCACTTGTGGTCACTTATAGGTTTGTTTCTTTTGTCTGTTTTTTCTCTTGATCCTGTTTTTTTTGGGGTATACCTGTTAATATGTGTTTGGATACTGGACATTATAAATCAAACATCATAGGGGCTATAGATGATATTTTCCTTCATAAAGTGTTTACCCTATCCTCCATCAGTCAATGTAGAATAATAGACCTCTTTATTTTTGTCAGGGGCTGAATGCCTTGAAACTTCATGTCATGCTTTGTAGGGATTGGTTTGCCTCTTGTGCACATGCCCACTTTCAGAGTATAGCCTTCCCAATCAATATCCTGCAGTATTTACCAAGGATCATCTTCCTATGTGGGTCAAAACCTCCAATTTTTATTTCCCCAGCATCCAGATCTCTAATCAATTGCATTTCAGATACTTTCTGCTTGGGTTCTTTGCCTTTAGCCCTGTACTGCATGAAGGTACTTTGGAGGGTGGGAAAGAAATAGATGCAGTATGTTTGTTTGACTTTTCTGCACCTCCCTGCTTTCAGGTCTCTGAATCCTTCATGTTCCGTTTTGGCATATCTCAGACTCCAACTATTGTCTCCTCTGTCCCGTGATGTTGCAGAAAGCTCTCCCAAACTTTGAGGTCATCCTCAGTCAAGCCCCTGCAGTCTCCCTGAGTCTCCCTGCTGCTGCTGTAGCTCACCCATGCAGAGGGGCACCTGCAGCAGGACACAGGGCTCATCCAGGGCACCCCTTCTCTCCAGGACCTGAATGCTTAGGGCCTGCCTCTTCTTATGCCTTAAAACAGTATTTTTGTTTTGTTTTGTCCTTTGATGTAAGTTATTTCTAGTTGCCCTTGCCTGGAGTGTTAGTCTGCTATAAGTTGCTCTGTCATAGTTGAAAGAATTCCTCCAGACCCTATGTTTTGACCAAGGTTTGCCTGACTCTAAATTCCTTGACCTTTGTACTCTAGCTAAACTCAATATACAGTTTTCATGAAAATAAGAAAACTCTTTGACAAAAGATTCATACACAAAGACAAACACACCAATTCATGCTTCACATACATCACACCCAGAGTTTTCTATTTTTTACTGCACTCATCAGAAAACACCCACTCTGGATACTTTTGAGGTAATGGTCTAGGTCCTAATTTAAATACAAAAAGGAAAACACCATCGCTGCCTGGAGGGCCTGGCATCTCCTGTGTCCTGGATGGCACCAGCTCCCCAGGCATGTGGAAAAAACCACAGCCCCCCAGAGCTATGCCACCTGCCTGGGGGCTCTAACCCATTCCTGCAGAATGGCTGCACCTCCACCCTTGCTATATGGCAATGTCCTTGGAGTGCTATACATCTTCCAAAGCCACCTTACATCTGTGGACTCCCCAGTCTAGTAAAGCAAGAAGGGTGGAAGGGGAGCCTCAGCGGAACCGTGTCTATTCACACCCACCCACCCACTTGGCATCTCTTTCTCGGCCACAGGACTCCCAGCGTTCCACGCCTTCCTGCTGCCCCGGGAGCCTCTGTGGGTTCTTCTGTCTCCTCACTTAGCATCTTACCTCTCACCACATGCTTGCTTGTGTCACCCACTCCAGCCAGACCACAATCCCTGGAGATTCCTGAAACTCTCAAGGTCTCTCAGACCTCTGCTCCTCGGCAATGCCAATCAAAACACCCCTCTCTTCCTTCCTGCCCTTCTCTGGGCTGTCACATGGGTGTAAGACACCACCTCAGGGAAGCCTTCCTGGATCCCCCAGCTGGGTGAGAGGGAGGTGCCTGTGACTGGAGACCCACCGCTGCCCTCGGCCATGGCACTCTCTGCCCTGCTGCCATTTATGCTCTGTTTATGTCTAGGCCTCCTGCAGTCCTTGGCTGTCTTCCAAGAAGCAGCCCTTACCATGGGTTGGTGGTGTTAAGTCAGCCTGAGTCCAAGCCTTCCAGGCTGAGCTGCCAGCTCCGAGGAGCAAGTACAAACAGGGCCTAAGGAGACAGGTGTTCTCCTTTTAGGAGCTGGGCTGAGGACCCTGGCAGGACTTCGGTGGACTGAAGGAGAAAAGGGGAGTGAGGGCTTTGGATCTGCACCCATGGCATGGCCAAATACTGGACAATAAATATGAGGTGGGCAGGTTCCTGGGTCGGAGCACACCAGCCTGGCCAAAGCATCACACCCCCATCTCCTTGTGCTCAGATGGGGAAACTGAGATGCAGAGGGGGGCGCCCAGGCCACCTCTGGCCTCGTCTCAGGTATTGGAATTAGGTGAGGCCTGGATGAGCCCATAAAATCATCATTTTGGGACCAGGACAGGATGATTCTGGAGAGGAGTGGGAGGGTGAGGGGATGGGACATGGCACACAGGGTAACTCGGGAAGAGATGTCATCTCAGCACCCGGCAGGAGACAGATAGCACAGTCAACTAGGCTATGAAGAGGGGTTTTAATGAAGAGACTCTTTACAAAGGTGTAGGAGTAGGCAAACCACGAGACAGCGCAGTCTCCTAGGCCTCAGAGCTTTGGGGCCCCAGGACCCAGGATGGAGGGTATGGGGGGATGGGGTCACCGGGACCCAGAGATGAGTGAACTTTGTGACGGTGGTAGCTGCGGCCTCTGTTCACTTCTGGAAGACATGCGGGCTGCCCTGTTCCTGCTGAGGGAGAAGAAGCTGGGCATTTCTACCCTGACCTCCCACTACTCTGGCCTCCTCCCTGTCTCTCTAACTTCCTCCTGGGAGTCTCCCCTGGCCAAACCCAACCCAGAGCAGAGGGCAAGGCAGCCATGCTAATGGTCCCTGTGGGTCAGGGCAGGGCAGCAGGGGTGAAGGTGGGGTGTGCAGGGGACAGGGACAGCTGGGAGGAAGAGCACTCTGTAGTGAGGATGGGAGGCCTGGAGCTTTGCCATTTCTGTGTCCTGGGCCCCTGGCCCCAATATGTCTGCATATATGGAGGCTGATGAGTGGCACTCCTGAGAGTCCTGGCCCTCGATCCCACTCTGTTCTGCACGCCAGACCCCAGGAGGTCAGCACTGGGGTTCCAGGCCCTGAGACTCCCAGGGCACACCCAGCTTTTCCCTCTGGGAGCCCTAGAATTGGGTCGGGGTCTCCTTTCCCAGTACCTTTACTGCCTCCTTCTTCCTTTGCCAGTAAAAGAAACATCTGGGCCAAGAAACAGGGTGGAGTCAGTCAGGGAATAGGTGTGTCTTCCCTGGGGATGCTGGGGCTTGGAGAGGTCACTCACCCACCTCCAGCTATGGCCAGGAGTAGAGCACTGCTGAGACTCACAGCCCACAGGGAGGTCCGCCGGTTCCTGGCTGGGGTGTGAAAGAGGAAGCCAGGTGTTTGGAGGCCAGGCAGGGCTACCTCAACTCAGAGAGAAGGCCACCATCCTCTCATTCTTTGATTCGTTCACTCATGATGTGTTTGCAAACACTTACTGAGCACGCTGTGCGCCCAGCACATATCTAGACAAGCAAACAATCATGGTGTGGGGTTCAAGGGAAATAGGACAGGACATGGGAGGGGAAGTGACAGTGAGGATGGCTGACAAGCCTCTGGGGTGGGAGCTGATCAGGGAAAGCTTCTTAGAAAACAGGAGTCTGAGCTGGACTTGGAAACACAAATAAGGGATCAGTTCAAGGGCAAGGCTGTGTCCCCGGCACAGGACACGCTCAAGGATAGAGGTATGGAGCTGCCTGTATGCACTTAGTGTGCCTGGGGAGTAGGGGGCTCCCGAGGAGGGTGGGCTTTCTCTAGGGGCATTTGGGAACCACTGCTGGTTATAAGCAGGGAGTGTCATGGGTAGACTTGCTCGTTGAGAAGAAGTTCAGAGTGTGATGTGGCCTGGAGGGACAGGGAGGCTAATGGGAAATGTTGCTGTAAGTTAGATGAGAGATGAGGAGGCCTGAGAGTGGAGGTTAGAATGAAACTATGGGAACACATAGAAGACTTATTTAGCAAGACATGGTGATTCTCCGTGCTAAGTGGAGGGAGATTCCTGGTTTAGGAGACTGAGGGCTTGAGTGGGGCCATTTGTTGAGAACGGCCCTGGAGGAAGAACAGGTTTGGGGGTTTGATGGGATTGGGCATTTTTCTTTTTCTTTTCTTTTTTCTTTCTTTTTTTTTTTTTTGAAACAGAGTCTTGCTCTGTTGCCCAGCCTGGAGTGCAGTGGCATGATCTCGGCTCACTGCAACCTCCACCTCCCGGGTCCAAGCGACTCTCCTGCCTCAGCCTCCTGAGTAAGGATTGGTCATGTTTCTAGGCATGGCATCTCTGAGAACCAAGAGGCCTCCA
The DNA here is from genome assembly GCF_000001405.40 of Homo sapiens. Lineage (NCBI taxonomy): Eukaryota > Metazoa > Chordata > Mammalia > Primates > Hominidae > Homo > Homo sapiens. The sequence goes on along the minus strand of NC_000002.12, from coordinate 126,900,229 downwards.
TGAGTGATGTCCTACAGGCAGATGCCTCCAAGGGGCTCTGGAGCTTGACATGAGGACATCAAGAAATCCCAGAAGGTGCTGCCTTCACCCAGGGTGAGGATAAAGAACAAGAAAAGCTTGAGTTGGGCAAAAGAGAATGACAGAGACAGCAATGGCTCCAGAAATGCAGGGCAGGGAGGGGAGAGGCTGGACAGGGTGGTGGCCACTGACCTGGGCAGAAAGTGGGGTCATTGCAGGAGAGGAAGTGAGTCCTGCAGTCAGCACAGCTGGTGACCTTCAGTGTGGACTGTATGTCTATGGGAGGGGAGGGACAGGGGCTAGGGGGTGCCAGGTGCCTTTCATCCCTCCCCCAGGCCCAGTCCCCATGCATACTCACCACAGGACTCATTGCAGGCTGCCAGGGAGGGTGAGAAGGTAGAGAAACTGAGGTGCTGGGGAGGCAGACAGAGCCAAGGGGTTCTGGGGTGCAAGTAGGAGATGGAGCCGGGAAGGCATTCATGGAGAGGGGTGGGGCTCCTGGGGATGATCGAGGGGGCTGCAGAGTGAAATCTGCATGCCTTGGGTCTTGGCAGGTGTGGAGGGCTGGGCCGTGTGCAGGGATCGTCCCCACCCCTTACCCTTCTCCTTCAGCCCATCAGATATCTTATTCAGCCTCTCAGTAAAGAGATTCTTGTGCGTGTAGATCTCTTCCAGAAGTACTGTTTTATCTGGGTAGAGCAGGAGGGAAGGGGTGTTCAGGGTTACAACTTGCTCAAGGTTGGGTTTTCAGACCCTTGTTTCTACATGGAAGTTCCAAAGAGCACACGGAGACAGACTGCATTCATCTCCCACCTTCACAAGACCTCCCACCCATGGCCACATGGGCCTCTGAGAATGCCTTGGAGGGTGGGCCTTTGTCAACCCAAGCCCCAAGGCCCTGGGGCTCTTGGCTTCCTCACCATCTCGTAACGTTTTAATGGCTTGGTGTACTTGAGTGAAGAATTTGGCTGTTTCTTCTTCCAAATGGTCACGATCTGAGGATGAGATACAGGTCAAAGGGAAGTCAAGGGAGTAAGATCCCAGGTCAGGTAAAGAGGCCACATCCAATCCCTGATCTCCTGGCTGTGCCTCACCAAGGTACCAGGGTTTGAGAAAATTATTATCCTCTAGGAACAAGGAGTGAATACTTTGAGAAAGTTCTGTGGGTGGCCCTGGGGTCACCCAGAGGATCTGCAGGTCATAGTCTATCAAGGCAGACAGTTCTGGCCAGCAGCGGAGGCAGTTCTTCCCTTCAATGGCAGGCAGGAGACAGATGATCAGGAGAGGCAGCATCTTCTGGGTTCCTCCTACTGTGCCCCAGTGCCCTGCCTGGAAGTTCCACGTGGAACACTGGTGTTCTGTCCCCTTGGCAACCACATTCTCTTGGCAGGACAAAGTGCATTCTGTAGGGCAAGGCAAGGCTCAGCTGTGGTGTCATGATATGAACCCAAGCGTTGGGATCGGACCCAAGTGGGAGCCTCGGTACATAGTTCTTCCTCTGAACTTGGAGTCACATGCTCAGCAGGGAAGGTCCTTGTGAGGATCAGAAGGATGGCTGCACTGCCTGGTGGTGGATGCTCAGCTATCCTGACTGTGTTCATCTGGTGTGGAAGAGTTTAACAGAGCTGAAATTTGAGAGGCAGAAAAGAGCAGCACAGTGAGAGGGTTAGCTGAGTGAAGAGAATCAGAATCTCTTTACACTTTTCCACAAAGAAGTGGTCAACCAAGGAGAAGTTAATGGAAGAAACATGTTTTCATGGCATATATAAACAGGCAGCTGTCTCATGTTTGGTCAAGCCAGAGGGTCTTAGCTCTTAACACCACAGTGCAGGCAGAGTATAGACAATTCTACTCAGCATTGCATGGAAGTGCAGAGAGAGAAGTCACGTTCAGAGCAGTGGTTCTTTTGTGCAATGCACCCTGAAAAAAGGCAAAACTCCCTACTCTTTTGTAATAAAGAAAGCCAGTGGGATCCTTGTCACTCCTCAGGGGGCAGGCTTTGCCCTTCTATGCCATGCTTCTGAGTGCCTTAGGCTGGATCAGGGGCAGCTAAGACCACTAGGCATTTAAGGAATGCCTCTAATATGACCAAGAGACAAAAACCATAGCAAGAATTCAAAACAAAGGCAAACAAAAACTGCAGGAAATAGGAAGAGTACAGAGTTATGACAAGAAGCAGAATAAAACTTAGAACCTTGCTGGGCATGGTGGATCACACCTGTAATCCCAGCACTTTGGGAGGCTGAGGCGGGTGGATCACCTGAGGTCGGGAGTTCGAGACCAGCCTGACCAACATGGAGAAACCCCATCTCTACTACAAATACAAAATTAGCCGGGTGTGGTGGTACATGCCTGGAATCCCAGCTACTCGGAAGGCTGAGGCAGGAGAATCCCTTGAACCTGGGAGGCGGAGAATATGGTGAGCCTGAGCCTAGATCATGCCACTGCAACTCCAGTCTGGGCAACAAGAGTGAAACGCCAGTAAAAAAAAAAAAACAAAGAACAAAACAAAACAAAAAGCCTTATAACCCAATTACCATTAAATTGACAAAATATTGTTTTTCCCAGACAAGAAGAAGTTGCTATGTAAAAGAAAAAGTTATTGGGGACTAAAAATATGATAGCGTAAATTTAAAAATTCCATAGAAGTGTTGGGAGATCATTTCAGAAATGTTCCAGACAGAACTACAAAAAGACAGAGATGGGAAATAGGAAATAAAAGACAATAAAATTAGATAATTAATCCATGAGGTCCAACATCCAGCTAATACAAGTTCCAGAAAGAAAATGAAGAGGTGAAAATTATTTATAATAGAAGTTGTGTTGGAAGTATATACAGAAAGAGATTCTATTGTGTAGGGGGAGGGATGTGGCATTGAGGTTTACTAGAAGAAATAGTTGAGGCTGGGTGCGGTGGCTCATGCCTGTAATCCCAGTACTTTGGGAGGCAAAGGGAGGTGGATCACTTGAGGTTAGGAGTTCAAGACCAGCCTGGCCAACATGGTGAAACCCTGTCTCTACTAAAAATACAAAAAATTAGCCGGGTGTGGTGGCGCGTGCCTGTAATCCCAGCTACTCAGGAAACTGAGGCAGGAGAATCGCTTGAACCTAGAGGGCGGAGGTTGCAGTGAGCTGGCATTGCACCACTGCACTCCAGCCTGGGCAATAAAGTAAGACTCTGTCTCAAAAAAAAGAAAAAAAAAAGAAGAAATAGTTGAATTAATAAACTCAGGTTGTGCTAGTCAGGTGGGCTCTGTGATGGGAGGGAGATTCCGAGTACTGCAGAGATGTTGCTCTATCCCTGGCTTTGTATGGAATCAAGGATGAGGAATAAGCCTGTTTTTTTCTACTCAGTCAATACCTCTGGAAAGGCAAGGCCTGGAAGGGTCCCAAAACAAAACTTCCATGTCCTCAGGATGCATCACCCTCTAGGCACATTGGTGTTTGTCACACCAGAAAGTTCACGCAAGACATGGTGTTCAGAATTTTTACTGGAGTTTCATTATGTAGGTGTGATTGACTGAATCATTGGCCATGTGATTGAACTCGATCTCCAGGCCCTGTCCCTCCCTGGAGGTTGTGCTGATATTCCCTGGCTCAAAGCCCCAGCCCTCTAATCACATGGTTAGTCTTTCTCTTGTGGTCAGCTCCTATCCTGAGTCATTTCGTTAACATAAAAGGGTATGGTTAGGTAGGGTCTCATAAGCCCACCATGAATAATAGACCGTCCTATCACTCAGGAAATTTCTGAGGATAAAGAGATTGTCTCCCAGGTACCAGGGACAAAGGATAGCCAGATTCTTTGCATACAACAATAGCACATAAAGTTCTGATTACCCGTTAACATTTGGGCATGAATTCATTCAGATCGAGGCTTTGTAATGCTTCTGTGGTCTCCTGGAATCTTCTGGGAGGATCTCAAGTCCCAGGTACAAGCTTTTGCTTTGCCCATGCTGAGTTGTGGAGATATTAGAGTAGAGGCAATTACAAATCCAGGGACAAGTGGAACATGACAAGGGCTTCTATCTTAGCAAATTAACTCACTTGGTTGGTAAAATCATCTTAGAGGTCATTGACCTGCAAATCCTTTCCAGTTGTTATAGGAACCTTGTCTGAAAGGACAACATTTGATATACTCAAGAGACTGGCATCTGGTTGGTCAATGCCTTTATAAAGGGTTGGATTTAGTTGTTTGATTTTTTAATGGAAAAATTACAAAAAGTTCATCATCAGATAACCTATCATAAATGAAATATTCATTTCATTTTCTTTCCGGTTAAAACTTGTGTCTTGAAATGCTTTGTTGTATCTACTTAGAATGATCAATGGGGATGCCTGGGGGGAATCTCTCTTGCAGAATTTGTTGGTAGAGAACATTAAAATTGCATGAAGCCAGTCATGTAATTTTGATAACCATCAAAAGGATTTTGACTAGAATTGGGGGGAATTTAAAGTGAGATGATGCTTCTGGGAAAGGTGAAACCTTGGGTGTTCAAGGAGGCAAGTTTCTCAATCTGTAGGGCACTCCCTCGTCTACCCCTGCTGCTGGGCAGAGACATTCTCTCCCTAGTTAGTGGCTGTGGCCAGAGGATCTGCAAAACAAAGAGTGCCTGGCTACCTCCCTCTGGTCCTAGAGAGTCATGCAGGGCTAGGGCTGGCCGTCGCCTTGCCCAGGACTCAGTGTAGCCCATCCACTGCTCCAGGGAGAAGTGGCTGAGGCCCTGAGGGGAACAGATGAGGGTTCAGATTCATGCTTTGTGCCCTCAAGACAAGTGCCTGCCACCCCATTCCTATTCCTTCTTTCTCTTGAGTTCTTTCCATTTTCCTGCTATCGAGCTCAGCTCTGCATCTGTGAAGCCTGCTCAGGTCTCTCCACCCACAGAGATTTCCACGTCCTCTCATTTTTGTCAGGGCCCATGTTTGTTCTTTCATTAGGCAATTAGCGGCATGCGGACTTGTGACAGGCTTTCTGTTGATTCAAAATGTCATTAAAATCTGCTGTAACCTATGCTTTCTCAGGTCTTACCAGCCTGCTTCTAAAAACAGGGTTACAGTCACAACAGCACATCCTTGGGCCATCTCCTTTTGGCAAGGTCTGCTCTCCTGGCTCCCCTGGCTGTCAGAGTCTGGGTGGCCCTCAGGGGCTGTCCCACTGATGCCATGATGCAGCTCATGTGGCTGGCCTGGGACGTCTGCTCCTCTCTCTGTGGCGCTGGACTCACCTGCCACTCCCCACACACCACCATGTTCCCAGCTTCTCCCCTGTTTCAGTGAAAGGGGTTCTCGCTCCTTGAAGGATCCCAGGGCTCTCTTGATAGCCTTCACGAGGCCCTGGACCCTGACCATGGCCCTGGAGAAATGGAAAAATGGCTCCTCTCATTTAGCCACAGGCCCACTGCAGAATGTCTGTTTCCCAAGCTCTGAGTGGACCCGAGGCCGCTGCCTGTCTTCTCATGGAGGTGAGCGGCAGTCCGGGGAGCGTGCCTGCTCATCACCCTCTTGGCTCCTAACCATAGCTTCTTTCTCACAAAGTTCCTTTTCCAAAAGGATGAGCCTCCCCAAGAGTCTTGCAGACAGGCCTAAACTCTAAGGTAACTGAGACAGTGGGGACAAGGACTGCATTTATGCTGGTCAAAGCTGATTTTGATGGGACAAGTCTCTGGTTCCCAAACGGGGTATTTGTTTTCTCTGGAGAAGTAGGAGCAGAGATAGAGGCCCCCCGCCCAGGCATAGGATGTCTTTACCCTACCTCCTTGGGCTTTGGTGTTTTGTTTGGGACCATGGATACAGCTGAGGATGAGAGCACGGTATCTCCTCTCTGAAGAGGTGGCCATCAAAGCTCTCATGATAAACACCTGAGGTCAGGAGCACATGGCCAATGCCAGGAAGGTTGAACATCTTTGAAGGACAAAAGGGCTTCCTGCCCAGCCCTGCTGACATCCTTCTCTACAGCAATGTGTTCTCCTTATCTGGGCAGAATGAGCCTCTGTTCTTCCCACACACATCTCTCAGGGGTGGTGGCACTGCAGAGGGTCTAGAGACCCCTGCTCCAGTTGGGTGACTGCCCCTCTGTCAAGGCAGGCAGGGTGCTGTGTAGTGCTCCCTGGGTGGGGAAGAATACTGCAGACATTAGGAACATTGTCGTAGGAATGGAAGGGTTCTGTCCCTGAAACTTACTGATTATATCTGTTTCCTTGCAGGTTGTGGCAGATGGTATGTTTCCAAAGAAGATGGAGCCTCATGTCCCACCCACAGACTCTTCTGCAGTGGAAACTGGCCACTCCCCCAACAAGAGGTGGAGTCCAGTTCTCCTCTCTTTGGTTTGGGCTGACCTTATGGACTTGTTTGTAATTAGTAGGATGCAGTAGAACTGACTCCTTGTGACTTCCAAGTCTAGGTGAGAATGGCCCTGCAGCCTCCACTGGTCCTGCTGGGAAGCTCATTCTCTGGATGCTCACTCCTGGGACACTCCTTCTTGGGACCCAGCCACCATGCTGGGAGAAGCCTTAGACATATGAAAAGGCCACATATGGATGCTCTGGGTGACAGTGGTCCCAGTCCAGATACCAACATGTAAGTGAACAAGCCTCCATATGACTCCAGCCCCTAAGCCTTTCGAGTGTTCCCAGTTAAGGCTCCAGATATTGTAGAGCAGAGCAAAGCCATGTCCAGGCCTGTGTCCTTTTGTGCAGCAAGAGATTCTGGGAACACAGGGCTCTGCAAAGTGCACAACACAAAGACTTGTTCATTCAACAGGGGAAGGACTCGGCCTTATTAGTGGTATCCCAAGCCCAGTGGGGCCCCTAGCTGAGGGGGCGCTGCAAAGTGGGATCGAAGGGCTCAGTCAGGGCAGGAAATCAAAGTGGTGGTGGTCTGTTGCTGCCTGTGTGGCCCCAGTCCTGGGGACTTGTGCATGGAGAAGTTTGGGATCTCCAAGTGTACTTTGACTACAGAACCCCCGACAGCCACACAGAAGCCTACAGGCCTAGGCCCCAAGTGAATGAACACTGTGGCCACTCCCACCCCACCCCCATCCTCCAAGAAGAAAAAGAGAAGGAGCGAAAAAGGCAGAGAGGGTACACTCTGACACTCCCTGCTGGAGAGTAGGATGGTGGAAATGGGGAATAAAGGTTCATGCCATCTTTACTCAGATGGATTTATTTCAAACCTTATTGACATTTCTTTTCTTTTCTTTCTTTTTTTTTGAGGCAGAGTCTAGCTCTGTTGCCCAGGCTCTAGTGCGTGGCGTGATCTCTGCTCACTGCAACCTCAGCCTTCTAGGTTCAAGCGATTCTCCTGCTTCAGCCTCCCGAGTAGCTGGGACTACAGGTGCACGCCACCTCACCTGGCTAATTTTTGTATTGTGTTTTAGTAGAGATGGGGTTTCATCATGTTGGCCAGATGGGTCTCGAACTCCTGACCACAAATGATCCACCTGCCTCAGCCCCCCAAAGTGCTGGGATTACAGGCATGAACCACCATGCCTGGCAGACATTTCCTTTCTGTATGATCCTGGGCTCGATTCTTCATGTCTTGAGCTCAGTTTCTTCATCTTTAAAATGGAGCTAATTAGAGTGCCATCTCTGGAGAGTTTTGAGATCTCTGTCAGGCGCTTAGCATAATGTAGGCCCTCAACTCCTCTAAATCCTTTCTCTTCTCTTTGGAAGGACCTTTAGGCAGCTGGACCCAGTCGCCAATAATAACAGCAATAAATTATGAAGGGCATGCTGTGTGCCAGGCACAGGGCTTAAGGCACAGACCCCTTTGACACCACCATCACTGGGAAGCTGCCTGCTAGTAGGCCAGTGTGCTGGGGCAGGGGAGTGGATCAGCTGTAAGGGAAGGCCTGCAGTGTCACTGACTAAGCTTCAAAGGAGTCTCTTGGCATCAGTAGAAAATATGAGGTCCCAGGCGGCAGTGCTTGGGCTTCCTCCTTTTGGTCCCCCAGCCATGGGACTGGGACCTTGAGCACACATCTGTGCCATAAACTCATGGGTGAATATGCCCATACCTAAGGGTGAGCCAGCACGGATCACAAGAACTGACTGCTATTGGCATTTGTGTCCGGGAAACAGTGGATCTCTCTGGGGCCAGAGCATATGGCAAGGTATTTAGCTTTGAAGGCTGTGACAGGTGGGGCTGCTGTGGGCCAGGCCCTCATGGAGACTCCACTGGTGCCCAAGGAGAGGCCTCATGACAGAAGAGAATCCCACACTCACGGCTGCTGGGCGAGTTTCCCAGCCTCCCCAGGTGTCCCACCTGGCATGTGGTCTTTCCCACATGGCTGTGAAATGCCATTTATTGTGTGCCTGCTGCCTGCCAAGGGCCGTGCCAAGAGCTTTGCAGAGACGATGGAATGTAGAGCCTCCTGCCCCCCCTGGGAGCTGATGCTGGCTCTCGCAGGACCTGCTAGGAAGATCAAAAGTGGAGAGTAATGAATGGGGCACACACAGCCACGGTCTAGCCACGAGCAGGTGCTCAGCAAGGGTCAGTTGCTGTTGTTAGGTTTGGATTGTTGGCTCTGCAACCACTCAGGGGAGGGTACGCTAGGGTCCTGCCCTCCCTTCCTGGTCAGGGGCTGTGCTATAGGATGCTGCTGCCTGCCAGGTCCCACTCCTTGCCTTCCTGATCAGTTCCCTCCTCCCTGCTCTTTATCCTCCCTACCCTCGACTGTATTCCGGGATTCAGCAGAGCTGTGGGATGCATTTTCTGATGGAAGTTTCCCTGCAAAGTGGTGAGGAAGGTGGTCGGTCTGGTCTTGGGCATCTGCTTTCAGCTCCACGGGTCTCCATGCCTCCTCCCACTCCTTCCCAGACTCTGCTCCTGGAACCTTCTCACCACCGTCTGAGCCACAGTTGCTTTTTGGAAAAAAAAAAATCTGCCCTCCATCACTTACATGTCAGTATGAACAAGCATGTGTGCTTTCTGCTGGGGGTGTTTGACTTCTTTGCTGTGGCCCGGCCTTGCCCTTTGGAGTTTATGCAACAAGGGGACACAGTCATCATTTCAGAGCCTGCTGTGTGCCAGGTGCTCTATCCACTGAGTCACGTTTAGTCTTTACAGTAAGTGTATCAGTCAGGGTAGGCAAGGTCAGGCCCTGGTAACAAACACCTGCAAATCTCAGTGGTCTAAAACAACAAAGACTTCTTTGTCTTTTATGTTACTTAGCCATATGGGTTGGCAGAGGTCTCTGGTCATCAAAGCCGCTCAAAGGCCTGGCAGATGGCACAGTTCCTCCCTTGAGTGTTAGGGGCCACCCTGCTAGGGGAGAAGTGAGTGTAGGAGGTCCTTAAAAGCTCCGGCTGGGAAGTGGAAGATGTCACCTCCTTACACAGGTCATGCACAGATCTAATTGTACAGCCTCTCCCAGCCTCAAAGATGGTACCTTATGATGTGGCCTGGTGGGGGGCTCCTGCTGAGGACCTGCCCTGAGGAGAAGTGGCAATGTCTGGTGACCAATGTGGAGGACTCCCAGCCCAACCTGTGAGAAAAGTCTGCATTCCCATGTGACCCACTGGGACAGGAGTCGCTCCTGCAGGCAAACAAGGATGCAACCGCAGACGGAACCCAGATCCCGGACCCGAAGATCCGTGCTCTGGGTGAAGAGTTTCAACTTCCCAGCTCATTAATCTTTATTGGAAAAGTCATTTGGAGGATTCAAAAAGGGTATTGAACCCACACAAAGCTCCAGCCTAGAAAATTGTCATGTCCTCAGGAAACCCAAAGAAGAAACATTTGGGAGCAGTTGATGACGTGAGTCTCTGCCCTCTCCTCTGCTGTTCCTCCCAGAGAACTCTGCGGCTCAGGAAGGGGCAGCAGAGACAGAAACAGCAGGGGGCCTGGGGTCTCCATGTGGAGGCCCATTGCATGCTGAGCTCATGCCAGCGCGGGGTGCTATCCTCACTTTACATGTGCTGGAAGCAGGCCTCAGGTTAAGGGAACTGCCAGGGCCACACAGCTAGGAACCTCAAGGTGAGGTGATCAGAACCCCATCCTGGCCCTACTCCCTGCATTCCCCACTAAAGCCTTGTAAGATAACCCCCCTCATCCCCAATGCCCCTGGCCCAGGAGCGCTTGCCTAAGCAGGTGACTCTGGATAGGAAGATCTGGGGGTATTTACGGACCTAGGAGCCTCTCAAGAGGCTCTCAGTGCCCAGCAAGAACAGATGGCTGAGTCTGGCAGCTCCCAGTGCGGGGAATAAGGCTGGCTGGCCTGTGGCTTGGTGAGTCCTGGGGAAGCAGAGAAGGCACAGGCCAGAAGCAAAGCGAAGACTCTCAGGTGCTGGGAGTGCTGTGAGTCCTGGCCTAGAGGAAGCGGGTTCAGGATGGCATCACAGGGTCCATGGGCTGTGTGGATCCTGGGAGCTTGGAGCATGGACCTTCAGGCCCCACTCCAGGCTGGGGCAGCCGTTCTTGAAAGCTCTTTCTACAGCAAGGAAACCCCATCACTCCAAACAGGCCCTGAGGAATGAAACATCTGCAGCTTAATTTTTCTTTTCTGTTTTCCCCCTCCTCTGGCATTTTGCCTAAGTCTGCAGGACCAGGTGTGCTTTGCAGGGCAGAGAGCTAAATCCTCAGAGCAAGGCCCTCTTCCCTGTCAGCTCCCACCCTGCTCAGCACCCTGCAGAGCCTGGCAGGGTTGGAAATGGACAGGGTTAAGTGTGTAGACATTGTTGCCCTCGGTCTTCCGAGTAGCCATGTGTGGCAGGCACGTCTATCTCCATTTCAAAGGTGGGGAAAACGAGGCCTAGGGAGATTACAGTGGCTTGCTCCAGGCTGCCTGGTTAGTAACGGGGGAGCAAGGCACTGCCCCAGATGTCTGACCTCAAGGCCAGTGCAGCCTGCACACCCACTGCTGAGAGAGGAGGGAGGGCCCAGAGGTGTGGCGGCCGTGTGGGGCTCAGGGCAACGTGCTGCCCAGTTCCTGGGTGGTCCTCCTGCTGCTGTGGGGAGAGTGTGGCCCACTGGGGAGCCAGGGCTCTCTCAAGAAGGGGTGGGGAACTTGGGAGCCGCATTTTGGGGGAAGCGGGGTTGGCTTTCGAGTGGGGACAGGCAGCCCCAAGTTGACAGAGTGGAGGCAGCTGCTGCAGAGGAGGAGAGGAGGATTCCCCAGTCTTGAGGGAACGTAGTTTTCTGACAGGTAGACTTGGATCACTCAACTTTGTAAGGATTGGCTTTCTGACACCTGGAGACCCGCATCTGCAGCAGTGTGGGTTCCACGCTCACAGAGATTCAGGGAGAGTCTCAGCACAGCCCCTAACTAGTCACGTGGCCTTGAGCAAGTCAATTACCCTCTAGGGATAATAACAGAGTTGTAGTGGGAATTATTTAAAATAGGTGGTAGAAAGAGCTGGGCCCACACCAGCAGGCAGTAAGCATGAGCGCCTATGGTGAGCTCTGTTGTTATTACTGCAGTGAGATGGGGCTAGGGAGCGGCTTAGCACTGGAGCTCATCCAGCAGTGATGGGATGGTCTGGCTGGTGCTACAGGGGAGACCTGCAATGGGAGAAGGTAGAATCTGACCACATTTAGGTCCCTTCATCTCACTTTTGATAATGTTTTTGAGGTGCTGGTGATCCCTGGGCAGGTTACATGGCCCCCTGGGACCTCAGTTTCTTCCTTTGTAAGCTCTCCTCTCTTGCCAGGGTGATAGGACGGCACTTCAATCCAACAAGAGTCCTGTTGGTGACCGAAGCACTGTGTCTCAAAGGGAGAAGGAAGAATGGCTTTGTGCTGCAGAGGCAAGGGGTTAGGATGTCTTTCCCAGGGCACAGTGGTTCTGCCGATTCTTTGGGCTCTGATCTAAGCCTCTCCACTGGCTTTGGTCCAGGGGCATTGGCTTGAGAGCCTCATCTTCCCTGCACTGGACTCTGGTGCTCACTGAAGCAGAGTGCACGAAACTCCCCTTAAAAGCCTGGTAATGTGGCTCAGAATTGGGCCCTGCAGGGTTATTAGAGCCATCCATCTTAATTATACTGAAAATCACTTATGCGTTTTCCTTAATAACACTGCATTCATAATTTCCCAGCTCTGAGCCGTCTCCTGGCAGGGCTGTCACTCTCAGGGTGGAGTGTTTTCTGCAAGTCACATTTCTTTGTTCTTTCTCCCTTGGTGGGACGATGGGCTGGGCATGGCGGAATCCTTTCCTGTGGGCCATGGATGGAGGGTCAGGCCCTGGGGAGACTGAACCCTCCTGAGTGCTAGGTACTGCCCAGATTCTTCACACCCAGCATGTGATTTAACCCTTTGCATAACCCTGTGAGGTCCATGGGCTTATTGCCATTTACAGATAAGAAAACAGAGGCTCAGAGAAGCTAAGAACTTGTGCAAAGCAACTCCCTCAGAAATGGGGGCTTCAGGGAGAAAAGCTCCTCTTCTGATTTCCTTTGAGGTGTTCACAGACGCCCCCCTTGATCCTTCAACCCCACCGTTGCAGTTTCCATTCTGGCTTTGCCAGGGAGCTGTGAGAAGAAATGCTTTCCTCAGGCCGGGTGCGGTGGTTCATGCGTGTAATCCTGGCATTTGGGAGGCCAAGGCAGGTGGATCACCTGAGGTCAGGAGTTTGAGACCAGCCTGGCCAGCATGGTGAAACCCCGTCTCTACCAAACATACAGAAATTAGCCGGGTGTGGTGGCAGGCGCCTATAATCCCAGCTACTTGGGAGGCTGAGGTAGGAGAATCTGGGAGGCGGAGCTTGCAGTGAGCCAAGATCATGCCACTTCGCTCCGGCCTGGGTGAAAGAGTGAAACTCTGTCAAAAAAAAAAAAAAAAGAAGAAAAAAAAGAAAAAAAAAAAGAAAAGCTTTCCTCCCTTGAAGCATCCTCCCCATAGAGCCCCAGAAAACATGCACACAGCACACACGTACACACATGCACAACACACACACACACATAACACACACACACGCATACATTCTCTCTCTCTCTCTGTCCCCACTACGGACAACTCCCTCCCCTGTCTAGTATAGGGTCTCGGTTTCTCTAGTGCGTCAATGGGGAGGGCTAAGTCTGGGTCCCTCACTCGCTACTCACATGGGGGCAACCCTAAAGGTGACAGTAAATTGGACCATGCGCTGCCCGGGAAGAAAATGGACTTGGAGCCGGTCTCAGGAGGCAGGAGCCGGGGCACACGTGGGAGTAGACCTGGAGAGCGCATGTCTGTGAGTGCTCCAGTCCGGGGGTTCTGGCCTGAGGGGGCTCCTCCCACGGGTCTCGAGACTACTGGGTACATAGAAAGCAGAAGCCAAGAGACAAATATTGGGAGGGAGAAAAAGCAAGACAGATGTAGTGTATGCCAACCACGTGCCATTTTGCCCTAGGGGAAATGAGTCGAGCCTCTGAGCTTTGAAGGGCTTGGGTCGGGAAGAGAGAAGGAAGAGGGAAGGGGAAGGAGGCCCTGAGAGCGGAGGTGTGGCGTGGGGAGGGAGGGACGGGGAGGCAGGAATCAGGAGGAGCCTCTGACGGCCCTGGGATCAGCAGGTGGTTTGGAGGAGGTGATTCTTGCGGGTGAGGAAGCGGGTGGAGGAGGCAAGAGAGAAGAGTCTGGCAGGGATCAGATACGGGACTTCAGGCAAGATTTACTGCCAGTGGGAGGGTCACCCAGATGGGGCTCCGGGAAGGCAGGGGCAGAGCCCCGTTCCTTCTGGGGAAGAGGCCAGCAGCTCTCCTTAGGCAGGAGCAGGAGCGCGGGGAGCTGAGGCCGAGCTGGCTGGCGCACGCGAGGGGGCGCTGTGGGGCGGCACCACCGGGTCGACCAGACCACGCCCACCCCGCTGAAGCGCCGCGAGGGTGCGTTTGGGGCTCTGGGTGATGGGCCCGACCGGGGTTAGGGGGCTGGGAGGGTCGGCCACGTGAGCCTGATCAGTCCTGTGGGGCCGGGCCACGCTAGGCACAGAGCCTTTGCTTGCAGCTGGGCTAGGGCCAGGTGGCCGGTGCTGGAGGGCGCTCAGCCTCTCCGGACATGGCCTGGCTCCTGGGTTCAACGCGCGGGGCCCTGGTTTGCAAGGCTGCGGAAGGGCTTGCCAGCACAGATTTCCAGGGGCTGCCCTGTGGGTTGCCCCTGACGCCCCCACTTCCCTTCTCATCCCAGACACTGTGGTCCAGGAGGTGCAGAGTTCAGGGCCTGCAGAGCACGTCCCCCCACGAAGCCATCCTTGGGCGAGCACCAAGAAAGCGGGCTGATGAATGGGCTTCCACCCCGAGGTCCAGACAGCTGCCTTCCCTGCTGACTCAGCTCGGGAAAGCTGCCGAGGCAGAAACTTTTCTAAGAGCAGAAAAATAAGGCGCGAGGCCCCGGCGCTGTCTGTGGTGAAGGAGCGAGGCTTGAGAGAGGCCCTGAACCCTGGAGGAGCCTGGAGGAGCCTGGAGTTCCCAGTCGGGCCCGCTCCAGCCCAGGAGGGAACAGTAGCAGCACAAGTCCGTGCATCCCGGATGGAGGCTTCATTTGCCCAGAGCCCTCCAGGCGCCTTTGGGAGCTAAGTTGTGGGTCTCCCGGTTCCCATGTGAGGAATCCGAGGCCCCGCGGAAACCCATAAACGACATCCAGCAGGGTAGGATGGACCCGCTGGGCCTGGCGTGGAGCCCACCTGTGCACTTTGCATACCCACTGCCTGCTCAGCCCCTCACACCTTCCCTTTTCAGCCACTCCCCGACTTGTAGGCTGGGGGTGTGGCCAGAGGCTTCCCAGGGCTCTGCAGAGAAACAGAATCAGTAGGAGATACATACATACACACATACACACACACACACACACACACACACACACATATACACATATACATGATATATTATTATATCTATGTATCTATGTATCTATCTATCTGGAGAGAGGGAGAGAGGAGAGGAGACAGGCTGGCAAGTTCAAAATCTGCGGAGCTGATGTCCCAACTCGAAGGCCGCCGGGCAGGAGGAATTCTCCCTTGCTCCAGGTAGGGTCAGGTCAGCCTTTTCTCCTATTCAGGCCTTCGAGTGATAGAATGAGGCCCACCCACTTAGGGAGGGTAATCTGCTTTACTCAGCCTACTTATTTAATGTTTATCCACAGACACATCTAGAATAATGTCTGAACAACTGTCTGGGCACCTCGTGTCCTGGTGGAGTTGACACGTAAAATAGGCAGAGCTGCTGCAGGTGCCTGGGCATGAGCTCCACCAGTCTGATCCTAATTTTTCATCCATAAAGAGCATGTCGTCAGCATGACTGAGGCTAATGAGTCGACACCATCTATGAGCCAACACCATCTATGAGCCATGATGTGTGTGGCCCACAGCGGCTCTGTCGGACTCACTATGGGCAGTCTCCACTGGCCCTCCCAGAAGGGATCATGCGGGCAGTAGTATCAATGCTTTTTATTTTTTTTTTTTTTGAGATGAAGTCTCGCTCTGTTGCCCAGGCTGGAGTGCAGTGGCACAATCTCGGCTCACCGCAACCTCTGCCTCCCAGGTTCAAGCATTTCTCCTGCCTCAGCATCCTGAGTAGCTGGGATTACAGGTGCTCGCCACCATGCCCGGCTAATTTTTGTATTTTTAGTAGAGACAGGGTTTCACCATGTTGGCCAGGCTGGTCTCGAACTTCTGACCTCACGATCTGCCTGCCTCAGCCTCCCAAAGTGCTGGGATTACAGGCGTGAGCCACCGCGCCCGGCCCGGCCCGTATCAATGCTTTTAAGTATTCACCAGTTGCTCCTTGGCCAGGATGACTGTAGCTGATGTCTGCAGGACTGATGATGATAAGCTAAGATGACACCTCCTCCCTGGGGGCCACAGAGCCACGATCTATAGATCTGTGAGGCCACCAGGACCTCTAGGGTCAGTCGGCCCCGCAGAGGCTGATTTTATCTGAGGGCAGAGGAGCCAGGGAGAGTTATAAGCAGGGCTCAAAGCACATCACATTTGCTTCACAGAGAGGGCTAGGGGTGCTTCCCTTCCCTTTATGGTGATGGGTCCCAGTCTGGGCTCAATGTGTAGCCCACAGGCCTCTTTGCTGGTCAAGGAGGTGGACTACACAGTGGGATGTTGGTCCCACACCACCTGCCCTGATGTGTCCCTGAAACCAAATCTGGTGCGAGAACGCCTGTACTTAAGTATATGAAAAATTTAAGGTGTTTTGAAAACAACTATGTAGGGCTGCCAGAGGGGAACAGATGTCATATTGGCACATAAACAATTAACTGGGACCAGCTGCATCCTTCACTCACCATCACCTACGCCATCAAGAAGAATGGCATTGTAGGGAACAAGATGAGGGCTATGAGTGCTCCGGGCCTGGAAATGTGCTGGTCACCACTATTCCAGACAAGAGGCTTCTTGTTCCCCCCCACCTGCAGAACTCAGTTTCCTCACAGAGTGGGGCACAAATCTCAAATAGCCACATAGCTGCCCTCAGGGGTACGGTTTTACTGGGGAGTCCAGACCTGGCCATAGGAGGCCATTCTCGACACGGCCATGTGCACAGAGCAGAGTTCCAACTACAGGCAGCCATAGACCAGCTTCCTGCACAGCTCTGAGGCCTCGGCCAACCAGAGTAATCCTGTGCTATATTTACCTGCCTCTAACATGGTCCCTGCCCTATCTATGCACCTTGCATTTTCTGTAAGCATCCAGCATCCAGGACAGGGCCGGGCATAGTGTAGGTAGGCAGGAATGTTTATTGAGTGAATGGATGAATGGATGGATGGCTGAGTAGTAAACAGATGAAGAGGTGAGTGGATAGATGAATAGGTGGGTTGATGGGTGGGAGATGGATGGGTGGATGGGGCCAAAGGGAAGCAATGCCATTATGGGTGGAGGGAGCTTTACAGACTGTTTTCCCAACCTCAGGGCAGAGGCTGTCTCTCCTCTAGGGCTTATGTGGCACTGGGGTCCCCTTTGTTCTCTATCTTTGAAAGGCCAAGGTCAGGCAGGCACCTGATTATGTAGGAGGTAGGCGATGCCTGAATCCCTTTCATACTGTGGCGCTTGATTTACCTACACATAAAATGAGAGCCCACACACTGACCCTTGTTGCCATGGCAGGGCCGGGGCAGCACAGAGTGTGGGGTCCCAGGGATCTGCTGCTGGGTTTCCAGTAAGCATGATGTCATGATGTCATTCCAGGAAAGGAGAGCTTCAGGGTCAGCAGAGCCAGCTGGAGATGACCTAGGGAATAAACTCAGAGAGACAATGCATCTTGGCCTCTGGCTGCGGGCTGGGATTTGAGATCTGGGGAGGTGAGCAGCCTGCTAGGGTGTGGGGCTCCCCAGGCCTGCCCTTCCTTCCTCTGAAGGCTTTCAGGCTGTCCACCTTCCATGCTCAGAGAGGCCTCCCCTGGGATTTGAGAGCCTTGTGAGCTCCCCTCTATGGGGAGGTGGGGTGACAGGCAAATCTGCTTTGTCCAGGAGCTCCTTCTCAGATATAGGTACTGATGCAAACCTTTACCATGCTATGTGTCCCTGTTAATTAGCCAGGTCCTGCTCGGTGGTGACCCAGCGTGCTTTGCCCTCCAGTCTCCCTGGTTGATGCAGGGCATGTGGGCTACTCTGGTGTTTGTCTGAACTATTGCTGTATGCCCAGCACAGGTGAGCACCAAAGAGGTGATCTTGGGTTTAGGAGGTCCAAGAGGGGAGTCATTCAAGAGGGGAGTCATTCAATCTCTCAGGGCTCCTGGTGGGGGCTTTTTGGATAGATGCTGAGCTGACTAGTTAAAAGAAAAAAGGGCACAGGTGGGCTTGGTCCTCCTACCTCTCTCTCCCCCACTGTCAGGGATGTGGGTTGTTCTTGGGGTGAGAGGGGGATAAGGCTGAGTCGAGTGGGTTACCGAATGGCTGCAGGGGGATGATGCCATCTGCTTGAGCCATGGGCCAGGTGTGGAATCTTGGAGCATGTCAGAAAGGAGAGAGGCTTTGTGGCCAGACACACCTGGCTTGCAACCCCCCTCTCAATGCCATGCATGTGACCTTGGGGGCATCACTTAACTTCTGTGGGCATCAGTGTCCTCATCTTCAAAAATGCAAATGGCAACATCTATTTAGGATATTTCTTATTAGGATTGATGAGATTTTATTAAAAATTTCTAGCACATGGGGGGCTCCCAGAAAAGCTAGCTCCTATCATTTTTTCAATGCGAGTAGTTCCTGGGTGAGCAAGACTTCCATTTCCCAGCCTTTCCCATGTTTGCAGAATACACAGAACATGGCACTGTTTGTCTGGCACAGGGGTATGTGGAGGCAGGAGGTGTCAGGAGGCTATGTTGGCTGCAGATGCCCCTCCTCTTGCTCACTGGGAGCCATTCCTGGCTGATCTGGGCTCCCTCTGGGGCAACTCTGAGCTAAAGACCCTCGCCTGGGGGTCTACGTGGAGCTAAACCTCTCTCTCCCTGCCTACGGGGTGCTGACTCATGTCTTCACCCAGGATGGATTCCAGACAGGACTCTTGAGGATGAGGCGGGGGCTCCTTCTTCCTGCTGTGACCTCCTGCAACCTGCACACATCAGGGGCACGGAGGAGGCAGTTGATTGTGCTGATCATTTCGTAAATGCCTCCTCCAAGCCAGGCAGCCCGCAGGGCAGTTTACGTGCATCGTCATCACAAATCCTTGAAATCATGAAAGAGAGAGAGGCACAGAGAGATTAATTTCCCACAGTCAACAGCTGCGACGGGCCAGATCTGGATTTTAAGAAAGTTCGAATTTTTAAAATTGTGGTAAAATTCACGTAACACAATTTATTATTTAAGCCTTTTAAAATGTACAGCTCAGTGGCATTAAAGTACATTCACATCATTGTGCAACCATCGCCACCATCCATCTCCAGAACTCTCCATTTTCCCAAACGGAAGCTCTGTCCCCATTCAACATGAACTTCCCATTCCCCTCCCTCCAGTCCCTGGGGCCCCCATTCTATTTTCTCTCCATGGATTTGACTATTCTAGGCATCCCATATAAGTGGAATCATATGGTATTTTCCCTCTATGATTAGCTTAACATAATGTCCTCAAGATTCATCCACGTTGTAGCATGTGCCAGAATCTTCTTCTTTTTTAAGGTGGAACAACATCCTTTTGTGTGTGATACCACATTTTGTTGATCTGTTCATCCCTTGATGGACACTTGGGTAGCTTTCCTTCTGGCTGTGGTGAATAATGCTCCTAGGAACATGGTGTGCAAATATCAGTTCGAGATCTTGCTTTCAGTTCTTTTGGGTATATACCCGGAAGTGGGATTTCTGGGTCATATGGTAATTGTATGCTTAACTTTTTGAGGAAACTCCCTGCTGTTTTCCACAGCGGATGCACCATTTTGCATTCCCACCCCAGTGCACAAGGATTCTAATTTCTCCACATTCTCAACGCTTGTTATTTTCTGCTTTGTTTTGTTTGTTTGTTTTCTTTTTGTTTGTTTTTTGGTAATAGCCATGTGAATGCAAGTAGCTCTATTGCCCGGGGACTGGGGGAGGTCGGGAGTGGAAGTGCTTTGAACACAGTAGCGGGGAGGCAGGTCTTCCATGTCTCAGCTTTGAAGCATCAAATGTGTCTTGCCCGCCCCCTCTTCCACTTCTTCCACCCCTGCCAGGCTGGACCACTGCACGCCCCCGCTGTCTCCTGTCTTCTCTTGGCTGCCCTAGATGTCTTTCCCTAGACGAACCTGACCGTGTCACTGACCAGTTTGAGGGCCTGAGCATGCTCCTTGCCACCTAAAGGCAAAGGCCCTTAAAAGCCCCCAAGTTGCACCACTGCAGTGGGTTTCGTGTGAGTGGTTGCCTGGTCAGGATCTGGCCTTGCCCACCTCCCACCTCACCTGAGCCACACTCCCTGCTGGGTGCTTGGCATCCGGCCAGCACACCCATCAGGCCCAGGAGGCTGCCCCTATCCTCCTTGTACATTTGCTGTTCCTATGCCTGGAGTGTCCAGAGCCCCACCTTTCATCTGGGGAGCACCCACTCATTCTTTGAGACTCTGCCCAGCTTGCTGATCCCATATGGGCTGACCTTGCTCCCAAGTGCCCCCCCAACACACAGGGCATATATGCGCCTGTGTGTGTGGTTGCAGGCATGTGTGTGGGGCATGTGCATGGGAGTGGCAGGGCATGTGTGTGGGAGGATTGTAGGAGTATGTGTATGTTTATGTGTGTATGGTTGTAGGAGTGTGTGTGTTTATGTATGTGGTTGTAGGAGTGTATGTGCATGTGCGCATGGTTGTAGGTGTGTGTGTGTTTGTGTGGTTGTAGGTGCCTGTGTGTACATGCGTGCATAGTTGTGGGGGCATGTTGTGCATGTGTGCATGGTTGGAGTGTGTGCCTCTGTGTATGTCATTGTAGGTGTGTGTGGTGTTAGGAGTGTGTGTGTCTGTGTGTGTGGTTGTAGGTGCATGTGTGTGTGTGTGTGCACGCATAGTTGTAGGGGCATATGTGTGCATGTATGCATGGTTGTAGGAGTGTGTGTGTGTGTGCTCGTATGTGCCTTGTGTGGATGCGTGCATGGCTGTAGGGGCATGTGTGTGTATGTGTGCCTGGTTGTAGGAGTGTGTGTCTGTGTGGTTGTAGGAGTGTGTGTGTGGTTGTAGGTGCCTGTGTGTGCATGCGTACATGGTTGTAGGGGCATGTGTGTGCATGTGTGCATGGTTGTAGGTGTATGTGTGTTTGTGTGTGTGTTTGTAGGTGTGTGTGTGTCTATGTGTGTGGTTGTAGGTGCCTGTGTGTATGCGTGCACGGCTATAGGGGCATGTGTGTGTATGCGTGCCTGGTCGTAGGAGTGTGTGTGTCTGTGTGTGGTTGTAGGAGTGTATGTGTCTATGTGTGTGTGGTTGTAGGAGTGCGTGTATCTGTGTGTGTGGTTGTAGGAGTGTGTGTGTCTGTGTGTGTGGTTGTAGGAGTGTGTGTGTCTGTGTGTGGTTGGAGGAGTGTGTGTGTCTGTGTGTGTGTGGTTGGAGGAGTGTGTGTGTCTGTGTGTGTGGTTGGAGGAGTGTGTGTGTCTGTGTGTGTGTGGTTGGAGGAGTGCGTGTGTCTGTGTGTGTGTGGTTGGAGGAGTGCGTGTGTCTATGTGTGTGGTTGGAGGAGTGTGTGTGTCTGTGTGTGTGTGGTTGGAGGGGCATGCGTGCATGTTTGGGGAGTTTGTAGGAGTATGTGTTGCATGTGTGTGGCCAGGTTGTGCTGTATTAATAAATAACCAATTATCTCAGTGGCTTTACAAAAGAACTTAGTGCTCCTTACAGAAGGTTGGCAGGGGCTCCACTCTTACTGTCACTCAGGGACCGAGGCTGATGAAGGTCCCATCTCACATGAGTTCTTCCATCACTGAGATGAATGGAAAGAAGTGTGATAAGTTGTGCACTTTCTCTTAACACTTCTGCCCAGGAGTGACACACATTGTTTTGCCTTATGTTTTATTGTTCAGAACAAGTCACGTGGGGAGACCTGGCACACTTGTGAATAGCTCTGTGAACAGCCATGGGGGCCGTGAGCCACTGGGGACCAGCTGGAAGGGCCTTCATTCCTCTCTCAACACCTGGGAACTGAGGCAGGACCCACGGTCCTGGGACGAGGTCTGGAAGCGCAGACCGGAAAGCTGAACATTCCAGCAGACTCTCTTCCTGGGCTAGAAGTTTGGATATCCTTGGAGGCACTCAGATTAAGTAAAATTCCAATTTGAAAAATACCAGTCTCTTCTGGACATTCCAAGAGGAGAGGGTCCATTTCGCACTTCGGTCCTGGGGACGTGTCTAGCCAGCAGGTGTGGGGATGATGATAGAAGGCGTGGGCTCTGAGGCCAGGGAGTCCACAGTCCTCGCCGTGACTGCTCAGCTGCTTTCTGGCTGTGGTCTTGGGAGGCTTCACTGCTCCACTTTGTTCGCCCATCTGTAAACTGGGGCTGATAATCATGGCACCATTCGAGCAGCTGTGCAGACTGAAAGAGGTCATGCCTGGACGGCACGTGGCCCCAGACCTGGCCTGGAGAGGACGCTTGGCCTCCGCTCATCATCCCTGGGGTTGACCTCATCGTGCTGTAACCAGCCCTGCTCTGTCCCTTGCTGGATGTGTGAGCGTGGACAGGTTGCTAAATGCCTCCTTTGGTTCTGAATTTCTCATTTGAAAATGGAGACAACGGCACCTCTATTCAGTGCTGTCCTAAGCTTGTGAGGCCGGTGGTGAGCCAGCATCCGGTGCCTAGGGAGGGCGGGAGGTGCGCGGGGAGCACAGGCAGGGCCGGCTGTGTGGCCACCCTGGGGACACGGCCCGCCACACCTCACATCTGTGCAGAAGCCTGCTCAAAAGTGATTCTACTCTTTTCCTTATTTGGGACAGTGCCTTTCCTTCCTTTCATTAAAAAATAAAAAATCTCCATGGGACATAGAATCCTAAGAGCCAGCCGTGGCGGGAGGTGGCTCTGTGGACCGGCATACCTCTCAGTGTCCCTCCTGTGTGATGCAGGAGCTGGAAAGACTGAATGGGCAGGGAGTGTTCACCATAACAACATCCTTTTCCCCATCCCATCGGCACAGAACTAAAGTGTTCTCGACAAAGAGGGTGGGGGAGAGAGGACGTTAATTCCAGAGTGCCCGGGAGCCAGGACGGGCGCCTTCATTAGAAAGTTCAAAATCACATTTTATTTCCATTTTGATGAGATTTTTATGAGTTCGAAGAGATGAAGTCGAATCCCATGAGTGTAATGGACCCAGAAAGATCACAGATACAGGATTGAATCCAACGAACCATGAGGAGTTTAGTAAATTAATTAAATTTAAGAAAATAGTGATTTTTTTTTTTTTGCTACTGGATTAAAATTTCTAAAACGTCTTAAAAAGGCAATGGCAATTCTCATTCATGGGAAGTAACAATGACACCAGCACTCCTTCAAACTCTCTCTTGTGTTTGTTTTATGAAACTGCATTGGTGGGAGAATGTTCATGGTGAGGATGGTGAGGGGCCGGGTGGAGGAAGCTCCTCCTAAATGCTCCTACACAGTTTGGTCCCTGAATCTAAGTTCTCGAACCCACAGATGCTGGGTCACAGCTCTGTCTGCCAGCGAGGACTAGGCGTGCAAAGCAGGTTTACTGTGCATGGGTTACCACTTCGGCCCACTGACTCTGGCTGTAATTTCTACTGCTTGCTCAAGTCTGGTGAGATGGAACACTCACACAGTGCATGAAACAACTTCATTCCTCACAGACAAGGAGCAAGGGGCAATAGAAGCCTAGGATTCATGACAAAGGTCCCCTAAGGCTCAGGAAGCTGCTCAGGGCAAATGTCTGCACATGCCCACTTGCACCACAGCTGAAGGACTCTGGAAAGCAACCTGCCCTGGGTTTTATACCCCGAGGGCACCATGACACTCTGGACTAAAGCACTGAAGGACATCCTGTTGCGGGAGAGACTGGCACAGAGCTGGGGCTGGTCTGGGCTGTTCCTCCTTACTCAGGACGTTGCATTCCCAGCACATTCTACGGTTACTCTTGAGAACTACAAGTGAAAAAGTGGGAGAGAATGGATTGACCCAGGGCCACCCACAGAACTGTCCTGCAAGGGGCAAGATCAGAATAGTTTTGAATTGGGGTTGTTGTAGTTGTTGTACAAACAAAGCTGACCAGTCACCCTGAGGGGATGCAAAAGTAGCCCAGCCTTACAAAGGAGAAGTTTGGAAGAGGAAAAACCGGTTCAGGAGACAGCCCCCATCTGACTAGAATCCCACTGTGATCTCTGCACTTCACCTCCTCAGTGCATTTTAGCCTCAAGAGGAGATAGTGGTAATAGGTGGGTGGGGTGGCGGGGGGGGTTCATGTTGAATAAATACTTCATTTATGCTAGAAACTCTACATATATGATCTCATTTAACTAAATCAGCAACCAAACTGTGACCTAATTATCGCCACATTACAGACAACAAAAACATACAACTACGTGGATGTGTTTCATTGTAAACTCAAGACCACAATCCCCAAGTGAACTCTTCATTCTGCCCAGCAATCATGTTGGTTGGCAAACGGGCTGTAAAGGGCCAGGTGGTAAATATTTCAGGCTTTATGGGCCACCCGTCTCTGCTGCTCTCACTCAACACTGCTGCCATGGGCACTACAGAAATGAAGAAGTGTGGCTATGTTCCAATAAAGCTTTATGTATGGAAACTGAAATTTAGATTTCATATAATTTTCACATGCCAAAAATTATTCTTCTTTTGATTTTTTCTCTCAGCCATTACAAAATGTGAAATCCTTTCTTAGCTCCTGGGCCATATATAAATCAGGCAGCAGCAGGATTTGGCCTGAGGGCCATGGTTGGCGGACTCCCACTGCAGGCCAGCCCTCTCCCAGATCCTACAGGACTCTTCCATCCTTTCCTCCACAACCTCCTCCCTCATCTTCACACTCATCTGAAAACCTTGCTTCCCACTTCACTGCGAAAGGAGAAACAATCAGAAGAGATTACATCCACAGATCCCAGCATATCATCCCCTACCTGTTACCATCTTGTCCCACATCTTCTGCCCTCCTGTCCCTTTGCCATAGAGGGTCCACCTGGGTTCTAACTTCAATTCAGCCCCACTCCTGGGGGTCTAGAGCTCACATCCTCTGTCTTCCCCAGGAATTCACTCCAGCAGTCCTTGCCCCTCTCCTGGCTCATTCCCATAAGCATTCAACTGTGCGGTCATCTCTCTTGTCTTAAAAAATAAACAAATACGTCTTCCTCACATTGCCCTATCAGCTACTGTTAGAAACAAATGCTTCTTCCTCCAGTGCTGAAAAGAAGAAATAGCACTTGAACATAAATTTACTTTTCTCAGCAAGGCAATTTTTACTTCTATAGAAGGGTGCAACTCATGGAGGGAACAATGGCAAGAACACACCTAAACAAGGGAGGGAAAAGGGTTCTTATTCCTGATGCGGGTAGCCCCTACTGCTGTGTTTTTCCCCTATTGGCTAGGGTTGGACTGCAGAGTCTAAGCTAATTCTGATTGCCTATTTTTAAGAGAGCAGGAGTATGAGCCAGAGTGGTGGGGTTAGTAGTTTGGTGGGAAGGGCTGTTACAGAACAGGTGACTCAGGATGAGTTAGGATGGAGCAGGTGACCAGGAGTGACTCAGGTCGGAGCAGGTGACCCAGGGAACAGATGTAAACTACTGATTAGAACTGGCGGCAAAGTTGTTTACTGAAACTAGAGGCAAGGGGGTGAAGAGAACCAGGAAGTTAAACTTTAAAATGGAGAACCAAAGAATAAGAGGGCCGAACATACTGAATACTGATTCTTTGAAGAGAAACTTGGAGTTCACTATATCTAACATACTATACCATTTCTCTGCTCCCATTTGTAGCAAAACTTCCTGAAACAGTGTACACCGACTCCAAAGCTCCTTCCCTCATTTTCTCACTTTAAAATGTTTGTTATTTTTAAATTGAGGCAAATTTAGATAGAGGAAAGTAAACAGATTTCAGTATACAGTTTGACAATTTTGACAAATATGTATTCCCATGAACAGCATATGTATTCCCATGAACCCAAATCAAGATATGAAATATTTCCATCCTCCCAAAAAGCTACCTTTCAATCCTTTTCAGCCAAGGCAGTCATTGTTTTGATTTCCATCACAATAGATTAGTTTTTCCTGCTCTCGAACCTCCTATTTATAGAATGTGTCTGGTTTCTTTTGTTTAAACAATGTTTTTGGGATTTGATCCACCCAAGTATCAGTGGTTCAGCCTATCTGTTTTTCTGGAGACACCCTTGTTTAAATTTATTACAATTTGTTTAATTTGTTTATTGATTATCCTGTTTATATATATATATATGTATATTTTTCTAGCTCTGAGCTATTATGAATAAAGCTGTTATGAACATTTTTATGTAAGTTTTCTTGTGGGCCTACACCTTAATGTCCCTTGGTTATATTCCTGTGTAGGGTAGGTGTATGTTTAACTTCAACAGAAGTTGCTAATCACCTTCCTACAGTGTTTTAAGCCTTTTCACTCTCCCGATACTAACACATAAGAATTCCAATTGCTCCACATCCTCATCAGCACTTGGTATTGTAAATTTTTAATTCTAGCCCTTTGTGCAGTGTGAATGACATCACTGCATTTCCCGGGTGATGATGTTGAGCACCTTTTCATGTACTTCCTGGCCATTTGTGTGTTTTCTTTTTCTCCTTTACAATAATTGGGTTGTCTGGCTGTTTCTCATTGACTTGTAAGAGTTCTTTACACATTTTGGATATAATTTTTTGGTCTGATATATGTGATTCAATAATTATTTCACAGACAAATCTATAGCTTTCCTTCTCCTTTTAAAATAATAGTGTGTTTTTATGAGCAAAAGATTTTAATTTTGATAAAGTGTAATTTATTCATTTTTTAAATTTTATGGCTTATGCTTTTAGGACGTGTCTAATAAATCCTACGATTGTAAAAATATCCTCCTATTTTTCCTTCCAGAATATTTTTAGTTTTAGCTTTGATATTTAAGGCTATGGTCCATCTTGAATGAAGTTGTGTGAATGGGGCAAGGTGATAGCCAGTTAATTTCTTCCATGTGCTCTGCGGTTATTTCAGCACTGTATGTTAAAAAGACTGTTCTCTCCTCACTGTTTTTGTGTCTTTGCCAAAAATCACTTGGCCATACGGGTGTGGGTCAATTTCTGGACTTTATTTTCTGCTACTTTGATGTCTTTTTCTATCCTTGAGCTAACAGCCCACAGTCTTTATAATTTTTGCTTCATATCAAGTTTTGAAATCAGCTACCATAAGTCCTCCAATTTTGTTCTCTTTCTAGATTGCTTTGGCTATTCTAGGTCCTTTGCATTTCTGTATAAATTTTAGAATCAGCTTGTCAGTTTCTATAATAAATCCTGCTGGGGTTTTGACTGGTGATTTCATTGAATCTATAGATCAATTTGGATAGAATTGGCATCTGTTACAATAGTCTTCCAATCCTTGAGTATAGGATATCTTTCCATCTATTTAGGTCTTTACTTTCTTTTAGCAATGTTATATACTTTTTTTGTGTAGAGGTCTTGCACATTTTTTAGTTAAATTTGTTTCAACATATTTACTTTTTTGAATGCTATTGGAAATTATATTAGTCCATTTTTGTTATTTAGAATATCTGAAAGTAGGTAATTCATAAAGAAATTTATTTCTACAGTTATAGAGGCTGAGAAATCCAAAGCTGAGAGACCGCCTCTAGCAAGACCCTTCTTGCTGATGAGGACTCTCTGAAGAGTTCCAATATCACATGGTGAGGAGGTTGAGGTGCTACCAGGCTAGCTCAGGTCTCTCTTCCTCTTCTTGTAAAGCCACCAGCTGTGCTCCTGTGATAACCAAACAATCCACTAACCCATTAATCCATGAATGAATTAATGCATTAATAAGGGTAAGGCCCTCATGATCCAATCACCTCTTTTTATTATTATTATTATTTTTTGAGATGGAGTCTCACTCTGTCCCCCAGACTGGAGTGCAGTGGCGTGATCTCAGCTCACTGCAACCTCCACCTCCCAAGTTCAAGTGATTCTCCTGCCTCAGCCTCCTGAGTAGCTGGGACTACAGGCGTGTATCACCATGCCCAGATAATTTTTGTATTTTTTAGTAGAGACGGGGTTTCACCATATTAGACAGGCTGATCTTGAACTCCTGACCTCGTGATCCGCCCGCCTCAGCCTCCCAAAGTGCTGGGATTACAGGCATAAGCCACAGCGCCCAGCCTCCAATCACCTCTAAACGGCTCACCCCTCAACACTGCTACATTGGGGATTAATTTCAACATGAGTTTCGGAGGGGACAAATATTCAAACCATAGCAAAAATAATATTTTTTAATGAAAAATTCATTTTCCATTTGTTGCTAGTGTTTAAAAATAATACTGATTATTTTATTTTGACTTTTAACTCTCCAATCTTGTTAAATTCACTAATTATTCTAGAAATGTGTAGGTTTCTTTGGATTTTTCTACAATCATGTCATCTGCAAATAAAGACGGCCTTACATCCTTCTTTGTCTTGCCTTAGAAGACTACTGAAACCTTCAGTACTGTACTGTATAAACTTGATAGGAATGAATATCTTTACCTAGTTCCCAGTCTTAGAGGGCAAATGTTGAATATTTCATCCTTATATATGTTGTCAGCTATGTATTTTTCATAGAAATTCTTTTTCAGATTGAGGAAATTTTCTTCTACCTTTTGCTTGCTGAGAATTTTTATTTATGAATAACTACTAAGTTTTTTTTTTTTTTTTTTTTTTTTGAGATGGAGTCTCACTCTATCGCGTCTCACTGCAAGCTCCACCTCCCAGGTTCACACCATTCTCCTGCCTCAGCCTCCAAAGTAGCTGGGACTACAGGCACTCGTCACCACGCCCGTCTATTTTTAGTAGAGACGGGGTTTCACCGTGTTAAACAGGACGGTCTCGATCTCCTGACCTCGTGATCCGCCCGCCTCGGCCTCCCAAAGTGCTGGGATTACAGGCGTGAGCCACCGCGCCTGGCTGAATAACTACTAAGTTTTATAAAATGCTTTCTCTTAATCTATTGAGACTATCACATGGTTTTACATATTTATTGTGTTAATATGTTGAAGTATATCGATTACTTTTTAAAATTTTTTAAATTTGTGTGGGTACTTAGTATATATTTATGGGGTACATGAAATGTTTTGATATAGGCATGCAATGAGTAATAATCACATCATGAAAAGTGGGGTCTCCATCCCCTCAACATTTAGTCCTTGTGTTACAAACAATCAAATTACACTCTTTTTTTCTTTTTTTTTGAGACGGAGTCTTGCGCTGTCGCCCAGGCTGGAGTGCAGTGGCGTGATCTCGGCTCACTGCAAGCTCCGCCTCCCGGGTTCACGCCATTCTGCTGCCTCAGCCTCCCGAGTAGCTGGGACTACAGGCGCCCGCCACCACGCCTGGCTAATTTTTGTGTTTTTAGTAGAGATGGGGTTTCACTGTGTTAGCCAGGATGGTCTCGATCTCCTGACCTCATGATCCGCCCACCTCGGCCTCCCAAAGTTCTGGGATTACAGGCGTGAGCCACCGCGTCTGGCCAAATTACACTCTTTTAGTTATTTTAAAATGTACAATTAAGTTATTATTGACTATGGTCACCCTGTTGTGCTATCAAATAGCAGGTCTTATTCATTCCTTCTTTTTATTGTACCCAACATTTATTAATTTTTAATGTTGAGCAAACCTTGCATTACTATGATATACCCCATACATTTGTTTTTCATCTGTTTCTGGATTCAATTTGCTAATATTTTGTTAACGATTTTTTGCATCTCTATTTAGATTAATCTGCAATTTTTTTACTGTACTACTATTGTCAAAGTTTTGTATTAGGATTGTTAGTCTCATAAAATGAGTTGAGAGTGTTTCCTTTTTTGTTCTCTGATAGAGTTTGTATAAGTTTTTTTTTTTGCAATATTTGGTAGAATTCACTAATAAAGCCATCTGAGTCTGGAGACTTGTTTGCTTTGTGTGGGTTTTTTGTTAATTTTTAAAGTGAGACTATTTTAATTTATGGCTTCTATTTAAAAAATAGAAAGTTCTTGAGATTCTTACTTCTTCTTGTGACAGGTTTGGGAAGTTGCATTTTTAAAGGAACTGTTCCATCATCTAAGTTAATAAATTTCTTGACATAAAGTTCTTCGTAATATTTTATTATTATCCTTTTAATGTCTGCAGAACATTTCTAATTTCATTTCATTCTTGATATTGGTAGTTTCTACCTTATTTTCTTTTGTTTTCTGGATCATTCTTGTTATTTTATTAATCTTTTGAAATAATTGATTTTTTGCTTTGCTGATTTTCTTCATGGCTAGTGTATTTTCTATTTCAGTGACTTTTTTTTTTTTTTTTTTTTTTTTGGGACAGAGTCTTGCTCTATTGCCCAGGCTGGAGTGCAGTGGTGCAGTCTGGGCTCACTGCAACCTCTGCCTCTCAAGTTC
This sequence comes from Homo sapiens, assembly GCF_000001405.40. Taxonomy (NCBI): domain Eukaryota; kingdom Metazoa; phylum Chordata; class Mammalia; order Primates; family Hominidae; genus Homo; species Homo sapiens. The sequence continues at coordinate 126,870,310 of NC_000002.12, read as the reverse complement.
AAGTGATTCTGCTGCTTCAGCTTCCTGAATAGTTGGGATTATAGGCATGTGCCACCAAGCCCAGCTAATTTTTGTATTTTTAGTAGAGACGGGGTTTTGCCATGTTGGCCAGGCTGGTCTTCAACTCCTGACCTCAAGTGATCCAACCGTCTTGGCCTCCCAAAGTGCTGGGATTACAGGCGTGAGCCACCCTGCCCAGCCTTCCTGTGATGTTTTTAAACTCTGTAATATTCATTATTTCTTTATTTCTCTTTTTGCTTTAGAGTTATTCTGTTTTACTTTTGCGTGGTTCTGAGGTGGAAGCTTAATCTGCTGACTTAAAACTTTCTTGTTTCCTTATATGTAAAATTAAAACTATAAATTTCCTGGTAAGCAGTGCTTCAGCTATTTTCTACACATTTTGATTTGTTGTGTTTTTCAGATAAGAACAGTGAATGATTTCCTTTTGAGTTTTTCTCTGCCCTGATATTTGGAGGGACTTTTTTCCTAGTTAATTTTTAAAATAATTATTTGTTTATTTTTTAAATTTAATTCCAGAGAGCATGAAAGCCTCCCTTGTAAGATTTCAATCCTTTGAGGCATGTTTTATGCACCAGCATATGGGTTATTTTGGTTAATGTTCCATGTGCATTTAAAAGGAGTGTGCATTCTGTGTTCCACATGCATCGACTGGGCCAAATTCGTTAATTTTGTTGTTTCATTCATTGATATTGTACTGATTTTTAAAAATCTGTTTTTCTGCCAATTATGGAGTGTTAAGATCTCCAACTCTAGCTGTGAATTTGTCCATTTCTCCTGTTTAATCTGTTAAATTTTGCTTCATGTTTTTTTATTTATTTTTATTTTTTTAGATGGAGTTTTGCTCTTGTTGCCCAGGCTGGAGTGCAATGGCCCTATCTTGGCTCACCGCAACCTCCGCCTCCTGGGTTCAAGAGATTCTTCTACCTCAGCCTCCCAAGTAGCTGGGATGACAGGCATGTGCCACCACGCCTGGCTAATTTTGTATTCTTAGTAGAGACGGGGTTTCTCCATGTTGGTCAGGCTGGTCTCAAACTCCCAACCTCAGGTGATCCGCTTGCCTTGGCTTCCCAAAGTGCTGGGATTACAGGCGTGAGCCACCGCACCTGGCCTATGTGCACTTAAAAGGAATGTGCATTCTGTGTTCTACATGCATCAATTGGGCCAAATTCGTTAATTTTGTTGTTTCATTCATTGCTATTGTACTGATTTTTAAAAGTCTGATTTTTCTACCAATTATGGAGTGTTAAGATCGCCAATTCTAGCTGTGAATTTGTCTATTTCTCCTGTTTAATCTGTTAAATTTTGCTTCGTATATTTTAAAGGCTTGTCATCAGACGCATCCACATTAGGGCTGTCATATGCTCCTGATTGATTAATCCTTTCATTGTTGTGAGACATTCCTCTGAATCCCCGGCAATGTCTTGAAGTCTGCCATAGCTGTTATTATTTTAGTCACAGAAGCTTTCTTGTTATTAGTTTCTACAAAGTGTATATTTCTCTAACCTTTTCTTTTGACTTATATTGTTGGCTAGATTTAAACTCTGTCTTTTGTAAATAGCATAGAATTATAGATTGTTTTTAAAAAAATCCGGTTTGACAATTTTTGTCTTTTAAGTGCTTAGTTAATTTCCATTTAATTATTGAAATTGTTGGATTTAAGGCTATCATCTTGCTATTTGTTTTATATTTGATCATTTGTGTCTGTTCTTTTGTTCCTTTATTCCTGCCTTCTTTTGGAGTAATCTAGCATTTAAAGAAATTAAAAAAAAAATTCCATCTTATTTTCTCTGTTGACTATTTAGTTACGCTTTTCTGTATTATCAGTATTATTTTTGCTACCTTAAGCAAAAATATCATAATCTACCATAGGTTATTATATTGTTTAATGTATAAAGTAATTTTCCTTTCCTCCAGCCTTTTTGGCTATGACTGCCTTATATTTTACTTCTACATCTATTATATATTCTATATATTTATATTTTTAGTACTTTTACTATAAACAGACAATAATTTTTAGAAATTAATTAAAAACAGTATTCTTTTATATTTACAGTCATATTTAGCATTTCTGGTGCTTTTTATTTCTTCCTGCATGTCTGGGTTTTCATCTGGCATCTTTTCTGTTCAGTCTGATGGACTTCCTTTAACACTTTTTTGTAGTACTTGTCTGCTGGCAATACATTTTCTCATTTTTTATATTTGCGTGAAAATGTTTTTTTTTAGCTTTGATTTTTTTAAAGTGTTTTTCACCTGACATAGAACTCCGAGTTTGCTTTTTTCCCCTTTTGGCACTTAGAGATTGTATGCTTGTCTTCTCGGTTCCTTTTTTTTTTCCTGCTTGAAATGTGGTTGTTTTTCTAGATATAAAGTGTCCTTTGGCTCTGGATAGCTTAAAGATTTTTCTTTGGTTTTTATTTTCAGCACGTTGCCTATGACATGTTAGGAGTGGTCGTCTTTGTATTTATACTGCTTTGGGATGTCTGGGTTTAGATATTTCATCAATTTTCAGAAAAATTTTGGTTATTTTCTCCTCAAGTATTTCTTCTACCCTCCCACTCTCTCCTTCTTTGATATTGCTCCATATGTATGGGACACACAAAAATTCTCTGTTTGTGTTTTAGTTAGATAATTTCTGTCAATATGCCTTAAATCCACTGATTTTGTTTCTTTGTGTTAAGTCTGACGCTAAACTCATCTAATAAATTTTTCATTTGTGTATTGTGTTTTTCAGTTCTAGAGTTTTGATTTGGTTCTCTTTTTGTAGTTTAAATTCCTCCTTTGAAATCCTTCATATGTTCGTTCACCCATTCTATACATTTTTTTCCTCTTAACTCTTTAATATATTTACAATAGTTAAAAAAAGTCGTTGTCTTCTAATTCCAAAATTTGGATGATCAACATTATTCATGCTTTTCCTCTCAATTGTAGATACATTTTTATGCTTCTTTGAATAACTAGTGTATTTTTAATTGTATGATGGATATTGTGAATATCTTGCAAAGACTCTAGATTATGTTATCTATCTCTCGAGGTTGTTGAACTTTACAAGGTGTATGTATGTATGTGTGTAGCAGTTGAATTGCTGTTGTATCAACTTGGTCTTATATTGTTTCCTCCTTTTCTCTCCGTAACTCTTAATGCCAGATGATCCCAGCGCTCCTTTCTTCTCTGCCCTATTTATACTTTCCTCCTGGGTGAGTTCATTCAGTTTCGTGAACTTAAAATACTCTGAGATGGCATCTGTAGAGTATTTTGTAATTCAGTCCGGACTTCTCTCTTGAAGTCTATTTTTTTCTAGATTCAATAACTGCATACATCACATCTCTTCTTGGATGTCTCATAGACATCTCAAACTGAACATGTCTAAAACTGCCTAATGGTAATCCCCAAGACCACAGGGAAAATGTCTCCGGGCCATGTCGGAGACCTTCACAGCAGCCCCTCCTATCACAGGCCTGGAGGCCCACAAGGAAAAAGTGGTTCTGTGGGCTGGGCCCAGAGTCCCCATGTTGTGTGCATCCTAGGGACTTGGTGCCCCATCTCCCAGTGACTCCATCCATGGCTGAAAAGGGCCAAAGTAAAGCTTGGGCTGTAGCTTCAGAGAGTGGAAGCCCTACGCCTTGGCAGCTTCCACGTGGTGTTGAGCCTGCGGGTGCACAGAAGTCAAGAACTGAGGTTTGGGATCCTCCATCTAGATTTCAGCAGATGTATGAAAATGCCAGAAGATGTATGGAAATGCCTGGATGCCCAGGCAAAAGTTTGCTGCAGGGATGGGATTCTCATGGAAAAACTCTGCTAGGTCAGTGTGAAAGGGAGATGTGGGGTTGGATCCCCGACATAGAGTTCCTACTGGGCACTGCCTAGTGGAGCTGTGAGAAGAGGGCCACCATCCTCCAGACCCCAGAATGTAGATCTGCTGGCAGCTTGCACTCTGCACCTGAAAAAGCTGCAGACACTCAATGCCAGCCTGTGAAAGCAGCCAGGAGGGAGGCTGTACCCTGCAAAGCCACAGGGTCGGAGCTGTTCAAGATCATGGGAACCCACCTTTTGCATCAGAGTGACCTGGATGTGAGACCTGGAGTCAAGGGAGATCATTTTGGAGCTTTAAAATTTGATTGCCCTGCTGGATTTCAAACTTGCATGGGCCCTGTAACGCCTTCGTTTTGGCCAATTTCTCCCATTTAGAATGGCTATATCTACCCATTACCTGTACCCCCCCATTGTATCTAGAAGTAAGTAGCTTGCTTTTGATTTTATAGGCTCATAGGTGGAAGGGACTTGCCTTGTCTCAGATGAGACTTTGGACTGTGGACTTTTGGGTTAATGCTGAAATGAGTTAAGACTTTGGGGGATGGTTGGGAAGGCATGATTGGTTTTGAAATGTGAGGACATGAGATTTGGAGGTGCTGGGGTGGAATGATATGGTTTGGCTGGGTCCCCACCCAAATCTCAACTTGAATTGTATCTCCCAGAATTCCCACATGTTTTGGGAGGAAGCCAGAGAGAGGTAATTGAATCATGGGGGCTGGTTTTTTCTGTGCTATTCTCATGATAGTGAGTAAGTCTCAGGAGATCTCATGGGCTTATCAGGGGTTTCCGCTTTTGCTTCTTCCTCATCTTTCTCTTGCCGCCACCATGTAAGAAGTGCCTTTCACCTCCCGCCATGATTCTGAGGCCTCCCCAGCCATGTGGAACTGTAAGTCCAATTAATCCTCTTTTTGTTTCCAGTTTTGGATAAGTCTTTATTAGCAGCATGAAAATAAACGAATACACTGCCCAACTATGCTAGTGGCCTGGCAGCTGGGCTGGGTGAATTAAAATTTTTCTTTTTAATTTGAGCTTATGTGAAGCAGCCTGAGAGGAATGGGTGTTTTTGTCCATTTGTGTCTCCAAAGGCATTTCTGTGGTAGCTGGGGCAGGGGGTTGGTGAATGCGGACACTCAGCAGGGAGCCTGGAGTATGGAAAACAGGTCAAGTTTTGCCATCAGACAGGCTAGAGTTAGGGTCTACGCTTTTTAGTAGTTGTGTAATCCTGGGCATGCAATATCAACTCTGTAAGCCTGTTTCCTCATTTGTAAAATGGGTATGATGAAGCCTCACCTGTAGGATTAACTGCCTGACACATAGTCCACAATCCTAGCTCAGTGGAGGAGGGTCAGAGGCAGCAGACACTGGAAGACAGTCCCTTCCCTTTTCCTTTAGCTTCAGGCATTTCTTGGCTTCCCGAGGAGCGCCCCCTAGCAGACTGGATGATCCTGTGCAAGGGCAGTCCTTGGGCCTTTGCTGGGTGGAGGATCAGCCTGCTTTTACATGGCGTAACTTTTTGAGGGGCTCTGACCTCATCTGAAACATCTCTGAAGAAGCTAACCATGCCTTCTGCCATTTCATCCACACCCCTTAATTTTTTATTAGACAATATATTTCAAGCATATGAATAAATATATAGTAATATCTGCATGTGTGATTTGAACAGTAACAATAACTCTGTGAACACCTGTGTATCCACCCTGCAGCTTGAGCAATAGAACATTACCAGTAACTCTGAGGTCTCCAGAGTACATCCTTCTCAATTGCAATCACTCTCTTGAAATTGAACTTATCAATCCTTTACTTTTTGGGGTAGTTTTTGTTGTTTTATAGTTTTATTACATGGGAATGTATCTCTAAAGGT